>NC_000012.12:13959650-14584650 GCF_000001405.40 Homo sapiens
GAAACTGGTGCCAGGACAGTGTGCCACTGGCAACCATAGAAATGTGTTGGCGAAGAGATGCTGATTGAATGAAGGGAGAAGGGAGAGGAACAGTGGGTTTCTTTCTTTTTTTCTTTTTCTTTTTTTTTTTTTTTTGGTCTTCACCATTTCCAATATTGGGAGAACATGCCAGGAGAGATTTTTCTATCCACCACTGGAGATATTATTATTCAGGATGATGGAACTGTAGATTGCAGAATGATCAAAACCAGTTTGTAACTGAAACCAGGTGAGAAAATGAGCATTCAAGGGAGTGGAGGACGGAGAAAAAACAGAATGGACGCTTGATTGAGGCTTGAGAAAATGGTGGCATAAGTGGAGCCGAGCTTTTCAGCCTCAGCAATGCTGACATTTTGCGATGCCTCATTCTTCATTTTCAAGGGCTGTCTCATGCATCCTAGGATGCTGAGCAGCATCCCAGGCCTCTACCCCTGCTCCCCACTCATGACAATGAAAACTGTCTGCAGACATTGGCAAATGTCCTTTGAGAGGAAAAACAGCCCCCAGTAGAGACCCATGGGTTAGAGGTAATATTGATATTTATTAGACATTTATAATATGCCAGGTACTGTTCTAAGTCCTCTATAGGTATTAATGTATTTAATTCTCAAAACTATATTTTTAATCACTGTATTACTATTATTCTCCATTATTCCCAAATAAGGAAACCAAGACTCAGGAGTGATGTAATTTTTCAAAGTTTCCACCACTAAAACGTGGCAGCTTCAGGCAGTTTGACTCCAAGGCCCATGTTTTTTTACCAAAAGGCTCTACTGCCTTTTTGTGGCAAGAGGATTCATATGCAAAAGCACTTTGAAGACACCACAGGGGGACTGCGGAGAGGGTACTGGGGGCATGGAGGAGACCCCAAAGCATCAGGCCTAAGGCACTAAAAGAAGGCTCATACTACCTAAGAAACAGGGACCCCAGAGAGAGGGGCTGGGGGAAGACAATGAATTTTGTTTTGGATCAGTAAAGGTTTTAGGGTGACCACACTGAAAGCAGCAGTGAAGAAGCAGAGAAAACAGAACTTCCTGATGTCAGGGAAGACAGGAAGTATTGTGTGACAGCAAAGTCCGTAATGAAGAGACGGATTGGGTCAGGACAAAGGCAGTTGTAGCTGTAAAGAACAAAACAAAGTCCCCTCTGAAGCATCCAGCAAACAAAAGATAGACATGAGTGTTTATACTGGAAAGAGAATGATTATGGACCTTTACATCAAAGAATGATGATTTCTCAGCAAAGTGTGATGACACCATCAACTGAGACCAGGACTATGGAGGAGAGAATGCTCAGAGAGCCCATGTTTTGAGAGTGGGGTGGGTGCTTGTGAACAAAGGCTGGTCATGCCGTCATTCGTGATGATGGGCTCTGGAAGAAAGGATTCTGACGACTTTTTTTTTTTTTATCTGCCCTTAGTAGTGTGAGTGACAGAACACTAAAAGCAGATATGCCTGCAAGTGGGTGGGTCAGTACTGGAGAAGCTGAATTCCAGTTCGAGGAAACAGAGTGGCAGGGGAGGGAAGGAAGGGAAGCAACAAGGAATTCTAAGCCCAGGAGAAGGAAGCATTAGAGAATTCCACACTGAGAGGTAAGGTCAGTGATGTAAGTGAAGTGGAGGAAGCAAAGCCTGAAGTCACAAGGAGAGAGGATCCAGATCTTATGGGAGGGGTGAGAGAGATACCATAGGGAAGAAATGCTGCTGGACACCTGGACAAAGAGGCAATGTGGAAGAATTGGAGGGCACATTTTTGCCGGTAAGTGGTTGATCTGCAATGGAAATGTGCAAGAATCCATAAATCCAACATATTAAAAAAGTTAATTTAGTGTATATTTTGAAATATGTAGGAGAAAATGTAACAAAGTGCAAAAATGTTGACCATTTTAACTGAATAACTAAATAAACACTTGTTTTATTAAAATTAGACTAAGTTCTTTCCCTCTGGGCAATCTGGGCAATCCACTTACAATGAAAAATCTAAGAGTAGTTATTTCCACAGCATGAGGAGCTGTGTGCATAAAATTAGAGGGTTGAGAGCATTTATTTAATCAACCCACCACATCTTCTAGAAACGTAGGTCCAGCGGAATGGCAGACAAGAATCACTGGAGTCCCAAGAAGTCAGAGGCTGTCTTCCTCCCTTAGAGTGGAGGTTGCAGGCAGCACGGCTCAGGCACATATGAGACAAAGGAACGGGTGTGAGAGAGGTGGTGGGAGGGTCTGGAAGAGCAATTCTCAGACTTGGCTGTACATTAGAACCACCTGAGCAGCATTTCAAATATGCTGGTCCCTAAGACAGAAATCAGAATCAGTGCCCTTATGAATATACCCTAAAGTTCTTATACCCTGTGAAGAAATGGTTTTTCATTTGTATTCTCAGATTCTGTCTCTCTCATACATACACACACACACACACACACACACACACACACGTGCACGAAGCTGGCTCTTCCACACAGTGAGCGGCAGGGAGCATGGCTTTGCTTGGCAGCTGCTTCTTCTTCCAGCTGCATCTGGGCTTGAACCCAACTGCACCGAGGAACCAGGCGGGAGCAGAGGGAGGCTCACGCTCTTCTTGTCTCCACATCTACTTCATGCCCACCCCTGATTCCAGTACCAAAGTGAGATCAAGACCCAATGCCTTAAATATATACCATCCCTTCTCCCATGGAAACAGAAGGGCTTCACAAAGATCAATATATCCACCAGCCTGCAGTTATTCAATTCAGATTTTAGAAAATTGCATTCGTTTTGTATAAAAGTAACCCTGAATTGCCTATGCTACAAGTAGGCACCGTACTACAAATAACCTAAAACCAGAAACAATTTGAAATTGATTTATATTTGCCACTTGAATGCTTGACATTCTGTGAACTCACAATGCTTAATTCCTTTCCAAAATGTCTGTTTGCCACCATTTACAGGCAGGAGTGAGACAAAGAGATGTACACCAAGCAAATATCTGCCCGGCAGAGGACTGGATTATCACAGTGACCGTAACACCCAAGCAAGCCTTGGAGGCTGGCAGGCGGGCGGGCGGGCTGACCTCCACAAAGAAGTCACAAAAACTCCCTGGAGTCCAGACAGAACTTCCCAGGGGGGCAGAGCAGCTGTCGCTTTCTGATTCTCCCCCAGAAGAGTGCCAAAATTGCTGCCACCTCGTCGTCCGCTAGGCAAGGAAGGAGGAAGGGTGATAGGCACTGTCCCTCCCTGGGGAATGCAGTTAGACAGACCCTCTGTCTCCCCCTGGCTGTCAGAGAAGGCAGACCTCCTTTCAGCCCCTCACCCGCCACCTCTTCCTTTTACCCTGTTTTTCTCATCCTTCCTCTTCCTTTATTCTCTCCCTCCCTAGTTTTTCCCTCCTTAACACACAGGTGGAGAAAAAGCAGAGAAGCTGATGGAAGTTCAGGTCCTGGCTATGGCACTTTCTTCTTTTTCATCAGTGTCACCCTCTCTTTTTAAAAAATTTCCCTCTTTCCTTGCTCCTGCCATTCTCTCTAATAACCCGAGGCTCCCAGCCCCCAGGTCTCTCTGGATCGCCCCCTTGGACACACCTAATTTCTGGGCTTATTCTGTAACACTCCCAATTTCCTGAGGCTCTCCTAGGCACTCGGTTTCATACACTTTACTCCATCTCCCTCATCAGCAGAAATGAACGCACCCAGCTTCTGCAATTCTCCGCGGCATGACAGCTGTAGTGGAGGGTCGTTGAGGCACAGGCTGGGGTAGGCATTTATGTAAGAAAAACAAAAGAAGATGGAGAAGGCCAGCAAGGACCATCCCTTTTGCTTTTTCCTACCGTACTGAGAAATCGGCAGCGTTACTCACAGGATATGGACAAGAGAGGCAGAGAGCTCAGTTCCAGGCGCTTTACATACTTCACCTCATCTAACCTTCACATAACCTGCGTTTTACAGCAGAGGAAAAGCTGGCAGTCAAAAGTTGAAATGCCCTACCCAAAGTCACTCGGTGGCAATTCCAGGATTCTGAACTCAAGTCCCTTTGACATCAAAGACCCAGCTTTTGACTCCCATGGGCTGCCTCTCTGGGGAGTGGCACTAGGGCTCCCATCTTTACTTCTAGATGTTGAATATTCAAGATCTAGGCTTGCCTTGGTGTAAAAGCCACAGCAGTACCAGCCCAGGATCCTGAGGGTGCCAGGACTCAGCTGTCCTTGTAAGGCACTGCTTGGCACCCAGGACAAAATAGAGACAAATCTCCCATGGTGGGAAAGGTAAAGAGAGAATCCACTGAATATCAACTTTGAGAGGGGAGGAGAACCTTACGAGAAATTTTAAGAAATCTTCACCCTGGGGTCCTGATGGAGACTTAATCTCTGGCTGTGGCTAGAATTTGTTCTCAGGGCCTTAGACAAGAGTCAGAGTCCATTAGGGTGGACTGGGAGGTGGCTAACATAGTAGACAATTATAAAGAAAGCTAGTATTCCTCTATTCCAATATTATCTGAATCACATTCATCCCTTCCTAAGTACTTGCATCCCCTATCCCTGGGCGGTCACGTTGGCTCACCCGTGTCTGGGCCAGATAGCTGGGCTCCTACATTACTTGATTTCTGCCACCTTAAAGACACCATCAATTCTGCCTTCTTCTCTAGACATTTTTGCCCAAATCTCAGCTCCTGGTTTGTGTGAGCTCTTGGAGGATAGGCATTAAATTTGATTCCACAGCAAAGAGGCCCTGCCCTTGGCCACAAACCTTCATAAACATCCTATAAATGAATCCATGCGGTGGGTTAAACTTGAAAGACAAAAAAGTCAGGATTGCAAGGAAAAGCTGTTCTCCAAAGTCTTCACCTTCTAGAGACAAGTAACCAGAGGAATATTTGCCAGGGTGTGCCCTGGACACATAGTCCAGAGCAAGGGCTCTTAACCTGCCATTCATAGATGGGCTTCAGGGATGCTAAGTCCCCTAATAAATACTTCATGTGGAATTTGAGGCATTGGCACAAAAGTAGATTTTTCAGGGAAGAGGATCCAGAACATTCATTTTGGGAATTGCTGCTTCAATGTGTGGAATAAAGGTCAGGGTAGAAGTGGGAAGGCAGCAAAGATGAAGCGGGTTTGGGGGTCAAGGAGGGCAGCATGGACTTCACAGGCTGTAAGCCAGGCTGTTTGTGACGGCAGCGGTGCAAAGCTGACTCGCAGAACACCTCATTCCTCAGCAGGAGCTCAGCCTTCTTTGTTCAGACCTGAGAAGCAGGCACAATACTTAACTGTTCCCACCTTTGTTGAGAATGTTAATATAGGTTGGGTCCAAGCTCCCCCAGGTGAGAACCACATAGCATCTTTGGCATTGCCCTAGCTGGCAGCCACTGCCGTCACTCCATTTTGACCACCATCTATTTAACCCACCCCATTTTCCCTGTTTAGAAAGTAGAATCTCAGGATAAGCCAGATCTTAAACTTTTCTTACTTTTCCTTAATTACATATATCAGTTCCTGCAGCCTGCCAAGCCTGAAATCCTCACAGAGCCCCAGATCTAATAGGATTTGTTCTTTAAAAAGTCATTTTGAGGGTTCCTAGCCCTGGTCTCTTTAAGGTAACTGAAAGGTTTGATATTTTTTGCAACCTAGTATTTATGCTTATGAGTTTGTAATTTCTAGCCATCATCTCTTTTTTCAAAGAAGGTTATACACTGGCTCTCAGAGATCTTTCCAGTCCTCTGTGATTTTCCCAAATGGCAGCCTTTGGCCCTGCACTGGCCACTTCTTTGTTAAAGACATTTTAGAATCTGTCATGAAGACCTGGGGTTATTTATCATATTCTCCTTAATTAATGTTTTAAAATCCTCTCCAATTTTATGTTGGTCTTGTGTTCCCTAACTCATGCTAGAATCCAGATTACACACCACACACACACACACACACACACGTGTGTGTGATTGTATGTTAGTTACCAGTTCCCAATTATATTTCTAAGAAATTAAAGATATACTTCTTGTTCTTATGAAGATGGCTTTTACTGCTTTCCCTTTAATTTCTCATATAACTAAAGTTTTTCATTTTTTATTTCCTAATCATCTTTTCTAAATATAAAAATGATATGCTTTATTGTGGAAATTTTGGAAAGTAAAGATAGAGAGGTAAAATGGTAATAATTGCATCGCTCCTAAAGTCTTAAATCTTTTGCATGATATGTCAATCTTTCTTCTCAGATTTCACAACTTTTACCATTTCTGAAGATGCCTACCTTCCCACTGAAGTGGCTTTCTTTTTAGAATAAGACCTTTGTTTATCCGAGCAGGATCCCTCCAGACTTTCTCATCTAGGAGAGCAAGCTGATCTCCTAAACTATCTCAAGGCACCTGCAGAGGAGAAAGAGCCCCGGACATGAGATTCAGAAAAGCTGGGCTTGAATTCTAGGTTTTTCTTCCTCTTGACGGCATAATTTTGGGCAATCATTAGAGCACTTTATATCACTAGAGTACTTTGTACCTCAATTTCCTCACCTTTAAAATAGGGTTAATAGTTCATGCCCAGAATTCCTCCTGGTGAGTTCTTGGGAAGACCAAATAATGTATGAGGAAGACAGTATATATGAGAAAGCTATTGACACACTATCAAGCTTTAGAAATGTAAGTGATCAATATTATTACATCCAATTTGGTTTGTCTTTGCCTCCGTTGTCTTCCTTCATTGAAAACCTTCCTTTTCTTTCTCAAGTTTTGGCTTGTTTTAGTTTTCCTTACAGTTTTTCATGTGTGATCAGTTCATGGTGACTTTGTCCTAGGCTCACTTGAAACTTTAAATCCTCAATTAATTGGTTTCCATTTGTATCTTCTGCATTTTTGTACTAAAAATTCATGTTCTCTAAATATTCTAGAAACATGGCACCTCGTGGCCAGATTGTCTTTTCTTGCCAGATGTAATTTGATGAGATACTCAAAGAAGTCAGACTTGATCTGGAAGCTTCTAATTCAGAAATGACTGCTGGCCCTCTACATGGGACAACTAAGCATCACACTGCACCACCCAAACTAGCTCTGATCGAATACCTAGTGGGTTGGAAACAGGGGAAGTCACGATAATTAATATTTATACAATGCCTACTCTGTGACAAGTATTGTTGAAAGTGAAATAACTCACCTGATTCTCACAGTAACTCTAAAAACCCAGAATTATTAATACTCCATTTGATGGATAAGGAATCTGATAGTACAGAGAAATAAAGACATTTTCCCAATAAATGAACAAGGGTCAGAACATAAACCCTGGCACTATGACTCCTGAGTTCTTGCTCAGGAGAAAAACCACCATTTTCTGCCTCTGCCACCATGTTACACTGCAGAAAGAAAGGTGGAGAAGACAGTAGCAGGGAAAATGTAAAAAACCCAAGATGACAGCAAGGAGCTGAGGAAGTACAAGTGCTGAAAATACAACTCATTTCACCTTCTGCATAACTCAACAATTACATTAATTACACTCCTGTGCATTTCTGGAAGACTGTCTTGGCTGTGTCCTATAGCTAATGAGCACATCAGAAGAAAGAGGTCCACAAATCATTCACAGAAGTCCAGGTCCTAACCACCTTTCGAATCCTGCTGTGCACCCTTCTCTTTCTCCACTCTCTTCATTATGTAGAACCAGACACACAGTATGTTTCTTTTAAGTCTCTGAGCATCAAGTCAACCATAAACATTTACTACAAAGCTTAGAGCAAAGAGTTTAAGAGTGTGAACTTGAGCCAAAACGCCCAGTTCAAATCCTGGTTGTGCCATTTAAGCAAAGCAAGCTTTTAATGTCTTCATGTCTTAGTATCCTCATCTGTGAAATGCAGATAAATTTACATACCTCTATGGATGTTTGAAAGGGTTAAATTGGTCAATTCATGGAAAGCACTAAGCACAGAACCTGTAGGTGCTCACAACAAAGTAGCAGCCATCCATTAAACATCTATGGTGTGCCAGCATTCTGTTAGGCACACACCAGGACATGAGGGTGGATGCTGTTTCTCCCCTTGAGAAATTCACATCGGGAGGTGGGATGGATAGAGACACGATAGCAGTCCTTTCACATCCCAGGGTGGGCTATGGGAGCAGGAAGAGGCCAGTGATTCCAGTCTGTGGGCGACAGGAAGACCTGGAGCTGAGGATCCCTGAGCTGAAACTTGCAGGCATGAGGGGAGGTGGGGAGGGCACTGCAGTCAGAGCAAGAGGCATGAGCAAAGGCCTGGAGTGTAAATCAGCCTTTCACAGTATCCCTTGCCCCTGCCTGTGTCACCATCTCCATCTCTTTACTTCTTGGATCATGTAAAGATAAAAGATAAGCCTGGAAAAAACAGTTTCACACATAAAGCTAGAAAGATTAGTTTTGCTCTCCTTTCTGACAAGTATTTATCTAGTTTTCTCAATAAAATACTGTGAAAGAGAACCTGGGAAGGAGACATAGACCAAAGATTAAAAACTGCAGGTCACAATGTCTAGGTGCCACTCTGCATTCAGAATGCTGCGTACCTTGCCACTCACGGCATGTCTTGCCCATTAAATATTTTCCATTTTCTTGTTCACTGAGAGTGGATGCATTGAATTCAAGGCCACATCATACATTGAAAACTGGCTATTTGGAGCAGGATGCAGTTATTAATTATTATTTCATATAGCCCATGTGTATATTACGCTTATGGTTGAGGAGATTTTTTACATTTCCTCATTCAGTCCACAAAACGACATCTTTACAGGGGTCAACACGATAACTGGCTCCCCTAAAGACCTCATTTTACAGATGAGGAAGTGAGTTCAGCAAGGTTGTATAGTTTGCCTGAGTCACACAGTGCTGGCCAGGGTGGGGCCAAGATGGGATCTGCTCAACAGGGCCAAAGACCAGTGCCTCTCTCCTCAATTCCACCTTGCTTCAAATTACTGAAAGGCCTTTTTAAAATATGCATGTGGTAAAGTTAAGGCACTCCATGTGGCACCAATATATATCCTCTTTCATAATAGAAAGAAAAGATATGGGGAATTTAACCTTTGTATTTTATATTTATTTTCTATAAAACTGCCCTCTGAGTTAATAGCTGATAGAGATATTTGAAACAAAACTAGCTCACTCACGTCCTTTTTGGAATTTCCTCTTTAACAATGATGACCCCTGTTAATAGTAAAATCCAAGCACAAAGCCATACTTAGGACTGCCATTCTCTTGCACTTAACCATTAGTCTCTATTCAAAGGAGTAGTTTGCAAATGGGTTTGAGAAAGAAATAGATGCAAGAAAATGGAGAATCTTCAAAATGTCCAAGATTACATGATCAGAGAGAAGTAGATTGTTCCTTCCCTCTTAGAGGAACCAGAGTCTTCAGGTTCAGAGTTGAAATATATTTACAGAATGGTAGGGGTAGGCTAAGATGATGATACTCAGGCCTTAGCCATATGTGAAATGAATGAGATGCTTATGGCCAGTACCATGAGTTTCTCATCCTTCATCCTCACTGAATTAAATTAAGGTCCAGAAATCAACTATTTTGTAGGGATCCATTTTTTCAGTTTAAAACAACTTTGCCTTTTACCAACAGCAAAGCCCCAAGAGAAGGGATCTAGAAGAAAATCACTTTAGCTGAAGTTTCCAAGTACAGGCTGTTTATGAGTTCCCCACATGCAACATAAACCTTTATCTTTTTTAACATGGAAGCAACTCTATATAATTTAAAGAGTCAGGGCTTAGAATCAGAAGATGTAAGTTGGAACCCTAGTTTGCTCCTTATAGCTGTGTAACATTCAGCTCTCTACTCCTCAGTTTATCTGAGAAACAGAAATAATGTCAGCCTTGTGGTGAGGATTGAGTAATGTGCATTAATATAATCTAGAAGATAATTGGCATAATCTAGAATATAATTTTCCATAGAAATTTGTCTCCAGCAAAGGCAAGGCAATTCCTCATAGATAACTATATTTAGACTGACAGCAATAATTCTTAGCATTTTCATTCCACTTCTTGTCTTTAAAGGATATACAAATTCTGATTACATAATTCCAGGACCTTCTCACTCCTTTTCCTAATCTCTGTCTCAGTTGCGTAAATGCAGACTTATCAATAAACTAGATTGCCTGCAATGGTTACTGAAAGATCATTTATGAGTTTCAGTGTCAAACTTGAATTTTATGTTGAAATCAAAGCAGCTTTGTAAATGGGTACATAATAAAAAGGAGAGGTTGAGAAGGTAACCATGATCCCATTTATTCCAGACAGTCCAGGCTGGAGTGCAGTGGTGCAATCTCAGCTCACTGCAACCTCTGCCTCCCAGATTCAAGCAATTCTCCTGCCTCAGCCTCCTGAGTAGCTGGGATTATAGGCAACTGCCACCGTGCCCAGCTAATTTTTGTATTTTTAGTAGAGATGGGGTTTCACCACTTTGGCCAGGCTGGTCTCGAACTCCTGACCTCTTGATCCACCTGCCTCGGCCTCCCAAGGGAGAGTTCACTTCTAGTTGGGGAGATCAAGCAAGACCTCATGGTGGAGCCTGCCTTTGAGATGAGCCTTGAGGAATGAACAGTATTTACATGGAATTTGAAAGGAAGGGCAATAGCATAATTAGTGATGAGAGAGAGCTTTTTGAAGAAATGTCCATATCGAACACAATGTGAAAGGAAGCTCAAAGAACTGAGGCACTAAGGAATGAGTATATTTTCACTTCATCAGCCTAAAGCTGGCACTAAAGATACTTTCGTCTGTTCCACTCTAGTAAATCTCACCCAAAGCATTAAGAGGTGCTTGGATGGCAAGGAAATAGAAACATAAAAGGTATAAACATGTCAGCTTTATCTTCAATGCACGTTCATTTCCATCATCATCTTTACCAACAACCAATATTTTCTGAGCACTGACCATGTGCAGAGAGCACTCTGCTAACCACTGAGGACATAAAAGGACAAAGTCATAAATCTTGTCCTCACAGGAAAATAAAAAATTAATAAATTTGATCACTTTAACAAATTTGATCACTTTTAAACAAAAGTGATTTCTCTTCTACATGCAGGCTCTAAACACACACACACACACACACACACACACACACACACACATCCAGTATTTCTTTCTTCAAAAATCCAAAGGGTAGCATTCTCCTACTCAGGAAAGATCTTTCAAATCTGAGCACCTGTATTTGGCCAGGGTAGAATTTCTTCTGCAGTCCTTCTTCCTATGTGAACTGAAGGAAAAACCAGGATACAGATGTAAACAAAATCAAATAAAAACTGAAATATTCTCCATTCCCCCTCAAGCTCAGAAACAATTCTGGAGCCTCTAACAAGGTGATGAGAGGAAGAACCACGAATCACAAAGACAGCAATTGTGGCTCCACAGAGCTCACGGGTGAAACTGATCTATCTGCATGGTAACAAATTCCAGGGTAAAGGCTGCAGTAGCTCCATGATTTGGATGTTTTGCCTGTGTGGGGCCAGCCAGTAGATATTTGAAAAATTCAAATCGAGGAGTATGCGTCTTAGTTTTCTCCTAAATATTTAGTGCCTCACACCACCACACAGCCCACCAAACACCAGAGTCCAAACCACACTCATACCCTTTCTCTTTTATCTTCAATGGCTATTAGCAGCTGTCCAAAAGAGAAGTAGTGTTTTTATTCTTTTATAGTTTGTCTTTTTAAAGACACGGATTCATAAATCTGGGTTTTTTCTTGCCTCTGTACATTTAGGTTCACATTTATTTTAAAACAGGGAAGAGAGTAAGCCAAAAAGGAAGGATGTGAGAAAACTATTAACCCAGCCAGCCTAATAATCAGTGATTAAAGTTACAGTCAGAGAAGAACGACATCTTGATGCCTCCTACCCTCTTCCTCCTCTGCGTGCCTTTAATATTCTACTTCAGGCACTGAGAGGGAGGGCAACAGGGCTAGTGAATTCCAACTAGCACTCAGATAATTGCACCATTCACACCCCTCACCAATCAATCAAGGTCTGCTTAGCCAGCCCCATTTATTAATAGTTTTCCTACATTTACACTGTTACAAAGGACCGAAATGAGGTTTTTTCTCCGAAACAAGAAATGGGGCACCCTCAATAAAGACTAAGTGGAACAGAGGATGTTTGCAAAACCAAGAACTGCTCGCCCTATTTTGCAGCCACACCTGTTTTAAGGGCGTCAGGAAAGCATTCTCCCTAAGTTTCCTAACTTTCAACACCAGGCCAGTGTTAGTGTTGAGAGAGCTTCCCTTAATTCAAACCCCAGTTCCACCCCTTGGGTGCAAGCTGTAGACTAAGTACCGTCATATCCCAACAGCATTTTTTTTTAACTTCTGGCCCAGGGACCCTCCACTAATCATAGAACAGTTTAACAGTGACAAGGTCTTACCTTCATGTTAAAATGCTAGTGTAACATAATGTTTAGAGCTAACAGGTGCCTTGTCAATCATCTTGCCCAGTCATTCTCAAATATGGCTTCGCATTAGAATCCTGCAGGGAAGTTTTTTAAATGACCATCGCCTGAATCCCTCCCTGAGAGATTTCAATTTAACTCTTTGGGGTAGGGTCTGAGCATGGGCATCATTCTTTTCTTTGTTGTTATTCTTGTTTAGTTTTTTGTATTTGTTTTTGTTTAAGCTCTGTGGATGATTTTGTTATTGAAGTGGAGTTCAAAATCACTGCTTCAGACTATTGTCACTTTATGGAAATTAGAAAATTGAGGTCCAGAGTCAACGGTTTGTACATGGTCACAGAATAAAGCAACACAAGCAGAATTAAATATAAGCTTCTGACTCCTAAGACCACCACCTCCTAAGACCACCACCTCTTTCATTATCATATAGGCAGCTACTGGACAGCCTGGAAAAACCTAACATTTTTAAAGACCCATTACATATAAGAGAGAACTCCGGACTCTGATGCTATGTAGATGAGCAAATGCACACCACTGGCTGATTTAGGGCCATGCATTCCAAGGGGGCTCTTGGGGGCAGGGCACGGGAAAGGAAAGTACTGAAATGAGGGTCAGTGGACGTGGCTGACCACATTATGTGGCTTTAGGCCACATGGCCAACCTTAGGACTATTTTCACAGTTTTTAAAGGGTGGTTGTCGAGGAGGACACGTAACCTCCAAGGTGACTGTCAGCATTATTGTTCTATTATCCTGTGCCACACACAGAGACCACATGCATTATTGTCCCTAAATTGCACACATTTAATGCATTTAAGATTTTGGGGCCTACTATATTTGGTAGGTAAGTCACTGCACAAACATATCCATCCACACACAAGTCTAATATGCACAGGTGTGTGGGGGGTGTGTGGATTTGGATACATATCCAATACACTAATCTCGAATCCAAAGTACAAACTGCTATGGCATCTGTGTGACCAGACTACGGCCCCTAGAAGGTGGGAGGATTAGTTAAGAATGTCGGCCATTTTCACAGAGAACAATTAGCTATGGGAAAAAGAATGAGCGTCCTCACCTGAGCTTCAGGCTTCTGAGACTCTCTTCTCCCTTCCTGTAACCATGTAGTGCTTTTATTCAGCCATTGTTTTTAAGTCCCCCCTCTTAAAAAGAAACAAGATCTGATTTCCTAAGAAATTCTATGTGGTTGAAGCCCTGAGTGGGTCTATATAAAGATTAATGGGAACTTTAAGCTTGACATTTCTTTCTAAAGAAAGAAATTTTCAGTCTGAGTGAGGCAGTGAGGAAAGACACAGAGGATGGCGTGTAGACAGCATAGTTTGCCGTTGGTGAGTTGAGTGAGCAGTTCAGAGGGTTAATTCATTGAAACTTTAATTGTCTTAATCTAGGAAGCTCCTCTACTACAGACTTTACGCTCCCCATCAAGCTGGGCTCCAAGGAGGGCCAAAGCCTGTAGCTTCTCTCTCCTTCCAGGTCTGCCATTCACAGAGAGCTGGCCCTGCTTCCCCTCCACCGCCTTCTCAGGGACCCTGGGCACAGCCTCATCACTGTGCCTCCCCTGCTCTGCCTCTCAAGTCCCCTTGGAATGCCTGACTCTTAGGTCAGTCAATGGTGGGAATTTACTCACCCACATATCTTCAGATCCAGGGTACTCTCTTTATATGTAATGCATCTTTAATAAGTCATCAGGCTGAGCTTAGGTTTCTTCTGCTAATGAAACAAATACAAACCACAACATACAAAGAATGGTGAAAGTGTAGATAAATGGTAAAAGGATAAGGAGCAGAAAAAGATAGAAAATAAATTTAGGGAATCATCCATTTCAAGCCCATCTTCCCTTAGGCACCAATGCTATAGTTTAATCAAGAGGTGACTGAAGGTGTCTCCCCAGCATCTCCACACCTGGACATCCCCAGGAGTAAAAACCTCTAAAATATCAAGCCACTCTAAATAGACTACCAAAAAGCATTTTGTGAATCCCCTAGGAATAATGGGATCCCTCTTCATCCATCACTCCCTTTGCCATTACAGAAAGCAGCTGGTGTCTGAAGGGCATGGCAACTTTTTACCTCCCTACTCCAGAAACACATGGGCTAGGCTGGTCCTTCATTCTGAGTAGCTTGGCCTGGGCTAGGATCCAGGTTTCCCTTTGGACACAAACCAACTAACAGCTGTCCCTTTCTTTGTAATGGCCATCAACAGAGTTAGCTGCAATCCAGTGGTCTAAGATGAAAACTGTATCATTTGCTCATTCTAGAGGCAAGTCTAATAAACAAGGCTAGGATTTCACTAACTATACAATCATGAAAGCAGAAATTAGAGCCTCTTCCTTCTTTTAAGACGACCCTGGCTTTATTCTCTAACCTTGTCATTTGTAATCTGAAATTCCTAATCAAAGAAGCAGCAAATTCCTGTGTTGTTCTTTTCCTTGAGTTAAGGGATGCAAGGAAGAGCGGGAGGCTTGCCTTTTACACCAACTTTCCTCTTCATATGCTTTCTGTCCTCCTAAAATGACCTGTCTTTCTGTATCCTATAAATCTCCTATTTTTTCCTCAAGACATAATTTAAATGTCAACCCCTCCATGAAGCCCTCCTCACTCTCCCAGATTTCTCTCCTTTTTAGATCTTACCTAAATATATAATTATCTCTTTATACATGTCCACACCACTAGATCCTGGGCTACACCACTAGATCCTGCTCCACACCACTAGATCCTGGCAGGTACAGACAGAGCTAACTCTTTTTCATAGCACAATATTCTTAAATGTTGTTGAATAATTGAACAAAGCAAAAGACATGAAAATAAATGAAGTTAAAAGAACAGTGTAAAAGAGACTAAGAGACATTAACAAAAAGATAAACTAAAAAGCAGGAGGACATAAGAAGAAAAAAAAGAAAGAGAGGAATCAGTTATGAGAAGCATCAGAATAAGAGAGCACAGAATGAAAAGAGAGCAGGCAAAAGATGTGCATAGGTGGAAAGAGTGAAAGAAGAGAGGAGATGGGTGAACTTAAATATACAGGTTTCTTTCTGATTTAAAAAACAAAACAAAAAAAGAAGTGCTGGAATCCCAAAAGTAGAATACAAGCACAACTGCCAATGTTCTGGTGCCAAGGCCACTAACCATGGTCTGTAATTAAAAGCAGGGATGGTGTAGACCTGTGAAGCGTGGTCCAGCAACTCTGGCGTCAACTGATAGCTCATTAGAAATGCAAAATGTGGAGCCCCAGCCCAGGTTTACTGAATTAGAATATGCAGTCTCACAAAATCTCCAGATGATTTTAATATACGATAAAGTTAGAGCAGCACTGACGTAGATATTTAAAATCCACAGATAACTCTGCATTTCACTCTAATCAATGGCATGGTGTACAAAGCACTGGTGCTAAAGAAGTTATACAACCTTAGGAAAATCACTTAATGTCCCTGGATCTCAATTTCTTTATTAAATGAGAAGTTCAGAGTAGATGCTTTCTAAAGTATCACATAGCTCTGATATTCTTGATCTCATCTAACAACAAAATTTTAACCCTTCCTAAACCCAACAGAACAAACAGGTAGCATCATCAACTAATTAATATCTCACTTCCTTTCTCTGTTCATTTATTTAACATTTTCTGATAATCTATTATGTGCTAGTCACTACGCTAAGTACAAATGATTCTAAGATGAATAAAACATCTCTCCCTGCCCTTGAGGAGTGCACAAACTTCTTAGGGAAACAGGGCATATAAACAAAGTCAGGATAAACTAAGAAGCATGAGCACATGCTGGTGAAGACCAGAAAGGAAGGCAATTCCACAGCCTGGGGCAGCCATGGAGAGTTTCACCAAGGGGACAAGGTAGACGTGCATGAGGTCCCTTCTCTGCCAACCTCTGCTGAAAGTACTAGGAAGTGAAAAGACCAAAAATAAGGTGGAGAACATCAAGAAAACAACTAAAGGTTCATAAACACACCTTGCTGGGTTCACAATCCCCCAAAATGTTCACAGCACAATGGATTCTGTGTAATGGCCGCAGGCACCATTAACAGCCGCAGGTGAACCTCAAAAACCCACCTTCTCTGAGCTATGCCTGCTCTTTCATCCCGACTACATTCTGTTCTAGCTTTGGCCTCCTTCTGGAAGATATCAATTCAACCACTAATCTACTCTCCCTGGAGACTTCCTCTTGTGGTTGCAAAGAGTAGATGCACTTTAATAAATGCGAACAATTCATTAGACCAGTAACTCTTTTGATCTATATTTATTTACAATGAGAGACAATACTGGCATCCAATCATGTGCACAGGAGCAGCGACTGAAAATGTAGTTTACTGAAAGGAAGAAATTTCTAGAATTCCTAAGGATGGGGTAGAATGGCACTGAGGAAAAAGAGGAGCTTCATTTTTCCAGCTCAGCTACTTTTGACTCCAACAAAATACACAAGATGAGTGGTTTTGTCGGCCCCAGTCTTCAATATTAAAGACACAAGACTATCGTTTGGAACAACAGTTTTCCCATCTTTAGAATGGTGAGTTCAACCCTGGCTTTTTTCTCTTCCCTAGCTTCTACATGCTGATTTGGGATTATGATTTCTTCCCATACAATTTGTCCTTTCACCTGTCTCCTTTTATAGTCCATCAATATTATTTATAGCCCATAAATATTAACAATTTTTTTACTTTAACCTGTTAGTAGTATATATGTCACCTTTGTTTTCAGATTCTTAAACAAGAATATAGAAAAAAAAAATCCTGCCCCCAGGGTTTATTGTATTCATGGAGGAACTGGAAGAATGTTTTACAAGGTAATATTGTGGCCAAGGGATGCATCAGCTCAGTCCTGTTTCTCCCAAACACCCCTCATTCCACCAGCCAATTTCAGTCCATTTGCCCACCTCCCAGGTGCCCCCTGCCTCTCCCCACACAAGACTGGGTGAATGTACATGAAGGTCAGGGAAGACAGTCAAGATTCCAAAGCTATCTTTCTGGAGGTAAACCAAGAACACAAAATCAAGGTTCCTGCTGTTCATCCCTTCTCCAGAGGAAGTCGCTCTTCTCAATCAGCCTTAAAGAAAAGCACTTGGTGTGCAAAGTATTGAATTGAGGATTTTTTCTCTTTCCCCTCCTTTCCTGTCATTTCACCTTCTTATTGATTCTCTCTGCCTGCGTCCATCCCTGGCAAAAATTGCATATATACATTAGCAAAGCATGGATCTTCAGACAGACAGGCTTCCTAGGGATGGAACCAACGGGAGAGGAAAAATTAGACAATCCAGTGGTACTCCCGGCTCCTCTCCTCACATGTAACACCTAACTCTAAACTGCCACATCACTCTGTGTTCACAGATCCGCCATGCTCTGCCACACCTGAAACAGACATAGAAGATAACCATGTTGTTCTGCTTCTCTTGAAATCACCCACCTAATGTCCTTAACTGTGTCCTGGGAAGTCTTTATTTCCCATTATTATTACTTTTCTTAATTGCACATCATGGAGGTTCCTCGATTGAAATTAAATTTGCTCTTCCTCCCACCAGCCGCCACCTTTCTTTCCCATGTCACCCACATTGTAAGGGGGCTGGCAGAAGGAGAAAAGACAAAATAGAACCCAGTCAGCTCTGTGCTGTGAGGGGGAAAAAGGGGGCGAGAACAAAGGCCCTGAGATGGCTCAGAGCACCACTGAGTCACAGCCTCACAGAGACTGCCTGCGAGGATGGGGAACACCTGCTTCCTCATCAGGGTCTCCAAAATGGCTTTGCATGGTGAAAAGGCACAGACCACCTGTGGCGATTCCTCCTTGAATCTTAACAAGCCTCTTCCAGTTGGATTACCTCTCCTTTCCCTTTATAGCTTCCCCACCCACTTTTTCCTCTCTTCCTCAACTCCCTCCCCTTTCAACCTCGCCTAGTCTTAGGGACAACTAATGATAGCCTGGAACCTGGCTTCATCCATTGGCATTCAAGATAAATGAGGTAGCTGAGATCCTGTCAAACAGCATCCTTGTCAAACCCATCACCAACAAACGAACATTCCAAAGGACCTACTGGGTGTAGAGTACTGGTGTTGTGGCACTGGGGATGCAAAAGGGGCCCTGTGCCCCATCAATGCCCTCCTCTCCTTGTCCATCTGTATGTATGAAAGCATTGCACATGGAGCTGCCTTTCTCACCCATACCTCTTTTCTATTTTGAAGTCAAATTAAGAGTTCATCCTCCTACTTGGAGTGGAAGCAGATGGAGAATGAGTTCAGGTGTCTCTAAGGTGAGCACACACCAGATAACCTCAGTCATTTGTAGACGTGGTGAGAACATGGTTCAAAGTGGGATCCCACCCTCTCACTCTGATTACACCATGGTTACAAAGTAGCATTTCAGCAGTAAAACTCAAAAGAATGAAACCTAGAGAAGGGGGATAGTGAATTTGGATTACATCTATCCTTTCTGGACAATGAAGAACTATCATCTACTGTCATGTTGAGCGACAAAGATCTTTCACCTCTTCCCCACATCCCTTTGGTATTTTGGATTATCAAAGAATTGTTGTTTTAAAATGCCAGAAAAAAAAATTGTGTGTGTGTTGGGGTGGTGGTAATACTTTTAGGAAAAATAATGATGCTAATGATTCTGCTACATGTTTTTGGAGATCTTTATCCCAACCTGATCCCTGCATTTAGACGCCTTCAGAGTTCAGGGACATATGGTCAGTGGAGCAAGGAAAGGAGCAGCCCACTCACCATCATGGCCCTCCAACCCATGAATGATCTGATTCTCTCAAGAGTTGTCTTGGATTGCATGAGTGACTAGCTGAAGAGTCATTAGCTAAGTCTTTTCCATTTCTCCTGCTATTTCTCTTCTCAAGTACATTAAAATACTGCCTAATCACATTTCACATATTGTAAAAATTGATGAAAGGGAAAATGTTAAAGTATTAATTCCATTTTTGAGGGTACAAGACTAATACATGCAAACAGCACATCTCTTTGTTTAACACAAAGACTCACGTGTCGAATTCTGCACCCCTTCCACATGCACAGCATTTTAGAACTCTGCAAGATAGCCATTTTGCAAGAGTGTAGAAGTAACAGTTTGCTTGGAGGATGTGTGGGTATAAATAGATATGTAGACAGAAGGAGAAATTTACAGCTCAAAAATAATAGCACAGGAAAAAATACAAATTAAAAGCAGAATATTGACAGAATTCCTCCTTTCCGAGCTTAAGATTTAAGTCGTTTAACCTGCAGCATCCTTCAATTCCAGGTGTTCTGAGACCAGCCCGATCCCCACCTAGACCTACCCCTCTGCAATAGGCCTCCCGGGATCTCTGGGCCCCTTGTCAACCCTTTAGACAGCAAGTGGATTTCAGGGCAACAATCACAGTAATCTCAATCATTATTTTTATCTGTTTTAAAGGGCATAGAAAGGATGCCTAGAAAGGTAAAGACAGGAGACAGGGAGAGAGGCATGAAGGTGACAAGGGGAATAAAGCCAACCTGAAAAAAAAAAAAAAAAAGGATTTCTAGATTCCCATAAAAATCGGAGCTTTAGTTCTGGGTGAATAAAATGCTATTTAACTGGAAAATCACACAGGTCTCCTGGCTGGCTATGTCTATAGATATAGATACATTCCCCTGATGCCATCCAACATCTTTTGTGCCTGCATACATCCACCCCCACTGCCCCCCAAAAGCCCAAAACCTGTTAGATGAGAGAAGAAAAAGAAAAAACATGGGAGATTTCCTTCTTTGTAATAAGCCTTTTTTCCCAAAACAGCATTATTTTCATATCTTGTGACCTTTTCTTCCAAAAAGATCCACTTGAGGGACTCGAAGAGATAGATAAAATGAGGAATCCCTACCCCAGGTGAGGAAAAAATAAAATAGAATTTGCCCTACCTTGGTTTGTAGAAGCCAAACCTCTAGACGGACAGATTAAGGGAGTGAGCATGTTGGGAATGTCCAGTCCCTTCTTCTCGCTTGCATATCCACATAAGAAAGACGAAGGATAAATGAACGGAAGATAATTTAAAATCCAATTTAGCGTAAATTTTGTTTTAATCTTGTGTCTTGAAGAGATGCAAATTCAAAAAAAAAAAGATTTAATTCAAAGGTAATTCAGGGTATGGAGAGCAGCTCACAATGCAGAATCCAGAGTAATTATTCCGTGTGCATGTGAGGTTAGTGGCTGGAATAGATTTTTAACGCTTCTTCTGGCAATTACGGTTTTTGGTTTTTGGAGCGTTAGTGGAGGAGGCTCTGTGTGGAGAAGCTGGGGGCCGGCTCCGTCCCTCGGTGGAGCATGGTCATTCCCAAAGCGTCCCCTTCCTAAGGGGGAAAAAGAGGCGGTCAGGGCTTGATTCGCGTGTCCCCCGGAGGGTGAGAAAAATGCATTCCGAAAAAGATATCAATTCGTTTTAAGGAAAGGGGGGAGGAAACCCCGCATTTCCCACAGAGTGCACACGAGAGGAATTGAAAACAGCTGGTACCGGTCTATAAATAATTCAGAAAAGGTCTGGCTATACCATTCCTGGGACAGGCACGGATGAGAGGTGGGAAAGCCAACCTGAATGGAAGAGGAGAGAGGGAGGGAGCGAGCGAAGGAGGGAAGTGGGAAGGAAGGAGGAAGGGGGGGAGAAGCGGCACCATACAGCAACACACACTCACACACACGCAGAAACACAATTCCCACTTAACTCGCCAGCGAGTGCGGCCCCCAGCCCCATCTGCATTGCTGCTGACTTGTCTCGCTCGCTCTCCCCATCGCCTCCAGCAGCAGCGCCGCCTCCCACCCCGGGCTTGTGCTGAATGGGTTCTGATTGTGCACGGGGTGCACACTGGGCATTTCTTGGAAGGGGCACACTGACGCGCGCACACACGCCCCCGACGCGCACGCGCCCCGCGCGCACTCACACTCACCCCCGCGCACACTCACCCCCGCGCACACTCACGCTGCCGCCGCGCTGAGGTGCAGCGCACGGGGCTTCACCTGCAACGTGTCGATTGGACGGATGGGCTCGGCGCGTGGGTCCGGCCCGGGGCGCCGCTGCCCTGCCCCTCTGCTAGGTGAAGGGATGAAACCCCCCAAAAGACCAGAGACAGCCCTACCCAGTCACAGCACCCCCTCCCCCACAAAAAAAAAAAACCTTTAAAAAAGCCACGTCCAAATTAGCAAGTGCCGGGTTCTGCTGGATTTCAGAGCTTTACCTCATGCCAGATTCGTTCACGATTTCACGGCTTCGACCCTTTATCTGCCTGACACCCCCAAACCCCTACATTCAAAGGAGAGACTCCAAAGCCCATCTTTACGTACCGGCTCCGAGCGCCTCCGCGGTTGCAGTCTGCGGAGAGGGGTGGCCGGTGGCTGGGAATGGAGGGTTTTCCTTTCCTGCAAAGCAGGATTAATGATCCGTCTCGGGGGTTTTGAAGTTCATGACTCTTCTTTGCAAGGCAAAAGGATATGCATTCGGACGCCAGCACTACTGGATGGTGGTGATCAAGAATCACCCTTGACGAGCACTCTCGATAGAGCGAAGCCCCGAGATTTCCTAGAGGTGAAGAAGCCGGAGGAAGTGGTTTTTGAAAGGGGGTGGGGGGAACCTTCCTTTCTCAAAAAGAGGTGGGGGGTGGAGAGGCAGGAGCCCAGATTCCAGTTGGTGAGGATCGGAGCCGGGGGAAGGGAAGCGGGCGGGGGCAGGCTGTGCAAGTCAACCGCGCGGCAGCCGGAGAGGGAGAGCAGGAGGGGAGGAGGGGAGCGTCAGAAAAATGGGTATTAATCACCGGGGACGGGGGGAGGCGCGGGGAACGCAGGTTGCCTGGTCTGGATTTGGGTCTCACACTCAAAAACGTGCCGCGCACACACACACAGACACACACACACCCCCTACCTCGCACACCCTGACTCCGGGGGGAGGAGAAACCCACGAAGCTGGGGAAGATACTGCTTCTGCTCCCAGGGGCGGGTGTGAGCGCGCGTGTCCTCTTTCTCCACACCCCCCACCCCACCCCACCCCCAAGCCCCTGCACCCCCTCACTCCTCTTGCTAAGACTCTGGCGGAGGCAGCTTCCCACGTCATGTGCTGGGGAAGTGGGGTGGTAAGGTGGATGGAAGGGGGACGGAAGGGGGAAGAAGCTTAGCCCGAGTCCGTGGCGCCTCCTCCCGGCCGCAGCGGGGAACAGCACCGACGGAGAGCGGCTGAGGGGCGAGGGGAGCTAGACAGTGCCCCCCGTGGGCGGCCCGCGGGCTGCGGAAAGCATCTCCAAGGCGGAGCTGTAGTTCGAAATTGAAGACCCTTGCTGTATTTTCCATAAATCAGCCTGTGCTTCCTACGAGCATTCTGTGTGTCGGACGCAGTCTGGGACCGGGTTCTTTCTTGCCTTCAAGGAGCTTAAGATCTATCTGAGCACACGAGGCTGACGCCTAACACAATAGAAAACAAAGCAAAGCAGGTGTCATTCGTGGCTAAATTGTATAGTATGGACCATACGCGTGCTTTTCTGGCTGCTAGTGAAGGCGGGAGGAGTTTGACATTTTTTATTAAAGTGGATCCTGTTATTTAAATGCCTTGAGAAGAGAAGATGGTGAGGCCCGTGAATAATCCCTAAAGGAAACTGGATTTCCTGGCATTTACAAACCCACCCTCTTTGAAAAGGCAAACATCCATTCATTTCTCTTCCTATTGAACTCTTTTATATTTTAATAGCCCTTATCACCACCTGTAGTATTGTTTACTTTTAACATTAATATTATTGTATATGCATCATTTTCATTCTCATCCATTGTCTTTTCAAATATCTAGAATACTACAGTGGTGGAACATTTTCATATTGGTTATATCATGGGCTTCTCACCAGCATTCCTGAGAAGCGGCCATACAAACGCACAGGAGAGAAGGCTGTGTGAGTGGATATACCTAGTGGCTTGGAACTTTAGTCTGTAGAAGCCATCAGATATGTTTTTGCTGTCCTGTAGACCAGACTACTCATACTTCTGAGCTACAGTAATTCTTCTGTTTCCTGGTTTTTCTCAGGCTTAATTTTTGAATCTAACATATTTAACACACACGAACACATAAGCATTGTGTGAAAACACAAATAGAGTGTGTTCACATGCAAATTATTCCTTCTCAGTAATGGTTTTCTATTTTTCTAAGAGTTAGAACTGATCTTTCACTACTTTGGGGAAGTGTCGAAGCACCCCAGAGTTGCTGTGCCCTCTTGATACACAACAGCCAACCCAAGCCCCTCTAATAATTTGTCTCCAGGGTTTTCAAGTTCACCTGCCTATGGGCAGGTTTGCAGTTGTTAGAACGCCGATTCCAAGAGGAGTATAGAATGCAGAAAGCAAGAACCTAATAGAGATTTCCTGAAACACTCTTCCCTGAATTTTCCAGGAAAATTACCGTTACCTGGTCCATTAGCTTCAGAATAACATCCAAGCTCACTCAAGGATCTTCATGGGTTGACCTTGAATCTACTTTTTAAATTTTTATATTTTTTATTTCTGGCTCATAGCCCACGTTCCCCTTCCTATCCTCAGTCCCTTCACCAAAATTATACTATTCTTCCCTATTTTCTTTCCTTTTCCTCCCTACCTGAACCCTGTTGCAATTCCATTCCACCCTGTTCACTTTTCCAAGTGTACAGGGAAGAATGAACGCTCATACTTCCTCCACCTAATTGAGTCCACACTCCTCTTCAGTTTCCAGCTCAAGTCCCACCTCCTCTGGGGATATTTTTCAGTCAACCAAGCCTGAATTGATTTCTGTAAAAATTGCAAGAATTTTGAAATGAGAGATGACACCTCACCACCATCCCCTCCACTCTCATTTTCTGTATTCAGCAATGTATGGAAGAGTTTGCTTGATCAGTTATCAAACTGACTGGGTGATAACTTATTGCATTCATTAACCAGGTACTGGCCCACTATAGGGAAAAATATTACCTCTGTAGCTATTCATGTTGAACCATGTGAGACTATTGATATTCAATCATACGAAATTGCCAATCATATGAAATAACCATTATTGACATATAATAAAAAGGCAATTTCATAAAGTTAAACTTAAAATTATATTCTGGTGTCAATTTCCTGTCTTCCAAACTAGTTGTTTAGCTCCCTAAGGGGACAGACCATAACCTAAGTCATCCATATATTCCCAGTACCTGGCTCAATTCCAGACATGCAGTAGAGGTTCAATAGATATTTTTTATGACTATTTGAAGCCACTTTATCAAGCAGTTTTTCTGGTTCTGAAATAGCTAATTCTAGGGACCACACAGATTGTGAAGTGGAAAGTAATATCCCTTGCCCATGGCATTCATTGCCCATTGACTACTCAATGGAACTAAGATTCGTCTCCTTTTTTTCTGGCTCCTTGTCACTCACTTGCTCTTCTCACTAATAACCTTTGCCTTCATGGACCATAAGCCTCTCAATAAAACTATTTCAGCCAGGTGTGGTGGCTCACACCCGTAATCCCAGCACTTTGGGAGGCCAAGGCGAGTGGATCACCTGAGGTTGGCAGTTCAAGACCAGCCTGACCAACATGGAGAAACCCCGTCTCTATTAAAAATACAAAATTAGCCAGGTGTGGTGGCACATGCCTGTAATCCCAGCTACTTGGGAGGCTGAGGCAAGAGAATCGCTTTAACCCAGGAGGCAGAGGCTGCGGTGAGCTGAGATCATGCCATTGCACTCCAGCACTCCAACAAAAGCAAAACTCCGTCTCAAAAATAAATAAATAAAATAAAACTATTTCAAGGATCGCCCAGATTCATGAAATTCGAAACACCATTTCTTAGTGTCATAAATATATATTTCCTAACTCCTAGTCCAGCAACACAGAAAACAATATTCTAATGAGACAAAATGTTGCATCATATTTCACAGCATTGCTTATTGAGGAGAAGCTCTTGCTTGAGGCTGCTAATGACACTTTTGGAGGTATTCTGCCAACTCAACCCAAAGAGAGGTTCCCAGAAGATGCAAACACTCTTTTTCATGGCCCAATCAGCAAACGCAAAGCCTATGCCTTGCCTGGCCAACAACAACAAAAAAAGTATGTTTATCTGGCAACATCTTTCAGATCAAACACGGTACCAAAGGCTGGAGCCTGAAGTTTATACAATTTGGAGTCCCTCTTTAAGAGAAAGAATAAAAAATTAATTGCAAAAGTGAATATCCACTTAGAAAATAAATCACAACAATTTAAAAATTCTTTAGTAGTTATAAACACCACAAAAATTAAAAATTTAAATAATAATCTCTAGTTAACTGCATATTTCTGTAATATTTGTTTTTGTATTTTTTTTACCACATTCTCTTTGAGTACCTCTTCACATTGTGGTTTAAACTATAATTTTCTATGAAGATACTAGAATCAAAAAAAATAATCTGGGATCCAGTTTATTCTTCAAAATAACTGAAAATTGTTTTTCATTATAGATAATTTAGAAAATTTTCCTATTTATTGGTATTAGTACAGTTTACACTTTTAAGGGTTGTTGTCAAATTTAGAAAGACATTTATCAAATTTCTTTGATATATAAGCTCTCAGGTTACAAGGATTTCAAGTTTTCTTGTTCAGTGACTAATCTTAAATATCTCTTGAATTGATAAAATTCATTAACTAGTTTGTAATTTATTATAAGTTTTATACTGTCTTCATCAATGACAGCATTTTGTCTCAAATGAGCCAAAAATATAAATATTTCCCCAATATGTTCATATGATTCACTTCTCTTCATTAATTTGATTGTCAAACATTCCCAGGGGTCTATTCATTACCGCTATTTAGAATTTCTGTTTTCATCTTAAATAATTAGTTTAGGTATGACTTGGGAAATGCAACATTATGTGGTCTTGGGAAATGCAACATTTGGGCAGGAAAACAAAAATGCCTGTCCTCACCTAGGTCCCTGGGCACAGGCATGGGGTTGGAACCCTCGCCAGGGACCACACCCTTCCCTTCCCAGCACTTCCCTGCCCCGCTTTGGAGGCTTGAGCAGCTTCCAAAGGGTAAACATTACACTTAGATTCTTTAAAGAAAATTCTTACTTGTCATATATGTTTAAAACACTCCATTTGAGAGACAAATCTGAAGGAGAAAAAAAATGTTACAAAATACCAAAGTGGTCAGAAACTTTGAGGTAAGGGAGAGGCAGCTTTTTCTTGAACTAGAATACCGGGACGACACATATCCTGTGATGACACATATCCTGTGACACCTTTGTGTCACACCTGGAAACCTTTTCTTCATTTGGAACAGTGAGCAATAACTTAACTCTATGGAGAACTGATTGCAAGGTGTAGAGATATATCTCACTAAGCCTAAATGAACGTGTTTCCAATTCAGCATTCCCTTAGCTTCATCCCAAAAATGGTCACCACCACTCCAATGACACCCAGTGTGAGGGGAAATCTGACAGGGAAAGTTGGAATGGAAAGAGCAATTTTAAATGATTGCAATTAAGGCCTGGCACGGGTGGATCACTTGAGGTCAGGAGTTTGAGACCAGCCTGGCCAACAGGGCAAAATATCATCTCTACTAAAAATACAAAAACTAGCCAAGCATGGTGGAGCACACCTGTAATTACAGCTAGTCGGGAGACTGAAGTAGCAGAATCGCTTGAACCCGACAGGCGGAGGTTGCAGTGAGCTGACATCCTGCCACTGCACTTCAGCCTGGGTGACAAAGAAGCAATTATAAAATAATAATAATAATAATAGATTACAATTAAAATATGCTACTTTTGCAAATTTCACCAAAACATTTGGGCACATTTTAGGACTTCTCCCAACACCTTAGAAAGGGCCCAAGTGAGAGTCTATGAATTCGAAGCTGTATTAGTTTCAAAGTCAGTCTGCCTCTCAGTTCATTACCTAATGTAAAACAGGCTTGCTGGTTTCTAGATAAAATATTTGAATGATTTTTATCTTTGAAAAGGTAATCATTAAAGGCTCAGTTGACAACACGCATATTAATGTTTTCTGCTTAATCCAATCCATCTTCTTTTGCTTGCAATTCCTGGAGTGTACAGGAAACACAGGCAGAGCATTCAATTTTAATAATTTGCACAAGCATACTAAGATCCTGCCTCTACCATCATTACTCTTTTAAAAGAATCTCTATTTTGTTCTTATCATAATAATATTAATTATTCAACTCAGACAGTCTTTTTCAAAGGAAGAGTTAAACAACCCTCATCCCCTTGTCTGAAGACCTGCTTATCCTCCAACAATGAAAAAATTATTCATTATGCAGGGCATTTTATTGAGCCTGTTGTATACACTGTAACAATACACTTTTAGACATTTACATTGTGTTCTCATGGAAACATTTCTTCAATACTCATCTAAATCTGCCTTTTTTTTTTTTTTTTTTTTTTTTTGAGACAGTGTCTCGCTCTGTTGCCAGGCTGGAGTGCAGTGGCATGATCTCAGCTCACTGCAACCCCACCTCCTGGGTTCAAGTGATTCTCTTGCCTCAGCCTCCCAAGTAGCTGAGACTACAGGCACGCGCCACCACCCCTGGCTAATTTTTGTATTTTTAGTAGAGACAGGATTTCACCATATTGGCCAGGCTGGTCTCGAACTCCTGACCTCGTGATCCACCTGCCTCAGCCTCCCAAAGTGCTGGGATCACAGGCATGAGCCACCGCACCTGACCCTTAAATCTGCCCTTTTCTTTTGGAAATTAATCAAAGGGGCAGGATGGGAGGAGAGAGAGAAAGGAGGAATGAATAAGACTTTCAGAGAGAAGAATGATTGAACCTAGAAAGGTGGAAATATAGGATGCAATGTGATAGTAAGCTTTCTCTGTACTAAAGAAAAGGGATAATTTACTTGTTATTTCTAGCATCACTCATACCCTGAATGGAAATAACCCCCTATTAAGCACAGTTACAGTTGGCACTGTCTTATTAATTGTATTTTTCCCTTTCAACATAGCAAAGATACAACAACACCAGATCTGACCCAGCTGTTTTTCAAAAAGAATTCTTTAGAATCTTAATTTTTCTATCCGAATAGGTCTTCTCCCCCCTTTCTTTTTCTCATGGAAACACCTTGGAAAAAAGACTGTCTCTAGCCTCACCATTATTATATACAGAAGACATATATTCTTCTTTTGTTTTGCTTTCATTATTTGAGTTTCTCAAAAAATGTACCCTAATTTCTTTTACTATGGACAATATGAATGAGAGACCCAATCTCTATCTCAAGGCATTTTGGAACATCTTCTTGCCAGAGGCAGTTGGATAGTGAGGTAAACGAGGAAACAAAATGGAAATAAATTTTATAGCTCTCCTTTCACTAGTTCCCTTTTCCCTTGTCACTTCATCCTTTCTCTGATTTTTTAAAGGCTTTTTTGTGAGCCATGTATCCAGCGCTCCAATATTCTTTTTCCATGTAATATCTGTCTCCTTTCCTGTGGGCCTTTCCTCCTGGAACAGTTCCTGTTATCATCCCCAGGGAAATATCACTTCTTTTTCCTACTCCCCTTCAGAGGGTCCTTTTATCTTCTAGAGTAGCATTTATTGATAATGACTTCTGCCCCCTTCTAGAAAAGACATATACCCCTCCCTCACTCCTGGCACCCTGCACCCTTCCCCACTGACAGCCAAGAGAACTTCTGTGGAGCCCAAGTAAAGGAAATGAGAACAAAACGGCTTAAAAATCTGCCCAAGTTGAGGGAAAAGAGGAGGCCACTGGGAGACCTTGACAATCTGTTGAGAGAACATGGAGTAACATGGGTGTGCGACATTCACATCTAGAGGCAGGAGTCTCACAAAATAAATGTGAAATGAAATTAATATGAAATTGTGTGAATTAGGGTGGATTTCATTAGGGCACACACACATACACGTGTGCACACACACACACATACACACACACCTCTAGTGCCTTTGGAGAATTCTGAGGTCCCCACCTGAGGTGGTGGGGGGTTATTCCTCCCATGTTCCAAATTCACACAATCAATCCCCTGGCCACGTACCCTGGGAGGTGTGTACTGTAAGCGCCACAGGGGCAGGGGCCTGGCCTATTTTGTTCACCGCTACATTCCCAACACCTAGAGCAGTGTCTCAATGAATCAATGAATGAATGACTTGTAAGGGGATCTGAAGAATGAGGTCAGTAAGTATTTCTAGAAGGATTTTCTATGCCTCTACAATAGCTGCATTATGATGACCCTACTTGAACTTCTCAACAGGCTCCGCAGTAACAGATTTAGTTCAAATTCTCCCTTGACACACTGGTTCCTTCACTGTCTGGTCCCAGCTTACCTCTCCTCTGTAGCTCTTTATAAAATACATTCATTTATAATTTTGTTTTCAAATTGATATTTATTTTATTTTTAATTTATATTTTAGTTTTATCAAAACTATGTAAGTAAAGAGTTTAAAATAATTGAATAGTTTGGCAGCAGTCCTCTTATCCCCTCAGCACCACAATTTTTCACTCCCTAAAGGCCCCTTTCAGCCTTTTTAATTGAAATTTTTGGCATTTACTCTCACAACTCAAAATGGTACACTTACATTGCTACTTCTTATTTTTTTGGTCCATTCATTATGAATTGATACAACACTGTGGAAAATAAGGGTTTGCCTCCCTTTCCCCAAAAACAAAAACAAAAAATCTCTAATGAGCCACACACATGCACTCTTCCTAGTCCTATCCCCATATCTTTCAATATGCATATATCATAATTTTATTTAAGTCAATATTCATAGTTTACAGTTGTTCCATAAATGTCCTTTATCACATATTAGATTTGGTTATTTGTCTCTTTAGTCTCCTTTAATCTAGAATAGTTCCTTCACCTTATTTTGTCTTCCATGACATTGACATTTTTGGATAGTCAGGGCCAGTAATCTTACAGAATATTCATATTCTAAATGTGTCTGTGTGTTTTTCCTCATAAACAGATGAAGGATGAGCATTTTTTGGCACGGTGTTATTGCACACTTCTCCGGCACGTCATACCAGAAGGCCTGGAATGCCAGTTTGTCCCATTACTGATGATTCCAAATTTGATCACAGATTTGGGAGTGTCCAAGGGATCTCTCAATATGAAAGTACATTTCCCTTTTTGTACATAATAGGTAATCTGTTGGATGATAATTTGAGACCACACTCCCATGTCCCTGTTTCCTAATAACTTAAGGACAAAGAGAATTGAAATAAAATATTAAGTAACAGTATGTCTGTTGTTGATAGTGATATTAGTGCAGTAATTATTAGCAGAGCTAGAAAATTATATATATATGTAGTCTAAAGAAAAGAAGTCAGTATGTAAAAAGAAATGCAGGTAATAAAATACAGAGCTATGTAACACTTATAATAAAGATAGAAGTAGAATTCTAATACCTCTAAACATTCATTCCAACAAAAGTGTGGAAACTGCTTTATTGCCCTCAATTCTTCATTTCTTCATATAACCACAGCCTTTGCCATGCAACACTGCAGTGGCCCCCGGATAATGCAAGGGGCATACCTCCCTACACTTTGAGTTTAGATTGGGCAGTATGACTTGATTTAACCAATCAAATGAAGTAGAATTGGTGGAGTGCCAGTTCCACATCCAGGTCTCAAAATGCCTGCATTTTTCTGCTTCAGCACTCACACCTCTGCCACTGCCATGAAAAGAGCATGTCCAGGGCAGCCTGTTTGTCCTAGGAGGAAAAGGGGCCACGCAGCGCAAAGCTGAGTCACCCTAGCTGAGCCCAGACCACTTTCAGCCAACCTATCGATATGCAAGAATAAATACTTGGTGTTATAAGCCATTGAGTTTCAGGGTCATTTGTTGTGCAGCAATTTTATCACACTACCTAACAGATACACAGAAGGATGAGGGAAATCTTGCATCTCAAAGGATGTGGTACCAGTTCTGGACTTAGAAGTAGACTTTTGACAGGGAGAGAAGGAGTTAGACCATTTCAAGCTGAAGGAGGGGCATGAACAGAAGTTCAGAGGGACTTTCAAGTAGTAGTAAGAGATAGCACAAATGTGGAAGAGTATTGGAACACATTCTAGAGGCTATGGAATTTTATACTAAGTAATCTATGTTTATTTTATACCATAGGGTTCTGGAGGAAGAAAGGAATTTGATCTGGCCTAAGCCTTTGGAAAATAATATTGGCAATAGTTTGAGCCAAATTTAATGGAGGAAAAAGGAACAAAATTTAGAATGGTTGATTCTGTATGCTGAGTGCTTTACCTTGATTATCTCATATAGTTTCTCAACAATCCTATAAAGTGAATATTGGCATCCCCTTGTACCGATGAAGAAAAACAGCACTGAGAGATTAAGTAACTTTCCCAGAATCTTATAGCTGGCAAGACATACAGCCAGAGTTCAAGGTCAGTATGCATGGCAAAATATGTGCTGTTTCTGCTATCATCATTCTGTCTCCCAAATATTGTACGCAGGCAGGCAAATTAGGAGGTTATTGCTCTACGAAAGTGGTAATGAATTACAGTAGTAACAATAAGAAAAGATAAGAGGGAATGTATTTTGGAGAGATTATAAAAGTTTTATTTATTTATTTGTATAGTCAAAGTAAAATCGCCAGGATACAGCAACTGGCTGAATATGTGTGGTGATGGGGTGTGATAAGAAGATTCCACATCTTTTATTTTAACCAAAGAGTCTGTGTCAATGCCACTAAGATAGAGAACACAGGACAGGAAGAGCAGGTTTGGTGGTAAGAAACCTAATACGCTAAGTTTATTTATCATCTCGGGATGCTTTCTGACTAGTAATGATAACATTAATAATAGCTATCTCTCACTGAGCACTGTTCTAAAGCACTGTTGTTAGTGTTCTGCATGAATTAATTCATCCATTCACACATCAACACCATAAGGTAGGTGCCATTATTATCCCATTTTACTGATAAGGACACTGAAGAACAAAGAAGTTAAGGAACTTGGACAAGTAGCTATGGCATTTGGATATGAACTCAGGCAATCTGGCTGTAGGATCACACTCTTTACAGATGCACTGTTGAATCAATCCATATGAGTTCTTCCAACATGGTAGGCCCTGGTCCCAATAGCTGTGTTAGTAGGGAAAATCAAGTTTCCACTGCAGTAAAGAGCCTCCTAACAACAGTGGCTTAACAAAAGATTACTTCTTGCTCTCTCAAAAGCTACTATAGATTCAGGCAACCCTTCAAGACATAGTTATCCATGTGTTGACAAAACATTCTCTGTTATATCTTATGTCACTTTCACAGCAACATGTGCTACCAAGACAGCAGCTGTAAGCAAGGAGAGGGATGACATGTCTTGAACTGGCAATGAAATGTTTTGGCTTGAAAATGATACATCTCACTCCTGCCCACACTCATCAGTCAGAACTAGTCCCATGGCCAAGCCCAGTTTCATGGGAGCAGGGAAGTGCAATCCTGTCTAGAAGGAATAGAGCCATAAGCATTGTTTAGCAGTAATGATATCTGCATCTCTCAATTATGCTGCCTCTCATAACATATGAGTAATTAGACATTTGGGTCTTAAAACTCAAGATCAAAGTGAAAGCACTAATTTGAAATGTATTTGGATAAACATATGTATACTTATCTATCCTAATTTCTACCTCTTTTCTCGAGACACAAGGCATTCGTGCTCTATTTTCTGTCATAACTGCCATTCCTGTCGGGGGTTTGAAAAGATCAAATGACATAATCCATATGCTTTTGATTGTTGAACTTCAAAGTGCAACATGACTAGTATCCTTCTATATGATGTTCAGATCTTTATTTACCCTTAGTTACATATTAGCCAGTTATTTAACAGTCACGGAACACCTAGATGAAGGACATTCTACTAGGCACTGTGGAGACATAACATTATTTAAGACCTATCTCTGCCCATAAGGAACCAGGCTGTGTCCATGAAATGTTAATAAACACAAGCAAAGCAGCAGAAAATGAATAGTATTCCAGGCCAGGGGCGGTGGCTCATGCCCGTAATCCCAGCACTTTGGGAAGCCAAGGCAGGCGGATTACTTGAGGTCAGGAGTTAGAGACCAGCCTGGCCAATAGGACAAAACCTCATCTTTACTTAAAAAAAAAAAAATACAAAAATACAAAAATTAGCCGGGTATAGTGTCAGGCACTTGTAATCCCAGCTACTCAGGAGTCTGAGGCAGGAGAATCGCTTGAACCTGGGAAGCAGAGGTTGCAGTGAGCTGAGATTGCACCACTGCACTCCAGCCTGGGCAACAGAGTGAGACTCCATCTCAAAAAAAAGAAAGAAAAAAATAGTATTCCAGAGATCACTGAAGAAAAAATGCAGGCCGGGCACAGTGGCTTACACCTGTAATCCCAGCACTTTGGGAGGCTGAGGAAGGAGGATGCCTTGAGCTCAGGAGTTTGAAACCACCCTGGACAACATAAGGACACCCTGTCTCTCCAAAAACAATGAATAGGCTGGGTGCAGTGGCTCACACCTGTAATCCCAACACTTTGGGAGACCGAGGTGGGTGGATCACTTGAGGTCAGGAGTTCAAGACCAGCCTGGCCAACATGGTGAAACCCTGTCTCTACTAAAAAAAAAAAATAGAAAAATTAGCTGGGCATGGCGGTGTGTGCCTGTAATCTCAGCTACTCAGCAGTCTGAGGCAGGAGAATCGCTTGAACCTCGGAGGTGGAGGTTGCAGTGAGCCAAGATCGCACCACTGCACTCCAGCCTGGGTGACAGAGTGAGACTCCATCTCAAAAAAAGAAAAAAGAATAAACTAGCCAGGCATGGGCATGGTGGCATGTGCTTGTGGTCCTAGCTATTCGAGAAGCTGAGGTAGGAGGATCACTTGAGCTTCGGAGGTCAGGGCTGCAATGAACAGAGTTGAGACTCTGTTGAAAGGAAAGGAAAGGGGAGAGGAGGGGAGGGGAAGAAAGGGGAAGGGAGGGGGAAGGGGGAGGGAGGAAGGGAGGAAAGGAAAGAAGGGAGGGAGGGAGGAAAGGAAGGAAGGGAGGGAGGAAAGGAAGGGAGGGAGGAAAGGAAGGAAGGAAGGACGGAGAAAAATGCAAAGTGTGGAATGTTTTGAAATGGTTTTATGAGAGTATCTTAACAGTTAATGAGGTGGTGAACTCAAATGTATGAAGAAGCCGAATGTAAGACTGGCAAATGCTGTGGTGAACTGGAAAGTATACACTCAGTCTGAAGGCTTTCAAATTCCAGTGGGGGCAGGGGTGTGTGTATGTGTGCACAATTAAACACTGTAGGGATTAAACAAAACACAACTTCTTGGCAATATCTAGACTGTGACCTCTGGTTGAGAGAACATTTTATGTTCATTGATAGCAAAGCCTTACATGACAAAGGTAAATTATTTCTGACCAGAACAGTTCATGTGGAGAGTCAGGAGGTAAGGGAGGTAGGGAAGGATGGGCTTCAGAATCTCTCTGTTGACCTTGACAAATCTTACCAGGGGTCAGGAAGAGTTTGCCTGATCTAGTAAAACTAGTCAGTATGATGCAGTACATAGATAAATGAAACACAGTTTGCCTAAATTATTGCAAATTTCAATTTAGGAAGGTCAAAATTAATGAGGTTTTCCTGTACTTGGAAGTCATATTCGATGGCATGATAAATGTTAGAACTAAAAACTTAACAGCTATCTAATAATGTCAGTATCTAATGGAGAAAAAGGTGAGGGTAAAACGATTAACATGATTGCAGAAGGAAAAACAGATTGGCTTAATTAAGACTTTCCAAAGAAACATGCCATCACGCTATAGGTTTTCTTGGGATTTTAAAGAGTGTACATTTACCCTTGACATCAAGTCTGTTAGAATTTGGTCAAGTAGAACATCTACTTTTAAGTTGTATCTTGCCCTCAGATCTTTATAAATGATTGATTGACCATCACATTTTATTTGAAAAGAACTTAAATTTACACTTATTAATAAAGATTTTAAAATCTGTTTCTTCTGTATTAGTTTTGTTTTTTTTGGGTTTTTTTTGCAACAGTCTCGCTCTGTCGCCCAGGCTGGAGTGCAGCGAAGCGATCTCGGCTCACTGCAAGCTCCGCCTCCCGGGTTCACGCCATTCTCCTGCCTCAGCCTCCCAAGTAGCTGGGACTACAGGCGCCCGCCACCTTGCCCGGCTAATTTTTTTGTATTTTTAGTAGAGACGGGGTTTCACCGTGTTAGCCAGGATGGTCTCGATCTCCTGACCTCGTGGCCCGCCCACCTCGGCCTCCCAAAGTGCTGGGATTATAGGCGTAAGCCACGGTAGTATTTTTAATTACTCTTTCATTTAAAGAACAATTTCCTCTACACCTTAATTTTGAAACAGCTGGTTATGTCACCTGCTTCAATCTTTATAGGTATATATGTAAATATGTAAATTGTATGTAATTGTAATCTATGTGATTGTTACTTATTTTCTTTTCTCATTGAAATCTACTTTTTATATAATTTTCTAGATATCTGCATAGGTCACATATTTATCAAGATAAAGACTACAATTTTCTAATCTATCCCTTAAGTTTTGTTTCCAAGTTTTTAATATAATGAATAATTTGCTATAAACATCTGAACACAAAAAATACATTTTTTAGAAGTATTTAATTTGAAATATGTTCCTTCAAAGTAGGATTATTGATCACCAAGTACTGTCATGTGTATTTCCTTCATTTCCAATGTTCTCTAGATAGATTTTACAAATTTGCAAAATCTTACTTGCACCTCTTCTTCTACTGCCCCACAAACTTGGATTTTATTACCATATTTACATTTGTTTATACAACAGGGAAGAAGGAACATCTCCTATGGCCTTTAATGTATTTTGCTGTAGCTATTAACAAGCATACTGACTTAGTGTTCATTCTTTCTTGGTGCAAATGGTTTGCTCCACTTCTTTGGTCAATTATTATGTGGAAGAGGAATATTAATTTTATGTATCTATAGTCATTCTCTTTACATTTGAATGTTCAAATTATACCTATCATATTTATTTTTGCATGTTTCCCCTAGTATAACCTATTTTTTTCTATTAAAAACATTTTTAAATAGTTATAGAAATATAGAAATTTCTAACTACCATATTCTAAACTCCCAGGAACTTAATTTGCATTGGCCTAAATTAGTCTCAATCTAGTGCTGAAAGTCTGGACGATTATTTTCATCCTTTGCAATGTGGCTTTAACGCTATGACTTCATGAATCACCCAGGCAGACTGGTATTATGAATGTGAGTAAGGTTGAACCTGGTACACAACCAGGGTTTACACTTTTAGAGAGCTGGTAAATACAGCATAGAAAGGCATTTCTCAGTAGCTTTCCATGGATTAGAGATCATACAACCTGTGCTTGCACATGGCAGCCTAAAGCCACACTATTATTCCAAGAATACATTAGTGGGAATTACTTTTCAGAAGCCACTCCAGAAGCATCCTGGCCATAATCTCTCTAGAAATAGAGATAAACAAAAACTCGCAATGATTGTGCACAGTTAAGGAAAAGGCCATGTTCTTCTTGCAGCAATGTTAACTATCTCTCTTTTCTCTGACAGCAGTCGTCATCCACCACTTCAAAGTTAAAGGAACAACCGCCTTACATTGTGAGAAATTCTATGTACTTTCTGAAGTTTTATCTTCATTAAGAAAAGATTATTGCATTAGAAAGTTCACTGAAACAACACCTGTGGAATTCATTTCCAAATTGATCTCATCTGCTCCCATGGTTTCAAATACCAACTGTACAACAATGATTTCCAAAAATCGTCTTTGTTGCAGAAGTTTCTTATATGTTTTGGAGATTAACAATAGCAATAGACTCTTAATTGTTCTTCCAACTTCTGAATGACCCCTTCCCAAATAGCAAAATGCACCAGAGGGCTCTTTTAGGAACATACATTGATCATGGCACCTCCCACCATAAAATCCTTTAACTATCTCTTATCACTTACAGGATTAATTCTAACTCGCTTAGCATGGCAATGACTTATGTAGGATATTTGTTATTTACAGAATCCCAGCACAGGACAGAAAAAAATGTGGATTGTTAATTCTACAATAGTGAATTATACTGTATCATTCGCATCCTCACATGGGTTGTCATACGGTTGACACAGTTCTTACATGGCTAAGTGGAAATAGGAAGGCAGTTTATGACTACATTTCAAGTTTTTCCATACTTTCTCCTTAGGAATACAGTTATGTGCCACATAATGACATTTCAGTCAATGATGGACTGCATATACAATGGACTGCATATACAATGGACTGCATATATGAAGGTGGTCCCATAAGATTATGACATTTTTATTGCACCTTTTCTATGTTTGAATATGTTCAGATACATAAATACCATTGTGTTACAATTGTCCACAATATTTAGTACAGTAACGTGCTGTACAGGTTTGTAGCTTAGGAGCAATAGGCTACACCATATAGCCTAGGTGTATAGTAGGATATACCACTAGGTTTGCATAAGTCCATTCTATGGTGTTCACATGATGACAAAATCACCTAACGACACATTTCTCAGAACATATCCCCTTCGTTAAGCAATGCATAACTGTAGATAGTTATATTCTCTAATCCAATTTCTATATTTTTTGGAGAGCAGCTTACAAAATGCTATGTAAATTACAATGATTCTTATTAACTCAATAGTGGATTGGTGCTTATCAACACATTGGGCTTTAATGCTTTTGATGCTGTGACCATTTAACATATTATAAATGTTAATAAATGAATTAAATCTATCTCATGGTGAGTTGTATCGAATCATATCACACAAAAATTACACTAACTACAGTAACAAAGCAAAATCAATGGCTCTTTAGATCATAGTTTAAGCTCAGAAGAAACAGGAAAAATATCTAAAATGACTGGTGAATTGAGTGTCTTGTTGGCTTCTTTGTACTTGAATAATCAGTCCTCCAAAATGTTTTGCTAGTTCCACATGTAAAAACTTTTTTTAAATATTGCTAATTACTGAACAGCAAAACTCCTTTTACTCTCTCAAATTATATTCCAAGATCACTTCCATGACAACCTCGTCCTTTCCCACTTGGATCATTTTCCATTTTAGTATTTCTTTTCTTAAATAAAACATATGCAAAAAACCATCTCATTTAGAGAACAGAAGATGATAAAGCGTTTTCTTGTGCTTAAAATTTTGAATTATTCAAAGGCATCTTTGAGATGACTCGTTCCTGAATGTGTGCCTTAGAAAGACATATAATGGATGCTTATTCTATATTTTATAGAGTGATATAGTTTGGCTCTATGTCCCCACCCAAATCTCATCTCTAATTGTAGTCCCCACATGTCAAGAGAGGGACCTGGTGAGAGACGATTGGATCATGGGAGTGGTTTCCCTCATGCTGTTCTTGTGATAGTGAGGGAGTTCTCACAAGATCTGATGGTTTAAAAGTGTTTGGCAGTTCCCCGTTCACTCTCTCTCTCTCGCTCGCTGCCTTGTGAAGAAGGTACTTGCTTCTCCTTTGCCTTCCGCCATGACTGTAAGTTTCCTGAGGCCTCCCCAGCCATGCGGAACTGTGAGTTAATTAAACCTCTTTCCTTTATAAATTATCCAGTCTCAGGCAGTTCTTTATAGCAGTGTGAAAATGCATTAATACATAGAGTTTTCTTTATTCTTGCCACTTTGCCCTTTTTCCTTGTGCTTACTCTAGCAAGTCAGATGGCAGAGGAGCTGAAGGAAATGGAAATGCCGGGAGAGGTGGCTGAGCAGGAGAGTAATGCTTCTGCTCTCTCTCCTTCTGGATTCTTCTGTCCCTACTGTATCTGAGGATTGTTTCCTTGTTCCTGTTGAAGAAGAAACCCTCTTCATTTCTCCATAAAGGGCTTATCCCCTCTGTCCCTTCATGAGGTGCAGTTTCCCGGGAAGTCTAAGAATGTGCAGCAAGAATTTACTAAAATATTTTCTCTAACCTTCAACTCTTATTTTACCCTCCAAATGGTGACTTGGGGCTCATTTTTAAAGTAAAGATGTAATTAAAAATCATATCTAGAGCTGGAGCTATCTTTGAGGCTGAAGGTCATATTTTCATTAAAAAGGATGTAAACGTGCACTTAGAGTGCTGGAACTATTCCTTGGTCCCAAACATTACTCTTTGTCACTTTTAAAAATTATTGTTTTGGGTCTGAAGAAATTATATTCCTAGTAATTCCTACTCACTACACAGATGTCATATGGCAATAACCAATAAAGACTTATAAAGTCTTCTACAATCATTGCATGCTATATGTACGCTTAGTAAATTTTAGCATAATTCCTAACTAAAAGTTTATAGAGAGAAATGAAAACCACATGCCTTAGCGCCATCCCAAACTTAATTATAGTTGAGTCAAAAATGTCCATTCACACAATATATTTTATAAATCTGCTCATTATAATGCCCCTTTTTTCATTTCTACATTTAATAGTAAATGTCGATTTGATTTTAGAAAAATAAATGAAGACCACACAAGTGAAAAAAACAAAGCAATTAGCAAAAATGACAGCTCAGAGCTTGTAAACTAAATTACAAGTTTCAGCATGGTGTTCAAAAAGGCTGCAAATTTAGGATGGTTACTTATATTCAATTATTAAGGCCAGGTTTAAATAACAGGCAAAAATACCACTTTTAGTCATAGGAGAGTATATGCAATTATTCCAAAAGAGTTGACAAAAAATCTGCTTCTGGCACTGTCTTAGTTAATGGTTTGATAAAAGTGATTTTTCTTTTTTTTTTTTTTTTTTTTTTTTGAGACGGAGTCTCGCTCTGCCACCCAGGCTGGAGTGCAGTGGCGCGATCTCCGCTCACTGCAAGCTCCGCCTTCTGCGTTCACGCCATTCTCCTGCCTTAGCCTCCTGACTGACTGGGACTACAGGCGCCCGCCTCCACGCCCGGTTAATTTTTTTGTATTTTTAGTGGAGAACGGGTTTCACCGTGTTAGCCAGGGTGGTCTCAATCTCCTGACCTCGTGATCCGCCCGCCTCGGCCTCCCAAAGTGCTGGAATTACAGGTGTGAGCCACCACGCCTGGCCATTTTTCTTACTTTTAATATGTTTTTGATGGAAGAACTGGACAGAGCCACACGGGTCTCTTTCTTCCTAAAAAAAAAAAGTACAATGCAGGAAAATTTTCCTCTATTCTTTTGTGCTATTTTCTGAGCCCCAATGTTATTAAGACTCCAGAAAAGGCAGAGAAGGCAAAGGACAGGGCCTTCTTTATACCAGCTTCAGGGTCTTCCTCTCTTCATGAGCTAACTTCACGTTCATTCATCCTTCTATGTCCTCTCATGCACCTTTACTTTCTCCTTCCACCTTCAAAAAAGTCCTGAGTGTAAGAAAACCATACAGTCTCCAAGGGAAACATCAGAAAGAAAAGAATTGAACAGCCTCATGTTTGTTTATTTTGCTCACTAGAAACAATAGGTCCTTGCTGTACTCCTTGCTCTGTTGAGATAAGTTCAAAAACAATTGCAGGGTTATCAGCTCCAACTTTGAGCTGGGAGCTGCCCAATGGTGGAAATGTCTTACTAATCCATTAGCTCTATTGGCATTTCTAACTGAGGGCCCTACGTACATTAAACTGGCTGTGCCCAGAGCTTTAGTATCTCAGAATTGTTTCCTCACGGTTCCTTCAAAAAGTGGAATTCATAACAATTTTTAGAAGAACTCCCAGGTTAAAAATACATAAAACTCAATGTTATATTTTCTAAAATAGTCTTTCCCAGTACCCGATGTCCCCCTTTGGCAGAAGAAATAAAGATTTTTAATGGTATTTAGTTTGGAAAGCTGTAAGGCAGGCTGGGTTTCTCTTCTCCTCTGATCTATCTCTGCATGTCTTGCTACATTGGTCAGGTCACATTAGGTTTGAGGAAGACAAAGGAGATATAGAATAAGGTAAATCAGTCAAGATGCCTGAAATAATTGATTGCTCTAAACATTATATTTACAAGAAAACCCCTCTTCATTAAATTGAATATGAATGAAACTCTGATCTATAAGTAAACATTCCACAGAAATATTAATTCGACTTTCTAAACTGGAGGAGCACTACTCTTGCTTAGTAGCATGGTTTAAGAACCTGTTATAACTTTAAAAATTGGGGAGTTACATGGACAGTTACCAGGTTGTAGTATGTGTAAGTCATTCCTGAACCATTAAATAAATGCACACTGCGAGGAAACTCATCAGCAGGAGCAACAAGCTACTGTTTAAGAGTGGGCAGTGCAAAAGTGAAGGCAGGAGAGAGGTCATTTTCACTTTCATCTTATTTTATAAGAGCAAAAAGGAAGCCACTTTATGATACTAAGTATGTTGTAATGATCGTTTTTGAACCAGGAAAAAGCTTGCAACATATTCAAATAGAATAGGAAAGTAACAACTACTTTAATCAAAAGGAGTTTGAGGACAGGGTATTGGGTGGTCGTAGAAAGTAGATTTGGACCTCGAGTTTCCCTTGACTAATGCTTAAGTTGACATAAACTCTTTTTGGGAGGAAATTAATTGCATTGGTGTACTTACAGCTGTTTAGTAAACATGTTCCTTACAGTGATTCTTCCATATACAGCCCTTCCCTTTACTGAAGTCTCTATGCCGTAAGTCACTTATTGTGGACAACTACCATGTCACTAGAAGCTGGGTTGATCCAGAAGTGTGCAACACATAATTATCCCTTTCTTTCTTTCTCCTCCTCTGCTCCTCAATCCATGCCCAGAGACATCTCAGTCTCCTAATGGGCATAAGTCAAGGGAAGACAAGGCCTTCTCCACCTCCACATTGGGATCTGGGATCCAGGATATGTGGCCAATGTGATAGAACAGTCTTTCCCTTTTAGGCTACTTTGCCCTTGTTGCACATCCACAGAGAATAATTCAAATGTCTAAATTGTGGACTAATTCTTGACATATCATACCAGTATATTTGATTCTTCTTTCCACTTTCTGGTATGCAGTAATTGTGCAAAACCAAAGTTGCAGTCTGTTCATTTCAACACAATTTTTTAAAATGTTTTATTTCCATAGGTTATTGGGGAACAGGTGGTGTTTGGTTACATGAGTAAGTTCTTTAGTGGTGATTTGTGAGATTTTGGTGCACCCATCACTCGAGCAGTATATACAGCACCCAGTTTGTAGTCTTTTATCCCTCACCTCCTCCCCACCCTTTCCCCCTGAGTCCTCAAAGTCCATTGTATCATTCCTATGTCTTTGCATCCTCATAGCTTAGCTCCCTCTTATAAGTGAGAACATATGTTTGGTTTTCCACTCCTGAGTTGCTTCACTTAGAATAACACTCTCCAATCTCATCCAGGTCACTGTGAATGCCATTAACTAATTCCTTTTTATGGCTGGGTAGTATTCCATCATATATATACACATATATATATATTCCATCATATATATATACACATCATGTATATCATATATATCATATATATGGTGCATATATATGGTATCATATATATGGTGCATATATATGGTATCATATATATGGTGCATATATATGGTATCATATATATGGTGCATATATATGGTATCATATATATGGTGCATATATATGGTATCATATATATGGTGCATATATATGGTATCATATATATGATATATAGTGTGTATATATGGTATATATATCATATATGTGGTGTATATATATATATACACACACACATATATTCCACAGTTTCTTTATCCACTCATTGATTGATGGGCATTTGGGTTGGTTCCACATTCTTGCAATTGTGAATTGTGCTCCTATAAACATGTATGTGCAAGGATCTATTTCATATAATGACTTCTTTTCCTCTAGGTAGATACCCAGTAGTGGGATTGCTGGATCAAATGGTAGTTCTACTTTCAGTTCTTTAAGGAATCTCCACACTGCTTTCCATAGAGGTTATACTAGTTTACATTCCCACCAGCAGTATGGAAGTGTTCCCCATTCACCACATCCACACCAGCATCTTTTTTTAGTTATCATTATGGCCGTTCTTGCAGGAGTAAGGTGGTATCAAATTGTGGTTTTGATTTGCGTTTCCATGATCAGTAGTGATGTTGAGCATTTTTTCATATGTTTATTGGCCATTTGTATATCTTCTTTTGAGAATTGTCTATTCATGTCCTTAGCCCACTTTTTGATAGGATTGTTTGTTTTTTTCTTGCTGATTTGTTTGAGTTCATTGTAGATTCTGGATATTATTCCTTTTGTCAGATGTATAGATTGTGAAGATTTTTCTGTCACTCTGTGGGTTGTCTGTTTACTCTGCTGTCTATTCCTTTTGCCATGCAAAAGCTCTTTAATTAAGTCCTAGCTATTTCGTTTTTTGTTTTTGTTTTTGTTTTTTTGCATTTGCTTTTGGGTCCTTGGTCAAGAAATCCTTGCCTAAGCCAATGTCTAGAAAGGTTTTTTCAATGTTATCTTTTATAATTTTTATAGCTTCAGGTCTTACATTTAAGTCCTTTATCCATCTTGAGTTGATTTTCATACAAGGTGAGAGATGAGGATCCAGTTTCATTCTCCTACATGTGGCTTGCCAATTATCCCAGCACCATTTGTTGTAAAGGGTGTCCTTTCCCCACTTTATGCTTTTGCTTGCTTCGTCAAAGATCAGTTGGCTGTAAGTATTTGGGTTTATTTCTGGGCTCTCTGTTCTGTTCCACTGGTCTCTGTACCTATTTTTATACCAGTACCATGCTGTCTTGGTAAGTATGGTTTATAATATAGTTTGAAGTCAGGTAGGGTGATGCCTCCAGATTTGTTTTTTGTTTGTTGGTTTGTTTCTTTTTGGGTTTTGTTGTTGTTGTTGTTTCGTTTCTGGGGTTTTTTTGGCTTAGCCTTGCTTTCGCTATGCAGGTTCTTTTTGGGTTCCATATGAGTTTTAGGATGGCTTTTTTTCTAATTCTGTGAAGAATGATGCCGGTATTTTGACGGGAATTTGGCAGTATGGTCATTTTCACATGGATTGATTCTACCCATCTATGAGCATGAGGTGTGTTTCCATTTATTTGTGTCATCTGTGATTTCTTTCAGCAGTGTTTTGTAGTTTTCCTTGTAGAGGTCTTTCACCCCCTTGCTTAGGTATATTCCTAAGGTTTTGTTTTTGTTTCTGTTTTTTTGCAGCTTTTGTTAAAGGCGTTGAGTTCTTGATTTGATTCTCAGCTTGGTGGTTTTTAGTGTATAGAAGAGCTACTGACTTTTGTACATTAATCCTGTATCCAGAAACGTTGCTGAATTCATAGATGACTTTCATTTCATTGAGGTATTTCCCTTATATGCCGATTTTGCTGAGAGTTTAATCATAAAGTGATGCTGGATTTTGTCGAATGCTTTTTCTTTGTCTATTGAGACGATCATGTGATTTTTGTTTTTAATTCTGTTTATGTGGTGTATCACATTAATTGACTTGCATATGTTAAACCATCCCTGCACCCCTGGTATGAAACCCACTTGATCATGGTGAATTATCTTTTTGATATGTTGTTGGATTCGGTTAGCTAGTATTTTGCTAAAGATTTTAACGTTTATGTTCATCAGGGATATTGGTCAGTAGTTTTCTTTTTTGATTATGTTCTTTCCTGATTTTGGTATTAGGGTGATTTTAGCTTCATAGAATGATTTTGGGAAGGTTCCCTCTTTCTCCATTTTTGTGGAATAGTGTCAATAAGATTGGTACCAATTCTTCTTTGAATGTCTACTATAATTCTGCTGTGAATCCATCTGGTCTGGGACTTTTTTTGTTGGTAATTTTTAAATTATCATTTCAATCCCACTGCTTATTATTGATCTGTTCAGGATATCTAATTATTTCTGATTTGAGCTACAAGGATTTTATCTTTCCAGGAATTTGTCTATCTCTTCTAGGTTTTCTATTTTATACATATAAAAGTGGTCATAGTAGCCTTGAATGATCTTTTCAAGGCTCACAAGTGTGGTGTCAGTTGCAATATCTCCAATTTCGTTTCTAATTGAGCTTATTTGGATTTTCTCTCCTTTTCTTGGTGAATCTTGCTAATGGTCTATCAATAAAATTGATAGACCAATCTTTTCAAAGAAGCAGCTTTTTGTTTCAGTTATCTTTTGTTTTGTTTTTTGTTTGTTTCAGTTTATTTAGTTCTGCTCTGATCTTGGTTATTTCCTTTCTTCTGATTGGTTTGGGTTTGGTTTGTTCTTGTTTCTCTAGTTCCTTGAGGTGCGACCTTAGATCATCTGTGCTTTTTCAGACTTTTTGATGTAGGCATTTAGGGCTATGAACTTTCCTCTTAGCACCGCCTTTGTTGTATCCCAGAGGTTTTGATAGGTTGTGTCACTATTGTCATTCAATTAGAAGAATTTTTTAATTTCCCTCTTGATTTCATTTTTGATCCAATGATCAGGAGCAGATTATTTAATTTCCATGTATTCACATGGTTTTCAAGTTTCCTTTTGGAATTTATTTCCAGTTTTTTTCCACTGTGGTCAGAAATAGTGCTTGATATAATTTCAACTGTCTTAAATCTATTGAGGCTCATTTTGTGGCCTATCATATGATCTGTCTTGGAGAAAGTTCCATGCACTGTTGAATAGAATTCATATTCTGCAGGTGTTGGGTAGAAAGTTCTGTAAATATGTGTTAAGTCCATTTACAGAGTACAGTTTAAATCCATTGTTTCTTTGTTGACTTTCTGTCTTGATGACTTGTCTAGTGCTGTCGGTGGAGTATTGAAGTCCCCCACTATTATTGTGTTGCTGTCTATCTCATTTCTTAGGTCTGTTAGTAATTGTCTTTTACATTTTGGAGCTCCAGTGTTAGGTGCATATATATTTAGGATTGTGATATTTTCCTGTTGGACAAGTCCTTTCATCATTATATAATGCCCCTCTTTGTCTTTTTTAACTGCTCTTGCTTTAAAGTTTATTTTGTCTGATAAAAGAATAGCTACTCCTGCTCACTTTTGGTGTCCATTGGCATGGAATGTCTTTTTCCACCCCTTCACCTTAAGTTTATGTGAGTCCTTATGTGTTAGGTGAGTCTCTTGAAGGCAGCAGATAGTTGGTTGGTGAGTTCTTATCTATTCTGCAGTTCTGTATCTTTTAAGTGGACCATTTAGGCCATTTACATTAAATGTTAGTATTGAGATGTGTGGTACCATTCCATTCATCGTGCTATTCGTTGCCTGTATACCTTGGTTTTTTGGTTGTTTTTTTAACTTGGATTTTTGTTTTATAGGTTCTGTGTGATTTATGCTTTAAAGAGGTTCTGTTTTGATGTGTTTTCAGGATTTGTTTCAAGATTTAGAGCTCCTTTTAGTAGTTCTTGTAGTGCTGGCTTTGTAGTGGTGAATTCTCTCAGCATTTGTTTGTCTGAAAAAGACCGTACCTTTCCTTCATTTATGAAGCTTAGTTTCACTGGATGCAAAATTCTTGGCTGATAATTGTTTTGTTTGAGGAGGCTGAAGATAGGGCCCCAATCCCTTCTAGCTTGTAGGGTTTCTCCTGAGAAATCTGCTGTTAACCTGATAGGCTTTCCTTTGTAAGTTACCTGATGTTTTTGCCTCACAGCTCTTAAGATTCTTTCCTTCCTCTTAACTTTAGAAAACCTGATGACAATATGCCTAGGCGATAATCTTTTTGCAATGAATTTCCCAGGTGTTCTTTGAGCTTCTTATATTTGGCTGTCTAGGGCTCTAGCAAGGCCAGGGAAGTTTCCCTCAATTATTCCCCCTAATATATTTTCCAAGCTTCTAGATTTCTCTTTTTCCTCAGAAATGCTGATTATTCTTAGGTTTGGTCATTTAACATAATCCCCAACTTCTTGGAGGCTTTGTTCATATTTTCTTATCCTGTTTTTCTTTGTCTTTGTTGGATTGGGTTAATTCGAAAATCTTGTCTTCAAGCTCTGAAGTTCTTTTTCTGCTTGTTCAATTCCATTGCTGAGACTTTGCAGAGCATTTTGCATTTCTATACGTGCATCCATTGTTTCCTGAAGTTTTGATTGTTTTTTATTTATGCTATCTATTTCATTGACCATTTCTCTCTTCACTTCCTGTGTCATTTTTTTATTCCCTTAAATTAAGCTTTGCCTTTCTCTGGTGCCTCCCTGATTAGCTTAATAACTAACCTTCCAAATTCTTTTTCAGGTAAATCAGGGATTTCTTATTGGTTTGGATCCATTGCTGGTGAGCTAGTGTGATTTTTTGGGGGGTGTTAAAGAGCCTTGTTTTGTCATATTACCAGAGTTGGTTTTCTGGTTCCTTCTTGTTTGGGTAGGCTCTGTCAGAGGGAAGGTCTAGGGCTCAAGGCTGTTGTTCAGATTCTTTTGCCCCATGGGGTGTTCCCTTGATGTAGTACTCTCCCCCTTTTCCTATGGATGTGGCTTTCTGAGAGCCGAGCTGCAGTGATTGTTATCTGTCTTCTGGGTCTAGCCACCCAGCAAGTCTACCAGGCTCCGGGCTGGTACTGGGGGTTGTCTGCACAGAGTCCTGTGATGTGAACCGTCTATGGGTCTCTTAGCCATGGATACCAGCACCTGTTCCAGTGGAGGTGGCAGCGGGTAAAATGGACTCTGTGAGGGTTCTTAGCTTTGGTGGTTTAATGTTCTATTTGTGCGCTGGTTGGCCTCCTGCCGGGAGGTCGTACTTTCCAGGGAGCATCAGCTGTGGTAGTATCTCAACACAAATGTAACAGGACCTTCTTAATCCCCCTCTTTGGAGAAAGTACTTACTGAAACTAAAATCTTTTGTGTAAAGTACTCCTAATATTAAAACTAGTCAAAGATATACAATCATGCAAGTACGTTTGTGTAATAAAAAATGTGCTTGAGCAGCAACTGGAATGTAATCTTCCAGGATAATAGGTCCTTCAGTCTGGCTTGCTTATCAGTGAATGCCACATTCCATACACTGTTGAAATAAGAGGCCACGTTCCACAACCAAAAAGAATACCAAGATTTTAAGAGTTTTTGGGCTTTCAGTTCTGAACTGCAAAGCAACCATATCCCATTGTACTGTTCAAAAAACTTTAAGTGTTTTAAAATTCCTCAAAAGACATCTGACATGGAAAATGGTATTATTATTGCTGCAATCATTTTAATATTTAGATAAATACAAGCATCTCCTAGAAAACCCTGGGGAAAAAAATCCTCCTACTCTATTCTACCTTTCTGTGCTATTTCCTGAAATGGGGAACCCCATTTTGGTATCTGTGAAGCCTGACATGAATTTGACAGCATTCCCAGGAATGGAATGATTTTTACGTTTGGGAAATAGAATGAAGACAAATGAAAAGAACTACATAATTCTTTCACGGTGAATAGGCTAAAAGCTGGCTTAACAGTATTCAAGGGTGTAAATGGTTAGTCTGAGAGAGAAGATAACAAGCTTAACTTCACTCCACTCAGGACAGGGTAAAAGAAAATGGACTTAAAGTTGCACAAGAAAAAGATGTATTGTGTATGCATAATTACATGCATAGACATATATTGGACACACACATATACATACACATAAATACATGCAGTCTTCATAAAGCCTTAGCGTATGTTATTTTCTTTGTCTGATATATCTTAAAGCTTAATAACTTAGTTTGGGCTTACAGTAGAAATAACCTATGCAGAAGTTCAGAAGTGAATTTATTAGACTCCAGAACAACCGTATTATATAGTTATAACAACAGATACTCATTGCAGGTCCTGTGACAAATAACACAAATGGCTGCCATAGACAAGAAGACAATAAGCAACTCTGGCTATGGAGTTAAAGTTCGTGTCACTTTTAAGAAGAAAATTTCCTTGAATTTATATATATATATATATAGCTTGTCATACCTACAACCCAAGTTATTAAATTTTAAAAAGCTATAGCAGGGCATTAGGAAATACCTGTATATCTTTGTATAGAAGAGTATCATAATATAAATATCAAGTCTAAAAGCAAATAAAAGTTTGACAACTTTTATGTGCCCCCAGGGAATGTTTGTTTTGAAGCTTTTAATTTTAATCTTTGTTCAATAACCATGTCATTTCCTAAAACTATTCGGTATATGGCACTTTTTCTTATATCCTCTTATTATAATACTTCCTCAACCTTCTTTGAAGGCTCTTCCTTCCCTCCACTCCCTTTAGATATTTAACCTTTAAAGATAACTAGTTATGCTCCTATGTGGATGGAGGTTGAGAAGCCCAGTGGGGAGGATAAATCATTCAAAAAGATGGAAGAGCCAGAGCAAAAATACAGGAATATGGAACAATGTTAAATGTCTAGGGAAATGCAAATATTTGGGTATCGCTGAAGTACTGCTTCTTGTTTGGGAGAGAGGCAGTGTAGATGGGAACATGGTGCCAATCAATAGATAGGGCTATAGATATACAGGCTATGGAGGCCTTGTTTATCACATCCTGAGGTTTGGAGCTTCTCCTCTAGGCAATGGGCAGCTAACAATGGGTTTTAAGCACAGCAGTTGGGTCATAATATTCAGATTTAGAAAAGTCATTCTGGCAACAGTGTGCAGGATTTACTGGAGGGCAAAGATGACCATAGGCAGAAAATACTATTTGAAGACTGATTTAAAGCAGTAATGGAGGAAATGGAAAAGAAGGTAGCTAGTCAAAAAGAAATTAAAAGGAAAGAATCTATAGGACTTAGCACTAATTGAATGAGAAGTTAGGTGAGAGGGTAGAATCCAGGATGACTCTGAATGTTCTGAATCCAGAGGCCAGGTGTGTGATGGTACCACGCATTGAGACATGGTACCCAAAATAGGGAAACCTGTAGAGACAAAAAGTAGATTAGCTGTTCTTTATGGTTAGGTGAAGAGTGAATGGTGGGGATGGGGAGTGATAGCTAAAGGATATGGAGTTTCTTCTTGTGATGATAAAAAATATTCTAAATTGACTATAGTGATAGTTGCAGATATCTGTGAATATACCAAAAACCATAGAATTGTATAATTTCAGTGGGTGAATTGTATGACATGTGAATTATATCTTAAGCTGTTTTTTTAAAAAGAGCAAAACAGATTTCCTAAGGAAGAAGAAATATCTTCCTCAGCAACTTCAGTTTCTGCCAGATAATTTCCAACATGTTGACATGCCCTGTAGATTTGGGACTTGCCGGCCCCCACAATCATGTAAGCTAATTCATTGAGATAGATAGATAGACAGATAGATAGATGGGATGACTGACAGATAGAACTATAGAGTGAGAGATTTAGATAGATAGATATTAATAGATGAGATAGAGAGATTGATTGATTGATTTTTATATCTCTCACTGGTTCTCTTTCTCTGACTAATACAGATTTTGAAACTGGGAAGAGGAATGCTGCTGTAATAAATACCTTAAAATGTGGGCAGTGATTTTGGAATTGGGTTACTGGTAGAGGCTGAAAGAATTTTGAGGTACTTGATAGAAAATCACAGATGGCCTAGCAGAGATTAATGGAAATACAGATGACAAGAATGCTTCTGGTGATGTCTCCAGAGAAAAGGAGGAACACGTTATTAGAAACTGGAGGAAAGGTGAACCTTGTGAAAAGTGGGAAGAAATTGGCTCACCTGTGTTCTATTACACTTTGGTAAAGTAGAACTTGTAAGAGATTAACTTTAATATTTAGTTGAGGACATTTCTAAGTAAAGTGTTGAAGTGCTGCTTAGTTTCTTCTTGTTGCTTATAGTAAAATGCAAAAGTAAAGAGATAAATTGAGGAAGCAAAAAGTTAAGCAAAAATGAACCAGCACTTGATAATTTTGGAGGTTCTGATCCATAGAACAAAGGATGCTAAAATTAGAAAATTCGCTATTGAGAAATCCTCTTCCAGAGAGAAGGCCAAGTGTGCAACTTGAAAACCTTTTGCTAAAGAAATTAGGTATGTGATTCATGGATGCAATCAACCATGTTAGCAGAATCCAAGAATAAATATTAAGTTATCTAAGAAGAGAACCCTTTTGCTTGATGGTGTGGATCCCCGTGACACACACTGGAGGCTCACAGATGTTTAAGAATATTATACTAAAAGAAACATTATGAGGTTGGGCTGAAGGAGACTGAGACTGGACAAAATTTTAAAAGATTGTCAGACTCCTAAAAGTCTTCAGGCAGGAAATGGGCTTATAGAGCTATTCTGCTGCAAGCATGTGCTATTCAAAAAAAAAAAAGGAAGAAAAACTCAAGAGCAAAAGTGCTATTGGCCCAGGGGCAAAGGGCAATGGAGCCACTGCCAAGGGCACAAAGCACAGTGGAGCTGCCTGAGGCCACAAAGGATGATAAAGCCACAGGCACAGAGTGTGGAGCCACAAGCCACAGACAATTATTCTCAGGCCCTGCCAGATTTCAGATTTGCTTGGTACTGGTGACCCCTTAATTTCTTCCAATTTTTCTCTTTTGTAATAGAGTTGTTTATATTATACCCAACCCGCCATTGTATTTTGAAGGCAAACAACTGGTTTTCTAGGTTCACAGGTCCACATATGGACAGAAATTTTGCCCCAGGATAGATCAGACCCAGGATATTATCTATACCTGATTTAGACCATAAGATTTTGGAATAATAGTTGACGCTTAATGGGTTGAGACTTTTGATAATGCTGGGATGTAGAAAATGTATTTTGTATGTGAGATAAACATGAATTTTGAGGGATCAGAGGGCAGACTGTAATGGTTTGAATACTGTCCTCCCAAAAGATACATCTACCCAGAACCTGTAAATGTGACTTTGGAAAAAGGGTCTTTGCAGATATACTTAAGGACCTTGAAAAGAGATCATCCTGGATTAGGGCGGTCCCTAAATCCAGTGAAAACTTCTTGTAAGAGAAGAGAAGCGGAAACAGACACAGAGATACAAGGAAGAAGAACATGTGAATGAAGAAGCAGATTTTGGAATTGTGTTGTCACAAACCATGGAATACCTGGAATCACCAAAACCTGCAGAAGGCAAGTGAAGATTCCCTGCAGCCTTCAGATGGAGTGCGGCCCTGCAAACCAGACATATCTCAGAGATATTGCAGATTCAGTTCCAGAAAACCAGAATGAAGTAAGTCACACAAAATTTTTTTCCTAGTGCATATAGAAGCTCTGTTTATACTGTACACTATTAGGTATGCAATAGCATTATGTCTAAAAATGTACATACCTAAGTTTAAAAAATACTTTACTGCCAAAAATGCTAATGATCATCTGAGCCTTCAGTGAATGATTATCTTTTTGCTGGTGGAAGGTTTTGCCTTAATGTTGATAGCTGACTGATCATTGTTGCAGTTGCTGAAAGTAGAGGTGGCTGTGACAATTTCTTAAAATAAGACGACAATTAAGTTTGCTGCATTGATTGACTCTTTTTCATGAAAGAATTATCTGTAGTATGCGATGCTGTTTGATAGCATTTTACCTATAGTAGAACTTCTTTCAAAATTGGAGTCAATCCTCTCAAGCCCTGCCATTGCTTTATCATCTAAAGTTTATGTAATATTCTAAGTCTTTTGTTGTAATTTTAACAACGTTCACAGCATCTTCACCAGGAGTAGATTCCACTTCAAGAAACCACTTTCTTTGTTCATCCATAAGAAGCAACTCCTCATTCATTAAAGTTTTGTTATGAGATTGCAGCAATTTAGCCACATCTTCAGGCTCCACTTCTAATTCTAGTTATCTTGATATTTATCTCTACCAAATGCAGTTTCTTCCTCTACTGAAGTCTTGAACTCTTCAAAGTCATTCATGAGGATGGAATCAACTTCTTCCAAACTCCTGTTAATGTTAATATCTTTACCTCCTACCATGAATCATGAATGTTCTTAATGGCATCTAGAATGGTAAATCCTTTTCAGAACATTTTCAATTTACTTTTCCCAAATCCATCAGAGGAATTACTATTTATGGAAGCTATAGTTTTACAAAATTCATTGCTTAAATAATAAGACTTGAAAGTCAAAAGTACTCCTTGAGTCATGGGCTGCATAACAACATTAATCTCTTTGTACATCTCCATCAGAGTTCTTGGATGACTTGGTGCATTGTCAATGAGCAATATTTTGAAAGTAATCTTTTTTCTGAGCAGTAGGTCTCAACAGTGGACTTAAAATATTCAGTGAACCATGCTGTAAATGCAGGCTTTGTTGTTCCATTTACAGAGCATGGGCAGAGTATATTTAGCACAGTTGTTAAGAGGCCTAGGGTTTTCAGAATGGTCAAAGAGCATTGGCTCCAACTTAAAGGCAACAGTTCCGTAAACCCCTAACAAGAGTCAGCCTGTCCTTTGAAGTCAGCCATTAACTTTTCTGTTCTAGCTATGAAAGTTCTAGATTGCATCTTGTTCCAATAGAAACCTATTTTATCTTAATTGAAAATCTATTGTTTAATGTGGCCATTTTCTTTCTTTTTTTTTTTTTAAGATGGAGTCTCACTCTGTCAACGAGGCTGGAGTGCATTGGCACAATCTCAGTTCACTGCAACCTCCACCTCCCGTCCCAGGTTCAAGTGATTCTCTTGCCTCAGCCTCCTGAGTAGCTGGGATTACAGGTGTGTGCCACCACATCTGGCTAATTTTTGTATTTTTTTGTAGAGATGGGATTTCACCATGTTGGCCAGGCTGACCTTGAACTCCTGAGCTCAAGTGATGCACCTGCCTCGGCCTCCCAAAGTGCTGGGATTACAGGAATGAACCACCATGCCCAGCCTAGTGTGGCCATTTTCATTCATTATCTTAGCTAGATCTTCTGGAGAATTTGCTGCAACTTCTCCAGCAAGATTTGCCACTTCACTGTGCACGATTACTTTATGAAGATGGGTTCTTTCCTTAGATCTCATGAACCAACCTCTGCTAGCTTCACACTTTTTTTCTGCACCCCCCTCATCTCTCTCAGCTTTTATAGAATTAAAGAGAGTTAGGGCTTTGCTCTATGTTAGGCTTTGGCTTAAGGAAATATTGTGGCTGGTTTGATCTTTTATCCAGACCGCCAAAACTTTCTCCAACAATAAGGCTGTTTGACTTTATTATTAGTGTGTTCATGGAGTAGCACTTTTATTCTCCTCCAAGAACTTGCTCTTTGCATTCACAACCTGGCTAAATGTTTGGTGGAAGAGGCCTAGCTTTTGGTCTGTCTCAGCTTTTGACATGCCTTCCTCACCAAACTTTATTATGTCTAGCTTTTAATATAAAGAGAAAGATGCACTATTCTCCCTTTCGCTTGAGCACTTACAGGCCATTGTAGGGCTAATAACTGGCCTGATTTTAATATTGTCATGTCTCAGGGAATAGGGAAGTCCAAGGAGAGAAAGAGAGGTGGGGAAAGAGCCTGACAGTGGAGCAGTTAGAACACACATAACATTTATTGATTACGTTTGCTATGTTCTATGTGAATGGTTTGTTGCACCCCAAAACAATTATAATAGTAACATTGTAATATTATATTACAATAGTAATATAATATTAGTGATCACAGATCACTATAACAGCTATAATAATAATGAAAAAGTCTGAAATATCATGACTACAAAAATGTGACACAGAGACATGAAGTGAGCACGTATTATTGGAAAAACAGCACCGATAGACTTGCAGGGTTGCCTCAAACCTACAATTTGTAAAAATTGCAATATCTGTGAAGCAGAATAAGGAGAAGCACAATGAAACAAGGTGTGCCTGTACCTTAATTTCAGACCCCTGGGCTCCAGAACTGTAAAAAAATAAATTTCTATTGTTTAAGCCACCAAGTTTGTGGTAATTTGTTATGGCAGCCCTGGGAAACTAATACCCTTAGCAAGAATGAATTCTACTGCCAGCTCATACTCTTTATCCAGATCATCACTCATCTCTAATAACTTATATCTTGATGCTGAATCCAATTCTCTGTCATAGATTTACCTCCGCATTGTGGAAAATTTATCCTCAAGTGTCCCATTGTCCTTTCCTTTAGTTGGAGCCATCCCATAGAACAGACATTATTTTATATATCTGAACCTCAGTAGGAGGACGGAGTGGTCAGAATACCTGCTGATTTTCTTCTAAGAGAATCCTCCACTGAATGTAAATTTGTGGATGCAAGAGAGGCCTGCTGGAAAGAGTGCACCTAGTTCCAGATGCCAGAGCACCCAGACCCTGATAAACAGAGCAATATTCCAATCCCTGCAATATCTGAATTCCAAAATATCCTGCTATATCACGATAAGGGTACTTAATTCTAAATGTATTTTAATTTATCTTTAACATATTATATTTATGATTACTGTAGGCCAGTGGTTTGGGTTGTAAACTTAAGACACAGCTTCTGTCTTCTGAGAATTAATAATCTACTTGGAAAATACCTACTTATTTTCATAATATTTATTTATAAATAAATAGAAATATAAATACATTAAATAGGATAAAATATACTAGGCATTGTTAAGCACATACACACCAAAACCTCTCTTGGTTATAATCTATAAGAACAAAATAGATGTAGGTTTTAGTAGTTTCAAATATACCTTCTTATCCTATTGCACTTACTATTTGAGTTTCTTATTATATCAATGTGTTACTTTTTAATAAATTAATCACCCTCTTTTAGAGGCAGAAGAATTAAGGTGATTATTATACTTAACATACGGCAATACGGGATCCATTTCATGGATCAGAATTGCGGCTTATTTAGCATAGTATTTAACACAGCATGGGAAAGAGAATTGTCCTCTCTGACTTCAATCTCAAAGGTTTGGTATTTAGCTGAGCTTCATTTCAGAGCCATTATGATTCTGTGAGTCATAAACATAAACATTTATTTTTAACTAATATTTGAAATGCTTCAGATAAGCTGGATGCTGTAACAGCTGCTCTTCTGAATGTCATTCCATAATGAGAACCATTCCTGAATCAATAGAATAATAATCATACTGTATTCTTCTGATATCAGGGGCATTTCATCTTCCTTTTGTGCTTAGCAGGTATAGTCTTTAGGAATAAGAGTTGGCTGTGTATTGCAGAAAAAAAAAAAAAGAATGCCTGGAACAACAGAACTTTATTTCTCCCTTAAACCTAAAAAAGAAGGCTTGTATGGACAGACCAGGGCCCCCATGGTGGCTCCTCAAAGTCTTCAGAGGCCCAGGCTCAAGGTATCTTTCTTCCCAACCTCCTAAAACATGGCTTCCATTCCCAAAATTTATTCACAGCTCCAATATGGCTGATTAATTCCAGTGGTCACATCTCCATGAAGAAGGAAGAGAAGAAAGAATACTCTTCCCCTCACTTTCAGAAGCTTTCCTGAAAGTCTTGAAAACACTTCCACTTACATTTCATTGGCCACATCAATCTGCAAGAAAAGCTAGAATATACAGTTTTCAGCTGGGCCCATTTTGAGGGTTTGGTTACTAAGAAACAAAAAGAGAATAGATTTGAGGAGGCAATTAATGGCCTGTGATGCAGCAGAGTATCTACTTATACCATAGGTCAGCTTCTGAAGGTTACACTTAGAGTCACAGTGGTGGTGCAAAATGTACCTCTCTGTGACACTTAACCAATTTACGTTCTTTTCATCACTTTGCCTGAGCAGCCACAATCCAAAAAAAGTAAAGAAACTTCAATTTTATATGTCATAAGATAATTTTATATTTTAAAATTCTGGTATCTAAATAAAGATAATTCTAACAAGGTGAAAAGAAACAGTAGATCCAAGGGTTTAAGAAAAGTCCTTTGTCCAAGGTGCTGTCTTGGGGCCCTCTTAATAACAATGTAGTAAAAATCAATACTGAGCCATCTTCCGCTGCTGTGTTTTCAGGTATGTCTGGATGTGTTTGTCAAATTCATGGAGTAGACTGACAAAATATGTTTTCAGGGGGGTCTGAGTACTTAGTGGCAGGTAAGGAGACAAGCATGACAAGGCTGACCTCTGAAGTGAGAAGAGAATAGGGATTCTGAGAACAGCATGGTTGAGACTGAGAAAATCTGTTCCCAACACTGTTCCCTTGATGCAGGTCTGGAGACTCAGAAGAAAGAAGCTATGAGTAAAAATGGAAAAAGTCTCTCTCTAAACTCTCTAACAGTTTGGGGCCCAGGCAGCACTGCCTTGGGGTGCATCTAACACAATGCAACCCTGTGAGTACAGAAGGCATCTTCTTCAATTCCACAGTAGGCCACCTCAAAGTTTTGTGATGCTGAGAGCTTGCTGATATTGGACATATCCGTGTACAACTGATATGTCCAATACCCAGGGATGCAATAGCACAGGCTTACACAGTACCTCCCTGTTGCCACTCTACCAGGCCAGATGTGTAGTCCTTCTCGCAGCATGCAGAGGGCCAGTTGAGAAGAAGCACCATCCGCCCTACCTGGAAAAGTGAAAATAGCCACAAATAGGGACACTACTCTGCCCAGAATTGCAGGGGAGATATCAGGGGGACAAACTGCACTCGAGCACACATGAAGTATTCCTGGGGCTGCTGGAACTGGGTAGAGGATGAGACACTGCTGGCAGCACTGTATAAAGGTCTGAACACCTGCATGGTTAGTGGTTTATAGCTAGGATAATGTGAACTACATGTATATTTTTCCTGGTAAGAATAGTCCTACATCAAAACTGAAAAAAAAATTTTAAGAGAAAAAAGTAATATGATGTGACTTTGCATGTTACTGTGGAACTGTGAAATGGGTTTTGCTGTAGATACCACATACAGATCTTCAAGACATTCGTAATTCATGTCATTCAAAAATATTTATTAAACACCTACTATATGTCCTATAAATTTCTAGGATACAGTGGTGAATCACAAAGATGTGACTGGGAGAGTCAGGTTGAAGCCAACGTCAGATGTGAGCTGTAGAAGCTAGTGGTTCAGTTTGACTGCCCCAAGAAATTCACCAACATATTACATTTACTCCAAAAAAAAAAAAAAAAAAAAGTGTATCTGGTTACCTTGACAGATTAAATTATTGCTCCAATATTTTTACTTGTTATACATTATTATACATTAGAAAGCCTGTTTCAAGTGACTTTTTAAAACAAGTTTAAAATATAATTTATATACCATAAAAATTCAGTAATTGTAAGTCTTTAGTTCCATGATTTTGGATACATTTATATAATGGAATTTATATAACAGAACAACATCACGGTGCAGTTTTAGAGCACTTCTCTTACCCCAAAAAGCTCCCTTATGCTGTCTCTAATCAATCCCTTCTCCCACTCCCAGCCCCAAGCAATCATATCTCTACCATTTTTCGTTTCTTAGAAATTGTATACAAATGGAATCATACAATATATCATCTTTTACCTCTTTCATAATGGTTACTTATGGTTTTGAGATTTGTTCATGTTGTCGCCTATAGCACATTTCATTCCCTTTTATTGCTGACTAGTATTTAATTGTATGGCTATACCACCTTCTGCTTATCCATTTCTCAGCTGATTAACATTTGGATTGTTTCCAGATTTTGGCTATGACTGTTCACCTGCAAGTATTTGTGTCTTTGCTTCTCCTGAGTAGATACTAAGGAGTGCAAATGCTGGGTAGTATGGTAAGTACAGTATATGTATAACTTGCCAAGAAACTACTGTACTGTTTTTCTAAAGTGAATATAACATTTTACATTCTCATGAGCATTGTAGAAGGATTTCAGCTTGTCTGACACAATATTGTAAGACTTTGATAACAGCCATTCTGGTGGGTCTCTAGTGGTATTTCGTTGTGCTTTTACTTCGCCTCTCCTAAATGTTTTCATCTTTTTATGTGCTTGTTAGTCATTTGCATGTCTTCTTTGGTGAAACACCTATTCAAACCTGCCCATTTTTTAATCAGATTCTTTGTCTTTTTATTATTGAATTGTAATAGCTATTTATGATTCCGAGTATGTCTTTTATCAGTTATATGACTTAAAAGTATTTTCTTCTAGTCTGTGGCTTAGTTTTATTAATAGTGCCTTTTAAAGAGTAAAACATTTTAACTTTGATAAAGTCTAATTTATAAATTTTGTCATTTTTGTTAGATTGAAGAAATCATATTTGTGATCTAATGTTTTCTTCTAGAAATGTTACAGTTCTTGCTCTTACATTTGACTCTCTGATCCATTTTGAATTAATTTTGTGTGTGTGTGTGTGCAGGGTAATGTAAGAGTCTAAGTACTTTTGCATATGGATATTAAATTGTCTCAGCACAATTTGTTGAGAAGACTATTTTTCCCCAAATGAATTGTATTTGCACCTTTTTTGAAAACCCATTCATCATAAATGTTAGAGATTATTTCTGGGCTCTCCATTCTGTTCCACTGACCAATGTTTATCCTTATATCAATAAATACCACACTGCCTGATGACCAGAACCATGCTGTAATTTTGAAATAAGCTAGTATAAATCCCCAACTTCATTTTTCTTTTTCAAAATTGTTTTAGCTCTTTGTATTTCCATATAAACTTTAGAATCAACTTGCCAAATTCAACAAGAAACAGCCTGCTGGGATTTTGATAGGAATTGTGTTAAATCTACAGATCATTTTGAGAAGAAATGCCATCTTAATAACATTGAGTCTTACATTCCAAGAATATGGTATCTCTTTCCATTAATTTAGATCTTGTGTGATTTCTCTTAGCAATGTTTTATAATATTTTGGCTTATGGGTCCTACACTTCTCTTGTTATACCTATTCCTAAGAATTTTCTTTTGTTCATACTTTTGTGAATGAAATTACTTTCTTAAATTTATTTTCGAATGGTTCATTGCTGGTATAAAGAAATAAAATTGGTTGTTGCAAATTTACTTCATAGCCTGCAGCCTTGCTAAACTCACATTAATTTTAACTGGTACTTAACCTACATATAATCTTGGGATTTTCTACATACAAAATCATAAAGGCCTTTAATTTATTTCGTAGCTTAGTTACATTGGCTGGAACATTCAGTAAAATGTTGAGTAGAAGTAGTGAGAGTGTATGTACTTGGCCTATTCCCAATCTAAGTGGAAAACTTTTACAACTATCATTCACAATTAAGTATAATATTAGCTGAAGGTTTTTCATACATACTCTTTCTCAGGTACAGGAAGTTCGTTCCTATTTCTAATCTGTTGAGAGATTTTAAACATCAATGAATACTATATTTTGTCAAAAGTTGTTTTCTGTGTCTACTGAGAAAATTGTATAGCTTTAGTCCTTCATTCTATTAATATAGTATATTTATTAATTGATTTGCATATGTAAAGTCATTCTTGCATTTCAGGAATAAATTCTACTGGGTAATGGCATATAATCCTCTGTTTATGTTGCTTGTTTCAATAAGCTAATATTTTGTTAAGAATTTCTGCATCTATGTTCATTAGAAATAATTGTATAGTTTTCTTTTCTTGTGATAACTTTGTCCTGCTTTGGTATCATATCAATACTGACAAGTTAGGAAGGGTTTCCTCCTCTTTTTTTCTGAAAATGTTTGTGTAGGATTGGTATTATTTTTTCTCTAAATGTTTGACAAAATTTACTAGTGATGCCATCCAGGTCTGAGCTTTTCTTTGTAGGAAGCTTGTAAATTACTAATTCAATCTCTATGAATTTCAGGTTTATTCAGATTTCTATTTCTTCTTATGACAGTTTTGGTAACCTGTATCCTTCTAGAATATTAACTATTTCATCTACATTGTCTAATTCATTGGCATAATATTCCCTTCTAATTCTTTTAATTTCTGCAGGATCTGTGGTGATGTTCTTTCATTCTTGATTTTGTTAATTTGTCTTCTATCTCTTTTTTTGTTAGTGTAGCTAAATGTTTATCAGTTTTACTGATCTTAAATAAACAAACTTTTGATTTTGTGGATTTACTCTGTTTTTCCAATTTGTATTTCATTTATTTCTTTTTTGGTCTTTATTATATTCTTCCCTATGCTTACTTGAGATTTAACTTACCATTCTTTGTCTAGCTTCTTGAGGTGGAAGCTTAGGAAATTGATTTTAGATCTATTTTCTTTCTAATATAAGCACTTAACATTAAGTTTGTCTGTAAGCACTACTTTAGCTACCTCTCATAAATTTTGATAGATTAGGTTTTAATCATTATTCAGTTAAGCATATTTTCTAACTTACCTGGTGATTTCATCTTTGACTCACTGTTTTTCTAAAACTATTTGTTGAAATTCCAAATATTTGTGAAGTCCTAAATACTTTTCCGTTGTTGGTTTCCTGAATTTTTTTAGTCAAAAATCATATTCTGAGATGTGTTTGACAGTCTATAGTATTATTATTTATCATGGAAAATGTTCCATGTACACTTGAAAAAAATGTGTACCCTGCTGTTGTTGGATAGAGTGCTCTATATATTATTTACATCAAGTTGGTTAATGGTGTTGTTCAAGTCGTGAATATCCTTACTGATATTCTGTCTAGTTCTGTCAATTACTAAAAGAAGGATGTTGAAATTTCCAACTACTACAATATTATATTGTCTGTCCTTTAATTCTGTCAATCTTTGCTACATTTGGGACTCTGGTGTTAGATGTTTATACATTTATAATTGCTACTTCTTCCTGATATACTGAAAATTTTATTATTATAAAATTGTTATCTTTGTCTCTCATAATAGTACTTGTCTTCAGGTCTATGGTTTTGTATGTAATAAAGCCAGTTTGGTTCTTTACTAGCTATTGTTTGCTTTTTCTCTCCTTTTACTTTCAACCTGTTGGTATTTTTCAATATAATGTCTCTTATAGATAACATATAGTTGGACCTTGCTCTTTCCTCTGTTAGAGTTTTAATTATATTTTTAAATTATTTTCTTAGTAATTCTTCTAAGGACTACAACATATATCTTTAATTTATCATAATCTGTTTCAGGTTAATAATAATAGTAATAATATACAGGAACTTTGCTCCAGTTTATTATTTCCACTATCTTTTCTCACTTTAGTGCTAGTATTGTCATACATATTACAACTATATATGTAAGATATCCTCCAAAATATAGCATTATAATTATTGCTTCAAGTACTTTTTGTTTTTAAAGAAATTAAGAAAAGAGAAAACACTGGACAGTCTTTTATAGTTGTCCATATATTTGACATTTTCTTTTTTTTTTTTTTTTTTGTTTGAGACGGAGTCTTGCTCTGTTGCGCAGGCTGGAGTGCAGTGGCGCGATCTCGGCTCACTGCAAGCTCCGCCTCCCGGGTTCACGCCATTCTCCTGCCTCAGCCTCCCGAGTAGCTGGGACTACAGGCACCCACCACGACGCCCGGCTAATTTTTTGTATTTTTAGTAGAGACGGGGTTTCACCATGTTAGCCAGGATGGTCTTGATCTCCCGACCTCGTGATCCACCCGCCTCAGCCTCCCAAAGTGCTAGGATTACAGGGGTGAGCCACCGCGCCCGGCCATATTTAACATTTTCATTGGTCCTTCTTCCTTCCTATGTAATTGAGTAATCATCTGCTGTCATTTCCTTTCAGCCCAAAGGACTGCCTTCAGATTTCTTGTAGACAAGGTCTATTTTTATTTTTGTTTATCTGGGAAGGTCTTTATTCTGCATTCATTTTTTACTCTTTTTTATTTTTTAAATTTTTTTTGAGATATGGTCTCACTGTGTCACCCAGGATGGAATGCAGTAGTGCAATCATAGTTCACTGCAGCCTCAAACTCCTGGGGTCAAGGGGTCCTAAGCCTCCTGAGTAACTGGAAGTATGGAAGTAGGGGTACACACCACCATGCCTAGCTTTTTTCTTTTTTCTTTTTTCTTTTTTTTTTGTAAAGATGGGGTCTCATTATGTTCCCCAGACTTATCTCAAATTCCTGGCTTCAAGCAATCCTCCCAACTCAGCCTCTCAAAGTGCTGGGATTACAGGTGTGAGCCACCTCACCCAGCCTGCCTTCATTTTCGAAGACTGTCTTGCTAGAAAGAATATTCTTCGTTGATAGGCTTTTTTTTTTTCCTATGATCACTTTGGCTATTTATTTCACTGCCTTCTACACTCTGTATGTTTTATGAAAAGCAAGCCACTAGCCATCGTGTATGGTTCTTCATTCACAATGAGTCATTTTCCTCTCACTCTCACTATTCTAAAACTTTGCTTTTGTCTAGGCTTTTAAAAGTTTTTTATTATCATGGGTATAGGTGTAAATAACTTTGCTTTTATCTTAGTTGATGCTTAATGAGTTTCTTCAACATACAGACTAAGGTTTTCACTAGGTTTGAGTTTATGGCCATTAATTCTTCAAAAAAATTTTGCCCTTTACTCTCTCCACTCCTTATGAACTTTCATTCCAATATGTTGATAGGCTCTATAAGTCTTTGAGTCTCTTCATTTTTCTTCAATCTTATTTTCTTTTTTGTTCTTTAGAATGGATAATTTCTATTGATCTATCTTCAAGTACACTGATTTTCTCTTCTGCCTTTTCAAATCTGTTGAGACTATTTAGCAAACTTTTCATTCCAGTTACTGTATTTTCCAAATGTAGAATCAATAAAAGCATTAAAATATTTAAAAAAAGATTTGGCTCTTTTTTATAGTTTTATTTTAGCTATTGTATTTTCCAAATCAAGAATTTCTATTTGGCTTTTTTTTCTAGTTTCTATTCTCTATTTAGATTTTCTATTTGTTGAGCCATTTTCACCATATTTTCCTTTACTTCTTTGAATAAGATTTCCTTTTAGTCTTCAGATATATTTATGTTAGCTGCTTTCGTGTCTTTTTCTGCTAAACTCAAAATCTTGACCCACAAAGACACAGTTTCTATAGACTACTTGTTCTCTGAGTATGGATTTTACTTTCCTGTCTATTTGTAGGTCTCATATTTTTGTTAAAAAGTGGACGTTTTAGATACTATATTATAGCAATTTAGAGATTGCTTTATTGATTTATTTATTATAAAAATAATAACTTGAATGAACTTTAACTGCAGAATTTGTCTCCCACATTGGGTATAGCTGATGATGTTTCTGTTCAAGTTTTAAACTGTGCTTTTAAAATTACTTTTAGCCTGCCTTATTAGGGCTCAACCTATGTGTCACTAATACCTTGATGGTCAGCTAATGATCTAGGTAGAGGTTTACTTAAATACCTCAGGCCCAAAAGCACTTCTATCCCCAATAATCAATATGTGTCTACATTGGGAAATAAATTCAAAGCTGAGCCAATTCTAAAGTATGGCTTGGCATTTACTTTCTATTATTCTTTTTGGTCTCCTCTGTGCACATGCATAGTTTGTAGATTCTGAGTTATCCAGAAATGTGTGGAACACCTATTGGGCTCTTCTATGGATGTTTTGTTTCTAGGATTTCCCCATTAAATTACTAGTTGGTCTACTATTTTCCCCCAAATAAAACCAGAGCCTTGGGCTAGCAAAGCTGTAGGTTTCCTATTTATTTCCTGTAGGTTTCCTATTTGGCTTGGTCATGGGGTTTTGCCCTGAGTTGAGTCTGCCTACTCAGGAAGCAACCCTACTGGTGTTCATGGCCAGTGTTACCTTGGTGAAACTATAGCTGCTTTTGCCAACTTTCTTGGGTGAGAGGAGGTATGGGAGATTCCCCCAAGCAAAAAAAAAAAAAAAAAAAAAAAAAGCCACATATTTCCACAATTCTTACCCTAAATTCTTGCAGTATTTTTTTTAGAATAAACACATCTCAATTATTATCTGCCTTTTGCCAATTCCCACATCCTTGAAATAGTTGTTATTGAAAAGACTTTCCACTTTTATATCTGACTTTTTTTTTTATAGAGAGGATTCACTAACATCTTCATACTATCATAGCTGGAAACACCTCTGTCATATTGCTTTATAGTACCTCTTCATAGGGTAGCAAGAATATATCTCTTTGTTCCATTGATACTGAACTTGGTCATATGTTAATGATGTATTACCAGAGGCTTTAAATGTAATCTCATGATTTGGCTTGGCTCTTGGGCTCCTGTGATCCATCATCAGAGGAGCATACCTTGTATAGTCATTGGTAGTAAAATAAAGAAACATAAAGCAGATCTATTCCAATTTTCAACCTGGAGCCAAGCCCAGCTGAGCTCAACCAAGTTCAGCCAAACCCCAGCTGAAACTCTACTGACCTACAGATGTAAGAATAAGAAAACAAATATTTATTATTATAAAAAACTGAGTCTGGGTCCGGTGGCTCATGCCTGTAATCCCAGCACTTTGGGAGGGTGAGGCAGGCAGATCACCTGATGTCAGGGGTTTGAGACCAGCCTCGCCAACATGGCGAAACCCCGTCTCTATTAAAAATACAAAAAATGGCCGGGCACGATGGCTCACGCCTGTAGTCCCAGCACTTTGGGAGGCCCAGGTGGGCGGATCACGAGGTCAGGAGATCGAGACCACCTTGGCTAACACGGTGAAACCCCGTCTCTACTAAAAATACAAAAAATTAGCCGGGCGCGGTGGCGGGCGCCTGTAGTCCCAGCTACTCAGGAGGCTGAGGCAGGAGAATGGCGTGAACCTGAGAGGCAGAGCTTGCAGTGAGCAGAGATCGCGCCACTGCACTCCAGCCTGGGCAACAGAACGAGACTCCATCTCAAAAAATAAATAAAATAAAATACAAAAAATTAGCTGGGCATGGTGGTGCGGGCCTGTAATCCCAGCTACTCAGGAGGCAGGGGCGGGAGAATCGCTTGAACCTGGGAGGCAGAGGTTGCAGTGAGCCCAGATAGCAGCCACTGCATTTTAGCCTGGGCAATAGAGTGAGACTCTGTCCAAAAAAAAAGCCAGGCACGGTGGCTCACACCTGTAATCCCAGCACTTTGGGAGGCCAAGGCAGGTGGATTACCTGAGATCAGGAGTTTCAAGACCAGCCTGGCCAACATGGTGAAACCCTGTCTCAACTAAAAATACAAAAAAAAATTAGCTGGGCGTGGTGGCAGGCACCTATAATCCCAGCTACTTTGGGAGGCTGAGGCAGGAGAATGGCTTGAAACCAGGAGGCAGAGGTTGCAGTGAGCCGAAATCGCACCATTGCACTCTAGCCTGGGCAACAAAGCGAAACTCTGTCTTAAAAAAAAAAAAAAAAAAAAAAAAAAAAAAAAAAAAAACCTGAGATTTTTAGCATTGCTATGTAGCAATATTAACTTATGCAGCCACCTAATAATGGATGGTGTCCTATCTAACCTATTACACATAAGCAATAAAACAAAGTAGTACCATGCTCTGTTTCCTACAACCTATTCAATGAATCCAGGCTGAAGGGTAATGCCTAAGATACAAGTATCATCAAATGCCATAGAAAGGTAACAAAACAACTGTCATGGATTTATCACGAAATTCTCTATAGAGAGGGCAATGGACTGGTATAAGCCTTAAAAAGCCATTTTCTTCTGAGTATTATTAACAAAGAAGTAGAGAAGTACGTAAAAAATTCAATTGTTTCTTTTTTGAGGCCGAGAGATCAGGTTTAGATCTAACTCAGCACTACTCTATTATGCTAGCATTATAAACTGAAGGCCCATAAGCAAAAATGCATTCTAAACTTCTGTTTTGTTGCAAGTCCTGTATCTTTTGCCCATACCACACAGAGCTTCTTGAGCAATTTTATCAGGTTTGTTCAATTCACAGCATCTAAAACAGAATATCTACATTATGGGGCAGCAGAAGACATCCTAGCATATCTCATTCAAATGATAGAACTTACCAATAAATAATTGTTCATAACACAATGTCATATGGCTCAAAATAGATGTCTGTGTATTTGGGAAAGATACCACCTCACAGATCTAGGAATGTTAACTTAAAAATCAGATCTCTTACCAGCATCATAAGGAATATTGTCAGTCTTGGCATTGAGATAGTCCTCATATTGATGTACCACTGGAATGTGTGTATGCAGAGAATGGAAGACAGCAGGATACTCAAGGAGCTATTGTGTAAGAAAGCTGATGTCAAAAAAATCACAAGCAAGCAGAGCAGGATAAACGCTATAGGAACATATCGAAGCACAGCTTCAAGCAATGCCACAGAGCTTTGGACTGCTGGGAAATAACAGCCGTACACAATCAGCCCTAGCTGCCGCTATAATGAATGTGAAGAAAGCCTTCAGGTGAGAAGCTAAACAACAATGGGCTACCTCTGCTAACTCAGGATCATATTTCTTATGTGCATAGTTTATTCTACATTTGCCTACTTAGCCACACTTGAACTTAAACATAGCAATTGTGGCTTGATCCCACAGCATCATCTTAAAAAATAGAAGCCAACAGAATAATTCTACCTGTAGCCTATCAATCCTTTATTTATTTTTATATTATTTTCTCAACAGTTGTATGCATAAATTCTAATCTCATTTGAAAATGCCACATACTACAGGTAATAGATTAGTAGGAAGAATTCTGGCAGCCACAGATATCTCATCCGTAACCACTAATTCAGAAGCCAGAAAGATCTCCGCCCTACAAGGAAATCAGCTATAATAAAGCTTATGGAATTTATCTACAGAAGAAACAGCCTGCCATGGGTTTCAAGACTTACATTTTTGTAAAAGCTTATAGGCTTCATAAACTATCTGCTTTCTCTAGAAAAAGATCAGGTTTTCTGAATTTCTAAGGGGCATCCATGTTGCATTGGAAAGGGCATAGAAGTATACTTAGGAAACAATTACAAACAACGTGAAAAACACAGCCAAATTATCAAACATAATCACACATCAACCGGGGGCATATTATATGACAGTAATAGTCTTATGAGACTCACTAACTCATAAGGCATTAATAAAACAGAACATAAAAAAATAGTGCTTCATAATGATGACACTGGCCTATCAAGAAAATGCTATATTAAGTGGCTTTCTCTGATTAAGAAGATGTAGAAGTAGTGGGGCACAGTGGCTCACGCCTGTAATCCCAGCACTTTGGGAGGCCGAGGCGGGTGGATCACTTAAGCTCAGGAGTTCAAGACCAGCCTGGCAACAAGGTGAAACCGGATCTCTAAAAAAAAATACAAAAATTAGCCAGGCGTGGTGGTGCGTGCCTGTAATCCCAGCTACCCGGGAAGCTGAGGTGGAAGGATCGTTTGAGCTGAGGAGGTAGAGGTTGCAGTGAGCCACAATCGCATCACTGCCCTCCAGCCTGGGTAACAGAGCCAGACCCTGTCTCAAAAAAAAAACAAAAAGAAAAAGATGTAGAAGTAGAGTACACTTAAGGACGCTTTCCAAAAAGTAATTTAAACAGTGAACATTTTAATGTTTAAGTGCATTTGGAAAATATAAACATGTAAAACACTTCATTGTGCAATGGCTGTAGATTTCCACTGTCTAATAGAAATATAAATGCCAGCCACAAAAGGAAATGACATCTGTAATCTTTAATAGTCTTGTAGTCACTTTAAAAGAGATTTTTTAAGAGTAAAATCAATTCTAATAGATGTTATTTGACCCATTGTAGTCAAAACATTATTATTTTGACATATAATCAACATAAAAATTATTAATAAGATTTCCTTACTTTATTTATACTAAATTTATAAAATCTGGTGTGTGTTTTATACTACAGCACATCTCAATTTGTACTAGACACATTTCAAGTCCTGGATAGACACATTTGGTTAGTGACTACCATATTAGACAGTGCAGCTGTCAATCAATGAAGGTTTACTGAAGAACCGAAATTAATGTAATATACAATCCCAATATTCCAATCCAGTATTCCGAACCACTAGAAGAAATGCAGACATCAAACCACATGTGTTTCCTGAGTTCCCCCGTAAACTCTGTAAGCAAGGATAAAATAATCTCATATATATGTTTGAAAACCATTACAAAGGCATAAAAGATTAGTACTAATTCCTGGGGAGGGGGAGCAGAGTGCTAAATTCTTAAATTTTAAAGTTATAAAGAAACTGTCTACATAAAATTTTTCTTGAGCATTCAGAAATTAAGTATAGCCTTTGATACTGTAGTCCTTTCATAACTGGAGAGAACGGAGAATTGCAAGCACTTACTACCATTTATTTAGTAACTTCTGGGTTTTATAAAAGTTCAATCTTCAAAGCCATAACTCTAAAATAACTAAAACTTAGAAGATTTAAGTTTTAATCTATTTCTGGATCACAGAGCCTATTAAATAAATCTACTAAAAATAGTTAAAAGTACAGCTTTTTTTCATTTTTTTGTACCAAATATCTATTTAGGGTAATTTGTTTATACGATTCTGAAATTTTTATGAAAACTTGCTATGAATATTTAGTAATTGTGTTATTATTTAGAGCTATGAGACTAAAGTCATATGTAGATTTGCTTTGTTTAATTATACCTTTTCTAAATAGAAATAAATTTAGAACTTAATAATGCAACATTAAAATTAGACTTTTTATATACAAAAGACAGGAAATATAAAGAAAATATTTCTTAGGGAAATATGCTTTCTCTTGATCTAATTCAGATCTTGTGCCATTACATTATTTTCTACAAGTCCTGGTCTTACTGAGAATTGTGCCTTGTGGAATTCCCTGTTCAACTTCCTATCCTATGTCAAAAGGGAGGAGGTGATCCTTTTTTCTCTAATTGGATGAGACCTAGAACACAGTTTAGCAAAGCGTTAAACAAAAAGGAATTGTAAGTTTATGCCAGTGTGGACTGGTGAGAAGAATAACTCTTAAATGACGCAGGTAGAGAACAAGTCTGAGATCTTAACTCAAGGGGTGGTAATTAAGAACCATTGGAAGACAGAGGGGGTTTAGAAGGCACATTGCAAGACACAGTACTTTTGGGAGGGAAACTCACTGCTTGAGTAAATAGGGAACTCAAACAAGGAAGTATGGCAAGGATGAAACCTGCAAGGCTATTACAAAGTTTTACTTACCACGTATTTAGTTTGTTTAAATATACTAATCTTAACAAAGTATGGAAGCTTATTATATATTTCTATAATTTTATTTTCTCAAGTCTAAATCATCCTTTATCTTTTCACCTTCTCTATGGCTCTCATATTCCAATACTTGGTTACTCTCATCTGAACTTTCTCTAAGCTTTCTTCCTCTCCTGAGTTGTTAAGGATTTTAGTACAAACCATGATATATATTAGAGTCAGCTGAGTACAATAAGACAAAAATCCAGTGGTTCAGACTTTAACTTGCTCTTATGAAAGATCTTTGTGTTACAGGCTGATTTTTTTCAAACAAAATTGCATGCTGGGCCTGACCTGTTTTTGCCCCTCGTTGACCTTGTATTCTCTCTCAGCTTTGGAAGACCCTTTTATGGATCAGCAGTATGAATGAATACACTTCATAGTAATCACATACAATAGATTGATGCTGTTATGCATCAGTTAGTTGATAGAAAAAAAAGCTGAAGTGATTGCCTAAGGGCAAAGAAATATGGTAATCTTAAAACTTTGTGTTGACATTTAGATGCAAAATCCAGCTATTCAAAGTAGTCTAGGCAATTCCCATGATGTCATGTCACCAGGATGAGTTTTCAGAGTCCAGAACTCATTATTGTTTTCCAGTGGTACATAAAGTTCTGGCTACCCTTCCTTTTGTAGGTATAGGTAAGTAGACAGGCATCTGAAAGTAAATGGAAGGTGGGTGACAAATTGACTCACGCTAAGAGGTACATGAGATGAAAGTAAACATCAAAAGGCTCTTGCATTAATTTACAGTGAGAAATATAACACCACATGTACAAGAAATATCACATTGGCCTGATCAAAACATTTTTTTTTTTACTTGTGGCCCAATCACATAGAAATCAAAAGATGGTTTTGTGAGCACAGACTCAAAAAAACAGGATGTAGATAAATCAAATCTTTAATTCATTGTTTCCCAAAATGCGTTATGTTCTGTGAGATGTTTTAATACATCTTCCAACAACGACAAAAAGTTCACTAATACAATAAATGTGAGAAACACTGGATTAAACTCAGATTTCATAACTGCATTCTTTCCTTTGGACTGCAGATATACATTGTGAATCTCAAAGGGCTCAGACAGACAGCTTTTCTAAAGTGCATTTGACTCCTGTCTATATAGATTACTTATCAATAGCTCACGAAACAATACTATTCTACAGATATAGTTTCAGAATGAATGAATTCTTAGTCTGATGTATAATTCTACCATAAAGATAATCTTGCCAATGGGCCTGGTATATTTGAAATGCAAGGATAAATCTCTGAATTATTCATTCTAGGGACATACTGTCCATGAGATCTAAAATAATCAGTCTCTGTTTTGAGTCTCCCTTTCCATTTTAGAGCTTAGGTGAGCACTACCAATATGAACCTATGTCATTCTCCTTCTGCTTTAATTTGATTTAATTTTACTAGTGATTAAGACACTGAAGAGGTTACAGTATGGGTTTGCTTGCCTACAAATAATATCTTCTTCAGATGATTTTGCATACCTTTATTGTAAATTAGGTGTTGATTTTTAAATGTGACTCTAAATTACTCTATGTTCTTTATTTTCAATGTTAGAGTCCTGCCACACTATAACACCTAGATGCTTATTAAAAGTGTATAACCAGGCTGGGCATGGTGGCTCCTGCCTGTAATCCCAGCATTTTGGGAGGCCAAGGCAGGCAGATCGCCTGAGGTAAGGAGTTTGAGACCAGCCTGGCCAACATGGTGAAGCTCCATCTCTACAAAAATACAAAAAATTAGCCAGGTGTGGTGGGGGGCACCTGTAATCCCAGCTACTCGGGAGGCTGAGGCAGGAGAAACGCTTGAAACTGGGAGGCAGAGATTACAGCGAGCCAAGATCGTATCATTGCACTCCAGCCTGGGCAACAAGAGTGAAACTCTGTCTCAAAATAAATAAATAAATAAATAATAAAAGCACATAACCAGAAAATAATGTAACTGTGGTAGGCAGAATAATGCCCTCCCCCAAAAAATCTACATCCTAATCTCCAGAACCTGTGAATCCTTTTACAGCAAAAGGGACCTTGCAGGTATAATTAAGTTAAGGATCTTGAGTTGGAGAGATCGTCCTGGATTATCTGAGTGTGCCCAGCATAATCACAAAGGTGCTGGTAAGTGAAAGAGAAAGGCAGGAGAGTCAGACTCAGAGGAGATGTGATGATGGGAGCAAAGGTCAAAGTGATGCAATTAATTGTTAACTGCAAGGGGGCCATGAGCCAAGGAATATGGGCAGCCTCTAGACTGGAAAAGTCAAGGGAAGGGATTCTCCCCTAGTGCCTTCAGAAGAATTCAGCCCCGCTAACACCTTGATTTTAGACCCATGAAACACATTTCAGACCTTTGAGCTTCAAAACTGGAAAATAATAATTTTTTATTGTTTTAAGCCACTAGCTCCATGGCGATTTGTTAAAGCAATAATAGGAAATAAATACAGTAGCTAAAACTTTTAGAGATACCTACCCCCTCTCCACTTGGCCTTTTGTCATGCATATCCAATAGATGACCCTCTGGAATCTACCCTGACTAAACACTCTGAGCCAGTATCTATCTTTTCTTCTTTTTTTTTTTTTTTTTTTTTTTTTTTTGAGATGGAGTTTTGCTCTCATTGCCCAGGCTGGAGTGCAATGGCATGACGTCAGCTCACCGCGACCTCGGCCTCCCGGGTTCAAGCGATTCTCCTGCCTCAGCCTCTCGAGTAGCTGGGATTACAGGAGTGCGCCACCATGCCCAATTAATTTTTGTATTTTTTAGTAGAGACGGGGTTTCTCCATGCTGGTCAGGCTGGTTTCGAACTCCTGACCTCAGGTGATCCACCCACCTCGGCCTCCCAAAGTGCTGGGATTACAGGCATGAGCCACCACGCCTGCTGAGCCAGTATCTATCTATCCTTTAGAATTGATTTGGGCAATCATATGAATCTCACTTTACAGTGCTATGGAAACTTTAAGAATCTTAAGTACTTTTGAAAAACATTAAATAAACCACTGAATTTCTCAGAAAAAGGTCAATGTAGTCAGTTAAAAGAGGAAAGAAATTAACTGAGGATGTTAGCTAATTGAGAAATGTGAGTTTTCAGAGCCCCTGGAATAGAATCAACTCAGGAGAACTGTCCTATGCTAAACTAATTCACAAGAGACTTGATATAAAGCAAAATGTCAACTTATTCATTTAAATTTGGGACATTTCTTTCCAGTAATTAAAGTATCTATGCTCACAAGCCAGGAAACCCTCTTAGTATCAGATCACTTGATGGATTTAATTAATAATCCTAAAGCTACTTGATGAGTGTGAATCAGAACAAAGGTAGTGGGATACTTGTGGGAATAATCATACTGTACTGATCAGAGCCTTCCAATTATATTAGTCTTAGAGAAGTCTCCAAATTTTTGCCTTTTAAATCTGTCTCTATCAATAGATTTTTATTCTTTGTTTCACTCAATCCCACAGAGATGGGCCACTATCTAGAGGTCTAGGAGGTGTCCCTGTACTGAATAGTGAGTGACCACTCAGTAAGATCATTTCTCCTTTAGATTTTAAATATGAAACATACAGAAAGAGAGGAGAAAGAGAATAAGTAAAAGCCTTAAGACAGTAGAAGCAATCTTTTATCAGAAGCAATTATACAGAAGAATAAACAGATTAGTTGGATTTGCAGTGTAAAGCAAGCGGAGGTAGAGAAAGAAGCAAATACATAAGTGCTAAATCACGCACCTGGCAGACTAGTGGAGTCAGAGGCCCTTCCTGTGACAGCCATGCTGCTGTCCCGAGTGCAACAACCTGCTAGTTCTCCATGAGACCTGCCTGTGAAATGATTGTAGATTTTGTTTCCCTGCCTTCCTATTTCCCTATGTATCTTTACAACAAATCCCTCTAGTTGGGGTAAATTGTGAAAGTCTCCTCTACCTTTTGCAGCCAAAAACTTGAACACATTTACCTAGGCTCTAGGAAAGCCAGATAAAATTTCACAATTTCACTACATGTGATGGTTAATTTTATGTCAATTAGATGGTCTAAGGAATGTCTAGTCAAGATAGCCAGTAAAACATGATTTCTGGGTGTGTCTGCGAGAACGTTTTGGGAGAATATTTGCAATTAAGTTATTAGACTAAGTAAAGATCTGCACTCACCAATGTGGGTGGGCATTATCCAACCCTTGAGGACCCAAGAACAAAAAGGCAGAGAAAGGGCAAATTCTCTTTCTCCTTCTGGACCTGGGACATCCATCTTCTCCTGCCCACAGACATTGGAGCTCCTGGTTCTAGGGCCTTTCCACTCTGGGACTTACACCGACAACCCTACCAGTTTTCAGGCTTTCTGCCTCAAACTGGGAGTTACACTGTGGCTTCTCTGGTTCTCAGGACTGCAGACTCGAGCTAAATCACACCACAGGCTTTCTTGGTTCTCCAGCTTGCAGATGGCATATCTGGAAGATCATGGGATTTCTCAGCCTCCAGAATCATGTGATCCAATTCCCTTAGTAAGTCTCCTCTTTTATATCTGTATACATCCTGTTGATTCCGTTTCTCTGGAAAACCCTAAGATACTATCCTACAAGAGATTCTCCCACTGACCAGTGTGTTTCCATTGTCTATACCCTAGATCTTTTGGACAATGCTGGAGATGTAGAGACTTTCTATGGCTTTTTGGATTCCCCCCTCAATATTATATGATTATTGTGATCATATAATAATTACAACATACAAGATATATATGCCCAAACAGGCAACAGACAATTGGTCAGGTCAATGCTCTGACCCTGTTATTACTATAAACTATGATTCAGCTTTTTCATCTGTTTCCTGGAATGGCTTGGGTTACACTTGCAAAAATTGTGGTACCACAACAAAAGTAAAAATAGATAAATTGGGCTACATCAAAATTTAAAACTTCCATGCATCAAAGGACACAGTCAAAAGAGTGAAGAGGAAATAAATGGAATGGGAGAAAATATTTGCAAATCATATATCTGGTAGGGCGTTAACATTCAGAGTATATAAAGTATTCCTATCACTCAACAATAACAACAAAACAACCCAATTTAAAATAGGTCAAGCGTCAATAGCCACTGAGGACTACTAGACGGGGAAGGGAGGAAGTAGGGGGCAAGGGGTGAAAAATTATTGAGTACTATGCCCAGCATCTGGGTGATGGGATCAATCAGTCATACCCCAAACCTCAGCATCACATAATGTACTCAAGTAACAAACCTGCACACGTACCACCTGAATCTAAAATAGAAGTTGAAATTATTTTTCAAAAAAAAAAAAAATAGGCTGGGCATGGTGGCTCATGCCTGTAATTCCAGCACATTGGGAGGCCGAGGCAGGCAGATCACCTGAGGTCAGGAGTTCGAGACCCGACTGGCCAACATGGTGAAACCCCGTCTCTACTAAAAATACAAAAATTAGCTGAGCATGGTGGCACGTGCCTGTAATCCCAGCTACTTGGGAGGCTGAGGCATGAGAATAGCTTGAACCCAGGAGGCAGAGATTACAGTGAGCTGAGATCGTGCCACTGCACTCCAGCCTGGGCAATAGAGCGAAACTCCATCTCAAAAACAAAATAAAATAAAATCAAATTTACCTGAGTAAGAAAAAAATAAAAATTTAAAAAAATTAAAAGGGAACAAGGATTTAAGTAAACATTTCTCCAAAGAAAATATACAAATGGCTAGCGAGTACCTGAAGAGATGCTCACCATCACCAATCAAGTGCAAATCAATAGAGTGGCTGGCAAGATGGCTGAATGGGAACAGCTCCAGTCTGCAGCTCCCAGTGAGATCAACCAGAAGGCGGATGACTTCTGCATTTCCAACTGAGGTACTCAGCTCATCTCATTGGAACTGGTTAGGCAGTGGGTGCAGCCCACAGAGGGTGAGCCAAAGCAGGATGGGTCATCACCTCACCCGGGAAGCACAAGGGGTGGGGGGAATTTCCTCCCCTAGCCAAGGCAAGCCATGAGGGACTTTGCTGTGAGTAATGGTGCACTCCAGCCCAGATACTACACTTTTCCCACAATCTTTGCAACCCACAGGCCAGGAGATTCCCTCGGGTGCCTACACCACCAGGGCCCTGGGTTTTGAACACAAAACTGGGCAGCTGTTTGGACAGACACCAAGCTAGCTGCTGCAGGATATTTTCATACCCCAGTGGCACCTGGAATGCTAGCAAGACAGAACCGTTCACTCCCCTGGAAAGGAGGCTGAAGCCAGGGAGTCAAGTAGTCTAGCTCAGTGGATCCCACCCCCACAGAGCCCAGCAAGCTAAGATCCACTGGCTTGAAATTCTCGCTCCCAGCACAGCAGTCCGAAGTTGACCTGGGATGCTCAAGCTTTGTAGGAGGAGGGGTGTCTGCCATTACTGAGGCTTGAGTAGGTGGTTTTCCCCTCACAGTGTAAACAAAGCCACTGGGGAGTTAGAACTGGGTGGAGCCCACCGCAGCACCACGAAGCCGCTGTAGCCAGACTGCCTTTCTAGATTCCTCCTCTCTGGGCAGGGCATCTCTGAAAGAAAGCCAGCAGCCCAGTCAGGGGCTTATAGATAAAACTCCCATCTCCCTGGGACAGAGCACCTGGGGGAAGGGGTAGCTGTAGGCACAGCTTCAGCAGACTTAAATGTTCCTTCCTGCCTGCTCTAAAGAGAGCAGTGGATCTCCCAGCATAGTGCTCAAGCTCTGCTAAGGGAAAGACTGTCTCCTCAAGTGGGTCCCTGACGCCCATGCCTCCTGACTGGGAGACACCTCCCAGCAGGGGCCGACAGAAACATCATACAGGAGAGCTCCGGATGGCATCTGGCGGGTGCCCCTCTGGTATGAAGATTCCAGAGGAAGGAACAGGCAGCAATCTTTGCTGTTCTGCCGCCTCCACTGGTGATACCCAGGCAAACAGGATCAGGAGTGGACCTCCTGCAAACTCCAGCAGACCTGCAGCAGCAGAGGGGCCTGTTAGAAGTAAAACTAACAAACAGAAAGGAATAGCATCAACATCAACAAAAACGATGCCCACACAAAAACCCCATCCGAAGGTCACCAACATCAAAGACCGAAGGTAGATAAATCCGCAAAGATGAGGAAGAAACAGCCCCAAAAAGGTGAAAATTCCAAAACCCAGAACACTTCTCCTCCAAAGGATCACAACTCCTCACCAGCAAGGGAACAAAACTGGATGGAGAATGAGTTTGACGAATTGACAAAAGTAGGCTTCAGAAGGTGGGTAATAACATACTCCTCCGAGCTAAAGAAGCATGTTCTAACCCAATGCAAGGAAGCTAAGAACCTTGAAAAAAGGTTAGACAAATTGCTAACTAGAGTAACCAGTTTAGAGAACATAAATGACCTGATGGACCTGAAAAACACAGCACGAGAACTTCATGAAGCATATGCAAGTATCAATAGCCAAATCAATCAAGTGGAAGAAAGGCTATCAGAGATTGAAGATCAACTTAATGAGATAAAGCGTGAAGACAAGATTAGAGAAAAAAGAATGAAAAAGAACAAACATAGCCTCCAAGAAATATGGGACTATGTGAAAAGACCAAACCTACATTTGATTGATGTACCTGAAAGTGACTTGGGAGAATAGAACAAAGTTGGAAAACACTCTTTAGGATGTTATCCAGGAGAACTTCCCCAACCTAGGAAGACAGGCCAACATTCAAATTCAGGAAATACAGAGAACACCTCAAAGATACTTCTCGAGAACAGCAACCCCAACACACATAATCGTCAGATTCACCAAGGTTGAAATGAAAAAAAAAAAAAAGTTAAGGGCAGCCAGAGAGAAAGGTCAGGTTACCCACAATGGGAAACCCATCAGACCAACAGCAGATCTCTCTGCAGAAACCCTACAAACCAGAAGAGAGTGGGGGCCAATATTCAACATTCTTAAAGAAAAGAGTTTTCAACCCAGAATTTCATATCCAGCCACACTAAGCTTCATAAGTGAAGGAGAAATAAAGTCCCTTACAGACAAGAAAATGCTGAGAGATTTTGTCGCCACCAGGCCTGTCTTCCAAGAGCTCCTGAAGGAAGCGCTAAATACAGAAAGGAAAAACCGGTACCAGCCACTACAAAAACATACCAAATTATAAAGACCATCGACATCCTGATGAAACTACATCAACTAACGGGCAAAATAACCAGCTAGTGTCATAATAACAGGATCAAAGTCACACATAACAATATTAACCTTAAATGTATATGGGCTAAATGCCCCAATTAAAAGACACAGACTGACAAATTGGATAGAGTCAAGACCCATCAATGTACTGTATTCAGGAGACCCATCTCACGTTCAAAGACACACATAGGTTCAAAATAAAGGGATAGAGGAATATTTACCAAGCAAATGGAAAGCAAAAAAAGAGCAGGGGTTGCAATCCTATCTCTGATAAAACAGACTTTACCAACAAAGAACGAAAAAGACAAAGAAGGGCATTACATAATGGTAAAGGGATCAATGCAACAAGAAGAGCTAACTATCCTCAATATATATGCACCCAATACAGGAGAACCCAAATACATAAAGCAAGTTCTTGGAGACCTACAAAGAGACTTAGACTCCCACACAATAATAATGGGATACTTTAACACTCCACTGTCAATATTAGACAGATCAATGAGACAGAAAAGTAACAATGATATTCAGGACTTGAACTCACCTTCGGACCAAGCGGACCTAATAAACATCTACAGAACTCTCCACCCCAAATCAACAGAATATACGTTCTTCTCAGCACCTCATCGCACTTATTCTAAAATTGACCACATATTTGGAAGTAAAACACTCCTCAGCAAATGCAAAACAACGGAAATCATAACAGTCTCTGAGACCACAGTGCAATCAAATTAGAACTCAGGATTAAGAAATTCACTCAAAACCACACAACTACATGGAAACTGAACAACCTGCTCCAGAACGATTACTGGGTAAATAATGAAATGAAGGCAGAGATAAATAAGTTTTTTGAAACCAATGAGAACAAAGACACAACATACCAGAATCTCTGGGACACAGCTAAAGCAGAGTTTAGAGGGAAATTTATAGCACTAAATGCCCACAAGAGAAAGCAGGAAAGATCTAAAATTGACACCCTAACATCATAATTAAAAGAACTAGAGAAGCAAGAGCAAACAAATTCAAAAGGTAGCAGAAGACAATAAATAACTAAGATCAGAGCAGAACTGAAGGAGATAGAGACACAAAAAGCCCTTCAAAAAATCAATGAATCTAGGAGCTGCTTTTTTGAAAAGATTAACAAAATAGGTAGACTGCTAGCAAGACTAATAAAGAAGAAAAGAGAGAAGAATCAAATAGACACAATAAAAAATAATAAAGGGGATATCACCATTGATCCCACAAAAATACAAACTACCATCAGAGAATACTATAAACACCTCTATGTAAATAAATTAGAAAATCTAGAATAAATAGATAAATTCCTGGACACATACACCTCCCCACCCCAAGACTAAACCAGAAAGAAGTCGAATCCCTGAATAGACCAATAACAAGTTCTGAAATTGAGGCAGTAATTAATAGCCTACCAACCAAAAAAAGTCCAGGACCAGACAGGTTCACAGCCAAATTCTACCAGAGGTACAAAGAGGAGCTGGTACCATTCCTTCTGAAACTATTCCAAACCATACAAAAAGAGAGACTCCTCCCTAATTCATTTTATGAGGCCAGCATCATCCTGATACCAAAACCTGGCAGAGACACAGCAATAAAAGAAAATTCCAGGCCAATATCCCTGATGAGCATCGATGTGAAAATCCTCAATAAAATACTGGCAAACCAAATCCAGCAGCACATCAAAAAGCTCATCAACTGCGATCAAGTCAGCTTCATCCCTGGGATGCAAGGCTGGTTCAATATATGCAAATCAATAAACATAATGCATCAAATAAACAGAACCAATGGCAAAAACTACATGATTATCTCAATAGATGCAGAAAAGGCCTTCAATAAAATTCAACACCCTTTCATGCTAAAAACTCTCAATAAACTAGGTATCGATGGAATGTATCTCAAAATAATAAGAGCTATTTATGGCACACCCACAGCCAATATCATAGTGAACAGGCAAAAACTGCAAGCATTCCCTTTGAAAACCAGCACAAGACAAGGATGCCCTCTCTCACCACTCCTATTCAACATAGTGTTGGAAGTTCTGGCTAGGGCAATCAGGCAAGCAAGAGAAATAAAGGTATTCAAATAGGAACAGAGGAAGTCAAATTGTCCATTTGCAGATGACATGATTGTATATTTAGAAAACCCCATCATCTCAGCCCAAAATCTCCTTAAGCTGATAAGCAATTTCAGCAAAGTCTCAGGATACAAAATAAATGAGCAAAAATCACAAGCATTCCTATACACCAATAACAGACAAACAGAGAGCCAAATCATGAGTGAACTCCCATTCACAATCGCTACAAAGAGAATAAGATACCTAGGAATACAATTTACAAAGGAGATGAAGGACCTCTTTAAGGAGAACTACAAACCACTGCTCAAGGAAATAGGAGAGGACACAAATAAATGGAAAAACAGTCCATGCTCATGGATAGGAAGAATCAATATCATGAAAATGGCCATAGTGCCCAAAGTAATTTATAGATTCAATGCTATCCCTATCAAGCTACCATTGACTTTCTTCACATAATTAGAAAAAACTACTTTAAATTTCATATGGAAACAAATAAGAGCCCATATAGCCAAGACAATCCTAAGCAAAAAGAACAAAGCTGGAGGCATCACACTACCTGACTTCAAACTATACTACAAGGCTACAGTAACTGAAACAGCATGGTACTGGTACCAAAACAGATATATGGACCAATGGAACAGAACAGAGGCCTCAGAAATAACACCACACATCTACGACCATCTGATCTTTGACAAACCTGACAAAAACAAGCAATGAGGAAAGGATTCCCTATTTAATAAATGGCATTGGGAAAACTGGCTAGCCATATGCAGAAAACTGAAACCAGACCCCTTCCTTACACCTTATACAAAAATTAACTCAAGATGGATTAAAGACTTAAATGTACGACCTAAAACCATAAAAACTCTAGAAGAAAACCTAGGTAATACCATTCAGGACATAGGCATGGCCAAAGACTTCAGGACTAAAACACCAAAAGCAATGGCAACAAAAGCCAAAATTCACAAATGGGATCTAATTAAACTAAAGAGCTTCTGCACAGCAAAAGAAACTATCATCAGAGTGAACAGGCAACCTACGGAATGGGAGAAAAATTTTGCAATCTGTCCATCTGACAAAGTGATAATATCCAGAATCTACAAGGAATTTAAACAAAGTTACAAGAAAAAAACAACCCCATCAAAAAGTGGACGAAGGATATGAACAGACACTTCTCAAAAGAAGACAGTTATGCAACCAACAAACATGGGAAAAAAAGCTCATCATTACTGGTCATTACAGAAATGCAAATCAAAACCACAATGAGATACCATCTCATGCCAGTTAGAATGGTGATCATTAAAAGGAAACAACAGATGCTGGGGAGGATGTGGAGAAACAGGAACGCTTTTACACTGTTGGTGGGAGTGTAAATTAGTTCAACCATTGTAGAAGACAATGTGGTGATTCCTCAAGGATCTAGAACCAGAAATACCATTTGACCCAGCATCCCATTACTGGGTATATACCCAAAGGATTATAAATCATTCTACTGTAAAGACACATGCACACATATGTTTATTGCAGCACTGTTCACAATAGCAAAGACTTGGAACCAACCCAAATGCCCATCAATGATAGACTGGGTAAAGAAAATGTGGCACATATATACCATGGACTACTATGCAGTCGTAAAAAAGGATGTGTTCAAGTACTTTGCAGGGACATGGCTGAAGCTGGACACCATCATTTTCAGCAAACTAACACAGGAACAGAAAACCAAACACTGCATATTCTCACCCATAAATGGGAGTTGAACAATGAGAACACATGGATGCAGGGAGGGAAACATCACACACTGGGGCCTGTCGGGGGGTTGGGGGATAGGAGAGGGATAGCATTAGGAGAAATACCTAATGTAGGTGATGGGTTGATGGATGCAGCAAATCACCATTGCACGTGTATACCTATGTAACAAACCTGCGCGTTCTGCACATGTATATCAGAACTTAAAGTATAATTTTTTAAAAAAGAAAATGCAAATCAAAATCACAATGAAATAATACCTCATACCCATTAGGATGGCTACTATAAAACAAAACAACAAAAAAGAAAAGGATACGTGTTGGTGAAGATGCAGGGAAATTAGAATCCTTGTGCACTGTTTGTGGAATGTAAAATGGTGCAGCTGTTATGGAAAACAGTATGGTAGTTCCTCAAAAATTAAAAACAGAAATGCTACATGATCCAGCAATTCCATTTCTGGGTATATTTCCAAAAGAACTGAAAGAAGGGTCTCTTTCAGTTCAAGAAGTACTTGCACACTCATGTTCATAGCAGCATTATTCGCAATAGTCAAAATGTAGAAGCAATCCAAAAGTCCGTCAATGATGGATGAAAGGATGAACAAAATACAGTAAACACAAACAATGAAATATACTCAGCCTTACAAAGGAAAAAAATTCTAAAGCATGCTACAACATGGATGAACCTTGGGGACATTATGATAAGTGAGATAAGACAAAAAGACAAATACTGTTTGATACTATTTACATGAGGTACCTAGAGTAGTCCAATTGATAGAGACAGAGAGTGGAAGGGTGTCTGCATGGACGCAGCGGGGGAGGCATGGGGAGTTTTGAATGGGTACAGACTTTCAGTTTTGCAAGATGAAAAGAGTCCTGGAGATTGGTTGCATAACTATGAAAAATGTACTTAATAATACCAAACTGTACACTTAAAAATAGTTAAGAGGGTAAATTTTAAATTATGTATATTTTATGACAATTAAAATTTTAAACTAGGAAAAAAGTCATGGTACCATTTTGTGTTCTTAAGACTATACCCTGGTCATCCTGCTATATAGAATACCATGTTGTCACACAGATCTTGTCCTCTGGGCATCGATTTCTCAATTTTTCCTCCAGGTGTATAAATTTTATCATTCATTATGTATGGATCTTTTTTTTTTTTTTTAGTTTTACTGCCACAGGTTAACATTATTTTCCAGTTCCCATGTGGCACACTTCATTTTCCCCTTTTTATGCTGACAACAGCATCATGCTTATCAATGAAAAATTCAGAGCTTTAAGATGAATTACACAGTAAACTTTAGGCAGACGCAGAATTATAATGTAAAAATCCAGGCTTATTCAATCAAATTTAGTGTATTCACATTCAAGAGAGCAACAAGGAATACAAAAGCTGATGTCAATGAATCTGACGTTCTTAAATATTCCTTGCCTTGCATTGAGCAGGTGAGCAACGACAGAATACAGCAGGCCAGATGCAGTCAGGAGCGGTAGTCTCTGAGTTGCAGGAGCCTGGCAGGTGCTTCTGGCCCAAGCCAACAAACCCTCGAGACTGAGTATTGAGCCACAGAGGAGAACCCGGCAGATACAGGGGCTCAGGCAATGAGAGGACTCCTGCCTGAGATGAAGGCAAGAGCAAAGGGGCAGAATAAGAAAACAGGGCAGCACCACCAAACAACCGTGGCCCTCTGACCCCAGCACAGAGGCCCTTGACCCTCTGCCCTGGCTTAGGGGTGGCTCCCCAGGTGTAGGAGGCCCCCAAACTTCTAGGGGCTGTTTCTAACTAGAAAGAATGAGTTGGTCTGCAGATGAATGCCATTCCTGGAGAACGCCTGGGCAGACAGTTCAGCTTGCCCCACTTTCTTGTCACAGGAAGCAAACTGCCATAAAAATCCTTTAGAACAGTGATTCTTTTTGTAATGGTTAGCAAAAGAACCTTTCTTCGAGTGAAATTTTTTTGAGGAACGTCAATATATAAAAATAGTTTAAAGCCTATCAGCCCCGAACAGCCCAGAGCCCAAACACACAGCCACCCCACTGTGCCCCACCCTCACAGCAGCCTCTGCAGCCCCTCCATGGAGCTACAGGGACGGGTGGGACACAGTGTGAAAGCCACTGCTTCAGAATGCCAGACAGTCTGTCTGTGAAAGCCTCAAAGCAGAAACTCAGGCAAATGTGAAAAATAAAAACCGTGCATCATGCCAAGAACTTGAAAAACTTATCAAAGTTGAACCAACTGGTCCCTGGAAAACCCTAAGTGTCAGAGGCATCCTTGAATCCTATCACATCAGCAGTCTGCTCTTGGAAAGACTCTTACTGAAAGGCACCTAAGAGGCCATGCAATGCCTTGGGACATGTCATTTGGAATTCTAAGCCCTGAATTTGAGTCACAACTCTGCTACTTGTAGCTCAGTGACTCAGAAAACATCTCCAACTGTCTAAGCCCTGACTTTCTCATCAGCAAGAGTAGGATATAGGTTCTGCACCCACTTTACATGCGTTACAAGGATCAAATGAAAAAATTATTAAAGCAGTATCTAATTTTTTTTTTTTTTTTGAGACAGTCTCGCTCTGTCACCCATGCTGGAGGGCAGTGACACAATTTCAGCTCACTGCAACCTCTGCCTCCTGGGCTCAAGTGATTCTCCTGCCTCAGTCTCTGGACTAACTGGAATTACAGGCATGCACCACCACGCCCAGCTATTTTTTTTATTTTTGGTAGAGACAGGGTTTTGCCATGTAGGCCATGTTGGTCTCAAACTCCTGACATCAGGCGATCCACCCTCCTTGGCCTCCCAAAGTGCTGGGATTACAGGCGTGAGCCCCCACACTGGGCCTAAAGTGGTATCTAAACTCTAAAGTTCTTGTATGCATGAAAGCTGTCCACATTATAAAAATCTGCTGTGTAGTGGACCATCTCGTGCATTCATTCACTCTACAAATTGTTATTGAACAATACTCAGCCAGCTACTGAAAGATCAATAAATTGAGCTGATTTGGATGTGACTTCTCTGTACCCACTGAACAAGGTAACAGTAAAGAGTAGCAACCCACTTCCATGAATAGTGATGGGATCCACACCACCTGCAATGGCTCCTCCCCACTTCCTGCCTGGTCTCCCTGACATGCTACTGTAGCTTTCTCATGTCATCGGCATTGCCTCTCAGTCACTGCTACACTCACTGTCATCTACCCCACACAGGAGCCCTGAGGATCCCAGAATCTATGCAGAAAACTCAGAGCCAGCTGACCTAGTTGTCCCATGATAGATAGAACTAACTTTCACCACTAACTGGACTCTGGCCACACCGTCCAACAGAACTTTCTGCAATGATGGGAATGTTCTGTATATGCACTGTATGGTAGATAGCCTCTAGACAAATGTGGCTATTGAGCCCTTGAAATGTGACTAGTGCACCTAAAAGATTAATTTTATTATTTAAATTAATTAAATTTAAATAGCCATAGGTGGCTAGTAGACGGAGCGGTTCTACAGGAATGGAACAGAGGGCAAGCCTGATCTTTTTCATAAAATGTGAAAAACATATAGTAATTGCATTCATATCATTTTCAAACATAAGATCATTGTTAAATTAATAAGTAATGGTTTTACCATGTTCGTATGATTTTTTTAAGAGCAGATGAAGTTCCCTGTCCTAATTCAGTCTCAAATAGTGCTTCCTAATTATTCAAAGTTGTGAGCAGAAGCCAGTGCCAGACAAAAAAAAAAAAAAGAGCATGCATCTGTGGGGTTTAGCATGCATTGTGAACAAATAAAACCTGTAATAAAAGTAACCTGTCACCTACTAATGATGTGCATAAGAGCTATGGTGCATGCAGTAATTCGTTATAAGGGGTAAGTCATTCTCGTAAATTACTAAACCTAGCAAAACTTTTACATCATTTGTTCTCTGGTATTAACTAATTACACAAACATTCCCAGCTTCTTTGAATTCTTTGTAAAGGTTCATACACTGCTCATCTCCAGCGTCATTAAGAGACCAGAATCTTGGCTCCAAAAACCATTGCTGCATGTTCTATCTCAGCATTCTTCCCCAACCTGATACAGCCCCAGGCTGAGGTGTTCCTGGCCATACTGCCAAGTTCTGCCATTGTCTGTCCCATCCTTCATATGTCGCTGAGCTAAGCCATTATCACTGCTCCCTCTTGAAGTTTCTGTCCAGGAGGGGCCAGTGGCAGAAACTCTGAGGCAAACTGTGAATGAACAGCTCTACCTGATCACCACACGTCAAAGAGAGGAAGTAGGGAGGAAGTGAGCTGCTGGGCAAGGGCAGCCCTTTAGAGTACGCAGAGGAGGTGTTGAAGATGGACTCTGGGTAAAGGACAGATGGTAGTTTGGGGCCACAGGGGAATGGAATGAAGTAAAAGAAAAAGCGCAACAGTTGATGAGAGGATCTGCACTCTTGCAGATTGCAATTCTGGTCCTGTGGCCCACCTGGCAGGAATGTGCCAGGAATGTGCCTCTGGGCACATGTGCCCAGCTGAGCAGTCCTTGGCCATGAGCTTCTAGTGCTCTCATTCTGAAATAGCTTTCACAGTGAAGAACAAAAATAGTTAACATCACTGCAGCCTTTGATCTATTGGAAGACTAGGGGAAGAGGAGGGCCAATAGGCACCTGAAAGTAGACAGAGGACAGGGTGACAGGGAAGTCTGGAAAGCCCAGGAAAAAGAAAGCTCATGGTTCCCCATGGCTTGGAAAACTGCAGAAGTCCTGCTATACTTGAAGGAAATGGTCATTTCCATGGCAAGTGTTGTGCTGTATGTATCTCAAGTCCAACCCAGTCTGGCCCTGCAGGCAGATTTACATGCTTTCCAGGTAAGGTCAGGAGTTAGAGGGCAAATAAATGCTGCAGCTTTCTCACCAAATTTTCTAAACAAGGAGTCAAGACATTATCATCATGCTCAAGCTATGCTTTTTCTCAGGTGGAAGATGTCAAGTTCTGCTTTATTGTTCCAAGTCCAAAAAATAAAAAATAAAGAGAGCTCACAATTGCATTTTTTGCAAGGACCCTCTCTCTATCTTCACTGTTTTCAGTGTGACTCTTAAATGAAATACCAGGACAACCACAACAAACCACACTCACTGAGGGATTTGTATAAACTGCACTAAATGCCAGCCCCCACCTCTGCTATGCCATGTGTGTGCGTGTATATCCCTCTTTCACAATCATACACACACACACACACACACACACACCCTACAGCTGTTTCTGCCATCAAAGTTCATGCTGCATCTCTGAATCCCAGACTTGATGGTCATATCATCCTTGTCTGAAATTCTCCTCAATTGCCCTCGTTACCTAAATGCTTTCATATAAAAGACAAGTTCCTAAATACTTGATCATCTTTTCTATGTGCATGGCTTTCTCAAACTAGGTTATAAATGACAAATTGCAACTTGAACCTGACTTAAGGTAAAAATCCAGATGACTCATTTCTTCTGAGGAAGGGAATAGAACCACAAAAAACCAGGAACCCAGGCAGGGGGCTCCTTCAGCATCCCAGCACTGCATATCTCTGCACTTCTACACCCATCACCCCTCAGCCCACTGCATGGCTACTGCACAGGTCTTGACTTGACATGTTCTCCATCCACAGAGCCAGCTTAGCTAAAAACCAGCATTTCTTGGTCTCAACCTAAATTCACAGGGAGGGAGAATTAACTGGCCCAGTTTGAGTTAGAATCAAACATTGGTGGAATCAAGGGATGCTGGAAGATACTCATAGAACAGGATATCATGTACTCAAGAACAAAGGTGAATAATGGGGGGAGGGTGAGGTGGGAGCATGTGGCAGGGCAAGGAGGGTGACAGTCCACGGAGAAGAGAAATGTGAGCTGAACAGACACTTGGAAACGTGTTTACTGCAGCGCAATACTTAATACTGTAAGTATGGAGTTTCTTTAATATTGGGCAAGAATGATTTTCACTAGAGGTGAGGAAAACATCAAATAGGGCCTGAGGTAACCTCCAGCTTCTGCATGATTTTACCTAAGATGGTCTCAATTACCTCCAACTGACCAAGACAAATAATAGCTGTGTGCAAAGCAATTTGGCTCTGCCTGATCACATGCACACAGGGAGACAGAATCACAATCTCTTTTTAATAAGGTGCTACTTCTCATTTCTCTGAAGCTAAGAGGTCCCTTGGAAGGGAGACATTCCTGATACTAAAGTCCTTGAACTGAGAGGTTATCGTGTACTCCCTTCTTTTTAGGGAATCTAGACTATCTGGTGGGAGAAAAGGGCTCAGAAGGCAGTAGGGGGCAACTGTCTTAGAGACTGTGTGAAGGGGAGACCAGCTTATGTTCTATCAGTGAATCTATTGTTAAAGATTCCTGTCCTCGTGATTAGGTGATTAAATAACTAAAACAGTCATTGCAGTTGGACTCATAATGGTATTCTTAGTTATCTTTATTAGACACTAGCAGAAAAAGTAAGGACCAAAGACCAGAAGATTAGGCTCACTTTTGATGGTGGCTGATAGAAAGCAATTCTGAGCTGCATCTTTGATGGTGCACTCCTTATGACTAAGAAGAAGACACCAGTACAGAAACCTTTCTGTGGGAAAACTTTAAATAAAGAAGAGCCTTATCTCCTAGGAAACCAATTCACTCCTCCTCATTCTCTGTTCAAAAAGATGGCCAGCTTTCCCGTTTCCCATCCCCAACCCCATCCCCATTTCCTTCTTCAGAAATCTCACACTCTAACAAAACAGGCATTTTAGGAGAGTGGGTTTTCTTTAAGCCAACTAGTATCCAGCTAGGGTCCAACACCATTTCCAGATTCAGAATCCATTTGAAAAGATATTAGAATGTAGAAAGGCAGGCAGCTGCTGAATAATTACTTGGATATGACAAGGAATACAGGCTATGAATAGAAAGACAGCTGGAACCTACCTATATAACGCTATTTTCCACAGGGCAGGATTTAGCAAATGGTGTCTCCATAGCAAGGGATCTGGCTGCTTATATCTCCTGTAAGCAATTTCACTGATGCTTTGACCTCAAGGTACAGCGCCGTATAGGAGCTTTCATCTACTCATTTATTCCATAAGAGATGAATTGGGTGTCTATTATAAGCCAAACATTAGGCAGGGCACTTGGGGGATAAAGGTAAAGAAGAAACAATTAAGGAGCTTACAGTATAGCACAGGAAGCAGGCACATAAATGAATACTGGATTCACTAAATAAAGAGGTGAGTACAAGGAACAATTATGGGAGAAGAGAAGATCAAGAAAACTTCACAGAACAGAGACTCTTTGCATTGGTGTCATGAGAACAAATAGAAGTTTGTCCAGAAGGCCACTCATGGGAGTAGAGGGTGGTAGAATGACTTCCACCCCTGGGGAATAGCATTTGCAAAGGCATGGAGGCATGAAACTATGCATAAAGTGCAGTTGTGCAACTGCAAGTCAGTAATTCAATAAGGTCAGTGCCAAGGAAGAAAGGAAGAGAGATGATTACAGAGGAAGACACCAGCTTGTGAAGGCTATGGTTTTTCTTTGTTGAGCAGTTTGGATTTTATCCCGCAAGTGATGGGGGTGGTGTGTGCCAGATCATCTGTGGTCTTCAGAGCCATTTCCGCTCCTTTCATGCTCTCTCCTGTATAGCATGAGTTGAAAATCTGGGAATCCATTTTCTAGATCCCATGTCAGCTGTATTCCAGTTTAAAGGCCACCAATTTGGAATCCTGCCAGATTCAGAAAGAAAGAGCCAGCATTATTCCTCCAACAGTGGCAGGCAGATGCGTGAGCTCCAAGAGACCTTAGGTTTTTCTCGTTCTGCTGTGTGTGAAACACTCATTTTTGTGCTACAGGCAACTATGAACATCACCACTGGTTTTCTGAAGTCCTTAACTTGGGCAACAATAGCCTCTTCCTTTATCCCAGAACGCTGCTATCACATTATAGAGCAACTGGCAAACTTCAGAGCCACTGGCAACCTTTTCTGACCTACAGTCCTACAGCCTTTCCAGGGTTTTGTAAGCACCAGTTAGCAGTTTTAAATTCATTCCTGCTTAAAATACTTCACGTGGTTTCTCTTTCTGTGATCCAATCTGGAGCATTTTAGAAGATGACCCTGGCGGCTTTGGGAAGAGAGCATTGAATAGGGAGAACACAGGGAGATCAATAGACAGATTATCTCAATAATACAAAGGAGAGATGATGAAACTCAAAATTCTATAATGAATTTTGACAATGCCAATAAAGGAGGAAGATGAATTAAAGAAATATTTAGGACCTATGACCTATGGATGAAGGGGCAAAATAAGAGACATTTAGGAGTCTCTTGGACTTCTGGTCTGGATGATTGCCCTGATGGTGGGAAACAGAAAGTGAAAACAGGGAGAGTGGGACAAGGAGATTTGGCAGGCATTATAGAGGATGAGTTCAATTTAAGATGTTAAGTTTTACCAGGTGTCGTGGCTCACGCCTGTAATCCCAGCACTTTGGGAGGCTAAGATAGGTTTGAGCCCAGGAGTTCAAAACTAGCCTGGGAAACCTGGTGAGACCCTATCTCTACTATTTTAAAGAAAAATTTAAAACTTAGCCAAGCGTGGTGGCATGCACCTATAGTCCAAGCTACTTGGGAGGCTGAGGTGAGAGGATTGCTTGAGCCCAGAAGGTGGAGGGTCCAGTGAGCCAAAATCACACCACTGCACTCCAGCCTGGGTGACAGAGTGAGACCTTGTCTCAAAAAAAAAAAAAAAAGTTAAGTTTCAGGTCTAGATATTCAGCAGGCAGCTACATTAATCTGAGGGTGGAGGATTTAGGCTGAAGGTATTTATTTTGAGGACCGGGAACATAGAAATAATCAATCATGAGAGTGGGTAAAATTGATTAAAGGAAGTGTATAGTGTAATAAAAACAGAAAACAGAGAAATGAGCCCTGGAAAACATCAACAGTTAAAAACAAATACCAAAGAGAATCCAGCAAAAGAGACTAAGAAGGAGTAGTAGAGAGGTAGAAGCATCCAGATAGTATAGTGCTAAGCAGAAGGAGATCATCTGAAATCACAGGTAAAGAGATGACGATGGCATAAATTATAATTGATGGACGACATCAACTTTAAAATGTAGGAAGGACTCTGACTATTTATATTCATTCAAATGTTATTTGTTGCTTTCACACACAGAGGCCTGTTTTATACAACGTAGAAATGAAGAGATGTTCTGCAGCTCTTTGCAGATTCACCTCTTCACTGGGCTCCATCTCTATTTCCATCTTCTTTCATCCTAAACACAGTTTTTTGTTTATGCCCTCATTTTATTCCTTGTGCTCTTTTCAGGATGGTGTCAATGCATTTCTGCCATTACAAATAAGAGTTCCTGATCAAGTCTTCCAAATCCATACTCTGTGTTTCTTTGACCAGGCAATATGATCAAGGCCTGTGGACTCCAAGCCTATGCAATTTTGACTTGTAGCCACTCACAGACGTATGGGTTCAACAACTGGTAAAGAGTCCTCTAGAGCTGTGTGGAAATCAGCTTAACTGGTCATGACCAGACAGTTTTATAAAATAAAATATAAGAAAGTAAAACAGAATAGAAAATACAAGCAAGGGTAAATATTATGTCGTAAAACATTTGTTTCAGTGACAGATTATATGTGTGTCTTTCTGTTTTATGCATGGTATGTGAGTGTTTACATTTTATGCATGGTATGTGATATGGCATGGATATTTGTTCTCTCCAAATCTCATGTTGCAATGTGATCCCCAGTGTTGGAGGTGGGGCCTACTGGAAGTGTTTGGGTCATGGGGACAGACCCCTCATGAATGGCTTGGTACCCTCTTGGCAGTAATGAGTTCACATGAGAGTTGGTTGTTTAAGAGTCTGCGACATTGCTTCTCTCTCTCTTGTTCCTTCTCTCCTGTTCTCTTTCTCTTGCTGCCTCTCTCTTGATCCGTTTCTCACCATGTAATATGCTGGCTCCCCTTCGCCTTCTGCAATAATTATAAGTATCCTGAGTCCCTCACCAGAAGCAAATGCTTCCTGTACAGTCTGCAGAACCATGAGCCAAATAAACCTCTTTTCTTTATAAACTACCCAGTCTCAGGTATTCCTTTCTAGCAGCGCACACATACTAGCACAATATGTGTTATAAGTCACCAAGTAAATAATGGAGCAAGATCTCATAAGTGTAACATGAAAAAGAACTACCAAGGGGGATTGAGTTCTATATTAATTTGTATTTCCTCCAAAGCAGACAAGGTCTCAGATGCAGGTAGTTTATTTTCAAAATGGTCCTAGGAAACAGAAGTGAGGGAGCAGAGAAAGAAAGATAGGAAAGGGCAAAGAGCCAATAAAGTGTGCATTAAAGTGCTGGTTACCATTGTGAACATCTGGGTCTCAGTCTTGCTGAGAACACTCTGAGGAACCACGCAGAATGTGCTTCAGAATCGTCCCACTAAAGTAGAGGTTGGCAAACATTTTCTGTAAAGAGCCAGATAATAAATATTTTTCACTTTGCAAACCATGCAATCTCTGTTGCTACTATTCAGCTCTGCCATTGTAATAAGCAAGTTGCCATGATGATTTGTAAATGAATGGGCATGACTGTGTTTCAATAAAACTTTATAAAAACAGGTGGGCTGAATTTAGCACACAGGCTGAAGTTGGCCAACTCTTGCAGTAGACCACGTGGAGGCTGGGTCTTTTTCCTTTTTCCACCAATTGCTATGCCATTTGTTGAGGACTGCCCTAGGCAATTTTTTTGCTTTGGAAATACTAAAATCTGGTGGTGTTATATTTGTTGTCACAATCCATTCTCCAATGAAATTAGTTATTGCTCTTCCAGGGCAGGCAAAAAAACAAACACCAAATAAATAAAATTAATAATAATAAAAGAAAGTAGTTATTACATTTTAAAGTTTTTTCTTTTACTTCTTCAAAGTTTGCTGTGTTCAGCTCTCACACCTAGCTTGGCATACATTTTACTGTTTCAAATCATTTTCTCTTAAAATTGTCCACACAGAGGATCTCACCTAATTATTCTTACGCAGTCTAAAAGACATACTGTCTCTTATGCTTTTAAGCTCATTTCCTTTTCCATGTGCTTTTCTATTTTCTCCAAATGGATACATTCAATTACTCTCCTCTTGGGTATTTTAATTTCACACATTTTTGTACACTTAGAAAAACCATATATTGCACTACATTCACTGGAAAATCATCAAAAGGCATTTAGATGAAAGAAAACTTTAGTAAAAACATGTCTTTTGTAGCTACATAAGCCTGAGATCGTTCCTTGTTTTAAACCACATAACTAGAGAAGAGGAAAACATGGTTTCACAATTTGAATTCTTTTGAATGACTTCATTTATATAGCATTTTTACAGTTCACAGAGCTCTTTCTCATAATAGTCATGTGATTCATACATTTTCTTATTTGGCCTACAAGGAAACTGAGGCTTGGAGGTGAGCAGCTTTATAACTTTTACAGAGAAAGATGGTAACATGACTGGATCCATAATCCAATCCCACTCCAGTATGCTTTCTGGTGTGCCTTACTCACAACTGCTGTGTGAACTGTAGAAATTTTAAGTCATTTTTTAGCTACTTACTTCTGACAGGTACTTTATTATACCATGCTATTCAACTCTCCCATGGCTGGATATTTGCTATAAATGCTTGAATTTTTGTTGTTATTGTTTGCTCATTTCTTAATATAGGTAAGTCCTAAGCAGGTTAGATTGTTTGCAGAGATGGCTACAATACTCTGTTTTGTCCCCATATGCCACTCCTCCCATAGAGACAGTCTATTTTTCCCTCCCCTGAATCTGGGCTGGCCTTGTGACTTGTTCTGAACAGTGGAATGCAGAGGCCCTCCCAAGCCTAGGCCTCAAGATGTCTCTTGATGTTCCATGTGAACACCAAGGCCTCACTGATGCCATGTGAGGAAGCCTGGGCTCTTTTGGTTGAGGATGGAGGACTATGGAAAGTGGCCCAGCCAATAGCCAGCACCAAATGCCAGGTAAATGAGTGAAGCCACCTTGGACTATTCAGCTGCATTCAAGCCACTAGGTGACTGAGCCACATGAGTGAATCTAGATTACACCAGTAGAAGAACTGTCCAGCTAAGCTCATCCCATAGAATGATGAGCAAATAGCAATAACAGCAAGTAACAACAGTTGTTTTAAGCTACTAAGTTTTGAGGGTATTTGTTATGCAGCAATACATAACTGATACACTAGTAATGAGCAATTCCATAGTCCATCATTTTGTGGATGTAGAGATTCCCCAAAGTTCTGAAGCCATCTTCAATGCCCCTTAGATTAATGAGTTTTCCTGCAATTTTGAGGAATTTTATCTCAGTTCCCCAGGCTTTTTGCAGAGCAACAGGGACCTAGTAACATAAACTTATTATATTACTATCTCACAGAATGGCTCAATCTCTCCACAGAGGTGATTTCTGGGAGCCATCTTTACTCGTCTCTGTCCCAGTGGCCATAGCTACTTAGTCCAAAAATAGATACCTAGTACAAGTTGGGCAATCAACATCTCTCTAAGGTAAATATGAAATATTGACTGGAGGCCCAGAAACTAAAACCTTTGAGAACTGAGTCTGTTGAATGGTAGTGTTCTGGAAGGAAATCTATCACTACCCTGAGGTTCCAGAGCTATGCTGGTCCCTGCCCTTCCTTAAGAGCGGGTGTTCGACTCCTCATTAGACTGTGTCACATATTCTGATATTCTTCCAACCTATCTTTGGCCGAATGGAAGCCCATGGCTAACCCCTAAGGACTCCTCAGGGGACAGTGGCCTCTGCTCTTCTCCTGTTCAGGAGTCAGAAGGGAGCAGCTGTCCAGGAAGATAATCTCATTTTATGAGGAGATCAAAAAAGTTGGCATCTCATGGTTCTTCATTGTTTCATCTGCTGCCCAAATCACTGCTAACATCAAATAAAAGTAAATCTCTGTCAGTAATGATTTAACTGATAAAAGCTCTTCCCGTCCCTACTGCTCCACACTCTTATCATATAGACACATGGAAGCAGGGTTTATTGGAGGAATATTAGAATATGTGACAGAATCTAATGAGGAGTCAAACACACCTACTCTTTAGGAAGAGCAGGACCAGCATAGCTCTAGGACCTCACAGTGGTGATAGATTTCCTCCCAAAACACTACCATAAAGCAGACTCACTTCTCAAAGATTTCAGTTTCTGGGTCTCCATTCAATATTCTGTATTTACCACGGGGAAACATCGATTGCCCAACTTGTACTAGTTGTCTATTCTTAGACTAAGTAGCTATGGCCACTGGGACGGAGACAAGTAATAACAGAAAGATGACTATCAGAACTCTGTGCTCTTCACATCCACCTGTTGGTGACGTTGCGTGTAAATGATGATACCTATAGTTGATTTCTCAGGAAACAGGGCACACGGTGGTCTGTGGCACTGTGTACAAGGTCTTTTCCCCACTGCCTACCAAGGGAGGTGTGGCCATTATACAACCTTGTTTTCTGTGACATCAAAAATCTATACTCCTCTACATATAACTGTAATATTCTAATTTTGTATAAGAAAGCTTACTTTTAAAAGCAGGAATCTTACATAATTACCACAATTCAGGACCCAGCAAAAAGACTGCAGGTAACAAAGTCATTTTCTATTCTATTTGCACATGGAAAGGTGAATGCTGTGAAATAGCTCCTGAGGGCATCTTGTTTTCAATAAGAGCTCACACAGTCCACAGCTAAATTCCACCTATTTCATTCAGGAGAAGTCTGGGAATTGATTTGGTTTTGTTACTAAAAAAGAAAAATTATCTTAGTAAATGTCCAGCAAATGAGAATTAGAGAACTTTACAATGTCATGGTAATATTTGCAAAGGATGAGTTAGAATAAAATTAAGTGCCTCATTGCCAGATGTTAATGTGCTTGGGTCTCTTTTTGGCTCTTTAAAAAATATAAACAAGGCATTTGAGTAAATTTAAATATTAAAGAAGTTGGGGTCTTTTAGTAAACAGTTTCAAGCTGCAACCCACAGATTGACAGCAAATATTCACCTTTGGATAAGAGCAAAGTCCCTGATTCTGATCATATTAGAACTTTTTCCTCCATTTTCAGAAACCAAAATGTTGAGTTTTCTGAAAAAGTTACGATTTACATAAACCATCGATTTACTTCAACTCCTTGTTAAATGGAAAAAGGGAGAAAAGGGAAATAATTATACAAATATAAAAGTGGAAATGTTTTTAATCCCATTCTACCAATCCTGAAGTTTAAAAGAAGTTTCCTAAAATTGAACTAAAACATGTATCATTTTTAGTTTTAGTAATCCCAAAGAGACCACATTTCATATATAACATCTCTATTCAAGTTAAAAAAATCAAACAAAAATTTCTAGACAAAAACTGTCCCTTTAGCACTTTCATTAAAGTTAAAACCATTTCTTTTAAAATGAGCAATTACATACTGATAATAGAACCCTGTGTATATTGTGTAATATGTACATTTTTGTACATTATATGATGGATAAAGACTACATAGATACCAAAAACATTCCAAGAAAGGGTTAAATTTGGTCAGTGGAAACTGCCATTCTTTCAACAACCTATGCTCATGACCTGTGAATCATTTTTCTTTCATTTATTCACTCACTCCTTTACTTACACTTTCACTCAGAAACATTTACTGATGGCTACAGTATACAGTACCAGGCAATGTGCTAAGCACTGGGGATGAAGAGAATTAAAATACAGGCTTCCATCCTCAGAAGCTTACACTCTGATCATGGGAACTTTCCACTCTCTTACTCCCTACATCCGATCATGAAAATTGACATAAATGTCTTTTCTTTCCATCTCTTCCTTGCCTCCGTCATGATCAAGGTCATTATCTTCGCAGCTGAATGGTTAAAATGGTTTTCCAATTGGACTTCCCACATCTAGCGTCTTCTCTCTCCACAACTTCTTTATACCATTATGTCATTCAGCTTACAAAAAGATTGATCTGATTTTGTCGCATTCCTGCACAAAAGTCTTCACAGTAGCTCCCCCACTTTCCCCAGGGAAAAGATTAACTCCACATTTCAACTAGTATTATCAATATTGCTAATAATTGCTTACTATTAGCAATTAGGCACTGTGCTAAACACTTTATGCATTATTTCATTTACTTCTCATGACTGCCTCTTAAGGCAAGAACTGTCACCTTCATTTTATAAATGAGAAAAATGAAGCCAAGAGGTGATCAATGACTTTTCCAAGGTCACACAGAGAGTAGGTAGCAGACTGACACCAAAATGCATATTCTTAACCACTCACGGACCCAGCATTCTGCTCTTGATTCAGTCTTAACTCTGTGCAAGCTTTGCCTCTGTGCAACCTTTGCTCCTGCTAGGCATCCCATGCACCTGTTCTTTACCTTCTCCATGCCTTCTAAATCCTATTAATATTCATTCAAAGCCCAATTTAAGTCCCCTCTCCTCTGTGAACTTGTCCTAGACCAGTCTAGTCTGCATGCTATTTTCTCTGCCACTCATTTGGCACTGAGAGATGTTCTGTACCATAGTTTTTACATAAATATCTCATATGTCTCAGGTACAACAATGAAAATCTATTAAGAGAATTTAGAGACAGAGTCTCACTCTGTCACCCAGGCTGGAGTGCAGTGGCTCACTGCAACCTCCACCTCCCATGCTCAAGCAATTCTCCCACATCAGCCTCCCGAGTAGCTGGGACTACAGGTGCACATGACCACACCAGGCTAATTTTTGTATTTTTATTTTAAGTAGAGACAGGATATCACCATGTTGGCCAGGCTGGTCTCAAATTCCTGACTTCAAATGATTTGCCTGCCTTGGCCTCCCAAAGTGCTAGTATTAAGCCACAACACCCAGCCCCTCCTAGATTCTTAATGAATATTTGCAGTTTTTGTGGTGCTACTCACATAACACACACTCAATAAATTAACGTTACATGAGCGAATGAAGAGTTTAGAGGGAAGTCTATCACCGTTTAAGTGATTTTGATGCAGAAAACATTCTCCTGCCATGATTGGTGAAAAAGGTGGGTGTCTGAGGTGCTGTATTTCTCTTTCCCAGCATGTCATAGAGAACAGAAACTCCCAGGACGTTACAGGACTTCCCCAAATCCTGCCCAAGTATTCAGACCAAAAAGGATTATTAAAAAATCCCTGTCCTGATCCTCAGTCTGAATAAGATCTATGTGAAACTTTAGCCCCGGGGTCTTAGCAAGCTCCGAGATAAAAATGATGGACTTCCCAAACATTTGACAGTAACACAGTCTGGTTATGACCCGGTGATTACAGAGGCTGAAGATTCCCACTCTCTCCTCAAACTGCAAGGAATGGTTTTAATTATAGCTCCAATCTAAGCCACTTGGAGGCGTCTGGGAACCACAGAGCTCCCAGCATGCTAGCCGTGTCCTTGCAAACTGATACCCCCTCACTATGCATGGTGGAAAAGGTTGACTATCCCGCATGCAATATCGGAGGTTGGCCAACTGGACAGTGATCTCCAGTTGCTCATCTTATTAGTGGAAAAGCCTGCCCAGTAGCAAGACAATACAAAATACCTGACACCATCCTTATCTTTGGGAATTAGCAGCAGAGCAGGGTCCATGCCTTCACTTCTTTGCTAAGAAAAACAACATGGTGTATGACTTGACAATGGAAGATTCTGGACAGAGCCTAAGATGGCTTAAAGTAAGCATTGTTTTTTCTGAGGAAGGGAAGAAACAGAAGCTTGAGGCATGTTGGATACATGTTCTCTGGAAGAGAACTGATAATACATTACATTTGGAACTAGACTTTTCGGTTTTCAAAGTGGTTTCATAAAGTGTTATATGACCTCAGCATCTATCAACCCTAGATGGCTTGGGCAGCTTACATATCCTCCATTCAACACAGGTGGTAAGAAGACCCCTAAGGGTTGCTGGGGATCTCACAGTTAGTGATTGTCAGAGCCAGGGCTAGAACATTTTAGTCTCTCACATTGCCTCTAGCTGCAGGGCCAGTCACATCACATGGTTATTTCCCAAGACTGAAGGAGTTGTAATATAAAATTGCTTGGTTAGGTTGGTTCTTTTTTTTTTTTTTTGCTTCCATTCCTGTTTCAATTTGCTCACTTTCTATTCCTTCCTTCCCACCTTCCTAGGCCACCCCCTCCCTCCCCCGACACACTGTCTCTCCTAAGCTTGCTTCAGATGCTACTTCACTGGCAGCCTTGGCTGCAAATCTCCTAGACTCACAGCCAACACTTGGAGCTCACAGATTACAGAGCTGTGTCCTCAGACTGCCTGTTGCTTTTTCTCAGGGTTGGATGAATTGCTTTCTTTTTTTTTTTTTAAAGGAGGAGAAGTGTTGGAGAGGAGAGGAAAAGAATTGAATAATTCTAGAATTAACAGCAATTTATTTTTACCCAAAGAAGGCCCCAAATTATCTAATGCTAACTCCTTAGGTTTGTGACGGACAAGTCAGAGACATTGGCAGGGGGGTAGGAGGGAATACCCCAGGATAAAATGCTTTCAGTGTTATGGCATTTTGTTCTAACTTACTGGCTATATTAGTCTGTTCTCACTGCTATAAGGACATAAAGGAGATTAGGTAATTTATAAAGGAAAGAGGTTTAATTGACTCACAGTTCTGCATGGCTGGGAAGGCCTCAGGAAACTTACATTCATGACGGAAGGCAAAGGGGGAGCAAGGCACCTTCTGCACAAAGCAGCAGGAAGGAGAAGTGCTGAGCAAAGGAGAAAGAGCCCCTTATAAAACCAACAGATCTTGTGATAACTCACTTATTATCAGGAGAACAGCACGGCGGAAGCCAACCCCATGATTCAATTACTTCCACCTGGTCACTCCCTTGACACATGGGGATTATGGGGATTATAGGAATTACAATTCAAGATGAGATTTGGGTGGGGACACAAAGCCTAACCGTATCACTGGCCAACATCTTAGCACCTAATGAGAAAGATAGAAACAGAGCTCTCATATTACTCAGACAGTTTACTGCCAAATTGTGAGCAAGAGTCATCAGAGGGGGGGTGAGACATGCAGGGAGCTGTCAATCAGCTTCTCTGACTACCATTAAATTCACACTTGCACACAAAGCACATATGAGCAGTGAAAAGGGAACAAGAGGAAATCTGAAGGCTAAATTGTCATTCTCCCCAGAGGGAGAAAAGTTCTGAAACTATCAAAGCGAAGGTTCTACTTTGATCTTCTCTTTCTTTCACATCAAAATTGTCCACACAGCTCCTGCCATGACCAACACTTCCACTGAGTTTCTCAAGGAGAAATGGCGACACAGCCCTCCTGTGCTTCCCGAGGAATAAAGACTGTACCTGAACTGAGCATTGCTGTGGGATCCGCTTGTTGCTGGCAGGCTAATAAGAGAAAAGATTCACTACTGTGAATCAAGTAAATAAACATGCCTAGGAAATACTATGGCAGCAGATAACACTGAGAGAAAAATGAGAATCAGTACTATTTTTAGTGGCAGCTTTCTGATGATAATTGTACTTGAAGAGAAACTAGCGTGAACAATATAAAGGCAAAGTTAATTTCAGATCCTAAGCTTGCTGTACTGTTCTTGGATTATTTGAAATACAATGTAATCCACAGTCATTTTAACTGTGTGACAAGGAAATCTGGGGACACCTTAAGTAGCTGCTGGGAGGCTCGGGGGTAAATGAGAGTGGAGGAAAGTTGATCATAGAAACATATTTTACTTTTAAAATATCTTATAGAGTGTATCCCCTGCTCCCTTTCAGGCTAACATTTGCTGGAGACTTATGTTCCAGGTACTGTGTTAACTACTCTAGTGAGAATGATCTCATTTAATTCTCACAGCCTTGTGAGGTAGATGTTATTGTTTCCATCTTACAGAAGCCATGCAGCTTGTAAAGATGGAGCTAGAATTTTTAACCCAGTCTTTCTGACTCTAGAGTCAAATCACTGTGCTAGTGTAGATGGAGAAAGGAGATTCTGGGGCTCAAAAAACAATGCCTCCTAATGAGGGTCCCAACAGCAGCTTCAGAAGCAAAACCTTTTCTGTCACCTTCTCCTGCCTTCATCCCTCTCAGTCCCATTCTCCCCCCAGGCTAGCCATAGAAACTAGAATTTCTCTTCCCCAACATGGGACATAGAAGCCAGAATCCCTTTTTCCTAAAGCCAGTCATAAAACCTAAAAAATCACTCTAACTTTCCCTCCACCTTATCTATGTAAAAACCAGCCATAAAGAAATTATCTGACCTAACTTGTTTGATGATCGGTCATAAGATCCCCATTCCAGAGAGGGTCCTGCTGCACACCCAGAAGGAAGAAATGCATGCTCAGAGAGGCCAAGAAGAATCTAGACAGACAGGCCTTGCTGGGTGTCCCCAGTGTCTATTAGCATTCAATCATGCCTTTTTTGTCCAACCATATTTCTATAATAGAAGGCTGCCTCATATTTTGTTGAACCTCAGCATAAAAATGGACAATTTCCCCTGTCTTTGGGTCTTTATTCTGAAGACTCCTGTGTATATACATTAAATAAATGTGTACACCTTTTCTCCAATTAATCTGTCTTTCATGAGTTGGTTTTCAGTGAACCTTCAGTGGGCCAAAGTGAAAGCTCTCCTTTGGCCCCCACAGTGATAATTCACCCTTCTACTTTCTGTCATTTGCTATAAAAAAGAATCATGCCCTAATACTTGCGCTGACCTACACATCCATCCCTGAGAACAGGACCCAGGGCTGCTGATGTGAGCAGAGCTGTCTCAGTGAGCCAGAGGTAATGATGGCTACAGCCTTCCCAGCACAACTGGAGTGCCTCCCTGTGGATCTACACAACCAGGGTCCCTCTCTCATCCTGAGTCCAGGCCCCGGCTTCACGGCACAACTCCTGTCATCACTTTATCCAGATCAGAACCCTGAGACACAGGCTGTCAGGGCCCACTCTAACCACAACTCTGCCATCGCCCATGGAGCAGGATGGCTCGGAGAGTCTTCCACAGTCTACAAAACTCAGTCTCTCCTTCCTTTTCCTGCCCTTAAGCTACAAAGTAGCCAGATTCAGGTTCATTCAATACATGTATGAACACAAACAACCTTCATTCATATAAACTATACCAAAGGCTGAGCTCACAGGATCAGTAAGGAACGAATTCTCTCCACATTTTATGAGACTCTGAGTATTAGTGTTCAAGGTGTAAATACAGGTCCCACTGTGGGGGCTCCATCCATGAATATTGTTGTGGACCTGTATTCAAACATATTCAGATTAAGATGAGAGCCAAATCAAACTGCAAGCATAGGACAGGAGGGAAAAATTCCCATTGTAAAGGAGGCAGGTCTAAGAAGCTTTGCAAAGCACAGCATGCTTGCTGACAGACCACAGGGTGCTGTGATGTGGTCTTCTTATCTCATTTCCAACAGCCTGTGGAGAAAATTTTCTTAGGAAGGAAAAAAAATCATAACTTCATAAAGGAATTTCATGAGACAATAGTATTTGCCTTTAAGGAAAAGTCTTATCCTGATAACCTACCTGGAATACTTTGTATCATTTTAAGAAAATTTCAGTTCTAAGTGACAGAAGATCCAACTCAAACTAGCTTGAGTTAAAAGAGAACTTGTTAGTGGATGCAACAGGCCTAGAGCTAGCTTCTGACACATATGAATTCAAGGACACAAACTCTGTCACCAGAATCTGTCCTCTTTCCCTACCTGGGTTCTGTTCTCCTTCATGTTGCTTCCACTGTGAGTGTCCGCTTGGTGGTGGATAGGACCATCAGCAGCTCCTGTCCTAACACTCTCCAGAGTTCAGGCGGAGTTTGCAGAATAAGTGTTCTGGGTGCCACTCTGATTGGCCTGGCTTATTTCATGCACTCATCCTTCATCACATCCCTGTGGCCAGGGGCATCGAGTGCACTTTCAGCCAAATTGAATCCCACGTCCACCCACAGAACCATAAGGGGTTAGAAAGAAAAGGTCCCCATTGGTAATTCAAGAAACTATTTCTAAAAAATGGCAGGGGGGCGTGGGGGGTGGAAGGCCTAAAACCAATAGAGGTTCTCTCTATAGCATCTCCTTATAAAACAGAAGTACTTGTATTCATTTATTAAAATTATTCAGTGCTGACACATAAAACATCTAACTATGAGTACATTTAGGCACCCCCCTGCCATGTAGTATTTTTAGATGGACCTAACATATTGGCATATATTTCTAAGATTTGGGTACCCACTGGTATGAAAATGCTTCCAAAAATTATGTAGGCCTAAAATTAAAATCAAAGACCAAGACCAAAGAATCTTGTATTTCTATCTCAGATTGGCTCCTAACTCATAAAATGTTATCCCGATAAATTTACATAAACGTTCTGTACTATTCTCTTTATTTCCGGTTTGCCTTCCTCTCACAAAAGATGTGCCTGCAGGTCTTAGGTATTTTTACTTTGTATTAAATGCAAAGGTATGTAACTCTAAGAGATTTTCAATGGAGATAGTGAAGGAGATTTGCCTCTTTTTATAAAATGATTCATATCTTTTCTGTTGACTCCTCCAGATCCACTGTCCCTGATTTTCCAACCTAATCTCTGCCCTGGAGAGACTGACTTGTATGATCTACATCAATGGGCTCTCTTATTCTCCAGCTTCTGGTTGGGTTTCAGCCAATGAGGGGACATAGTGGAAGATCAGGAGAGAAAAAGATTAAGAAGCAAGCTGCACCCCTCGACCAAAAATCACATTGCCTAAAACAGATGTCCTTTCTACCTGACTCTCTCCCTAATAGTTCTAATAATTGTTCCCTCCTATTGCACCTGCATGCCCCTAGCTCCTGCACCATCCACCGTGGTTCCCCAACACTTTCCCACACCTTTGTAAACAGTCTCTTCATTAAACTCTTCTCCCATTTTTCTAATTTGAGGGTGTCATTTATTTCCTACTGGAACCATGATTAATATAATCGGTAAAATGTTGACAGAGAGGGGGAGCAGAAAAAAATGGAAAAGTGACAGAAACTTCAGATTAAGAAGTAGACCTAATTAATTATCTGATAAACAATAAAAATGCTATAAGTGGGTCCAACCAATTTGATGTTTGGATTAATTTACATTTTCATTTCAATAAGCCCTTCCAACCCTCACATTAAAGGTGGAAACCAAAAGACTAATAACAACACTCATTGAAAATTTTCCACTTCAGAGGGAGTTTTAGCACATACCTATCATAAATCTCTTAGCTACATTTTTGGTAAACAAGAGAGATCAAAGAAATGAGACAGTAATTCAGGAGGATGCCAAGGAAGACGGAAGATTTTCTATTTGAACTCTTTCCTTCTGCTTGCTTCTTTCACAACAAGCACCATTCACAGCCCCCATATTCATTTCCAACTCAGAGGAACCAGCTGTTTCCATAGGAGTCATTAATGTTTTTCAGAGCGTTCTCTTTGCCAAGGTTCAGACACGATTGTGATCATAAGAAGATGGGCAGGAAGGGAACGAGAAAGTTGCAGAGGGTTAGAAGAGGTGAGATGAAGAAGTGAGAGAATGAGAGGACGGGGGAGGAGAGCAGACATGAGAGGTGGGCACTGGGGAGACTGGACGGCAGGTGGAAGAGGGGCCTCAGAAAATGGAATGGACAAGAGAGGAACAGAGGGACAAGACGGTCGGACCACTGGATATTATGCAAGGAGATTAATTTTGTGGGGAGAGGACTGGCAAAGACCTCATGGTTGCTCAGTAACCAGAGAGCAATAACCTGGAAGCTATTTAGCCTACCTTCCATTGGAAACAAGAGTTACTGTCCAGTATGGTTCTGTGAATGCGTCCTAAGAAGGGCTGATTTACCCATACTTGCCTGCTCTTTGTCAGATCAAGTGACATTTTCTGTTTATAAACAGAGGGTGTTGGGCTGCCACCTTAAGTGATCTAATGGATCTGAGGAACAATTAAAATTAGATGGGCCGGGCGCGGTGGCTCACACCTGTAATCCCAGCACTTTGGGAGGCCTAGGCGGGCAGATCACGAGGTCAGGAGATCGAGACCATCCTGGCTAACACGATGAAACCCCGTCTCTACTAAAAATACAAAAAATTAGCCGGGCGAGATGGCGGGGGCCTGTAGTCCCAGCTACTCGGGAGGCTGAGGCAGGAGAATGGCGGGAACCCCGTGGGGCGGAGCCTGCAGTGAGCCAAGATCGCGACACTGCAGTCCAGCCTGGGCGACAGAGCGAGACTCCGTCTCAAAAAAAAAAAAAAAAAAAAAAAAATAGATGAAGGGAAAAGTCAGGGGTTAGCCTTAAAACTCCCCTGCTTTTAATCGGCATAAATTTTCCTATCAGGGGCTCATTTTCCCTATGGCTGAGCCAGGGGAACCGCTTACGTAGTGGAACGTTTCCCCCTCCTTGGTCTGCAAATCCCTGCTACTGCTGCTGCTTGTTTATTTGTTTGCAGTTAATTATGTTTTAAAGACAGTGGTAAGAGATCCAAGGAGTAAGAAAACATATTTGTTTCATCTTCTTGGCTGATGGACTTTCTTAAGTCTGATTTTTTTTTTTTTTTTGTCTGCCCCCATCCACGGTGGCTGCTTTCAGTTCCCCAATGATTCTGCATTTTAACGAAAAGCGTGATCCTCTTCCATTCAGTTAGTATAATTGTTACCCAGACAAATCACTATAATTAAATTCGGTTTAAAAGTGAGAACCCACCTGCAACCATATGTTAAACCAGCCTTTGGATAAGGAAGTTGGTATTTTCATTTTGTATTAAATGCAAAGTTGTGTAACTACAAGAGATTTTCAATGGAGATAGTTAAGGAGATTTGCCTCTTTTTAAAAATGATTAATTATAATTCACATGTGTCTGAAAAGAAATTACTTGACCCTTAGAAAAACATTTTCATTAAACAGAATCTACCATTAATCAGGCTTCTAGTGAGTGGATTTGGTATTGACACAGAGAAAGTAATGGAAATGAGTAAAAAAATTTTTAAAAAAAGATCCTTTCAGTGAATGTTTGAAATAAGACTAAAACATGGAAGGCTGCTGTAAGAGAACGTTTGGCACTGTCTGGCTCCCCTAACTCTTTCTGCTTCTCTCTCACACACCATGGGGTGGCCTTCACAAACTTAAACCAATCAGCCTATTCAGTCCCTGACCATAGTGATTTCATTAGGAGGCAGGACAATGAAATGTTTGCTAGAACTTCTGGGAAGGAGAAAATTCTTCTCTCTTCTATAGGAACCATTTAAAGAGACTTTCTTTTCCTGGAGTGTGTGATTTGAAGATGTAAGTTTTAGGACTGCTGTAGAATTTTGCAATCCAGAAGGGAGATCTAAAGCAGCTGCATCACTTCAGTGATATCATTTGAGATGTTAGATCAAACTAGTGCTACCTCTGGATTTTTCAGCCATGTGTACCCACATTTATGGCTTAAGCTAATTTAAGTTGAGTTGTCTGTCACTTGCAACCACAAGAATCCTGGCTGTGCTGAGGCAAGGTCAGATCTCCCCCAGTTAGTGACTCAGTAGAAGGAATGTCAATACCTGCATTACTGAGACAGTGCATTAGATCAGGGATCCTGGGCCTGGCTGAGTCACCAGAATCACCTGGGAACTTCTTAAAGGTACATGTAAAAAAAATTAAAGATCAATGATTTTTAAAACAAATCAATTAAAACAAATAGGTGATTTTAGAAAGGGAACCAAGATAAGCATAATTAATGAGCTATATCTAAGAGATAAGGAAATGTTAGAAGATGAGGGCAAATGTAGGCAAGTTTAATTCTCTTTTTTGACTATTATTTATTTGGAGTCATCTAAAAGCAAAGTACTATTACAAAACTCAGTAGAATTGATTACAAAGCTAGATAAGACAAAATCTATCCACTCAAGGGATTTTTTTTAATCACTAGGGAAACTAAACATGTACACTTATAAGTCCATCACTCACAAGACAAGTGCTGAGAAATACTTTCTGTAGTCTTTAACAGCTTACTAAGCATATTCACACTCATCATATCATTTGATTCTCACAACAACCCTTTGAGATAGGCAGTTGCACTTCTCTATTTGGCATAGATTTTAAAAAACTGAGACTAAAAGTGTGCAAAGATAAATATAAATGAATGTCACTGTGGCATTATTTAAAAGAGGAGGAAACAGAAAACTGCCTAAATATCAATAGCAAAGTGGCTAAATACATTTTGTACTTCCATAAAACAGAATGGTAGGCACTGTTAAAATAATGAGGTAAAGTTCTTGTTCTCGGGAAAATGGAGTAAGCACACTCCACCTCATCTTCCATTGAATTAGGATTGCCAAATGTATCAAATAAAATACAGGATGCTTAGTTAAATGTGATTTTCAGGTAAGCAATAATTTTTAGTTTAAATATTTCTCATGCAATATTTAAAATAAACTTATACTAAAAAATTATATAGGATGTCTTATATTTTACCTGGCAACCCTATACTGAATGCCATTAAAATGCTAGACAAAACGAATGGAAAAATTATCTGAAAACTGAAAAGTAAATGGTAGCAGGTAGATTTCTTGGCTAGTTAGGCATTCATGAGCAGGACAGGAGAGGACCCCTTCCTCTAGGAATGTCAGGTGATGATGGTCAGGTGGTTGTTAAACTCTCGTTCTAAAATCATAATTGGTCACAGCTGGCACCAAAGAATGACAGTCTCCCAATAGATAGACAACACCTAGAACTGGTGATCAGCAGCTTCCTGATAAGGTCTCAGGAGATGAGCAAGTGGGCTCAAGCATGCACACTAAGAGGCAAAATGGCAGGGACCCTTCCTCCGGGAACGCTTCACTGGTAAGGGAAAAACACCTCAGGTGAGCATGCACACAACTTCAGTAAACACACTGTGCATGCGGCCCCTCCCAAGTGCTGGCAGGCTACCACACATGCAGACAGCCCACCTCAAGAAAAAATCAAGGAGAAATGAAAACCCCAGAACCATGCCAATGTATAAAATCCAAAGTCAAGGGCCGAACAGGGCACTTAGATTGCTCCAGTTGCCTGCTTGGCCCTCTTCCACATGTACTTTGCTGCCTTTCATTCTTGCTCTAAAACTTTTTAAGAAACTTTCACTCCTGCTCTAAAACTTGCCTTGGTCTCTCACTCTACTTTATGCTCCTCAGCTGAATTCTTTCCCCCAAGGAGGCAAGAGTTGAGTTTGCTGAAGATGGGTCAGACTTGCCACTGGTAATAGATTGAGAAAGAAAAACTCAAATTATGAACAATCTAGCGGTAAACTTCCTGAGTTTTTCATTTTTTGTTTTTCTTTCCTTATCTTCAAGCCTAGACTGAAAAGCAACCTAAACCCCAGAGCTGTGGACTCACCACAGATCAGGTGCTCCAAAAGAAGCCCTCTCTTTCTGATCTGAGGAGTGAGAAATGGGTCCCTTTACAGGACACAGAAAATGAGAGAAATGCCCTGCATTCCTTCCTTCCTTCTTTCCTCCCTTTCTTCTTTCCCTCCTCCCTCCCTCTTTTTCTCCCTCTGTTTCTCCTTCTTTCTTTTTCTCTTTCCTAACCAAGACTCCAAGCAAGCTATAGTCCACAGAAAAACAAAGTCCACAGAAAGCTGGTAGAATGCAAAGCAGCTGGATGATGGCAGTTTTGACCAATAGGCACATGCAACTCTAAGAAGGAGAACTCCTCTTTGGCAAAAGATCCACTTCATACTTTTGTATTCAAGAAAATTCGAGATGGGTGTATATATATATACACCCCCAAAGGACCAGAAAGAGGCTCTCCTGGATGCAGAGAGTGTTGGGGAGATTAAATAGAAGAAGCCACTCAAACAAAGGATCCTATATATCTGTCATTAAATTCTGGGCTCACCCTTGAAGTGTGCATGCATGGAAATGATCCTAAACAATACACTAGCTCGAGAGCTGAACTATGGGATAGAACACCACTTAGGTCCCAGATTGCCTACTGGGTGGCGCACACACACAGTACGGATTTGAATAATTTTCCAAAAGCTTTGAAAACACAGTCCACAGAAAGCAGGTAGGAACATGCAACTTAAACATAATAAGTTTAAATACCTTATGAGGTGGCCAGCCTCCAAGATGGCCCCCAATGACCCCACATCCTGGTATTCACACCCTCTCCTCACATACTGTACCAAGATTGGTCTACATGGCCAATAGAGTAGGGCAGAAGTGACTGCTTGTCTCTTTCGAGGTTACAAGACTGTGGCTTCAGAATTGGGTTCACTCTGTCTTGATCACTCTATCTAGGGGAAGTTATGTCATGACCAGCCCTACAGAGAGGCCCACATGGGTGGTGCAGAACTGAAGTCTCCTGTCAACCTCCACATGAGTGAGCTTGGAAGTGGATCCTCAAAATCCGGTCAAGCTTTGATTGCAGCATCATGAGATATCCTAAGCCAGAAGCACTGAGCTAAGTCACTCTTAGCTTTCTGACCCTCTGAAGCTGTGAGATAATGTTTGCTGTGTTAAGCTCCTGGGGTTTGGCATAATTTGTTATGCAGCAGCAGATAACTAATATGCCTACCAAAACAAGCAAGCAAAAAGCAACATTCTCCATAGGATTCAAACAAGACATAGAGTCTTATAACAATCAAAACGTCAATGATGCAATCCAGATTACTTGACAAAAGAACTGAGAAAAATCTCAACAATTTGCAAGGAAAAAGATAATCAACAAGAAGAAGCAAACAACCTAATTTCAAAGAGCTGGCAAGGATGCTAGGTTTACCCCTAAGTATATCATTTTTAATGTAACTATTGAAAAATTATATTTTTACTTTATTTTCCAAATCCCTATTGCTAGTACATAAAAATATAACTGACATTTTTATGTTGACCTTGTATCCTGTAGTGTTGTTAAATTCATGTATGCAGACTTTTAGCAGATTCCTTGAGATTTCCTATGTAGACACAATCATACTGAGTAAAAGAATCCAGTTTCCAAATGTTACATAATGTATGATTCCATTCATATGACTGAAAAGGGCCAGAGGTTACAGGTGGGGAAAGGTTCTTAATACAAAAGGGTAGCACAAGGGAATTTTTGAAGTCATATAAATGTTCTTTATTCTGCATATGTGTTGGTGCACATATACAATATATGCATACACAAATCCATATATGTGCTTAAACTCAAAACTGTATATCAAAAAAATCAATGTGTGCAAATTTAAAGCAATAAAACCATAAAAATGAGAGAAGCCTGTAATATATAATGCTTCCCATAAAAAGTCTCAAAAGTTGTTTTATAGTATTACATATTCTCCTAATTATAGGTAAAATGTGTGAATGTTTACGCACTTGTATGCCTATGTGTTTGTAGGTATGCATTATGTGAGTACAGAAATATCTTTAAGAATCCAAAGTAAATTATTAACAGAAGTGGAATTGGGGAGGAGTAAAAAATTTTACTTGAGTAAACTTTTTTATTTTATTTTTTATAACCAACTTGTATAATATTTGTAAATCATTCAAATTAAGATTTGTGTAATGAGAAAAATTGAGGCCCAGATACACTGTCTTGTCCAAGGTCATACAATGACATAATCAAAAGGATTCTAACATTTTATGCCTAATGTTCTTTTCAATAAATCAGAGGCAATGGATTCTAAAGAAAGTCAGAAAGCAGAGACTGGGCAGTTAAGAAAGGTATTGTAGAGGAAGAGGCATTTTGAGCCATGCCTTAAAGGATTAGAAAAACTTCAAAGATGTAGATTATGGGAGGGAATTTTTGGTGAGGAGAATATCTTAAGCACTAGAGCAGGGTCAGGAAAAAATAAAGCCTGTTCAGAGTAGTTCAGATTAATTAGATCAATTATATAGATATACATATGGCATTAGTACAAAACGATGCAGAGATTTTGCAGGGCATGAGAACTTCGAAAAGACTCTATGATAATTAGGATTATATTAATAGGTTTCAGAGGAATTTCAGGGGAAGTAGAAGGGAAAGAAGCCAGAGTGCAGGAGGTTAAAAAACAAGTAAATGATGTGTCAATAAGACACAGGGATATGTTTGGATGAGAAAGAAAATTACAGGAAAGTAATTTAAAGGGAAAGTAGTATCAGTGAAAGAATTGAAGGAGGGTAAGCTTTATGATAATTGATAATGGGCATGTTTCAGGCAAAAAGAAATATGGGCAAGTGAAAAAAGAAAAGCACCAAAGAGGCAGCATTGATGAAACAAGAGCCAATAGGAGGGTGAATATAGGGATAAGGGTATGGCTTTGGCTCTGAGGCTTGCTTCTTGATTGATTGTTTGTTTCATTGAAGAAACAAGGGCCAATAAGAGATGAGGGTAGAGATGGAGGCATTAGCCTTGCCTTTGAGATTTGTAGAGGACTAAAAGGGATTTTTGGAAATGACAAAGAAAAAATGTGGAAGATAATATGGCAGATTGTATTTTTCTCAGGTGGCTGCAACCATACCTACCACCCTGCATGCTCTTCTTGCAATTTTATTTTTGGTATTTCTCTCTTTAAAAGGTAGGGTCAATTGCCTTTCCCTCTTACATATGGGTGAGATTTGTGACCATTTCAACCAATAAAGTTCAGCAGATATGAAAGCTAGGATAGAGGTTAGCATATAAAAGAAAATACAGCTTCTACTTTGCTCACTGGAACACTCATGCTCAAAGCCTCAAACTATCACTACTCAGTAAGTCCAAAGACTTTGAGTCTGCCATCCTATGAGAAAGCCAACACACATGGAGAAGCCATATACAGGTGCTCTAGTCTACAGTATTTGTCTTTGTTCCTCTTTTCCCATCCACCAGACATGTGAGTAAATTAGTCTTCCAATAATTCCAGCTCCCCCGTCATCCCAGTTAAGACCCCCAGATACCATGGAACAGAGGTAAATCATACTCACTGTATCCTTTCTAAATTCCTGACACACAGATAATGAAGTAGTTGCTGTTTTATGCCACTTACTTTGGGGAGCTTTGTTATATAGCAATAATCAGAACAGAGCACCTCAATTTATTAGAAAACCACGGTTCTGTGTTTAATGGGTTATGATGCAGGCTGAGAAAAAGGTAGTAAAAGATGAATCCTGGCCTCAGGAAGTTTATAATCAGAAGACAAAATAAGACATGTACGTAACCACCCAATCACTCATAACTACGTGTAACCACCCAACAAGGCAGGAAGTCAGTAGTGCTGCTAGTGACAACTTTCTCAACAACCTTTCCTTTCCCTGACAACCTTTCCCAGAGAGAGTAAGAAGCCCAGGGTGGGACTAGGGTTTCAATGAGTTAAAGTACTTGGAATAAACTATTACAGTGAGTGTTCTAGAAAGGCAACAAGACATGACTAAAAAGATGATTCAATATCAATGAGGGCACAGCTGGATTTAATAGCACAAATTTGGAAAGGGCCATATCAGCTCAGTTGGATTATGTCCTCTAGCAATGTTTAACAGTTTGGAAGAAGAAGTTGGAAATTCAACAGTGGCAAAGAGCTGAATTTTATCTGGCATGACAATTACTTGCACACTCCTTGATTCATTTAGCAAATATTTGTTAAACACCTACTCTATGCCAGGCACTATGCATGATAGAATGAAAGGGGGACTATATAGCTGAGTATTAAAATATACTGAAATAGGAGGGCTTTGAGAAAATTTTGAGAAAGTTTTTGAATGGAAATGAGACAGATCTTCTTTCCAGTAATAGCATTAAAGTGAGTATAAATATCACAATTAAAAGGAAGTAAGCCTGAGATAAATTAAGGCCCCTCGCACTCCTAAGATTCTGTAATTTGGTAAGGCCTGAAGTGAGGTCTAAGGGAGGGTAATAGTTACAAGGAGGCCATAACTAAATAGTATTTGAGAGTTGGTCAAATTAAATTTTAACTTACTCTTGGTTCTGAATTATTCTCCTCTAAGCCACCAAACAACAGTTAGTCTGAAGATGGACAGTGGCTAGCTATGATTTCAAGAATAAGTAGTTATTTCCCAAAAATATATTTCAAAGTTTGGCTGGATTTCTTTTCAAGGAAGTTATGTTTAGCCCATCTAAAGACTTACATCTCATATTAATTGTATTTTACTGATCTGATAATTTAAAATGGTACCTTCCTGTTTTACTTTTCAATTCCCTGGGAACTAATGAAGTTGAACATATTTTCATTAGCGATTGTCCACTTGGGCTTCTTGCTTTTTAAGGTGCCTTTTCATACACTTTGCCCATATTGCTACTGTATTCTTGTAGGGTTTTTAAAAATATATTTGGGATTTATATGTGGTTTCTGTTTAAAAAAAGGACTGATATTTCACACGTTTTGAGTTTAAAAGAATCTTTGGTGCTCTAAGAACTGAAGAAAACTGTCCTGACATTATCCTTTTCATCAGTTTTTAAAAATAATCTCAGCTGTTCTGGAATGCTTATTCCAAGTCTTACTGGCACATACTGGTGACCCTTGTTCCACACTATGTCATATCAGCTAAAGACAAATGATGTTTTACAGCTGTTTGCCTATGAGTTGTTTTGCAACAGAATGCAGCAGACTGTCTGAGTTTTTTTAGTAATCATCTTAGATTTATGGCTTGTACTTGGCTTTGGTGGAACTAGGCAGGTTTAACAGTTAAATCTAGTCACTTAACTATAATGTGCCTCTATGGCCATCTCAGCATAAAAGAACTGGACCTGGAGCAGTCTTTGAGCTTCCTAGTAATGAGATGCTTTGCACACACAGTGGTGGTGGTTTGTGACCTGGAAACAAAGCATGTTTTATTCGACCCAGCAACAGAAGGACAAAGAAACTTAGATAAGAAATCTCCTGACATTTTAAATACATATTCTTTTCCTGATATTGTTGTCCTGTATCCTTTGCTTGTAATAAAAGTGTTCGAAGAGTATAAATGATTTGAGTCTTATGAGTCATTTCAGCAATCAGTAATGGAACAGTTAAGGTAATTGATATAATTAATGCACATAGTATGGGGGTTAGGAAGGCATGAAGAAGATCTCTAAGGGAAAACTTATTTATTTATTTATTCAGCCTTTACTGAGTGTTTACTGGCTCCAAAAATCTCACTAGGCTAGAAAACGAAATCCTGCAAGAGGGAAGAGAAAAAAAAAATCTCACTAGCAATTGGCAGACAAAAATAACTCAGGCATGACCCTTGATCATAAGATATTCACATTGTGAAGAAAAATATAGACATACAAACAAAAGATCACAACCGATTGCAATAACTTCTGAAAGAGGGATGCGTAAAAGCAGTGAAAAAGAGAGTAAATCTTTTTGAGGGAGTTTGTTAGGGCTTTGTATTTAAGCTTAGTCATAAAAGATGGGCATGACTTATCAAGGAGAAGTAAAAAATGCAAATGCAAGGGAGAAATATATTCCAAGAAATTGATGTGTAGTTTTGTTTATAAATTTTCATTAACATATACAAGTGAGTTTAACATTTTTTGAGAAAATAATTTTTTGATTTCATTAACAGAGAGCCTTTTAAACAAATTATGGCAACATTTGTGCCACTGAATACTATACAACATGTATATATACATATATAAAGAAAAAGAACATTCTCTAAATACTAATAAAGAAAAATATCCACCACAATGTAGAATAGATCTCCATAATTCTGGTCCTATAGGAAGACTATGTCCAAAGAATATGAGTTACTCATGAAAATTACATCCTCTTTGACATAGTGAATGAGGCAAAAGCAATATTGGAAGAAACATTGTGGCAATTTTCCAAAATAGTTTAAAAACATGAAGCCATGGGTGGGAACAGTGGCTCATGCCTGTAATCCCAGCACTATGGGAGGCCGAGGAGGGCAGATCGTTTGAGATCAGGAGTTTGAGGCCAACCTGGCCAACATGGCAAAATCCCATCTCTACTAGAAATACAAAATTTAGCCAGTCGTGGTGGTGCACACCTGTAATCCCAACTACACAGGAGGCTGAGGCAGGAGAATCAGTTGAACTTGGGAGGCAGAGGTTGCAGTGAGCAGAGATCATGCCACTGCACCCCAGCCTCGGTGACAGAGCAAGACTACATCTCAAAAATATATATATATATATGTGCGTGTATATATATATATATATATAGAGAGAGAGAGAGAGAGAGAGAGTGCTAAAAGTAATAGAACTCTAAGTAGAAATAGACAAATCCACAATCACATTCGGAGATTATGACAAATTTTCTCATTAATCTATAAGTTAAGCGAAGGGAAAAAATCATTAATAATGTAACTTGAACAACATGATAAAAAAATATAATTTGCTGAACACATGTAGAACACTGCACTCAACAGCTATAGAATACACATTCCTTTCAACTGTGTATAGTATATTTGTGAAAATTGATTATAACTTAGGCCACAAAAGAAATCTTAGCAAATTTCAAAAGATTAAAATTATATAAAATTTTATGTCCAGGATCACAATGTAATTAACCTACAAATCAACAAGCGAAAGATAAATGAAATCAACTATCTTCAGAAATTTAAAAATACACTATAACTATATGTTAAAGAAAAAAATCATAGTAGTAAATATTTGAACTGAATACTAATAAAAATATTATACTTTTAAAAATTTTAAATTCAGTCAAAAATTTCAGAGGTATTTGTAGCTTTAAATGTATACAAGAAAGGGAAAATGCTAAAAATCAGTGATCTAAGCATTTATTTCAAATTTTAGAAAAATAAAGCCTGAAAAAAAGCAGAAAGAAGAAAACAATTAATAGAAGAAATTAGTGAAATAACTGTAGAAGGTACAATAATGAATCAACAAAACAAAAAACTGTTTTCAGAAAAAGTCTAATAAAATTGACTAAAAATTCTTGCAAGATCAACAAGGTTTCAGGATAACAGATTAATACACAAAAATCAATTGTATTTCTGTAAACTACCTATGAACACTCTGAAAATTAAATTAAGTAAAACGTCCTTTTACAACATCAAGAAAAATAAAATAGTTAGAAATAAGCTTGATGAGGAATGCAAAACTTCTACACTAAAAACTATGAAACATTATTGAAAAAAATTAAAGACCTAAATAAGTAGAAAGATCTCCCATGATCATGTATTGGAAGGTGTAATATTATTAAGATGGCAATACCACTCAAACTGATCTATAGATTGAACAAAATCTCTATTGAAATCCTAGCTGGCTTTTTTTGCAAAAATGTAAAAGCTGATTCTAAAATCCATATGCAAATGCAAGTAACCCAGAATAACCAAACAATCTTTAAGAAACAAGGACAAAGTTGGAGAACACACCCTTCTCAGTTTCAAACCTACTACAAAGTTACAATACCAAGACAGTTTGGTAATAGCATAAGACTAAATATAGCATAAGTCTAGATATATAAATAAATGGAATAGCATTAAGAGTCCATAAATAAACCCTTAGTTTCTGGTAAACTGATTTACCAGCACACCAGGAAAATGCAATGGAAAAATGAATATTCTTTTCAAGAAATGATGCCTGGACAACTGGATATACACATGCAAAAGTATGAAGTTCAGTCCCTCCCTCACATCACATACAGTCATGTGCCACAGAATAATGGTGCAGTCAACAACAGACCATATATGCAATGGTGGTCACATAACATTATAACGGAGTTGAAAAATTCCTATCATCTAGTGCTGTCCTGATGATCCTGACCCTGCGTAGGCCTAGGATAACATGTGTGTTTGTATCTTAATTTTTAACAAAAAAGTTTAAAAAGTAAAAAAGAAAACAAATTAAATAGAGAAAAATCTTGTAGAATAATGATATAAAGAAAGAAAATATTTTTGTACAGCTGTACAATGTGTTTGTGTTTGAAGCGGTATTACAGAAGAGTCAAAAAGTTTTAAAAATTAAAGTTTGTAAAGTTATAGTATGCTAAGGTTAATTTATTATTAAAGAAAGGAAATTATTTTTTATAAATTTAGCATAGCCTAAATGTACAGTTTATAAAGTCTACAGTAGTATACAGTAATGCCCCATGCCTTCACATTTACTCACTACTTACTCACTGACTCATCCAGAACAACTTCCAGTCTTGCAAGGTCCATTCATGGTAAGTGCCTATACCAGTGTACCACTTTTGTATTTTATATTTTATTTATACGATATCTTTTCTATGTTTAGACATGTTTAGGTACACAAATACTTACCATTATGTTACAATTGCCTATAGTATTCAGTACAGTAACATGCTGTACAGGTTTGTAGCCTAGAAACAATGGGCTATACCATATAGCCTAGGTGTGTAGTAGGTTGTCCCATCTAGGTTTGTGTAAATTCACTCTGTGATGCTTGCACAATGACAAAATCACCTGATGACACATTTCTTAGAACATATCCCCCTAGTTAACCAGTACATGATTGTATTTCTTTGAATAAGCTTTTAGTCCCCTTCTCTTTCTCTTCTCCTTTTGTAACTCTCATAATGCACATATTGTTGTCCCATACTCCTTTAAGCTATCTTCACTCTTTTTTCTTAATTTTTGCTCCTCTAAATGGATGATTTCCAATGACCTGGCTTTTTTTCCTGATTCTTTCTTATGTTTGATTTAGTCTTCTGTTGAACCCTTCTATTTAATTTTTCAGTTTAGTTATTGTATTCTTCAGTTCTATAATTCCTATTTAGTACTTTTAAAATATTTTATATTTCTTTGTTGAAATTATAACTTTGTTCATGCTATGGCCCCCTGACCTCAATGAGTATTGTTACGACTGTTATTTTGAATTCTCTGTTTAGTAAATCACATACTTCCATTTCATTAGAGTCAATTTCTGAAGATGTATCTTTACTTTTATTTGGAATACATTTTCTTATTTATTCATTTTCCACAACTGCGTTGGCCTGTGCATTAGAGAAAATAACCACCTTTCCTAGACTTCAAAGACTGGTATTGTATAGAAAACCCTCACTAATCAGCTTGGCCAGATATTCTGGGTGCCTCTCAAGCCTTTATGCTGGTTCAAACTGCTGTCCTTTGTTCTTAGCAGCCCCTAGAAATCTAGAGAATGCCATTTCCCATCAGCACCCAAGACAAACAAAATAGAAGCCAGTTCCTTAAGCAGCAGTCAAAAAAGTTGGGAAGCTAAATCTGTGGTCCACTTTTTTGCACCACAAGGTAAGTTGGGGGCTGGAGTTTATTGCCCACTTGCTCTGCACTGAGGTGAGAGAGCCACTGTGGCAACTTCCCACACAGGTATTAAAACCACACACTTTTTCAAACTACTGTTTGGTCTCTGTAGCCTTCAGGGAACTAACAGATACCAAGTCCCATCAGCTCCCAGAGACAGGCAAGTTAGAAGCCAGTCCCTGGATATTAGCCAGGAAATTTGGGGTGCTAGTTGTGTGATCGAGCTCTTTCTACTGAGAAGCCAGAAGCTTGGTTTTATAGGTTTTATTGCCTGAATAAGCCAGGGGGAGGAGCTATGGGAAGTGCCCTGATACCTGTTCAAAATCACTGCTTGCTTTGTTCTGTATAGCCCCTGGGGACTAGCAAATGCAGGGCCCTGCCAACTTTCTGTGAGGGGGGTCGGGGATGGGGGGGAGAGAGAGAGAGATAGAAGAAAGATGTATTATATGCAATTGGCTCACATGATTATGAAGGCTGAGAAGCCCCAAGATCTGCAGTTGGCGGGCTAGAGACCAAGGAGAGCCAATTTTGTAAATTTTAGTCTCAATCCAAGTCTAGAGGCAGAGAAGACCAAAGTCCCAGCTCAAAGACAATCAAACAAAATGAGAGAATTCTCTTTCACTTAACCTTTTTCTTCTATGCAGGCTTTCAATGGATTGGTTGAGGCCCACTCGTATTAGGAAGGAGAATCTGCTTTTCTCAATCTACTGGCTCAAATGTTAATCTCATCCAGAAACCCTCATTATCCAGAATAATGTTTAACCAAATATCTGGCCACTCTGTGGCCCAGTCAAGTTGGGCATAAAATAAACCATTGCACTGCTATATATACATTTGTTTTTTCTACAGTAATCCTGTGTTTAGTAACTCTGCTACACTTATTTATTAATTCAATAATTTACCTGTAAGTTACTTGAGTTTTCTAAATATACATCATATTATCTGTAAGTAATAATTTTATTTTTCTTGTCCTACCTTTATAAGTTTTATTATGTTTGTTTTGCCTCCTTGAATTTTCTAAAACCTAAGTACAGTGTTTATTAGAAGTGATGAGAGCAGACATTATTGTTTTGTTTCTAATCTCAGAGGGAAAGCATCTGACATTTCACCATTAAGTAAGATGTTTGCTGTAGCTTTTTTATTAGACACATTTTATCACAAGAAAATTCCCTTTTATTCCCAGTTTGCTAAGAGTATGCTTGCTATTAATGTTTTTTAAAGTAGATACATTGCTTCATTCACATCTACTGACTATATAATTTTATTTTCCTTATTTTACTACTGATTTTTTTAAATGTTGCTTTAGCAACATTAAATACTAAGTTTTACATTCTGGAAAATTCCTACTCAGTTATCAGTTTTATATATTGCTTAAGATATTGTTTTCAAATTTGTGCATTTATGTTTATTAATGATATTGGCTTATCATTTTTCTTTTTTACAATGTCTTTATTAAGTTTTGGTATCAAGGTTCAGTGGGCCTAAAATGAGATGAAAAATATTTCCTCTTTTATTTTCTGAAAAAGAAAACATAAACTTGCAACATTTTTTCTTATATATTAACTTAAATTTGCAAAATTATTATTATTTTTTTTTTTTAGAGATGGAGTCTCGCTCTGTCATCCAGGCTAGAGTGCAGTAGCGCCATCTCGGCTCATTGCAAGCTCCACCTCCTGGGTTCATGCCATTCTCCTGTCTCAGCCTCCCGAGTAGCTGGGACTACAGGGGCCTGCCACCACGCCCAGCTAATTTTTTTTTTTGTATTTTAGTAGAGACGGGGTTTCACCGTGTTAGCCAGCATGGTCTCGATCTCCTGACCTTGTGATCTGCCCGCCTCAGCCTCCCAAAGGGCTGGGATTACAGGCATGAGCCACTGCACCTGGCTGCAAAATTATCTTTAATGAGGAAGTAAAGTTATACATATAAATATAAAATTATATAATTGTACAAAAATATATATAATATATAATTATTATACATATAAATATACATTTTAATATACGTATTATATATACACTGTACTTAGGTTTTAGAAAATGCAATTTTTATAAATTATAAATATAAAAGTTATAAATATAAAAATTTTAAAACATTATATATCTATTCAGATTTCCTCACGTATCACTCTCGGTAAAAAATCTTTTCTGGGGGAGGTTCCAAGATGGCCGAATAGGAACAGCTACAGTCTACAGCTCCCAGCCTGAACGACGCAGAAGACGGGTGATTTCTGCATTTCCAACTGAGCTTTGAAGAGAGTAGTTGTTCTCCCAGCATGGAGTTTGAGATCTGAGAACAGACAGACTGCCTCCTGAAGTAGGTCCCTGACCCCCAAGTAGGCTAACTGGGAGGCACCTCCCAGTAGGGGCCGACTGACACCTCATACGGCCGGGTGCCCCTCTGAGACGAAGCTTCCAGAGAAATGATCAGGCAGCATCATTTGCCATTCTGTAATATTTGCGGTTCTGCAGCCTCTGTGGTGATACCCAGGCAAACAGGATCTGGAGTGGACCTCCAGCAGACTCCAACAGACCTGCAGCTGAGGGTCCTGACTGTTAGAAGGAAAACTAACAAACAGAAAGGACATCCACACCAAAACCCCATCTGTACTTCACCATCATAAAAGACCAAAGGTAGATAAAACCACAAAGATGGGGAGAAACCAGATCAGAAGAGCTGAAAATTCTAAAAATCAGAGCGCTTCTTCTCCTCCAAAGGAATGCAGCTCCTCGCCAGCAATGGAACAAAGGTGGACGGAGAATGACTTTGACAAGTTGAGAGAAGAAGGCTTCAGAAGATCGGTAATAACAAACTCCTCTGAGCTAAAGGAGGATGTTCGAACCCAATGCAAAGAAGCTAAAAACCTTGAAAAAAGATTAGACAAATGGCTAACTAGCATAAAGAGCATAGAGAAGACCTTAAATGACCTGATGGAGCTGAAAACCATGGCACGAGAACTACGTGATGCGTGCACAAGCTTCAGTGGCCGATTCGATCAACTGGAAGAAAGAGTATCAGTGACTGAAGATCAAATGAATGAAAGGAAGTGAGAAGAAAAGTTTAGAGAAAAAAGAGTAAAAAGAAATGAACAAATCCTCCAAGAAATATGGGACTATGTGAAAAGACCAAATCTACGTCTGATTGGTGTACCTGAAAGTGATGGGGAGAATGGAACCAGGTTGGAAAACACTCCTCAGGATATTATCCAGGAGAACTTCCCCAACCTAGCAAGGCAGGCCAACATTCAAATTCAGGAAATACAAAGAACACCACAAAGATAATCCTTGAGAAGAGCAACTCCAAGACACATAACTGTCAGATTCACCAAAGCTGAAATGAAGGAAAAAATGTTAAGGGCAGGCAGAGAGAAAGGTCAAGTTACCCACAAAGGGAAGCCCATCAGACTAACAGCAGATCACTCGGCAGAAACTCTACAAGCCAGAAGAGAGTGGGGGCCAATATTTTCAATCCAGAATTTCATATCCAGCCAAACTAAGCTTCATAAGTGAAGGAGAAATAAAATCCTTTACAGACAAGCAAATGCTGAGAGATTTTATCACCACCAGGCCTGCCTTACAAGAGCTCTTGAAGGAAGCACTAAACATGGAAAGGAACAACCAGTACCAGCCACTGCAAAAACATGCCAAATTGTAAAGATCATCGATGCTAGGAAGAAACTGCATCAACTAACGAGCAAAATAACCAGCTAACATCATAATGACAGGATCAAATTCACACATAACAATATTAACCTTGAATGTAAATGGGCTAAATGCCCCAATTAAAAGACAAAGACTGGCAAATTGGATAGAGTCAAGACCCATCAGTGTGCTGTATTCAGGAGACCCATCTCACATGCAGAGACACACATAAACTCAGAATAAAGGGATGGAAGAAGATCTACCAAGCAAATGGAAGACAAAAAAAAGCAGGGATTGCAATCCTAGTCTCTGATAAAAGAGACTTTAAACCAACAAAGATCAAAAGAGACAAGGAAGACTGCTACATAATGGTAAAGGGATCAATTCAACAAGAACAGCTAACTATCCTAAATATATATGCACCCAATACAGGAGTACCCAGATTCATAAAGCAAGTCCTTAGAGACCTACAAAGAGACTTAGACTCCCACACAATAATAATGGGAGATTTTAACACCCCACTGTCAACATTAGACAGATCCACGAGAAAGAAAGTTAACAGGGTTATCCAGGAATTGAACTCAGCTCTGCACCAAGTGGACCAAATAGACATCTACAGAACTCTCCACCCCAAATCAACAGAATATACATTCTTCTCAGCACTACATCGCACTAATTCCAAAACTGACCACATAGTTGGAAGTAAAGCACTCCTCAGCAAATGTAAAAGAACAGAAATTATAACAAACTGTCTCTCAGGCCACAGTGCAATCAAACTAGAACTCAGGATTAAGAAACTCACTCAAAACCACTCAACTACGTGGAAACTGAACAACCTGTTCCTGAATGACTACTGGGTACATAACGAAATGAAGGCAGAAAGAAAGTGCTCTTTGAAACCAATAAGAACAAAGACACAACATACCAGAATCTCTGGGACACATTCAAAGCAGTGTGTAGAGGGAAATTTATAGAAACTAAATGCCCACAAGAGAAAGCAGGAAAGATCTAAAATTGACACCCTAACATCACAATTAAAAGAACTAGAGAAGCAAGAGCAAACACATTCAAAAGCAGCAGAAGGCAAGAAATAACTAAGATCAGAGCAGAACTGAAGGAGATAGAGACACAAAAAACCCTTCAAAAAATCAATGAATCCAGGAGCTGGTTTTTTGAAAAGATAAACAAAACTGACAGATCGCTAGCAAGACTAATAAAGAAGAAAAGAGAGGAGAATCAAATAGATGCAATAAAAAATGATAAAGGGGATATCACCACAGATCTCACAGAAATACAAACTACTATCAGAGAATACTATAAACATCTCTACCCAAATAAACTAGAAAATCTAGAAGAAATGGATAAATTCCTGGGCACCTACACCCTCCCAAGACTAAACCAGGAAGAAGTTGAATCCCTGAATAGATCAATAACAGGCTCTGAAATTGAGGCAGTAATTAATAGCCTATCAACCAAAAAAAGTCCAGGACCAGATGGATTCACAGTTGAATTCTACCAGAGGTACAAGGAGGAGCTGGTACCATTCCTTCTGAAAATATTCCAATCAATAGAAAAAGAGGGAATCCTCCCTAACTCATTTTATGAGGCCAGCATCATCCTGATACCAAGGCCTGGTGGAGACAAAACAAAAAAAGAATTTTAGACCAATATCCCTGAAGAACATTGATGCAAAAATCCTCAATAAAATACTGGCAAACCGAATCCAGCAGCACATCAAAAAGCTTATCCACCATGATCAAGTGGACTTCATCCCTGGGATGCAAGGTTGGTTCAACATACGCAAATCAATAAATGTAATCCATCATACAAACAGAACCAAAGACAAAAATCACATGATTATCTCAAAAGATGCAGAAAAGGCCTTTGACAAAATTCAACAGTCCTTCATGCTAAAAACTCTCAATAAATTAGGTATTGACGGGACGTATCTCAAAATACTAAGAGCTATTTGTGACAAACCCACACCCAATATCATACTGAATGGGCAAAAACTGGAAGCATTCCCTTTGAAAACTGGCACAAGACAGGGATGCCCCCTCTCACCACTCCTATTCAACATAGTGTTGGAAATTCTGGCCAGGGCAATGGGCAGGACAAAGAAATACAGGGTATTCAATTAGGAAAAGAGGAAGTCAAATTGTTCCTATTTGCAGATGACATGATTGTATATTTAGAAAACCCCATCAGCTCAGCCCAAAGTCTCCTTAAGCTAATAAGCAACTTCAGCAAAGGCTCAGGATACAAAATCAGGGTACAAAAATCACAAGCATTCTTACACACCAGTAACAGACAAACAGAGAGCCAAATCATGAGTGAACTCCCATTCACAATTACTACAAAGAGAATAAAATACCTAGGAATCCAACTTACAAGGGATGTGAAGGACCTCTTCAAGGAGAACTACAAACCACTGCTCAATGAAATAAAAGAGGACACAAACAAATGGAAGAATATTCCATGCTCATGGATAGGAAGAATCAATATCGTGAAAATGGCCATACTGCCCAAGATAATTTATAGATTCAATGCCATCCCCATCAAGCTACCAATGACTTTCTTCACAGAATTGGAAAAAACTACTTTAAAGTTCATATGGAACCAAAAAAAGCCCGCATTGCCAAGACAATCCTAAGCAAAAAGAACAAAGCTGGAGGCATCACGCTACCTGACTTCAAACTATACTGCAAGGCTACAGTAACCAAAACAGCATGGTACTGGTACCAAAACAGAGATATAGACCAATGGAACAGAATAGAGGCCTCAGAAATAATACCACACATCTACAACCATCCAATCTTTGACAAATCTGACAAAAACAAGAAATGGGGAAAGGATTCCCTATTTAATAAATGGTGTTGGGAAAACTGGCTAGCCATATGTAGAAAGCTGAAACTGGATCCCTTCCTTACACCTTACACAAAAATTAATTCAAGATGGATTAAAGACTTAAATGTCAGACCTAAAACTATAAAAACCCTAGAAGAAAACCTAGGCAATACCATTCAGGACATAGGCATGGGCAAGGACTTCATGGCTAAAACACAAAAAGCAATGGCAACAAAAGCCAAAATTGAGCAATGGGATCTAATTAAACTAAAGAGCTTCTGCACAGCAAAAGAAACTACCATCAGAGTGAACAGGCAACCTATAGAATGGGAGAAAATTTTTGCAATCTATCCATCTGACAAAGGGCTAATATCCAGAATCTACAAAGAACTTAAACAAATTTACAAGAAAAAAAACAAACAACCCCATCAAAAAGTGGGCAAAGGATATGAACAGACACTTCTCAAAAGAAGACATTTATGCAGCCAATAGACACATGAAAAAATGCTCATCATCACTGGTCATCAGAGAAATGCAAATCAAAACCACAATGAGATACCATCTCACACCAGTTAGAATGGCGATCATTAAAAAGTCAGCAAACAACAGGTGCTGGAGAGGATGTGGAGAAATAGGAACACTTTTACACTGTTGGTGGGTCTGTAAAGTAGTTCAACCATTGTGGAAGACAGTGTGGTGATTCCTCAAGGATCTAGAACTAGAAATACCATTTGACACAGCCATCCCATTACTGGGTATATACCCAAAGGATTATAAATCATGCTGCTATCAAGACACATGCACACATGTTTATTGCTGCACTATTCACAATAGCAAAGACTTGGAACCAACCCAAATGTCCATCAATGATAGACTGAATTAAGAAAATGTGGCACATATACACCATGGAATACTATGCAGCCATAAAAAAGGATGAGTTCATGCCCTTTGTAGGGACATGGATGAAGCTGGAAACCATCATTCTGAGCGAAGTATCACAAGGACGGAAAACCAAACACCGCATGTTCTCACTCATAGGTGGGAATTGAACAATGACAACACTTGGACACAAGGTGGGGAACATTACACACTGGGGCCTGTCATGGGGTGGGGGGAGTGGGGAGGGATAGCATTAGGAAATATACCTAATGTAAATGACAAGTTAATGGGTGTTGCACACCAACATGGCACATGTATGCCTATGTAACAAACCTGCATGTTGTGCACGTGTACCCTAGAACTTAAAGTACAATAAAAAATTTAAAAATAAAAAATTTTTCCCTGGGAGTTTGCTCATGTCATCAAAATTTTCAAATTTATTTTCATAAATTTTTTTGAAACATCTTATTTTTTTTTAGTATTTGTGGGACATATTGTAGTGTTATTTTTATTAGTATTATTGATTACCTTTTTTGTCCTTTCTTTTTAATAACAGCTTTGAGATAAATTTACATAAAATAAAATTCACATGCCATAATATTGTAAAGTGTTTTTTAGTATATTCATAGTTGTGCAACCATTACTACTATATAATTTAAGCATATTTTTATTACCCCAAAAGAAACTCTGTACCCACCACCAAGCAAGGACACTCCATTTTCCCCTACCCCCAGTCTTAAGCAATCACTAATCTACTTTTTGTACCTATGAATTTGCTTATTCTGGACATTGTACATGGATGACATTATACAATATGTGGCCTTTTGTGACTGGATTCCTTCAGTTAGCAAAATGTTTTCAAAGTTCATCCATGTCGTAGCATGTATCAGTAGTTTGTTGCTTTTTATTGCCAAATAACACTTCATTGTATAGATACTACACATTTTGTCCTTTCACTCATTAGTTAATGTATCTTTGAGCTTGTTTTTCACTTTTTATCCATTATGCTGCTATATAAGTTTTTATGTTTACATATGTTTTCAATTATCTTGTGTATATATCTAGAAGTGGGGTTTCTAGGTCATACTCTAGGTTTAATGTTTTTGAAAAACTGTCAAACTGTTTGGCAGAGTGGATGTACCATTTTACAGCCCCACCAGCATTCACTGAGGGTCTCAATTTCTCCATATCCTCTATAAACTTGTTACTGCCTATATTTTATATTTTAGCCATTCTAGTGAGTATGAAGTGGTATCTCATTGTGGTTTGATTTGTACTTCCCTAATAACTAGTGAGGCTAAGCATCTTTTCATGTAATTATTAGCCATCTTAATATCTTCTTTGGGATAAAAGCTTCTTTTTCTATTTTTAATTAGGTTATTTCTCTTTTATTATTAAGTTTCAAGGATTTCTTAAATATTCTAGATACACATTCCTTACCAGATATATATGTGCAAACATTCTCTCTCATTTTGTTGGTTGTCTTTTTATTTTCTTAACTGTGTCCTTTTGAAACCCAAACATTCAAAATTGTGATAAAGTCTCATCTACCTATATTTTCTTCTGTCACTTGTGATGTTGGTATTATAGGTAAGAAATCATTGCCTAACTCAAAGGCATGAAGATTTCCTCTTTTTGGGTTTTATAGTTTTAGCAGTTATATTTAGAACTATGATCCATTTTGTGTTAATGTTTGTACAGTTGTATGTCATTTACTGATGGGAATATGTTCTGAGAAATGTGTTGTTAGGGGATTTTGCTATGCAAACATCATAGAATGAATTTACACAAACCTAAATAGTATAATGGTATAGCCTACTATATACTTAGATTTTATGGTATAGCTTATTGCTCTTAGGCTATAAACCTGTATAATATGTTATTCTACTAAATACTGTAGGCAATTGTAACACAATAGTAACTATTTGTATATCTAAACACATCTGAACATAGAAGAGGTACCATAAAATACAGTATAAAGGATTAAAAAATGGTGCACTTGTATAGGGCACTTACCATGAATGGAGCTTTCAGGACTGGCAGTTCTTCCAAGTGAGTCAATGAGTGAGTGGTGAGTGAATATGAAGGTCTAGGACATTAACATACACTACTGTAGACTTTATCAACACTGCATACTTAGGCTACGCTAAATTTATTTAAAAATTATCTCTCTTCAATAATAAATTAACCCTAGCTCACTGTTAATTTTCTTCTTTACAAACTTTATAATTTTTTTTTTTTGAGATGGAATTTCACTCTTCTTGCCCAGGCAGGAGTGCAATGGTGCAATCTCAGCTCACTGCAACCTCCACCTCTCAAGTTCAAGCAATTCTCCTGCTTCAGCCCCAGAGTAGCTGGGATTACAGGCACCCACCACCACTCCCAGCTAATTTTTTTGTAATTTTAGTAGAGACAGGGTTTCACCGTGTTTGCCAGGCTGGTCTCGAACTCCTGACCTCAGGTGATCCGCCCACCTCAGCCTCCCAAAATGCTGGGATTACAGGTGTGAGCCACCGTGCCCGGCCCAAACTTTTTAATTAAAAATAAATTTACTCCTTTAATAACACTTAGCTTCAAACACACTGTACAGGTGTACAAAACTATTTTCTTTCCCTATAAGTTTTTTTTCTATTTACACCTTTTTTGCTTTTTAAAATTTTTGTTAAATAATGAGACATGAACACTAACATTAGCCTATCCCTACACAGGGTCAGGATCATCAGTATCACTGTCTTCCACCTGTACATCTTGTCCCACTGGAAGGTCTTCAGAGGCAATAGCATGCATGAGGCTGTCATCTATGGTAACAATGCCTTCTTTAGAATACTTCTGGACCTACCTGAAGCTGTTTTATAGTTAACTTTTTTTAATAAGTAGAAGGATTGCACTCTAAAATAATGATTAAAAGTATACTATAGTAAATACACAAACCAGTAACATGGTCATTTATTATCATAATAACATAATTGTATTTGCTATACTTTTATATAACTGACAATGCAGTAGGTTTGTTTACACCAGCATTACCACAAAAATGTGAGTAATATGTTGGACTAAGATGTTACAATGGCTAATGTCACTAGATAATAGGAATTTTCAGCTCCTTCATAATTTAACGGGACCACTGTCATATATGCAGTTCGTCATTGACCAAAACATCATAATGACAGTAATGGCTGAAAACTTTCCAGGTCTCTGGAAGGCAATAGACGCCAGATCCAGGAATCCCAAAGGATATCAAATAAATGAACTCAAAGAAATCTACACTGAAAACACATTATAATCAAATAATCAAAAGTCAAAAACAACGAGAATTTTGAAAATGGCAAAAGTGTCTTGTCACATACAAAAGAACTTACACAGGGCTATAAGTAGATTTTTCAGGAGAAATCTTGCAAGTCAGATGGGAGTGGGATGATATATTCAAAGTGCTAAAACAAAACAACAACAACAAAAATCTGCTGATCAGGAATACCATGTCTCGCAAAATTGTCTTTCAAAAATGAAGAAGAGACACTTTTCCAGAGAAACAAGCTGAAGGAATTATTCACCACTAAACCTGCCCACAATAAATGCTAAAAAGAGCCCTTTGAGTTGAAATAACAGAATGTTAAACAGCAACACAATGGCATAAGAAAGTATTAATACAAAACTCGTTGGTAGAAATAAATATGTAAACAAATGCAGAATTCTCTATTATTTTAATGGTGGTAAGTAAATTACTTTTAATCTTGACATAAAAGACAAAAGTACTACAAAATAAGACAGTTAAAATTACATAAATGAATATATGACATAGATAAATATAAATTATAACATCAATAACATATAATGTGGAGGGGAGTGGTAAAACTGTAGAGTTTTATATGCAAGTGAAGTTAACTTGTTATCAGTTTAAAATAGACTATGATAACTATATGATATATTGTGGAAGCCCGATAGTAAACACAAAGAAAACACCTATAAAAGTTACACCAAAGAAGAAAAGAAAAGAATCAAAGTATATCAACACACACACACAAAAAAAAATGAAACACAAAGGAATACAGCAAGACAAAGAATGAAAAAAACTACAAGATAAACAGAAAACAGTTGAAAAAATGAAAATAGTAAATACTTCCTTCTGAATAATTACTTCAAATGCAAGTGAATTAAACTCCCCAATTCAAAGACATAAACTGATTAAGTGGTTTTTTTAATCCAAATTTATGCTGTCTATAAAAGACTCACTTTAGATTTAAAGACACACATAGGATGGAAGTTAAGGGATGGAAAAAAGTATTTTGCATAAATGGTAACCAAACGGAACAGGGGTGGCTACCATTATATCAGACAAAATGAACCCTAAGTAAAAAAACTGTCACAAGAGACAAAGAAGGACATTATATAATGATAAAAGTGTTAATCGATCAGGAAGATAAAATAATTATAAATATATAGGTACTCAACAAAGAGCCCCTAAATATATAAAACAAACATTGACAGAAACAAAGCAAGAAATAGACAGCAAAACAATAATACTAACAGACTTCAATATCCCGCTTTAAATAATGGATAAGTCAACATGATAGAGAATCAACAAGATAAGAGCGGAAGTAAATAACAACATAGACCAAATAGACCTAAAAGACATATATTTTCTTTTTTTTAATAGTTGGAAAAATTTATTATATTTGATGAAAATGATTAAGTTACATATCCAAGAAACTCAACTAACTCCAATTAGGAAAAAAGTCAAAGAAATCCACACCTAGATATATCATAATAAGCTGCTGAAGGAAAAGAAAGAATCTTTTTTTTTTAATGTTTGGGTAATTATACATTTTAGAATCTTTTTTTATTATTATACTTTAAGTTCTAGGGTACATGTGCACAACGAGCAGGTTTGTTACATATGTATACATGTGCCATGTTGGTGTGCAACACCCATTAACTCGTCATTTACATTAGGTATATTTCCTAATGCTATCCCTCCCCACTCCCCCTACCCCATGACAGGTTCTGGTGTGTGATGTTCCCTACCCTGTGTCCAAGTGTTGTCATTGTTCAATTCCCACCTAAGAGTGAGAACATGCGGTGTTTGGTTTTCCGTCCTTGTGATACTTCACTCAGAATGATGGTTTCCAGCTTCATCCATGTCCCTACAAAGGGCATGAACTCATCCTTTTTTATGGCTGCATAGTATTCCATGGTGTATATGTGCCACATTTCCTTAATCCAGTCTATCGTTGATGGACATTTGGGTTGGTTCCAAGTCTTTGCTATTGTGAATAGTGCCACAATAAACATACGTGTGCATGTGTCTTGATAGCAGCATGATTTATAATCCTTTGGGTATATACCCAGGAATGGGATTGCTAGGTCAAATGGTATTTCTAGTTCTAGATCCCTGAGGAATTGCCACACTGACTTCCACAATGGTTGAACTACTTTACAGACCCACCAACAGTGTAAAAGTGTTCCTATTTCTCCACATCCTCTCCAGCACTTGTTGTTTCCTGACTTTTTAATGATCGCCATTCTAACTGGTGTGAGATGGTATCTCATTGTGGTTTTGATTTGCATTTCTCTGATGACCAGTGATGATGAGCATTTTTTCATGTGTCTATTGGCTGCATAAATGCCTTCTTTTGAGAAGTGTCTGTTCACATCCTTTGCCCACTTTTTGATGGGGTTGTTTGTTTTTTTCTTGTAAATTTGTTTAAGTTCTTTGTAGATTCTGGATATTAGCCCTTTGTCAGATGGATAGATTGCAAAAATTTTCTCCCATTCTATAGGTTGCCTGTTCACTCTGATGGCAGTTTCTTTTGCTGTGCAGAAGCTCTTTAGTTTAATTAGATTCCATTGCTCAATTTTGGCTTTTGTTGCCATTGCTTTTTGTGTTTTAGCCATGAAGTCCTTGCCCATGCCTATGTCCTGAATGGTATTGCCTAGGTTTTCTTCTAGGGTTTTTATGGTTTTAGGTCTGACATTTAAGTCTTTAATCCGTCTTGAATTAATTTTTGTGTAAGGTGTAAGGAAGGGATCCAGTTTCAGCTTTCTACATATGGCTAGCCAGTTTTCCCAACACCATTTATTAAATAGGGAATCCTTTCCCCATTGCTTGTTTTTGTCAGGTTTGTCAAAGATCAGATGGTTGTAGATGTGTGGTATTATTTCTGAGGCCTCTGTTCTGTTCCATTGGTCTACATCTCTGTTTTGGTACCAGTACCATGCTGTTTTGGTTACTGTAGCCTTGCAGTACAGTTTGAAGTTAGGTAGCGTGATGCCTCCAGCTTTGTTCTTTTTGCTTAGGATTGTCTTGGCAATGCAGGCTCTTTTTGGTTCCATATGAACTTTAAAGTAGTTTTTTCCAATTCTGTGAAGAAAGTCATTGGTAGCTTGATGGGGATGGCATTGAATCTATAAATTATCTTGGGCAGTGTGGCCATTTTAACGATATTGATTCTTCCTATCCATGAGCATGGAATGTTCTTCCATTTGTTTGTGTCCTCTTTTATTTCATTGAGCAGTGGTTTGTAGTTCTCCTTGAAGAGGTCCTTCACATCCCTTGTAAGTTGGATTCCTAGGTATTTTATTCTCTTTGTAGTAATTGTGAATGGGAGTTCACTCATGATTTGGCTCTCTGTTTACAGACATATATTTTCAATCAACAACAGAATATATATTCTTCTCAATTACACATGGAACATTCTCCAGGACAGTTCACATGCTAGGTCACAAAACAAGACTTAAAATATTTAAAAGACCAAAATCATACCAAATAACTTTTCTGACCACAATGGAATGAAACTGAAAATTAGTAGCAGAAGAAAAACTGGAAAATTCACAAATAGGTGGAAATTAAACACTACACTTTTAAACAACCTATGAGTCAAAGAAAAGTTAAAAAGCAGTTAAAAAACATCTTAGGACAAATAAAAACAAGACAATACATAAAAACTTATAAGATACAGGAAAAGCAGTAATGAGAGGGAAGTTTATAGCAATAAATACCTACATTAAAAAAGAAGAATGATCTCAAGTAGCATAACCTTATATCTCAAGGAACTAGAAATAAAAACAAACCAATCTCAAGGTTAGCAGAAGGAAGAAAATAATAAAGATTAGAGCAGAAATAAGTAACATAGAGAACAGGTAAACAACAGAAAAAAATCAGCGAAATTAACGGTTGTTTGAAAAGATAAAATTGAGAAATCTCTAGCTTGATTAAAAAAATACTTAAATAAATAAAATCATAAGTTACAGAAGAGATATTACCACTGATACCACAGAAATGAAAAAGATCATGAGTCTACTATAAACACAGAAATAAAAAATATCATAAGAATCTGCTATAAACAATTATGTCAACAAAATGGATAACTAAAAAGAAATAAATAAATTCCCAGAAACAAAGAGCCTACCAAGACTGAATCATGAAGAAATAGAATGTCTGAACAGACCTATAACAAGTAGAGAGATTCAATCAGTAATCAAAAATCTTCAAAGAAAAGCCCAGCGCCAGATGACTTTACTGGTGAATTCTACCAAATATTTAAAGAAATAACACCATTCCTTCTCAAATTCTTCTAAAAAAAGAAAAACTGTAGAGGAGAAAATACATCCAAACTCATTTTATGAGGCCAGCATTACCCTGATACCAAAGCCAGACAAAGACAGCACAAGAAAAGAAAACTACACACAAATATTCCTGTGAAAATAAGTAAGAAATCTTCAACAAAATACTAGCAAATCAAATTCAACAGCGCATTAAAAGGATCACACACCATGACCAAGTGAGATTTATCCCTAGGATGCCAGGATAGCTCAACATATACAAATCAATTAATGTGACACACCACATTAACAAAATGACAAACAAAACCCATAAGATCATCTCAATAGATGCAAGAAAAAGCATTTGATAAAACTTGACATCCTTTCCTGGTTAAAATAAAACAATAAATAAATAAATAAATAAATAAAATGGAATTTTTCAAAATTAACTCTTTTATAATTTGTTTTTAAACTTAATATATTTCTTTTTTCCATGTCAAAAATATAGCTCTGAATCATCAACTCAAAAAAAAAAAACTCTCAACAAATTAGTAATAGAAGGAAATTACTTCAACATTATAAAGGCCATATACGACAAGCCCACAGCTAACATCACACTCAACAGAGAAAAAAATGAAAGCTTTTTCACTAAGATTGGGAAAAGGAATCCCAAAGGGTACCAAATAAATGAACTATTGCCACTTCTATTTAACAATGTTCTAGATGTCTAGCTAGAGCAACTAGGAAAGAAAAAGATAAAAGATCCAAATCAGAAGAAAAGAAATAAAATTGTTCCTTGTCTCAGTCCATTTTGTGCTACTATAACAGAATACCTGAGACTGGGTAATTAATACAAAGCAGAGATTTATTTCTTACAGTTCTAAAGGCTGGGAAGCCCAAGGCTGAGGGGCCCACATCTGGTAAGGGCCTTCTTACCGCATTATCCCATGGCAGAAGGTGGAAGGGAGCACAAATGAAAGTGAGAGGTGGCTGGGCATGGTAGCTCACTCCTGTAATCCCAGCACTTTGGGAGGCGGAAGCAGGAGGATCTCTTAAGCCCAGGAGTTCAAGACCAGCCTCAGTAACATGGCAAAATCTCATCTCTACTAAAAATACAAAAAATTTAGCCAGGCATGGTGGTATGCACTAGCCACTCAGGAGACTGAGGTGGGAGAATCACCTGGGCATGGGAAGTTGAGGCTGCAGTGAGCCATGGTCATGGCACTGTACTCAGCCTGGGTGACGAGAGTGAAATCCTATCTCAAATAAATAAAGAAAGAAAAGAAAAAAAAAGAAAGAAAGAGAGAGATGAAGGATAGTCAGAGGTCAAACTCGCAGTTTCAAGCCCTTTTACAACAGGCATTAGTCTATTCATGAAGGGGGATCTCTAATAAACTAAATACTTCCCATTAGGCTCCGCCTCCCAACACCGTTGTGTTGGGGATCAAGTTTCCAGCATATAAACTTTGGGGGGCACATCCAAAATGTAGCATCCCTGCTTATGTATAGAAAACGCTAAAGACTCCACAAAACTATTACAACTAATAATTGAATTTAGTAAGTTGCAAGGCATAAAATCAACAAACAAAAATTGGTTGTACTTCTGTACTATAATAACAAAATATCCCCAAAGTTTAAGAAAAAAATCCCATTTACAATAGCATCAAAGAGAATAGAATACTTAATTATAAATTTAAATAAGGAGGTGAAAGCCTTACATACTGAAAACTACAAATTATTGATAAAAGAAATTAGAGAAGACACAAACAAATGGAAACACATTTTGTGGTCACAGGTTGGAAGATTCGATATTTTTAAGATGTCTATCATACTACCCAAAGCCATCTGCAGATTCAAAGAAATTCCTATCAAAATCAAAATAATACTTCTTACAGAGATAGAAAAAATTATAAAATTTATAGAGACCCACAAAAGACCCTGAACAACCTAAACAATCTCAAAAAAGAAGGACAAAGCTGGAGGCAACACATGTCTTGATTTCATGGATAAAGCTACAGTAATTAAAACAGTATGGTACTGGCATAAAGACAGACATACTGGTGAATAGAATAGAACCGAGAGCCCAGAAATAAATCCATGCATATGTGGCCAATTGATTTTATGTAAAGATGGCCAAAGAACACATGATGGGGGGAAAATAGTTTCTTCAACAAATGGTGTTGGAAAACGTGGATATCTACATGCAAAAAAAAAAAATTAAATTGGACGCTTAGCTTACAGCATACACAAAAATCAATTCAAAATGGATTAAAGACTTAAACATACAATCTGAAACAACAAAATTCCTACAAGAAAACATAAGGGGACGTTTCACGACATTAGACTTAGAAATGATTTTATGGATATGACACCAAAACCACAGACAACAGAAGCAAAATTAGGTAAGTAAGACTACATCAAACTAAAAGGCTTCTCCACAGAAAAGAAAACAATTAATAGCAAAAAGAGGCCAGACATGGTGGCTTACACCTATAATTCCAGCCCTTTGGGAGGCTGAGGCCACAGGATCACTTGAGCCCAGGAGTTCAAGACCAACCTGGGCAAATCTAATAATAACATTATTATTTCCCCCTACAAAACTTTTCAGAGTTCTATTGCCTATAAGATAAAGTCCAATTCCTTATTTCACCTTAGTCCTAACCCTGCTAGCCAAGATTGCAAAGCTGCCTACCTGACTCACAGCTAACCACAAACAAAGCTGAGGGAGCCCAGCTGAGACCAGGATAACAAACTGCTGAGCACAATCTACATTGCCAACCTACAGAATTGTGAGCTAAATAATTTTTTTAAGCTAGTGAGTTTTGGAGTGTCTTGTAATGGAACAATAGCTAACTACTACAATTTCCTTTCTCAACATCAATTCCTATATTGTGAGTCTCTTTGAAAAGCTATAATGGTAGTGAGTATGGAATTCAACAGTATATCGTGATTTGTAAAACTGTCCAGGACCAAGACTACTGTGAGGTTGAGTGAGGCATCTGCCTTAAGGGAAAAATTTAAGGGAACACCTAAAAACTCAATAATCAACATAAATAGCATTTTAATGCAACTTTTTTAATAATTTTTTTATTTTATTTTAGGCTGGGTGTGATGGCTCAAGCCTGTAATCACAGCACTTTGGGAAGTGGAGGCAGGAAGATCACTTGAGGCCAGGAGTTCGAGACCAGCCTGGCCAAGATGGTGAAACCCCATCTCTACTAAAAATAGAAAAATTTGCAGGGCGTGGTGGCGCTTGACTGTAATCCCAGCTACTCAGGAGGCTGAAGTACAAGAATCGCCTGAACGCAGGAGGCGGAGGTTGCAGGGAGCTGAGATCACACCACTGCACTCCAGCCTGGGCAATAGAGGGAGACTTCAACTCAAAAAAAAAATTATTTTAGATTCAGGGGGGTACATGTGCAGGTTTGTTACATAGGTAAATTGTGTGATGCTGAGGTTTGGGCTTCTATTGATCCCATCACCCAAATAGTGAACATGGTACCCAATAGATAGTTTTTCAACATTTGCCCCCTCCCTTCTACCCACCTCTAGTAGTCCCCAGTGCCTATTATTGTCATCTTTATGTCTATGTGTATCCAATGTTTAGCTTCCAGTTATCAGTGAGAATATGCAGTATTTGGTTTTCTGTCCCTCTGTTAATTTGCTTAGGATAATGGCCTCCAGCTGCATCAATGTTGTTGCAAAGGACATGATTCTGTTCTTTCTATGGCTGCATAAGTATTCCATGGCGTATATATTCCACACTTTCTTTATCCAATACACTATTGATGGGCACCTCGGTTGATTCCATGTCTTTGCTATTGTGAATAGGACTGCAATAAACATAAAAGTGTAGGTGTCTTTTATGTAGAAATATTTCTTTTCCTTTGGGTATAAGCCCAGTAATGATATTGCTAGGTCGAATAGTAGTTCTATTTTTAGTTGTTTGAGACATCTCCAAACTGCTTTCCACAGTGGCTGAACTAATTTACATTCCTACCAATGGTGTACAAGCACTCCCTTTTTTCAGCAACCTCACTAACATCCATCGTTTTTTGACTTTTTAATAACCCATTCTGACAGGTGTGAGATGGTATCTCATTGTGGTTTTGATTTGCATCTCTCTGATAATTAGTGATGATGAGCATTTTTTCATATGTTTGTTGCCCTCTTATATGTCTTCTTTTGAGAAGTGCCTGTTCATATCTTTTGCCCACTTTTTAATGGAGTTATGTTTTTTCTTGTTGATTTGTTTAGGTTCTGTATAGACTCTGGATATCAGTCCTTTATCAGATACATAGTTTGCAAATATTTTCTCCCATTCTATAGGTTTTCTGTTCACTCTGTTGATAGTTTCTTTTGGTATGCAGAAGCTCTTTAGTTTACTTAGGTCTCAATTGTCAATTTTGTCAATTTTTGTTTTTGTTGCATTTGCTTTTGAGTACTTAGTCATAAATTCTTTGCCTACACCAATGTCCAGAAGAGTATTTTCTATGTTTTATTCTAGGATTTTTATAGTTTGACATCTTATATTTAAGTCTTAAATCCATCTTGAGTTAATTTTTGCATATGGTGAGAGTAATGCAAAAATTAATGAGAAACTTATGATAAAAAAGATATCTCAATTTTAAATAAAGACTAGATCAGACAACAATACAAGCCAATTTCTACTTAACATCTCAGAGAAATATGAGGGGATCAAGAAATCTTTAAATGGGATTAAAGGAACAATGGAAAGAACTCATTTCTTATTCTCAGACTCTTTAACAGGAAACAATTATAAATTTATGTTCTCTATAACATTAAACTCATGTTTCGCTGCAAAACACAATCAACAATAACACACAGCCCTCCCATTTTCCCCTACCACCTGATTAATGGTCTTATGCCAGTGAAGGAACAGGAAAGGCAGCTGTTGAGACTAGTCACAGATGGAGTTTGCAATGCTAGTAAAAACCAACTTAAATTTAGACATTGCTTTTAGCTTCAAAATTATACAGACAAGACTATATTAAAGAACTTGTTATAAGAGGCTGATAAAATATGTTCATCTTTAAGCTCTATAACCAAATGTTTTCAATGGTCCCACCACACTTTCACTAAAATAAAGCTTCAAAAAGCTATCCATGATTATTTTTTCTAAATGAATTTGAAGCAAATTATTGAGGAAAATGTGTTTACTTATTATGTAACACACTTATTCTTAATGAGCCTCTTACATTTTGGGGCAATTAATAAGGTTTAAATTTTTCTAATGATTAGTCCTAGGCCCTGTCTATGAAGTGAAAAGACATTGCCATCTGTGTCCCTAATACAGACCTTAAAATATAAATAAGAATCACCAGACAACAACTCAGCTGGAGTGAATTATATTGAGATAGTATAAATAAGGAAAGGAATTTTAAATTATTAAATTGGAAATACTTTCATAAACATTGTGTTTCTTTGGTGGTTGGTATAATTCTAATAATACTGGGTGCTCTATGATATGAACTTATTACTATTTCTGAGCCATCCTTCACATATAATGTGAATATGGTATATGCCTCAAAATTACCCATGGCTGTGCCATCCATTTGATAAATGAGAAGTATTTTCTGCTTCCCAGTAAAAGGCAAACACAAAAGAGAGGTTCTACAGCTTGTATACATAAAAGAATAGCCTATCTTTGACATAAAGTAAACACTTATTGAGCTGGTACTTATAGAGCACTATACATATTTAAATTACCAAATTTGATCCTCAAAATGCTGTGGGACAGATAATGTATCAGTGAAGGAATTTGAACGCCTGAACTCATCCTTTTCTTTCACCCCTTTGTCCAAGAACATTAGGAACAACCAACCAACAGCACTATATTCCTTAGTTTTCCAAAAATGTTTGAAAGTATCATATAGAGTCACGTAGCTCCTTGCTTCTTTTAAGTGGTTGGTTAGGAGTATTCAATAGAGATATTTTGCACATCTCTATAAATGCCATGGACTATCAGTCTCTCTTTATACTGGAAATAGGATCATTAGTATCTTTAAGTCTAATCAGATTAGAAAGCCAATTGAAGAAAACTCAGAACCAAATCAGAAAACTCATCTTTAACATTCTATTCCTCTAGAATCACTCTTGGTACCAAAGTCTATATTAGTCAGGATTCTCCAGAGAAAGAGAGAGCATGCACACACACACACACACACACACACACACACACACACACACACACACACACTGAGAGAGAGAGAAAGAGAGAGAGAGAGAGAAAGGGATCTATTATGAACTGTTGGCTCGCTGGGTGCAGTGACTCACACCTTTAATCCCAGCACTTTAGGAGGCTGAGATGGATGGATTACTTGAGGCCAAGAGTTCAAGACCAGCCTGGTGAAACCCCGTCTCTACTAAAAATACAAAAATTAGCCAGGTGAGGTGGTGCGTCCCTGTAGTCCCAGTTGCTCAGGAGGCTGAGACAGGAGAACTGCTTGAACGCAGGAGGTGGAGGTTGCAGTGAGCTGAGATCATGCCACTGCACTCCAGCCCAGGCAACAGAGCGATATTCCATCTCAAAAAACAAGAAAGAAAGAAAAATTGGCTCACATAACCATAAAGGCTGACAAGTCCTGTGATTTGCCATCTGCAAGCTGGAGACCCAGGAAAGCTGGTGGTATAATTTCAGTCTGAGTCTGAAGACCTAAGAACCAGGAGACATGATAGTGTAAATCCCAGTCTAAGAGCAGAAGACCAGTGTCCCAGCTCAAGCAAGCAGGCAGGAAACAAAAGGGACAAATTCCTCCTTCCTCCGCCTTTTTTGTTCTTATTCAGGCCCTGAACAGATTGGATGGTGCCCACCCACATTGGGGAGGACAATGTACTTTACTGAGTCCACTGACTCAAATGCTAATCTCATCTGGCAACACCCTCACAGACACACCAGAAATAATGTTTAATCTGGGCACCCTGTGGCACAGTCAAGTTAACACATAAAATTAATCATCGTAAGTGTTATCAACCTTCTTTTACAGAAGGATTTATGGAGGTGAAATAAGTTGACCAAAGTCACAAATATATAGGAAAGTCTGGATTCCTTTCCAAGTCTTCTGGTTTCAGTCTCCTGTTCTTCCTACCACATTGCACAGGATTTCTGAGAGGACCCAGAAGATGAACCCCATTCCTCCACAATGGAGTCCCACCAAGGTTTTTCTTCAGTGTGAGGCATGTGATGGTGACTGAGAGGAGTTAAATGTATTAATTGTACTAATGGCCCCAGTTCTTCACCTCCTATGAATCAATGCTACTTGGCCAGCTGACTGCATTTCTCAAGGTTCAGCCATGTGACTTGCTTTAGCTAATGGGATGTTAGCAGATGTGATATATGCAGAAGGTTGAAAAAGTACTCTTGCTACTGTGCTTCAGCTACTGCCATGAGAACATGCCTGAGTTAGCCTGCTGGAGCATGAAAACCTGGTGGCCCAGGTGCTTCAGTCAGCTGACGTGGGAGTGAAAACAACTGAGATCAGCAGAACTTCCCAGACCAGCAGTCTCTGACCTGCAGACTCGTGGGTAAGTGAATGGTCATTGTTTTAAGCCACAGAGTTTTGGGGTAGTTGCTTATTGTGGCAGCAGATAACTGATACAGACTCTCATAGTGAGAAGAAACAAATGCTAACTCTGAGCGTATTCCAGAATTAGTGTCCAGTTGGTCAGTACACAGAGGCTATCTTAGTTAGCTCAGGCTGTTATAACAAAATACCATAGATCAAGTGGCTTAAACAACTGATATTTATTTCTCACTGTTCTGGAGGCTGACAAGTCCAAGATCAGGGAGCCAACACTGTCTTAGAATTGAGAATCTGGAGGGAAGGGTGCTTATTTCCTGATTTAAAGGCTAAAACTCCTCAAATCATGCAATTATAAAAGACATAGCTTTATTTGTTCTTCATTCATTTTTTCCATCCCTTATGGGTGATATAGACTAAAGTGTCAGTTTCTGCTTCCAATAAACAATTTCCTTTTAAGCATACAAAACTTTAAAAGTTTTTTAAAACAGACTAAATCACAGTATATATGAGGGCCCTCTTCCTGGTTTGCAGACAGCTTCCTTCTTGCTATGTCTTCACATGGTGGAAAGAAAGACAGCAAGCTCTCTGGTCACTTCTTATAGGGGTGCTAATCCCATCAGGAGGGATGGGACTGTGACCTCAGCTAAACCCAATTACCTCTCAAAAGCCCCACCTCCAAATGCCATCACATTGGGAGTTAGAGCTTCATGATATGAATTGTTTGAGTGGAGGGCAGAGGGAGACAAATATTTAGTCCATAACAGAGGCCCTGAGAACACAAAATGGGTCCCCAACCAAACTTAGGAACAATCAGAAAATGTCAACCTTTAAACTTAAAGCAAATCAAAACAATACAAATTCCATGAAGACATTTCCTGGATCATCATGGTGGATGGGAGGCAGGACTAGATTGCAGCTCCAACTTGGATGGACAGAGCAGCATGTGGAGGCTCACATCATGAATTTTAGCTCTAGAATGACTGCAGGAATAAACCAGGAGTCCCAAAAGGACCCACAGACCCTCTAAAGGAGGTAGACTGCTCCTGCAGGACCCAGGAGACACCCCAAGTACTCTGAGTGCCCAAACTGTGGAAGGGGGAAAGGGAGATCCTCCACCCCTGAACACACACCCCCACTGAGGAAACTGAAGGTCTAGTTTGAAGGAGGAGTTTCCAAACTTACCTGGAGCTGAGTCAATTTAGAGAGCTGAGTGAAATACATGGGGTAGAGGAAGCAGCAGGAAAGGCCCTGTGAACTCACTGGGTCCCAAAGCAGGCCATTCCTGCCTGGTATCACAGGGATCCTTTGGGAGGGTGACCAGAGGCAAGGGGAAAACCACAAGGAGAAGGAAGTCTCCAGCTGAACTTTGTAACAATTTGAACTGGGCAAGAAGCCTCCAGGCCAGAACTCAGGAGACAGCACAAATCCAGTGTGGAGACTCCACAGGTGGGGGAAGTACTAAAGCCCTTTTCTTTCACAGCTGGGAAGCAGGTAGCCTGGGGCAAGTTCTCAGCCCTGCTTGCCCACTGCCTGGAAACAGACTCAGTGCTGTTAGAGGGGCACTGTACAAGTGAGACTGGCCCTTTGGATTGCGTGGGAGCTGGGTTAGGCCTGTGACTGCCAGCTTTCCCCCACTTCCCTGACAATTTGCATGACTCAGCAGAGGCAGCCATAATCCTCCTAGGTACACAACTCCAGTGACCTGAGAATCTCATCCCCATTCCCCACAGCAGCCACAGCAAGACCCACCCAAAAAGAGTCTGAGATCAGAAATGCCTAGCCCTGCCCCAACCTGATGGTCCTTGACTACCCACCCTGGTAGCTGAAGACAAAGAATATATACTCTTGGGAGTTCTAGGGCCCTGCCCACTGCCAGTTCCTCTCCATACTATCACAGATGATGCTCTCTGGAAAGCACCACCTCCTGGCAGGAGGCCAACCGGCACACAAATAGAACATTAAACCACCAACGCTAAGAACCCTCACAGAGTCCATTTCACCTCCTGCCACCTCCACTGAAATAGGCATTGGTATCCACAGCTGAGAGACCCATAGACAGTTCACATCACAGGAATCTGTGCAGACAAGCCCCAGTACCAGCCCAGAGTCTGGTAGACTTGCTGGGTGGCTAGAACCAGAAGACAGATAACAATCACTGCAGCTTGGTTCTCAGGAAGCCACATCCATAGGAAAAGGGGGAGGGTACAACATCAAGGGAACACCCCATGGGACAAAAGAATCTGAACAACAGCCTTGAGCCCTAGACCTTCCCTCTGACAGAGCCTACCCAAATGAGAAGGAACCAGAAAACTAACTCTGGTAATATGACAAAACAAGGTTCTTTAACACCCCCTAAAAAATCACACTAGCTCACCAGCAATGGATCCAAACCAATAAGAAATACCAGATTTACCTGAAAAAGAATTCAGGAGGTTAGTTATTCAGCTAATCAGGGAGGCACCAGAGAAAGGCAAAACCCAATGCAAGGAAATACAAAAATGATACAAGAAATGAAGGGAGAAATATTCAAAGAAATAAATAGCATTAAAAAAATCAAAACTTCAGGAAACACTGGACACACTTACAGAAATGAAAAATGCTCTGGAAAGTCTCAGCAATAGAATGGAACAAGTAGAAGAAAGAAATTCAGAGCTTGAAGACAAGGTCTTTGAATTAACCCAATCCAACAAAGACAAAAGAATAAGAAAATATGAACAAAGCCTCCAAGGAGTCTGGGATTATGTTAGCCAAACCTAAGAGTAATCACTTTTCCAGGGGAAAAAGAGAAATCCAAAAGTTTGAAAAATACATTTGGGGGAATAATCAAGGAAAACCTCCCCAGCCTTGCTAGAGACCTCAACATCTAAATACAAGAAGAACAAAGAACACTTGAGAATTTCATCGCAAGAAGATTATTGCCTAGGCACATTGTCATCAGGTTATCTAAGTTAAGACAAAGGAAAGAATCTTGACGGCTGTGAGACAAAAGCACCAGGAAACCTATAAAGGAAAACCTATCAGATTAACAGCAGATTTCTCAGGGGAAACCCTACAAGCTAGAAGGGATTAAGGCCCTATCTTCAACCTCCTCAAACAAAACAATTATCAGCCAAGAATGGTGTATCTTGCAAAACTAAGCATCATATATGAAGGAAAGATACAGTCTTTTTCAGACAAACAAATACTGAGAGAATTCACCACTGCCAAGCCAGCACTACAAGAACTGCTAAAAGGAGCTCTAAATCTTGAAACAAATCCTGGAAACACATCAAAACAGAACCTCTTTAAAGCATAAATCTCACAGGACCTATAAAACAAAAATACAATTTAAAAAGCAAAAACAACAAAACCAAGGTACACAGGCAACAAACAGCACGATGAATGCGATGGTACCTCACATCTCAATACTAACATCGAATGTAAATGGCCTAAATGCTCCACTTAAAAGATACAGAACTGCAGAATGGATAAAAACACATCAACCAACTATCTGCTGCCTTCAAGAGACCTAACACAAAAGGACTCACATAAACTTAAAGTAAAGGGGTGGAAAAGGGCATTTCATGCAAATGGACACCAAAAGCAATCAGGGGTAGCTACTCTTGTATCAGACAAAACAAATAAAGCAAGAGCAGTTAAAAAAGACAAAGAGGGACATTACATAATGGTAAAAGGCCTTGTCCAACAGGAAAATATCACAATCCTAAATATGTATGCACCTAACACTAGAGCTCCCAAATTTATAAAACAATTACTAATAGACCTAAGAAATGAGATAGAAAGCAACACAATAATAGTGGGGAACTTCAATACTTTACTGACAACACTAGACAGGTCATCAAGACAGAAAGTTAACAAAGAGACAATGGATTTAAATTATACCTTGGAACAAATGGACTTAACAGATATATACAGAGCATTTCATCCAACAACCAGAGAATACACATTCTATTCAACAGTGCATAGAAGTTTCTCCAAGATAGACCTTATGATAGGCACAAAGCGAACCTCAATAAATTTAAGAAAATAGAAATTAGATCAAACACTCTCAGACCACAGTGGAATAAAACTGAAAATCAACTCCAAAGGAAACCTTCAAAACCATGCAAATACATGGAAATTAAATAACCTGCTCCTGAATGATCACTGGGTCACAAACAAAATCAAGATGGAAATTTAAATATTCTTTGAATTGAATGACAATAATGGCACAACCTATCAAAACCTCTGGGATACAGCAAAGGCAGTGCTAAAAGGAAAGTTCATAGCCCTAAACGCCTACATTGAAAAGACTGAAAGAGCACAAACTGACTTTCTAAAGTCACACCCCAAGGAACTAGAGAAACAAGAATAAACCAAACCCAAACCCAGCAGAAGAAAGGGAATAACCAAGATCAGAGCAGAACTAAATGAAATTGAAATAAAACAAAAGAAAAGATAAATGAAACAAAAAGTTATTTGAAAAGATAAATAAAATTGATAGACCATTAGCAAAATTAACCAAGAAGAGAGAAAATCCAAATAACCTCAATAAGAAACAAAATGGGAGATATCACAACTGACACCACAGAAATAAAAAAGATCATTCAAGGCTGCTATGAACACCATTATGCACATAAACTAGAAAACCTGGAAGAGATGGATAAATTCTTGGAAAAATACAACCCTCCTAGCTTAAATCAGGAAGAACTAGATACCCTGAGCAGGCCAATAACAAGCAGCGAGATTGAAATGGCAATTTAAAAATTGCCAAAAAGAAAAGTCCAGGACGAGACGGATTCACGGTAGAATTCTACCAGACATTCAAAGAAGAATTGGTACCAATCCTTTTGACACTATTACAAAAGATAGAGAAAGAAGGAACCCTCCCTAATTCATTCTATGAAGCCAACATCACTCTAATACTAAAACCAGAAAATGATATAAGCAAAAAAAAAAAAAAAAACTACAGACCAATATTCTTGATGAACTTAGACACTACAATCCTTAACAGAATACTAGATAACTGAATCCAGTGACATATCAAAAAGATAATCCACCATGATCAAGTGGGTTTTGTACCAGGGATGCAGGGATTCAGAATATATGCAAGTCAATTAATGTGATACACCACATAAACAGAATTAAAAACAAAAATCACATGATCATCTCAAGATGAAGAAAAAGCATTCAACAAAATTCAGCATCCCTTTATGATTACAACTCTCAGCAAAATCAGCATACAAGGGACACACCTCAATGTAATAAAAGCCATCTGTGACAAACCCACAGCCCAGATAATACTGAATGGCAAAAAGTTGAAAGCATTCCCTCTGAGAACGAGGAACAAGACAAGGATGCCCACTCTCACCCCTCCTCTTCAACATAGTATTAGAAGTTCTAGCCAGAGCAATCTGACAAGAGAAAGAAATAAAGGGCATCCGGGCCGGGCGCGGTGGCTCACGCCTGTAATCCCAGCACTTTGGGAGGCCGAGGCGGGTGGATCATGAGGTCAGGAGATCGAGACCATCCTGGCTAACAAGGTGAAACCCCGTCTCTACTAAAAAAATACAAAAAATTAGCCGGGTGCGGTGGCGGGCGCCTGTAGTCCCAGCTACTCGGGAGGCTGAGGCAGGAGAATGGCGTGAACCCGGGAAGCGGAGCTTGCAGTGAGCCGAGATTGCGCCACTGCAGTCCGCAGTCCGGCCTGGGCGACAGAGCGAGACTCCGTCTCAAAAAAAAAAAAAAAAAAAAAAAAGAAATAAAGGGCATCCAAATCAGTAAAGAGGAACTCAAACTGTCACCGTTTGCTGATGATATGATCATTTACCTCGAAAACCCTAAAGACTCCTCCAGAAAGCTCCTAGAACTAATAAAAGAATTTAGCAAAGTTTCTGGATGCAAGATCAATGTACACAAATCAGTAACTCTTCTATACACTAACAGCGACCAAGTAAAGAATCAAATTAAGAACTCAACCCCTTTTACGATAGCTGCAAAAAAAAAAATCAAATACTTAGGAATATACCTTACAAAGGAAATGAAATCCCTCTACAAGGAAAACTATAAAACAGTGCTGAAATAAATCATAAATGACATGAACAAATGGAAACACATCCCATGCTTATGGATGGGTAGAATCAACATTGTGAAAATGACCAAACTGTCAAAAGCAATCTATAAATTCAATGCAATTCCCATCAAAATACCACCATCATTCTTCACAGAATTTTTTTAAAATTATAAAATTCACATAGAACCAAAAAAAAAAAAAAAACCCCACATAGCCAAAGCAAGACTAAACAAAAAGAACAAATCTGGAGGCATCACACTACCTGATTTCAAACTATAGTATAAGACCATGGTCACCAAAACAGCATGGTACTGGAATAAAAATAGGCACATAGACCAATGAAACAGAATAGAGAACCCAGAAATAAGCCCAAATACTTTAAGCCAACTGATCTTTGACAAAGCAAACAAAAACATAAAGTGGGAAAAGGGCCAGGCACGGTGGCTCATGCCTGTAATCCTAGCACTTTGGGAGGCTGAGGCGGGCAGATCACTTGAGCTCAAGAGTTAAAGACCAGCCTGGCCAACATAGTGAAACCCTGTCTCTACTAAAATACATGGTGGCAGGCACCTGTAATCCCAGCTACTTGGGAGGCTGAGGCAGGAGAATCACTTGAACCCAGGAGGCAGAGGTTGCAGTGAGCCAAGATCACACCACTGCACTCCAGCCTGGGCAACAGAGCCGGACTCTGTCTCAAAAATAAAATAAAATAGTGGGAAAAGGACACCCTTTTCAACAAATGGTGCTGGGATAATTGGCTAGCCACATGTAGGAGGATGAAACTGGATCCTCATGTCTCACCTTATTCAAAAATCAACTCAAGATGGATTAAGGACTTAAATCTAAGATCTGGAACTATAAAAATTCTAGAAGATAACATTGGGAAAACCCTTCCAGACACTGGCTTAGGCAAGGATTTCATGACCAAGAACCCAAAAGCAAATGCAATAAAAACAAAGATAAATAGCTGAGACCTAATTAAACTAAAGAGCTTTACACAACAAAAGGAACAGACAGCAGAATAAACAGAAAACCCACAGAGTGGGAGAATCTATACATCTGACAAAGGACTAATATCCAGAATCTACAACAAATTCAAACAAATCAGCAAGAAAACAACAAACAATCCCATCAAAAATTGGGCTAAGGACATGAATAGACAATTCTCAAAAGAAGATATACAAATGGCCAACAAACAGATGAAAAAATGCTCAACATCAGTAATGATCAGGGAAATGCAAATCAAAACCACAATGTGATACCACCTTACTCCTGAAAGAATGGACATAATCAAAAAAATCAAAATTCAACAAAAAAGTAGATGTTGCCATGGATTTGGTGATCAGGGAACACTTCTACGCTGCTGGTAGGAATGTACAGCCACTATGGAAAACAGTGTGGAGATTCCTTAAAGAACTAAAAGTAGAACTACCATTTGATCCAGGAATCCCACTACTGGGTATCTACCCAGAGGAAAAGAAGTCATTATACAAAAAAGATACCTGCACATGCATGTTTATAGCAGCACAATTCGCAATTGCAAAATCATGGGACCAACCCAAATGCCCATAAATCAACGAGTGGATAAAGAAACTGTAGTGTGTGTGTGTGTGTGTGTGTGTGTGTGTGTGTATGTACATATATATATATATATATATATATATATGTACATACACACACACACACACACACATATATGATGAAATACTACTCAGCCATAGAAGAGAATGAATTAATGGCACTCACAGTGACCTGGACGAGATTGGAGACTATTATTCTAAGTGAAGTAACTTAGGAATGGAAAACCAAACATCGTATGTTCTCACTGATATGTGGGAGCTAAGCTATGAGGACACAAAGGCAGAAGAATGATATGATGGACTTTGGGGACTTGGAGAGAAGGATGGGAGTCGGGTGAAGGATAAAAAACTACAAATAGGATGCAGTGTATACTGCTCGAGTGATAAGTGCACCAAAATCTCACAAATCACCACTAAAGAACTTACTCACATAACCAAACACCACCTGTTCCCCAATACCCTATGGAAAAAAATTTTAAAAAAATAAACAGCTATAGTTGGAAAAAAAATTCCATGAAAAGCATCTACAAAACTATGCCCCTTCCCCATTCCCTAACACTTCTGTAACAAAAATGGTTAGAACTAGTATCTACTTTTGTCACTAAAAATTAACTCCTTGGTTTATATTCCTACCCTATCCTAAAATGTTGAAAAGATACTATCTTTTGCCCAAAATTGTATGCAGTTCCTTTTTTACCACAACTATATATGGAATTATCGGTAGATTCTAAAAGAATAGATGTGTGTGTGTCTTCTGTTTTTGTGACAATTGCTACCTTTGATGACAACCAGAGTACACACAGGACAGACTTTTCTTCTTTCACAATAATGATAAGAATCATAAAGTGTGCAAAAGGTGTGTTGAAGAAGAAAATGCAATTTTCATGTTTTAATTAGTGGTGATCCAAAGTCTGGCATGGCTCAGACATGAAGTAGACAGCATGTGGAATGGAGAGGCATGAAGATCAGTGAGCTACGATCCTGGAGTCCAGGAATGTACAGCCTGTGAGGGAAGACAGATGTGTAAACTGCCAACTGCAGCACAAGGTCAAAGGCAGCAAGTATTTCATCACGTTATAAGCTGTGTAGGATAGAGAACACCTGACCAAATTACACAGCTATTAGAAAGGAGAACTATTTTGACATTTTAAAACAAGAAAGTCAAATTTATTTTAAATGACAACCTGATTCTGCATTGCATTGTGTATATCTTGTTCTTTATAAAAGTAAGACATAAAGCATTAAGAGTAACTCAGAAGTCACAGTATTTTCATGTCTAGGTCTCCCCACAATGGAATTGCATAAAGTTGTGGGTGTTCATTGCTTTTCAGTTTTTTCAGGAGGGGGATGGGCAATCTAACCTCCCATCTGCCCTAGATTGTGCAGTGCTTGAGGGAACTGTAACTTTTACTGTCTATTTCTAATTTCCAACAATGCCTAGCATATGAACAATATTTGATTTCCTAATGAGAGATTAGTATTATATGGTGACAGGCCTCAGCTTATAAATTAGCTATTTTGAAGGTGCTATTTAAATTCTGTGGATTAAAACTCAGAGGACCTTTTCCCACAGAAATACAACTATCATTGATAACAAGTTTCCTAGGTTAGACTCTTCCACCCCACCTCCAAAAACGGATCCAGTAATGTACACGCAGAATAACTTTGTGCTGGACAATTAGCACCACGAAACCTAATCTACTTGGATACCCACATCTCTCTCTGCTAGCATTCAGCTCAGATGCTTCCCTGCCACTTCTCCATCCTCACTTCCACCTACTGAGCAGTGCAAATGCAGGACTTTGTTCATTCCAAGCCACTCTTAATAACTGCCAGAGTACAGGACAGAAGATGGCATGAGGGCTGGGCCTCATTCATTCGTTTATTCACCAAACAAATATTCTTGAGCACATAAAATGTGTTCATCACTATTATGGTTGGGGATAGAACAGCAGATGAAACAGACATAGTTTCTGCCTCATGGAGCTGGCATTCTCATGAGGGAGAAGCTTTTTAAGTAAATTTTAAAAATTGCAGTTGTGGTAAGAGCTAGAAGGCTATCAAAGGGCTGAGCCTGAGGCTAAAAGTGGGGACGAGGAGCTGCAGGGCTCAGGAAAGTCTCCTGTGAGAGGTGGCATTCACATTGAGCCCTGCAAAATTACCTCCCAAATGAGTGTCACCTGTATGGGCAACAAGGGGGACCCTAAAAAGTACATGAGAAAATAAGGCCCTGTTCTGCTCAAATCAGTGGGACCTGGTCCTTTCTGACCCTCAGGGAAGTCTAGAAAACACATGACTTTTCCAATCTCACCTAAATAATTAAAATGTCTCAGTCTTTTAAGTCACTTAAATCACACTATGCCCCCATTTCAGTAATTAAAATGACTGTTTCTACCAGACATTCAAAGAAGAATTGGTACCAATCCTTTTGACACTATTACAAAAGATAGACAAAGAAGGAACCTGCCCTAATTCATTCTATGAAGCCACCATCACTCTAATCCTAAAACCAGAAAAGGATATAAGCAAAAAAGAAAACTACAGACCAATATTCTTGATTAACTTAGACACTACAATCCTTAACAGAATACTTACATACTTATTTTGTGCCAAGCCCTAGGCTGTATGCTAGAGGTACTAAAATAAATAAATGATCCCTTCACCCAAAAAGCTCCTCTTCTAATTGACAAACAACTCATACGCAATTGCAATTGATTGTACTAGATCTACAATCTTAGCTAAACTACTTTGTCTTTCTTCGTTTCACTGTCCTTGTCCGTAAACTGGGGACATTAACAGGGCTTACTTCACAGGCTTGTGAATATTTAAAAAGGAAATATTAGTAAGGACCCTAAAACATAAAAAATGCTCAATTATCTTTTTTAAACAAATAGTCCTGTGTAACTGTCAAAATTCTACACTTCAAGCATATATAAAAGTAGAAAGAATTATGCAATGACCACCTTATATCCATCACCTAGATTTAAAAGAATTTAACAACCAGTATGGCTACACTGGTATGTACACGATAAGGACTGGTTCTGCATCCAGGTTAAAGGATGCAGAGTGGAAGGTAAGGGCAGGAGGTCAGTGAGGCCAAAGTTGTGCTCATCACATATTCCACGTCCTCCTTTCCTTCATATCGAGCTTTCCTAACAGTTAGGTTTGGGCCAGATGAGTTATTCTGGCCAGAAACTGTCAGTGGAAATGACATGTAACTTCTGAGTCAAGAAAGTTAGGAAATGACATGCCTCCTCCACTCCCATCCTCCCCTGCATGAGATAAAGGAGGGCATCCTCACCTGCACTGACTGTGTAGACACAAATAAAGCCAGTACGGTGTTAAGCCACTGGGATACGGGGCTAATCTGTTACCAGAGCCAGCTCAGCTAACTGCACCATAAACAGGGAAGGCCTGATTTGACTGGTGCTGCTGTGAGCTGGTGTGGTGTTCTCTGGGGCTGGCAAGCGTTAAAGACACTTCTCGGTGGCATTTTCGTGAGCATTTCAGAGATACTCCCACACACCACTGGAGGTCGCTTACCTGCAGTTCCCTTGAAGCAGGAAATGCATCTCCACAGATGGGTCGCTAATATTTCCTCCTTTGGTGTTTAGACACCTGATGTCACACTTTCTGCTGTGGTTTCCTGCCCCTTCCAGGTGGTCCTCTCAGGCAGTATAAAACAAAATCCCAGGGCAGCTTTCTCTCCCAGCATGGCTCATATCTGGTACACATATGATCCATAGAAAACACTCTCTCATCCTTTTACTCTAACATACTCTGCTCCCAACCCACCAGGCTCCTGTGTGAGCCACCTCTCCCTGCTCGGCCAGCCTAGCAAGCAGCTCCGGCCACTTACCTTTATGTCTCACAAGCAGGAGGCAGAAGCAGCTACAGTGTTTCCACCATAGCCCCTAACTACCCTTGAATGAGGAATAAGCCCCTCAGTCCTCCCCACTGCTGAGGTGGGCAGCCTGTTAAGGCATAGAGCACCAGTCCTTACACCCTGCTTGGGAGTCTTGGCACCTCATTTCAGAACACGGAGATCCTTTTGACCTATTCTTTTCAGGCCTATTATCAACCTACTTTTTCAGGTCTCAGGTAAAACAAAGACAAAAAGAGTCCCGTTTTTACACCCTGTTACACCAGGATCATCCAGAATCCCCTTTCTTAAGCTGGTGCTACATCAAGATAGGAAAAAAGGGACTAGAACTGCCAGAGAAGAGGGCAGCACGGCATTCCTCCACTGAGTCTACACCCTTTATTGAGAAGGGTGCTGGCTGCAGAGGGCTGAATTAGGCAAACAAGCCACCACTGCTTTCGTGTCCCCTGCAGGAAGATGTAAGGGACAAGCGATAGACAGACAGCAAATTATCAAGAGAGGCTTGGAGAGAGAAGAGTGATATAAAGAAAACAAAAACGGGCTACACTCATGGTGTGTGCACTCAAGTGACATGGGGAGGGACTAACAGAGAGTAGGAAGTCAGATGACCTATCCGTGAATGTATCCATCTCAAGGAACAGACCAATAGGGTCTATGATATTATATAACATATAGTATATAACATATATACACATTATATATAAGTATACACATAAAATATATAATGTGTGTATATACATTGTATATATGTGCATGTGCATATGTATGTGTACATATATACATACATGTATACATGCATATATAATCTGCATATATTTATATGTAATATTGATACATAATATTTATATGTAAAGAGATAGGTAGCAAGCTGCATATATGAGTATGGAGCTCAGGAAAGATATCAGACTAAAGGTACACATATGGGAGTCATCAGCATATTGAGATTAAGCAATAGAACGCAACTAAACTACATATGATTACAGAAGGAGAGAATCCAAATAGAAGAGAATCAAGAGCCTAGAACCAAGCTTGTGGTCATTCCAGCTTTTACAGCTAAATTTGAGGACTAGTGAACTCCTGTGGTAAAGGGAAGGACAATAACCAGATGAGGAAATCCCAAGTCAAGGAGAAAAGCAGGCTTTTTCAGGCTACCAGCCGGGGCAGCCTTCCTCAAATGGATATTTGTTCATAAAGGTTACTAATAAATCAAGTTGGTGATGGCCACTATTAGACGTTCTCCTCAATATTTTTTAAGTCAATATGGGCCCCACTCTTAAGGAACTCTTTTAAATACAAATGCCAGAAATGTTTACACCAGCATTTATACTTCTATGGATCAACAATCCTATCAATGAAGGGGTTCTCCCTGCTTTAGAAAAGAGAAAGCACTTTTGCTTTGGAAAAAGAGAAGGCACTGTTCCCTTCCTGAATGACTTGGCTCTAAAAATGCCCAAATATCAAAGGACCCTATTGTTCCACCCTGGCAAGTGTTGGGGTAAGGGAGATAGAGTGCTGGAGTGGGGTGGGGTGGGGGGAGTGAGGAAGAGGACAAATTAAAATGATGTTTCTTAGAAGTTCCATGAAATCAGAAATACGAGGAAGGTGAAAAACAATGAGTGGCCAGATTACTTCTACAAGTGGGGAGGGAGGGCAGTCTGAAAAGGCTGCTTTAAGAATATGAGTCTGACAATAAAATACTGGCAACCAGATCCAGCAGCACATCAAAAAGCTTATCCACCACAATCAAGTCAGCTTCATCCCTGGGACACACGACTGGTTCAACATACACAAATCAATAAACATAATCCATCACATAAACAGAACCAACGACAAAAACCACATGATTATCTCAATAGATGCAGAAAAGGCCTTCGACAAAATTCAACAGCCCTTCATGCTAAAAACTAAAAACATGCTAAAAACTCTCAATAAACTAGGTATTGATTGAACATATCTCAAAATAATACGAGCTATTATGACAAACCCACAGCCAATATCATACTGAATGGGCAAAAACTGGAAGCATTCCCTTTGAAAACCGGCACAAGACAAGGATGCCCTCTTTCACCACTCCTGTTCAACATAGTGTTGGAAGTTCCGGCTAGGGCAATCAGGCAAGAGAAAGAAATAAAGGGTATTCAATTACGAAATGAGGAACTCAAATTGTCTCTGTTTGCAGATGACATGATTGTAAATTTAGAAAACCCCATCAGCTCAGCCCAAAATCTCCGTAAGCTGATAAGCAACTTCAGCAAAGTCTCAGGATACAAAATCAATGTGCAAAAATCACAAGCATTCCTATACACCAATAATAGGCAAACAGAGAGCCAAATCATGAGTGAACTCCAATTCACAATTACTACAAAGAGAATAAAATAGCTAGGAATCCAACTTACAAGGGATGTGAAGGACCTCTTCAAGGAGAACTACAAAACACTGCTCAGCAAAATAAAAGAAGACACAAACAAATGGAAGAACATTCCATGCTCATGGATAGGAAGAATCAATATCATGAAAATGGCCATACTCCCCGAGGTAATTTATAGATTAAATACTATCCCCATCAAGCTACAAATGACTTTCTTCACCAAATTGGAAAAAACTACTTTAAAGTTCATATGGAACCAAAAGAGTCCGTATAGCCAAGACAATCCTAAGCAAAAAGAACAAAGCTGGAGGCATCATGCTACCTGACTTCAAACTATGCTACAAGGCTACAGTAATCAAAATAGCATTGCACTGGTACCAAAACAGCATTGCACTGGTACCAAAACAGAGATATAGACCAATGGAACAGAACAGAGGCCTCAGAAATAATACCACACATCTACAACCATCTGATCTTTGACAAATCTGAGAAAAACAAGCAATGGGGAAAGGATTCCCTATTTAATAAATGGTGTTGGGAAAACTGGCTAGTCGTATGTAGAAAGCTGAAACTGGATCCCTTCCATACACTGTATACAAAAATTAACTCAAGATGGATTAAAGACTTAAATGTAAGACCTAAAACAATAAAAACCCTAAAAGAAAACCTAGGCAATACCATTCAGGACATAGGCATGGGCAAAGACTTCAGGACTAAAACACCAAAAGCAATAGCAACAAAAGCCAAAATTCACAAATGGGATCTAATTAAACTAAAGAGCTTTTGCACAGCAAAAGAAACTACCATCAGAGTGAACTGGAAACCTACAGAATGGGAGAAAATCTCTGCAATCTACCCATCTGAGGAAGGGCTAATATCCAGAATCACAAAGAACTTAAATAAATGTACAGGAAAAAAACAACCCCATCAAAAACTGGGTGAAGGATATGAACAGACACTTCTCAAAAGAAGACATTTATGCAGCCAACAGACATATGAAAAAATGGTCATCATCACTGGTCATCAGAGAAATGCAAATCAAAACCACAATGAGATACCATCTCACACCAGTTAGAATGGTGATCATTAAAAAGTCAGGAAACAACAGATGCTGGAGATGATGTGGAGAAATAGGAACACTTTTACACTGTTGGTGGGAGTGTAAATTAGTTCAACCATTGTGGAAGACAGTGTGGCAATTCCTCAAGGATCTAGAACTATAAATACCATTTGGCCCAGTGATCCCATTACTGGGTATATACCCAAAGGATTATAAATCATGCTACTATAAAGACACATGCTCACATATGTTTATTGCGGCACTATTCACAATAGCAAAGACTTGGAACCAACCCAAATGTCCATCAATGATAGACTGAATTAAGAAAATGTGGCAAATATACACCATGGAATACTGTGCCATAAAAAAGGGTGAGTTCATGTCCTTTGTAGGGACATGGATGAAGCTGGAAACCATCATTCTAGCAAACCATCACAAGGACAGAAAACCAAACACCACATGTTCTCACTCATAAGTGGGAGTTGAATAATGAGAACACATGGACACAGGGCAGGGAACATCACACACCGCGGCCTGTCAGGGGGTGGGTGCCTGGGGGAGGGATAGCATTAGGAGAAATACCTAATGTAAATGACGAGTTGATGGGTGCAGCAAACCACCATGGCACATGTATACCTATGTAACAAACCTGCATGTTGTGCACATGTATCCTAGAACTTAAAGTATAATTAAAAAAAAAAAGAATATGAGTCCAAAATCAACTTTCACAATGAAAAAGCATATTATTTCCAGTCACAGCATTTTGGATTTATTCTCAAATGTTCCTTCTTTTTAAACGAATAGTATATCACTGATATCCACAATTCTTATCTAAGGGGGAATTCGCTGCTGCATTAAATCACAAGTTACATATCATTTCCTCATTCAGGTCCCTTAAAAATTCTGAATTTGGTGACTATCATAAGAGTTAGGGAAGAATCTCAACTGCATTTGTTGGGTGAGAATTCAGGTGGCACAGAAAGTAAAAACAAAAAAAATGGAGCAGGAGGTTAGGTATTTAGTCTATAAGAGGTATGGATATAGCTGTTTTATATTAGGTCATTCACTTAACCTCTCCTGACCTCAATTTTCTCATCTATCGAAGGAGTGTTGAGGACTTAGCTTCTGGGAAAATGGAGAGCACGTAATTTTCCCCATTCCTCTCACAAAGTACAACTAAAAACACTCTACATTATATATAAAGCACACATAAGAAGACACTGGGGCTGGCCACAGTGGTGGCTGGGCGCAGTGACTCATGATGCATGTAATGCCAGCACTTTGGGAGGCCAAGGTGGGAGGACTGCTTGAGTCCAGGAGTTCGAGACCAGCCTGGGCAACATGGTGAAACCACATCTCTACCAAAAATACAAAAATTAGCCAATCTCATTATCTGGTCTCAAAATACATAGATAAATAGACAGACAGACAGATAGACAGATAGATAGATAGATAGATAGATAGATAGATAGATAGATAGATAGATAGATAATCTAAAAATAAAATCAAAAACTTAAAAAAATAAAAGACTCTGGGAGGTAAAGAGAGAACATAACAGATCAGCTCAGGACTTCTGGACCTAAGGAAAATCATAATGATAAGTTCCTTGGGTTTTCAATTTGCCTCCTATATTTTAGACTTGGTACTGAAAAAGTTGGCAACCTCAAAACATCGGTAGGTGCAGACAAAATAAGCTCCAACAAAAACCCACTCTCTTTAGCCAAAAGAACCAAGGAAGCAAGACATGAAACTTTACAATAATACTGCTCTACTATAACCAAACACCACAGAAAAACCTTTAGCTACCTCACACTCACACTAGTTCAGGGCCAAGTGAGAAGTCTAGTGTTCTACAACCACTAGGCTGTAACATGGTACCCTGACTCGGATAGTGTCAGGCAAGGTTAAGTAGAAACCCAGTGCTTTCATCTCCGCTAGGCGGTAGCAAACCACCTCCACTGGTATCAGTAGAGACTACATCCAGAGTCAGGACTTCTTTCCCACCTAGCAGTAATGACGTGACAATCCCTCCTTTCCCCTACTAGAGAAGTATCAGAGAAAGCCAGCGAAACAGAACATTTAAATGAGATCCAGAGACTTATAACATAATACCCAAAATGTTCAGATTTCAGGAAAAAATTATTTGTCATACCAAGAACCAGGAAGATCTCAAAATAAATAAAAAAGATAATCAGTAGATACCAATCAATGACAGAGATGCTAAAATTATCTGACAAAGATTTTAAAGCAGCCATCATAAAAATATTTTAATAAACAATGACCAATATGTTTACAAAAAATTTAAAAATTGTAATCTTTTGCAAAGAAATAGTCTCAGAAAAAAAAAAACAGAAGACATAAGGAAGAATCAAATGGATATTTTAGAAATAAAAAATACAATAACCAAAATAAAAACTCAATGGATAGACTCAAAAGCAAAATGGAACAGGGGAAATAACTGGTGAACTTGAAAATAGAATCATAGAAACTATCCAGTATGAATAAAAGAGAGAAAATATACTGAAAACAAAACGAACAGAGTCTAAAGGACCAGTGACTGTAACAAAAAGTAACAGTTCTGTCACTGGAGTCCCAGAAGGAGACATTGGAGTCCCAGAAGGAGACATTGGAGTCCCAGAAGGAGACATTGGAGTCCCAGAAGGAGAAGGGAAAGAGGGTGGAACTAAGCAAGTATGCAAAGGAGTTTGACTTAAAACTCATCGAATCTCACAAAAGACACCAACCTACAGATTTAAAAAGTTGAATAGGCCAGGCACCATGGCTCACTCCTACAATCCCAGTATTTTGGGAGGCCAAGCAGGGCAGATTGCTGGAGCCCAGGAGTTCAAGATCAGCCTAGCCAACATGGTGAAACCCCATCTCTACTAAAAATAGAAAAATTAGCTAGGCATGGTGACACTTGCTGATAATCCCAGCTACTTGGGAGGCTGAGGCACAAGAATCGGTTCAAACTGGGAGGCAGAGGTTGCAGTGAGCCGAGATCATGCCGTTGAACTCCAGCCTGAGTGACAGAGTGAGACTGCCTAAAAAAAAGGCTGAATAAACCTCAAATAGAATACAGCCAAAGAGATCTACACAAGGATACATTACAGTCAAACCTATGAAAATTAAAGACTTTGAAAGCAGCTAAAGAAACTAATACCTCACTTATAGGAGAAATACAAATCAAAAGACAGTGGGTTTTTCATCAAAACTATGGAGGCCAGAAAAAACGTGGCACATTTCTCAACTGCTGAAAGAAAAATCTGTAAATTTAGAATCCTATATCCAGCAAAAATATATTTCAAGAATGAAGGGGAAACCAAGACATTTTCAGATTTTAAGAAATCTAAAAGAATGTGTTGTACTCTGAAAAGAATTACCAAAAGTTCTCTAAGCAGAAAAGAAATTATTAAAAATATAAACCTGAGACCAGACACAGGGGCTCATACCTGTAATCCCAGCGCGACAGGAGGCCAAGACCAAGGGAGGATTGATTGAGCCCAGAAGTTTGAGATCAGCCTGGGCAACATAGTGAGATCTCATATCTGCCAAAAAAAAAAAAAAAAAAAAAAAACCTAGGCATCGTGGTGCATGCGCTTGTGGTCCCAGCTACTCACTCAATACATATATAAGAAAAGAGGCTGAGTGGGAAGACCTCCTGAGCCTAAGAGGTCAAGGCTGCAGTAAGCCATGATTCTGCCACTGTACTCCATCCTGGACTACAGAGAGAGAACCTGTCACCAAAAAAAAAAACAAAGAAAGAAAAAACCTGGGAACATCATGAAGAAAAAGAATATTGTAAGAAAAAAATGGATAAACACAATAACTTTTCCTTTTGCATTTTGTAAATTATGTTTGATGGTTGAAAAAAAATATAGGATTGCCTAATGCAGTTCTGAATTATGTAGAGGAAGTACTTAAGAAAATTATATTATAAATGGATGAAGGTAAAAGAACATAAAGGGAAGTAAGGTTCCTTTACTCGAACTGATAATATGATGATAATAGAAAACTATGATAAGTTATGTATGTAAACAGAGATACACTCAAAAATATTACAAGTAACTTAAGTGGAAATTCTAAAAAAAGTTCAAGTAACCCACAGGAATGCAAAAAAAAAAAAAAAGCAAACAGAAAAATGAAAAACAACAGAGACAAATAGAAAACAAAAATAATAAACAAAATGGCAGACTTAAGTCCTAATTTATCAACAATTATATTAAAAGTAAAAGTGGAAGAGGAACATCTAATAATTACAAAAGGAACAGTCTACCAAGAAGATATAGTAATTTTAAATATGTATGAACCAAACAACAGAACTGGTAAATGTTTCAAGCAAAAATTGATAGAATGGAAAAGAGAAATAGAGAAACCCACAATTATAGTTGAAGATTTCAACAACCTTCTCTCAATAATTAATAGAACAATTACACAAAAAATTAGCAGGGACATAGAACTCAACAACACCATCAACCAACAGGATCAATCAACAGTTATGGAACACTCCACCCAACAGCAGCAGAATGTACATTGCTTTCAGGTGTCCATGGAACATATGCTAAGATGAAATAAATCCTGGCCTATAAAACAAACCTCAACAACTTTAAAAGAACTGAAATCAAAGTGTGTCCTCCAATCACAATGGAATCAGACTAGGAATTAATAACAGAGAGACTTATTTTAAAACTTGGCCGGTCACAATAGCTCACATCTGTAGCCCCAGCTACTCAGGAGGCTGAGGCGAGAGGATTGTTTGAGTCCAAGAGTTCGAGGTTCAGTGAGCTATGATCACACCACTGCAATTCAGCCTGGGCAACAGAGCAAGACCCTGTCTCTAACAACAACAAAAAATTCCAAACACTCGGAACCCAGACAACACACTTGTAAATAATATATCAACAAAGAGGAAATCTGAAAGGAAATTTAAATATATATATTGAACTGAATGAAAATGAAACTACAACATATGTCAATGTGTGCGACACAGCTATAGCAGGGCTGAGAGGATAATTTATAGCACTAAATGCATGTGTAAGAAAAGAGGAATGTCTCAAATCAATAATCTAAGCTCTCACCACTAGCCCCTAGAAAATGAAAGGTAAAATACACTCAAAAGAAGTAGAAGAAAGGAAATAACAAAGGTAAGAGCAGAAATCAGTGAAACAGAAAATAGAAAAACAATTTAAAAATTCAATTTTAAAAAGACTTGGTTTTTTGAAAAATCAAAAATAAAATGGACAAGCTCTAGCAAGACTGACAAAAGAAAAAAGAGAGAAGACACAAATTACCTGTATCAGGAATGAAACAGAAGATATTACTCTGAATTGTGCAGACATCAAAAGGACAATATGAGAATACTACAAACAATTCTACACACAAATTTCACAAAGTGGACAAATTCCTCAAAAAGACACACACACACACACACACACACACACACAACCACAACTCACATAAAATAAATAATGTGACTAGGTCTATGACTATGAAGAAAATTGAATTTATGATTTGAAAAACTCCCAAAAAAGATATCTCCAAGCCCAGATGGTTTTGCTCAAGAATCCCACTAACCTTGTTAAAAAAAAAAAAAAAAAAACACAGAATTCTATCATTCATTTCATTTAAAGATTAATACAAATTCTACACCATCTCTTCCAGAAAATACAAAAGGAAACACTTCTCAATTCAATTTATAAAGCTACAACTAGCCTGATACCAAAGCCAGAAAATGACAATTTAAAAAACTAAAAACCAATACCCCTCATGAATATAGACATAAAAATCTATAACAAAATACTACCAAATAAAATCCAGATGTGTGTGTGTGTGTGTGTGTGTGTGTGTGTGTGTGTGTGTGTATAGATAGATAGATAGATAATTTTTTTTCCTTTGGAGATGGAGTCTTGCTCTGTTGCCCAGGCTGGAGTGCAGTGGCATGATCTTGGCTCACGGCAACCTCCACCTCCCTGGTTCAAGCAATTCCCCTGCCTCGGCCTAACAAGTAGATGATTATCCCAAATAGGGATTACAGGCGCACACCATCACGCCCGGCTAATTGATTTGTATTTTTAGTAGAGACAGGGTTTCACCATGTTGGCCAGACTGGTCTCAAACTGACCTCAGACAATCTGCCTGCCTCGGCCTCCCAAAGTGCTGGGATTACAGGAATGAGCCACCACGCCTGGCCCAGCAATATATTTTTCAAATGATACATCATTACCAATTGGGGTTTATTGCAGGGATGCAAGTCTGGTTCAATATTTGAAAATCAATAAATGTAATTTGCCAATCAGACTAGAGGAAAAAGTTACATGACATATCAATCAGTAAAGAAAAAAAGCATTTCACAAAACTTAACACTCTTTCATCATTAAAAAAAAACTCTCATAAATATGGAATAAAAGGAATATTCTTCAATTGGATAAAAAGCATCTACAAAAAAGCTTCAGGTGACTTTGCAGTTAATGACAAAACCTGAATGCTTTACACCTAAGATCAAGGCATGAATGCTGATTCTAGCTGATCTTATTCAACTTAATGCTTGAAGTTCTAGCTAGTGCAATAAGGCAAGAAAAATAATTAAAATGGATACAGATCATAAAGCAAGAAATAAAATTATCTTTATTTGTAAATGGCATGATTATGTACATAAAAAATCTAAAGAAATTTACCAAAAAAAACGCACCTAGAACTAGCAAGTGAATCCAGCAAGGTCATAGAGTATAAGATAAACATACAAAACTCAATTATATGTATATATAATACTATCAATAAACATATGGACATCAAAGTTAAAAATACAATGGCATTTACAATTCCTAAAAAAGAAAGGAAATACTCAGGAATAGATCTAACAAGATATGTATAGGATTTGGGTGCTAAAACCAAAAAACACTGATAAAATAAATCAAAGGCCTAAATAAATTGACAGACATATTGTGTTCCTGAATTGAGAGACTCAACATAATAAAGTGTTAATTCTCCCCAGACTCACATGCAAGTTTAACATAATTTCTATTAAAATTCGATCAAGAGTTTTTGTAAGTAGAGACAAGATTATTCGAGAATGTATATGGAAAGGCAGAGGAGCTAGCATAGTTAAAACAAATTTGGAAAGGAAGAATAAAGAATAAATAAATTAACCTGATGCCAATATTTATTATATAGATACAGCCATCAAGATGATGTGGTGTTGGCAGAGAGATAGATGCATAGCTCAGTGGAACAGAATAGAGAACACAGAAATAGACCAAAACAAATATGCCCAGCAGCCTTTTGATAAAGGTGCAAAAGCAATGCAATGGAGGAACGATAGCTTTTTCAACAAGTAGTACTGAAATAATTAGACGTCTATATACAAATACTCATAATAATAATAATCTCCAACTTAAATCTCACTCCTTGTACAAAAATAAACTCAAAATGAATAACAGACTTAAATGCAAAACATAGAACCATAAAACTTCCAGGAAAAAAAAAACAGGAGAAAATCTTGAGAATCTACAACTAGGCAAACAGTTCTTACACTTGACACCAAAAGCACAATCCATAGCAGAATAAATTGATAAATTTGACATCATCAAAACTAAAAACTTTTGCTGTGTAAAAGATCCTGCCAAGAGGATGAAAATACAAGCTATACACTGGAACAAAATATTTGCCAACCGCACATCCAACAGAGGACTAGTATCTAGAATAACATAAAGAACTCTTGAAACTTAAACATGCAAGTACCATATGACCCAAGCAATTACATTCCTGGGTATTTATACTAGAGAAACAACTTATGTTCATACAAAAACTTGTACATGAAAATTTATTGAAGTTTTATTTATAGTAGCCCAAAACTGGAAACAACCCAGATGGCCTTTAATAGGTAAATGGTTAGACAAACTCTTCCGTCCATTCCATGGAATACTACTCAGCAATAAAAAGGAACAAATTATTGGTATACACAATTCTCCAGAGAATGATGCTCAGTGAAAAAAAGCCAATCCCAAATGGTTATACACAATGTTTCCATTTATGTAACATTATTGAAATGACAATATTATAGAAATGGAAAACAAAGTAGTGGCTCCCAGGAATTAAGGAGGGGATGGGGCAGGAGGGAAGTAACTGTGGTAATAAAAGAGCAACATGAAGAATTTGTGATGATGGGCCAGATGCAGTGACTCATGCCTGTAATCCCAGCACTTTGGGAGGCTGAGGTGGGTGGAGTTTGAGACCAGCCTGGCCAACATGGTGAAACGCCGTCTCTACTAAAAACACAAAAATTAGCTGGGCATGGTGGCGCATGTCTGTAATCCCAGCTTTGCGAGAGGCTGAGGTAGGTGAATCGCTTGAACCCAGGATGTAGAGGTTGCAGTGAGCCAAGATCGCACCACTGCACTCCAGCCTAGGCAACAGAGTGAGACTCCATCTCAACAACAACAAAAAAAAGAATTTGTGATGATAAAAATGTTCAGTATCTTGACCATATCAATATCAATATCCTGGTAGTCATAGTGTACTATTCCTTTGTAAAATGTTTCTATTAGGCAAAACTAGGTAAAGTATACATGGGATTTCTCTGTATTATTTCTTACAACTGCATGTGAATCTATTATCTTAAATAAAATAAAAAGTTTAATTTCCTTAAAAAAAAGTATTCAGATATTTGATCTCTAAAGGTCCTTCTAAACCTGATATTCTGACTGTCACCATGATTTATGTGGATGTCTTTATGGTAGTATTCTCCAGAATGTGATCTATGGGACATGAATCCACCTCAAGATCCTGTAAGTTGTCTATGGTTAAAAAGGTTGGTTCTATGGTCAAATATGTGTGAAATGAGTACTAACATAATAAGAAAAAAAAATTAAAACCTGATTAAGAAAAGAAATTAAAACCTAATAACTTTAATCCATCATTTCTAAAACATGGCACAGTGACCCTTTCTCTTTCTTTTTCCTTCTTTTCTTTTTTATTTTTTCTTGGGAACACCTATTAGCATCCTAGCTCATTTGGTCTGCTGTAACAAAATGCCATAGACTGGATAGCTTATAAACAATAGAAATTTTTTTCCTCACAGTTCTGGAAGCTAAGTCCAAGATCAAGGTGCTGGTATATTCAGTGTCTGGTCCAACACCATTTTCTGGTCCATAGATAGCACCTTCTTGCTACGTTCTCACATGGTGTATGGAGTGAGGAATTTCTCTTTGCTTCTCTTATAAGGGCACTAATCCCATTCATGAGGAATCCTCTCTCATGATTCAATCACCTCCCAAAGTCCCCACCTCCTAATACCATCACTTTAGGGATTAGGGTTTCAACATAGGAATTTTGGGGGAATACAAGCATTCAGCCCAGAGCCAGAGCAGCATCTAATGTAATGCTGGCACTCCACAGAACCCAATTTGAAATATGATGTTATTATAAATTAACTTTTTTGACATATGGTGGCAATTTCAAGTTTTCATTTTCAGTCCTCTCAATTCCTCTCCAGCTATGTAACTGTATCCTTGCAATTTCACCTGTCTTCTCTTTGTATTTTTAATTCTTTCTCCTGCGCTGAATTCACAGCTCCCTGAGGGCAAGAACTTTGTCTTCAGAGTCATTCAGACACTTGCTTTGTACCTACTCTGCAGCTCTACAGATACTTTTCTGAGTGTCCAGGCAGTTCTTTTGTGGTTAACCTTCTGAAGTGAACTTCTGTTATTTCTGCCTTACACGAGTGTTCTATCTTCTTTGGGGAAATTGATCTTCTCCCATTTGAATCATGTCATTCTGGTGACTACTCACCACAGACTGTCACCTCCTCAACATGAGACATAACATGGTCAATGATAGTATCCCATTCTCTTTGCCAAAGATTGATTGGTCTCTGATTGATTCAGAGTCACCTAAGATGCAAACCAGGCCAAAGTCTTTTCCTGGAATTTTGCAATCTGAAGTTGGAAGAGAAGAATTCTTACCTCTTGGGTCACAGAAGCTAGAAAAATATAAGTCTGGGGAAAGCCTGTCTGTGGTAAGCAAGGATAAAGCCACTGGGAGACAAGCAGAGTTAAGGAACAGTGTCTTAGTCCATTTGTGTTGCTATAAAGGAATGCCTGAGGCTGGGCAATTTATAAATAAACAAAAGAGATTTATTTGGCACAAGGACCTGCAGACTATACAAAAAGCATGGTGCCAGCATCTGCTTCTAATGAGAGCTTCAAGCTGCTTCCACTCATGGTGAAAGGGGAATGGGAACCAGTGTGTTCAAAGATCACATGGCAAGAGAAGAAGTAAGAGAGAAGGAGAAAGGTGCTATGCTTTTTTTAACAGTGGGTTCCCACAGGAACTAATACAGCAAGAACTCATTACCATGAGGACAGAACCAAGCCATTCATGAAAGATCCACCCCATGACCCAAACACCTCCCATTAGGCTCCCACATCCAACATTGGTCAATGATTGAGGATCAAATTTCAACATAAGATTTGAAAAAGTCGAACGTCAAAACCATAAAATTCTGCCACTAGCGCCCCAAATCTCATGTCCTTCTCACATTTCAAAATAAAGTCATCCCTTCTCAATAGTCCCCAAATGTCTTAACCTGTTCCAGCATCAACTGAGAAGTTCAAAGTCTCCTATAATACTCAAGTTTCTTACAGCTGTGAGCCCTTAACATCAAAAATAAGTTCTTGTGGTGTGTTCCTATAGTCCCAGCTACTTCGGAGGCTGAGGCAGGAGGACCACTTGAGCCCAGGAGTTCTGGGCTGTAGGGCACTATGCCCATCAGTTGTCTTCACTAAGTTCAGCATCAATATGGTGACCTCCTGAGAGGAGGGGACCACCAGGTTGCCTAAGGAGGGGTGAACCAGCCCAGGTCAGAAACAGGGCAGGTCATGCAGTGCTGCAAGTTCAAATATAATTTTAAAAATTATTAAAAGAGGCCAGGTGCAGTGGCTCACACCTGTAATGCTAGCAATTTGGGAGACTGAGGCAGGTGGATTTCCTGAGCTCAGGAGTTTGAAACTCAGGGATACGTGGTGAAACCCCGTCTCTACTAAAATACCAAAAAATTAGCCTGGTGTGGCAGCATGCACCTTTAGTCCCAGCTACTTGGGAAGGTGAGGCAGGAGAATTGCTTGAACCCAGGAGGCAGAGGTTGCAGTGAGCTGAGATCGCACCACTGCACTCCAGCCTAGGCGACAGAGCAAGACCCTGTCTCAAAAAAATAAATAATTAAATAAATAAACACATACATACATACATACATACATAATAAAAAAAGAAACTAAAAATAAACAGAGCAGGTCAAAACTCTTGCACTAATCAGTAGCAGAACTGCACCTGTGAATAGCCACTGCACTCCAGCCTGGGCAATACAGTGAGACCTCATCTCTGAAAAAAACATAAAATAAATAAATAAGTTATTTACTTCCAAGATACAATGATTATACAGGCATTGGGCAAACATTCCCATGACAAAAGGGATAAGCTGGCCAAAAGAAAGGGATAAGCTGGCCAAAAGAAAGGGGTAATAGGCCTCACACAACTCCAAAACCCAGCAGGGCAGATGTTAAATCTTAAAGCTCCAAAATGATCTCCCTTGACTCCATGTCCAGCATCCTGGGCACACTAGTGTGAGGAATGGGTTCCCAAGGCCTTGTGAAGCACTGTCCCCATGGCTTTGCTGGGTGCCGCCTACGTGGCTGCTCACACAGGTCAAAGTCCAATGTCTGTGGGTTTTCCAGGCTGAGATTCCATGCTGCTGCTGGCTCTATAATTCTGGGGTCTAGAGGGTGGCAGCCCTGCCCCCACAGCTTCACTAGACAGTGTGCTCATGGGGACTCTCTATGGGGGCTCAAACCCCACACTTTTGCTCAGCATTGCATTACTAGAGTCTGCAGCAGGCTTCTGCCTGGGCATCCAGGTTTTCCTATATACATCCTCTGAAATCTAGGTAGAAGTTGAGAGCCTCTGCTCTTGAATTCTGCATCCTGCAGAATTAAAAGCATGTGGAAGCCACCAAGCAGTGGCTCAAACAGTACCTGGAGCCATTTGAGTTGTGGCTGGAGCTGTAGTGGCGGGGATTTAGAAAGCAGCATCTGGAGGTGGTACAAGACAGCAGCACTCAAGGCCATTCCCCTAAAACGATTCTGGCCTTGTAGGCCTCTGAGACTGTGATGGGAGGGGCTGCTCTGAGGATCTTTGAAATGCCTTTGGGGGCCTTTTCTCCATTGTCTTAACTATTAATACCTGATTCCCTTTCATCCGTGTTAATCTCTCTAGTAAATGGTTGCTCTGCAGCACCCTTGGATTCCTCTCCTGAAAAGTCTCTTTCCTTCTCTAATACAGGGCTAGGCTGTGAATTTTCCAGATTTTTACACTCTGCTTTCTTTTTAATTATAAATTCCACCTTTAGGTCATTTCCTTCCTCCCATACCTGATATAAGCTGTTAAAAGCAGCCATGCCACTTCTTGAATGCTTTGCTGCTTTGAAATTTCTTCAACCAGACACTCTAGGCTATCACTCTTAAGTCTGGCCTTCCTCAAAGCCTGAGAGCATGGACACAATGCAACCAAATTCTTTGTCATGAAGTAACATGGGTGACCTTGACTCCACTTCCCAGTAAGTTCCTTATTTCTACCGGAGACTTCATCAGCATGACCTTTACTGTTTACATTTTTGTCAGCATTTTGGTCACAACCACCAATAATCTCTAAGAAGTTCCTAACCTTCCTTTATCTTCCTGTCTTCTTCTGAACCCTCCAAAATCATCCAACCTCTGCCTATTACCCAGTTCCAAAGCCAGTTCCACATTTTCAGATATCTGTATAGCAATACCTGACTTCTTGGTACCAATTTTCTGTCTTGGCCCATTTGTGTTGCTGTAAAAGAATACCTGAGTCTGGGTAATTTACAAAGAAAAGAGGTTTATTTGGCTCACAGTTCTGCAGACTGTACAAGAAGCATGGCACCAGCATTTGCTTCTGGTAAGGGCTTCAGTATGCTCTCACTCATGGAAGAAGGCCAAGTGAGCCAGCATGCAGAGATCACCTGGCAAGAGAGAAAATGAGAGAAAGAGGAGGGAGGTGCCAGGCTCTTTTTAACAACCAGCTCTCATGGAACTAATAGCACAAGAACTCACTCATTGCCTTGAGAATGGCACCAAGCCATTCATGAGGGATCCACCCCCATGACCCAAACACCACCATCATTGGGGATCAAGTTTCAACACAAGATTTGAAGGGGCCAAACATTCAAACTATAGCCAAAAGAAAGAGTTCTGATGCTAGTCATTGAATCTCTGGGATCCCTGTGGATAGCTTCACTCCTGGACTTCCTACTTACTTTGGCAAACATATTCCCTTTTTGCTTAGGTGAGTTCAGGTTGGATTTTATTTGCAAATAAAAAAATATTTCTAATGAATACACTCCCATTCAGTTTTTCATTCCTACCTCATCACCCTAATAAGCAGTAAAGATTTGAGCTTGTCCTGCGTCATTTTAACTCATTTGTGTCCATTGAACACATTTTTACATTTTGATTTAAACCTGATTAGCTATTCAAGAACCCCCTGGGCTCTTCATAAATGGGATATAGATGTGTTTTGATGAAAACAAGCCAGGAAAGGTCTTAAGTATGGAGAGATGCCATGTGAGGACACAAGGCAGCCAGCAGGAGAATGAAGACCGTAGAGAGGAAAAGAGATCAAAAGAGATATAGGAAAAAGTGATCTCTAAAATAAACATACGTTAGGTGTTTCAAATGCTGATGGGAGTAAGCCTGCAGTGGTCTACCAGAGGCCTATGATAGCAGGGAGGAGGAAAGGAGAGCAGTGATGGACAGGGAAATTGGGGAAGAAGTGGCTATGACTAACATTTATTCAGTGCCTCACTTGTGCCAGACACTGTGCTGGCTGCTTTGTGCCTATTGTCTCTTAGCAGGCTCAGAAATATTAAATCATTATTAGCCCAAGGTCATAGTGGGTTCCAGATTCAAACATAAGTGTCTCTGCCTCCAAAGCCAGTGCTGTTTACACTATAAAATGGGCCTGTGTCCAGATCCCAGGATGTACAGGTTGGGAGAGGATGGAGCTTGAGGTAAGAGAGGTGCTCTCTTGAGGCAAGAGAACCAGGTCAGCCTCAGAGCAACTTCACAGACTGCAACCTCATGTAGGGCCAACCCTCTTTGCTCTGGAACAGGGAGAGCCCCAGTAGTCTCCCAGTGGGCTCCTGGAGCCTGTGACATTTGAGAACCTGACTGGGGGGAAGGGAGCAAGAAATATTTCTATGAAGCTAGGCTGTCAAAAATTGGAGAGGTGTTCAAGAAAGGTACTACTGTACTTAGAGATGGGTGTGATCCTAATCTTTTCTCTTGGTCCCCAGTGAAAGCCAACTGAACCTAGGCTGTTTGCAGTGGGAGGGAGATGTAAAAGGGAATAGCAATTTCATGAAGACTGGTTGACTCCGGAGGTAAGGAATCTGGTTCCACATTATATAATCTAAAAATGCCCCCACCACCTACCCCCACCCCCACGCACAAGAGAAGGAAAGGGGGAAAAAACATCCCAGAAATCACACAGTCAAGGCAAATGCGGCGAAATGGCTCATTGGTTACTGTGGCAACCGACTCTTCCCTGCTCCGGCTGCTTATCCCACGATCCCTCTGTCACCCTATTTTTAGACTGGAGACAACGAATGAAAACGGCTTTCAAATATTTTTTTTCTTTTCTGTGTGTCTAAGGCATGTATAACCTTTTGAAAAAGACTCAAAAGCCAGAGCTCTAGTGTGAGGCCGGTTCCCTAGTTCTGATATGAGGGATGACCCTCATTTCTCTGAGACCTGGGCCACTGCATGAGGAAGGCGCTGGGTTTCTTACGGGTTAAGTGGCAACAAATGAGGAGGAGAAACCTTGAGCATGTGGCTTAGGCATAAGTAGCCTAGCTACCAAGTAAGGTGGAGAATCTAAGTCACTGAAAATAAACCAAATAACAGGTCTTGAGGAATAAGAGGAGTTTGGAGTTATCTGGTGAGACTGACTGTGTAACTCATCTTACCTCCTTCAGTTTTAATTTTCCTCAACTGTAAAATAAAGGAGATTATGGTCTTTCAGAATTTCAGTGACCTCCAAGACTCTCTAAAGCTCTAAAATCTCTGATCATTATCAGTTTAAATGTCAGTTTCACCAACCTTGCAAAGGAATCAAGTGGTAAGAATCTACTATTGTTCCTGAGAAACAGCCCCAATTGTTAAAATTTTTTTCAGTTGGATATTTGGGAATTGTTATTCTGGACTTTCTCTATCTCCTATTCCAAAGGAAAGATACTGTTTTTAAAAACTGTTTCAGTTGATGAAAATGAGAAATGAAGAAAATGTCAACACCTTTTCTTCATATAAAACACTGAATTAGTGCAACATACACTTGAGATGCTTTTAAGAGAAAGGTGAACTTCTGCAATTCAATGGCAAATAAATTATCAACTGAAATGCAAAGCAATAGGCTTGCTATGTGGCAGAAAATAGAACAGAGTTGGAGGCAGGGAAAAGTTGGAAAATGCTCACCGAAGAAGGAGAAAAATCTAAACCAGATATAAGCCATGTGTTTTATTTAGTTGATTCAGCACAGTGGTGGGAAGGGGGCCCAAGTGTCCCAATAGGGAGGGAGTCCAGTTCTCAGGGGTGTCCTCACCCTGGCCTGGTTCACAGGGCTGAGTGAGAGAGCAGAGGAGGAGTGGTCTTTTTCGTGAGTAGTTGTTGGGGAGATATGGATCTATTTCAGGTCAGCTGAGGTCCCAGAGCAAGGGTTCTCAAAGTCCAGCATGTGGGCACATTACTGAAGTGCTTGTTAAAAATGCAAATTCTCATACACAGCATTGGTTTGTAATAATCTGGTCTTTACACTCTTCACCAAGCTAATCCCTATTTTCTGCTTGGTTTTAGCTTAGATGTCCCTTCCACAAGGAGGCCTTTTTGACTACCCTCACCACTCCCACCTCAGATAGTTTAGGTCTCTTCTCAGGTGATACTATCACATTCTAGTGCTCCTTCTTTTGTAACTTTTATTACACTTGCAACCATTTGCTTAATATCTGTCTTCTATACTGGACTGTAAGGACTGTAAGCTCTATATAAAACATGTGTCACATCTGTCTTGTTCACACTATCTCTACTGACTAACCCAGGGTCTAGCACACAGTAGACACTCAATAAGTATCTGTTCAGTCAATGAACACTGTAAGTTATCACTGTACTGGATTGAATAGTGTCCCTCAGAAATTCAGGTCTGCCCAGAACTCAGAATGGGAGCTTCTTTGGAAACAGGATCTTTGCAGATGTAATTAGTTAAAATGAGGTCCTACTGGATTCGGATGTGTCCTAAATCCAGTGAGCAGAGTCCTTATAAGAAATCTATGTCAACTTGCACGAGGACAAAGACCACATCAGTGACAGAAACAGAGACTGGAGTGATGCAGCCATAAGCAGAGGAACTCCAAGGATTGCTGGCAACCACCAGAAGCTAGGACAGAGGCAAGGACAGAGATTCTCCCTCAGAGTCTTCAGGAGGAACCAACCCTGCCTAGATTTTGGACTTCTGCCTTTTAGAACTCTGATGAGAATATAAAATGCTGTTGCATTAAGTCATCCAGTCTGTGCTGATTTGCTACAGCAGCCCTGGGAAACTAATACAATAGCCTACCCATTCAGAATCACTTTTTTATTCACTTATGATTTCTTTCATTTATTATCATGCTGTCCATGTAGTCCACTTACACCACCAAAATTCTCATATCTCCTGCTCCAATCAGGCATTTAAAAGTAATTGAAACCCAAATTGGCTTTAACAATAAAAGAAACTTATTGCTCATGACCTGGAAAGCACAGAAGTGAGATGGGTTTCACTGATGACGATGAGGAATCAATTTCCTTCCAGTCTCTCTGCTTTGCCTCCCAAAATGTAAGCTTCACCCTAAATTGGCTCCCCTCAACCCACCGTGGTCACAAAATGCCTACTTCCAACTCTCTGGGCTACAATTTTTTCATGTATTGCATTCATTATTGATTTTTGCAGGACAAATTACACCAAACTTAGTATCCTAAAACAACAATAATCATCTGTTGTTTCTTGTAGGCAATGTGTTTATGAAATTCTGGACTGGTTCAGCTGTGGGATTCTGATTAGGCATTCTCATGAGGTTGCAATCAGATATCAGCTGAAGTTGAAGACACTGAAGACCTTTCTAGGAACAGGGGATTCACTTCCAAGGTGGTTCTTTCATGTGGCTGTTAGGCTAATGCTAGCAAACTGGTTTCTGTCTATGTGGGATTCTCCACCAGCTTCAAGGGTCTTTGTGACATGGCAGCTGGCTTTCCCTGGAGCAAGAAACCCAAGACAGCATGAAGAAAATTGCAAATGTCTTTTAGCCTCAGAAGCCATCTGCCATCACTTCCACAGTATTCTCTCTTGCTCACACAGGTCAGCCCTAATTCAGTGTAGGCGGAGACTACACTGAATACCAAGGTCATGAATACCAAGAGACCCTCTTATGAACTGGCTATACCATCTATGTCCTAGAGAAGCAAGTTTGGGTTGCTTCCCGGAGTTAAAAAAAAAAAAAATGAAAACTTCTTTCCCAGAATTTTACAGAAAATGTTCTTCCTGCCAAAAGGGCACCTTTTCAAACTAGAAATTGTAGCTAACGCTTAGGATTGAGCTAAATTAAGCATGAACTACATATCTCACCCTTTGGACTTAGCAGGGCCGAGGGGTACGAATACTTAAATAAAAATCTGGGTAGGTACCAGGAGAAGGGAGAATGTGCTAAGGAGGCAGCCATAACACAGTGTTTACTAAATCTAGTAACTTGACCCCAGGAACTTCTATTTCAGTAAATGCTCTAGTATGCTTGAAGACTTAAAAAAAAAAAAGTTTGAAGATTTTTTTAAAAAATATAACCACATAGCTTTAAAAAATTATATCTTTAAAAACTAACATTAATTCATTATCATCATTAAATATCCAATTAGCATTTAAATGTCCCTAACTACTTGATTGTCCTATAAAATTTTTATATTATTTTGCTTGTTTTTTATTTTAAGTGGGATCCAAACACTGCATTTGGTTAATGTCTCTTAAGTCTCATTTAATGCATTTCTCATACAAATCTTCCTTCATTGCAGTTTATCTTTTGAAGAAACCAGGTCGTTAATCCTGCAAAATTTCTCACAGTCTGGATTTTGCTGATTGCATTCCCTTGGTGTTGTGTAACATGTTCCTCTGTCCTCTGTATTGCCTGTAAACTGACAGTTAGAGCTGGAGGCTTCATCTGATTCAGGCTTCATGCAGGAGTAGGGTGAGGGGGGTTGTCAAGAATATTTTACAGATATATGTATATGGCAATCTGTATTTTAACAAACATACTTTTTTTAAGTAAATTATTTCTTATTATCAACATTCATGGAACTGACATTAGATATCTATATGGAGAGGAGAAAGCTTTAGAGTTTAGAGCCATGACTGTAAAACTCTAATAGACAACAGAGTCAACTGGGAAGACTTATTTAAACAGATTGCGGGCCTCGCCCCTGGAGCTTTTTATTCAGTGAATATGAGATAAGGCCCCAAAATTTGCATTAATAACAAGCTACCAGGCAATGCTGATGCTGCTGTTCTTAGAACCACACTTTGTGAACCTCTCCTTTAGAGCATGGTGGGTCTAACATTTGAGGAAGGCTCTGACACCTGAACACCTGCGATGAAATTCTTCTTTTGCCACATGACAGCTGAACAGGTTTGGGAAACTACGTCAACTCTCTAAACCTCAATTCCCTTATTTGTAAAATGGGGTCAATCATAACACGACCCAGCTTAGATACAGTGGTAAAAGGGTTAAATGAGATACTATACCTTTATCATTGAGCCTTGTCAATAATCAATATTCAACAAATGTGGTGGTAGTTGTTGTAGTAGTAATTATAATTATCAATATTATTATTCGTTTGCTGGTTTTATAATCTACAATCAGGCCATAAGAAATTATTGCACTGCACCAGTTCCAAGGAATCTGTCTGGGACACCTGCAGCCTTGGAGGTAGGAGTTGTTAGTCAAGTTGTGGCTGTGGACTACATCAAAGTGAAAAATAGGAAGGACAATGAGGGAAAGTTCTGTTTCTGTTTAGAGTTAGAGGTATTCTTCCAAATGGGGCATCAAGGAACCGGTCCTTCTACACAAACACCAGGTCTATCATGTGGACAGCTCAGTAACTTTTCCCAATATCATAGATAAAGGGACTCATCTCTCAACCATCAACGGAACAATTTCAACATTGTGCAGGATGTGCAGACACAGACAAGCAGCCAAAAAAGTCAGAAAAAGATAACTAAGAGAAATTTAAAATAAGGGGAGCAACAATAACATAAATTAAATTTAAAATAAGAGGAGCAACAATAATATTTGAAATATTAAGAACATTTCTAATTTGGCTGGGCACAGTGGTGCATGCCTATAGTCCCAGCTACTCCAGAGGCTGAAGCAGCAGGAATCCATGAGCCCAGGAGTCCAAGGCCAGCCTGGGCAACAGAGTAAGACCCCACCTCTAAAAAAAAAAAAAATTAAACTTCACTGGTCATTACAAGTAAATACTAAGGATTCCCTAGGGTGTTGTACCTCTGTAACTTCCTTGGTTCTACCATCACTTGTTTAAATCACCAGCCCAAAGCAAACTAAAGGAGACTCAAGCCAATTTGTAAGAAGATAGTACTGAAGAAGAAAGGAGACAACACAGGCACTGTGATTAAATCTTGAACTGGTCCTAGATTTTTAAAAAGATTGCTGATCCCTAGCAAGGGCAAATAAGATGTCAGAGTAAGAACCACATACATATAGGCATATATATAAAACTGCAGTGGAAACTATTAATGAGGAAATAATACAGAATAATGGCTAAGAATCAGCAGATGTAGGTTTTAATTTTCTTTCTGCCATTCATGTGCTGTGTGACCTTGGAGAAGCTGCACAATCTCTCTGAACATCAATTTCTTCATGATAGTAATTTAATTGTTATTACTATTTTTACTATTATTGTTTCTACAGGAATATTTACGGATCTTATGTCCCACCCAGGGACTCTCATACTGTCACGATTCTTTTTTCTTTTTTTATTTTTTGAGACAGTCTCACTCTGTCACCCAGGCTGGAGTGCAGTGGCACAATCTCAGCTCGCTGCAGCCTCTGCCTCCCAGGTTCAAGCGAGTCTCGTGCCTCAGCCTCTGGAGTAGCTAGGATTACAGGCGTACGCCACCACGTGTGACTAATTTTTGTATTTTTAGTAGAGACGGGGTTTCTCCATGCTGCCCAGGCTGGTCTCTAACTGCTGGCCTCAAGTAATCTGCCCGCCTCAACCTCCCAAAGTGCTGGGATTACAGGTGTGAGTCACCACACCCAGCCACACAATTCTTATCTAAGCTGAATAATATGATTCCTGCTCATTGTGATTGTAGAGAAAGTAAACAGAAGCTTATTGGTTGGAGAAAACACTCTTAGAGCTAGTGATGATAATGAATCTGCCTCAAAGAGGCCATCTGAAGAGAAGGAAGATTGGGTTTGATGGCTTAGGAAACCGCTGTCACAAGCTGCAAAGAGTCAGAAATTTTACCCTGCTTGAAAGCTAACAAGGTAGTCTACAGTTTAATGGACAGAAGATGATGTGTGGATCAAAGACAAAGGACTTTATTCCTCAGTGGGCAACATGAGCATCAGCATATCTACACAGTTTCCCTTGTCCCCAAGTCCAACAGGGGTGACATGACGGGACCCAATAATACCTGCTCACACAATGGGGTGCCTTATAGGAGAGGAGCCCAAGTCCTAGCATCCGGAAATGTTCCCTCAAGCAGCAAACATTGTAGCAAGCAAAAAATAAGTTAGTCCCCCTCCTCCTAGGGCGCAAGCAGTTACAGGGTGGTCACACTGTGGTCAGCTAAACTTGCTTACTTGCCTGTGACTAGCTACAGAACTGTTCAGCATCAGGAGGTAGGTGAGCCATTTTGCAAGAATGTGTAGGAATGCTCAGGGCCCATAGCTAACTGCCTGCCTAATGGGGCACTCACACTTACTGAGTGCCTTCTAAGTACCAGGCAGTCTGTGGGGTGCTTTATTAGTATTTTTGCAGGTATTTTTCCATTTATTCAGAGTTGGAGTGTGGTCCTTCATCAGGATACAAAGTCAAGGTCTTTCAAATGGATCATAAGACATCTACTCACCACATCTCTAAAGTATATGATTATTATTTCAACCCACACAAGATATCTGGAGTTCAGGAGACCTTAATTATGAAGTACCTTTTATAAGTTCCTAACAAAAACCCAGTTCTGACCACTGATGCTTAAGAAAGATAGACTATAGGAATTTTAACTTTTCATTCTTCTTGTTTTTCTTTTAGAATTTCCAAGCTATGTCATGTCACTTCACTGGAAAGTCATATACCTGAATACTGCTCTAGTTCTTTATAGAAATGGCTTCACAAACTATGACTTAATACTATGCCCTCATTTTTCTATCAGAAACTGGTGTAGATAATGCTAAATAAAGAACACCTTGTTTTGTTGAAGATATGTCCACTATGTATACCAACATCTGCAAAGATTTACAACATAATTTTTTTGAATTTAATTCCAGTAAGACATTTGTGCAGTATGTTTACTCATATTAGATATGAGAGCTAGATAACCCAAACTGATTCCCTTGTTTCCCTGGCTCTAAGAAAATCCAGAATTAAGTCTTGGACTTAAAAGTAGACATTTCCTGGCTGGGCGCAGTGGCTCACACCTGTAATCCCAACACTTTGGGAAGCTGAGGTGGATGGATCACCTAAGACCAGGAGTTCAAGACCAGCCTGGCCAACATGACAAAACCCCATTTCTACTAAGAATACAAAAATCAGCCAAGCATAGTGATGGGCACCTGTAATCCCAGCTACTCAGGAGGCTGAAGGAGGAGAATCACTTGAACCCAGGAGGCAGAGACTGCAGTGAGCCCAGATCATGCCACTACACTCCAGCCTGGGTGACAGAGTGAGACCCTGTCTCAAAAAAAAAAAAAAAAAAAAAAAAAGCAAACATTTCCCTTAAACTTGAGTTTTCTGGAATAATTATTCAATGTCCTTCACTGCTTGGCCCTTATGTTTGCATTTTTACTTCAGTGCTCTAAAGAATTATGGTACATTTTCTCAAATAATGTTTTGAAAGTAAACGGAGTAAAAGCAATTAGTCAATGAAGGAACAAAACTACCCAAGTTTTGGGTTATTTCATTTATTATTACTAGTATTTTGCCTAAGTACCCATAAAGCTTTTTAGTTTAAAACATAATCCTCAAATTAGTCTTAGCCTTACAAAATATAAATTGAGCTTCCAAAAGTTAGTTAGCATGCCTTATATTATGAATTTTCCTGACTGTGCTTTTATTAGGGTTTAATCAGAGACTATTGTAAGAATCTCTAATCTGGGTTCTAAGCATTTGACATTATTAAACAGCTAAATGAAAGAGAACAGAAGGGTTGCAAAGTAGAAAATGTATTTTATTTTTAAATTGAACGCCATTATATTTGTAATAACATTGCATGCTAAGAAGCATTAGGCAGCTCTGTCAGTTCCTGCTTCATACAGTCTAAATAAAACTGGAGAGCAATTTCTGAGAAGCCAAGGGGGTGAGGATCTCATGTCTACCCCAGAGCGATTCCCAAGAATAGCAGGTCGGAAGTTCTAAGGTACAAGTGAAAGGCTGTCTGAAGTTCTGTTTGGTTGTTGACCTACTGCTGGCTGCTAGGTTTGCCCAAGGGGTATCAGTGATAATAGGCTAGTCATAGGTCAGTCATTGCACAGATACACTCATCATCCTGGGAAGGCCTCGGATGTGCCTGGAACGACCGATGTGAGTCATGAAGGCCCCCTTGGAAGACCACATCCAACCCCATACTTCTCACCTGGACTGTGACTTAAGCAAAGTCCTCCTGAAGACCAGAGAGATGATCTACCATGAGTGTGCTCCGTCGGAAAACACCCAAATCCTTAAGGACATACAACCTCTTCCTGGGACCCCACATCCACCCTTGCTCTGGGGGTGGCCTAAATGAGGGTGAAGACTCAGCTAGAAGAATAAGGGGCAGCAAACATACCTGCTTGCTACAAAAGAAAAGAGAGCAGAGAGTCAACACTCAATCTTGTTTCCTGACATCACCTGAGTCTGTAACTCCATCGGAGGATTTAGGGGGCAAAAATTAAACTCTCAAAAATGATTTTAAAGATTTTAACCTGTAATTTAAAGAGTAAACATTTGTCATCCTGTTTTGGGTTGCACTGTGTCACAAACCAGAAACAAATAAAATTTTCAAACCAGCAGCTAACTTTAGCACGGTTGAGCCGGGACCATCCACAGTGAGAGAGGCTGCCAGCACAGACAGTACCCTCTGCTGGGCAAAAGGGTCCCTACAGCCCCTCTTAGCAGGGCTAAAGCTGTGTGTAACAGGGTGACCCTCCAAGCTGCCCTGGCCCCCAAAGCCGAATAGCCCATGGGAGTGTCATGGCTAATTTTCCATCTTCGGATATGAGCTCAAGAAATATACATGGCCGGGCGTGCTGGCTCACACCTGTAATTCCAGAACTTTGGGAGGCTGAGGCAGGTGGATCACTTGAGGTCAGGAGTTTGAGACCAGCCTGACCAACATGTAGAAACCTTGTCTCTACTAAAAATACAAAAAATAATAATAATAATAATTAGCAGGGCATCGTGGCAGGTGACTGTAATCCCAGCTACCCAGGAGGCTGAGGCACGAGAATCACTTGAACCCAGGAGGCAGAGGTTGCAGTGAGCTGAGATCGCACCACTGCACTCCAGCCTGGGAGATAGAGTTAGACTCAGTCTCAAAAAAAAAAGAAAGAAAAGAAAAGAAAAGAAAAAAGAGAAGAGAAGAGAAAACAGAAAAGAAAAATGCTTGAGAAAAAGCAAACACCAGAAAGCCAGAGCAGGTGGGAAAGAACAAAAGGCATTTTTCTGCTTCTCTCCACTTTTTACCAACTGCTGCTCACAGCACTTTCTGCTGAAATGTTATTGCTGCTAAGGTGTCAGCAGATGAGAGACAAGTTTCTGCCTTCCCTTGAGACATCTGGATTTCCAAAGCAGGCTTTTGAAAGCTAAAAAGTTTTCAAGCCCCAAATGAGAATGGGTTTGGATTTATTCAAAAAAGGACCATACACATGGGAGAGAGATTTTCCTGGCACACTTCAAACCACATTTTCCAGGAAAGGAAGACTTTCAAGTAGCTCTGCTCAGGTCAGACTTAGGGATACGGGATACTCAAGGGATAGCATAGGATAGCCTGGGCAGAGTAGGGGGGTCGGGGGACATCCCTGTCTTCAACTGAAATGCAAGAATATGTTATAGAAGAACGATCACTATTGGGAAAAGGATGGTTTCATCTAATGTATTTGAAATTATATGAAGGGTTGGTTGATTCCACTTGACAACTATGTATGGAGATCCTCTTAGGAGCTATACTGTGAGATACTAAAGTATACAAAAATTACTAAGACACAATGCCTACCCTCAAGGTGCTCAGTCTGGCAGAGGAGATAAACATGGAAATACCAATGCATTGAGGCCCATACTATACTAGCTTTATGTTCAAAGTGCCATCACCCAAGAAGAAAGAGTGGAGGAGGCCTTTTCAAACATAAGTATAGAAGAGAGATCTTGACTTTAAAAATGCTAATCTCTCATATAAAAGTTTTTAATGAGGCTAGTGCTAGATAAGGGAAAGAAACGGAGAAATGAAGCAAAAATGAGACCTGTAAATTAAGTAAGACCTATTGCAAAAGAATTTTTCCTTTTGCTTTTTAAACTTGCAGCCATTTCAGATGCATAATTATTAACTGTGTCACAAGAATAAAAAAATAAACAGAGCATGGAAGATGATAGTGCACATAAATATTAGATCTTAATATTCATGAAACCTTGGCCATTCACTACATTTAGGGTTAGGGCCAGGAAACCAGAAGGTGAACAGAAAGAGAAAATTGTAATATAGAAGGAAAATCAGATGAAAGCATTACCAAATATTTCAATAAAAGTGGAACTAAGGCCAAATAGGACAAAAGGCAGAGCTGCAGAGGCAGATGATTTATTAACAGAGCTACTAAATTCTGTGTCAAGGGTAATTTCAAGTTACAAAGACTGAAGCTAAGAAAGAATGAAGTAGAAAGTCCAGAGAATTGGGAGTTTAGAGACCAGATTCTAGACTTAGCTGCACTGCTGACAAATAAGGGGACCTCTGTAGACCTTGGTTTCCACATCTGTAAAAAGATAAGGTAGACCGGGTGCAGTGGCTCACGCCTGTAATCCCAGCACTTTGGGAGGCTGAGGCAAGCAGATCACTTGAGGGCACGAGTTCAAGACCAGCCTGGCCAATATGGCAAAACCCGGCCTCTACTAAAAACACAAAAATTAGCCAGGGCATAGTGGCACACACCTATAATCCCAGCTACTCGGGAGGCTGAGGCAGGAGAATTGCTTGAACTTAAGAGGCAGAGGTTGCAGTCAGCCGAGATTGTACCACTACACTCCAGCCTGGGAGACAAAAAAAAAAAAAAAAAGATATACTAGAGGCTCTTTAAGTTTCCTTGCATCTCATCGGAAAAAAAAGAGCTGGCTGGGCGCAGTGGCTCATGTCTGTAATTTTAGCACTTTGGGAGGCTGAGGCAGGCAGATTGCCTGAGCTCAGGAGTTCGAGACCAGCCTGGTCAACATGGTGAAACCCCGTCTCTACTAAAATACAAAAGAAATTAGCCAGGCATGGTGACTTGCGCCTGTAGTCCCAGCTACTTGGGAGGCTGAGGCAGGAGAATGGCGTGAACCCAGGAGGCAGAGATTGCAATGAGCCGAGATTGCGCCACTGCACTCCACTTTGGGTGACAGAGCGAAACTCCATCTCAAAAAAAAAAAGAGCTGAAACATGGATAACATATAGCACCCATTCATTCATGTCAACAAATATTGGGCACACATATAGCATGTTCCTGGCATATAAGGACATCATGGAGAATAAGGAGTTTATACTCTGTCAGGGAAGACAATCATAGGAGACAAGAAAGGGTAAGAACAGTACTTGGGAATATTTTCAATTCAGTTATTGAACACTGTGGTAGCAGCCTCCAAGATGGCCCCCAATAATCCTTGTCTCAAGTATTCACGTCCCTGTGTAATTTGCACCCACACTGTACCAAGGTTGTTCTCTATGATTGACAGTATACAGCACAAATAATGGCAGATCACTTCCAAGATTCTTAGATTATAAAAGACTGCAGCCTCAGTCTTCAGTACCCTATCCCCATCCATCTGTATCTGCATCTGTATGTCTATGTCTATGTCTATCCCCATCTCTATCTCCATCTCTCTTGGATCGCCTGCTGTTTTGACTTACGTTTGATGCTCTTTTCACTATACTGCATTGACTCTTTAAAATGAATTAATTTCATAGATAAATAAGGTTCAAGTGGATTAAGTAATTTGTTCAAGATTCTATAGCAAGTAGCTGAGCCTCTGCACTAACCTATCAAACACAACTCCATTGTTTAGGATAATCTTTTTCCTTCTGTCAAACTTCACTGACCTTGAGATAATTAGCTCAATGAACATTAAAAGAAACCAGAGCTGTCCTTGAAAGGTAAGCTGGGGTGTTTGCCTCAGGTCTTCCAATTCGAGGTGAGTGCTATATCAGTGATTCATACTTAGTGATCTATTCATCCATTTACTCAACAAGTATTTTTTAACACCCATTTAAGCACAGTGGGTTGTAAGAAATACAAAATGCTGAGATTTATTAATCTAATCAGGAATAAAAGGTGAATGTCATGAAAAATTAGAATAAGATCATTATATGTCTGCCTGCTGAACGAATGATGTGAACAGTATATACAGTAAGCATTTAAAAAGAATCATAGAACCTTAAAAAATGAAAGAATAAAGAAAATCCACTGTTTTCCGGAAAAATCATACCACACTCTCAGGCAATGGAATCTAGACTTAGAAACCCTGACTTTTTTTTTGTTTCCATTCATATTTTAGATTCAGGAGGTCCATGTGCAGGTTTGTTACAGGGTATATTGTGCGGTGCTGAGGTTTGGGCTTCCATTGATCCTGTCACTCAGACAGTGAACATACCACCCAATAGAAAGTTTTTCACGCTTTGCCCCCTTCCCTATCTCCCTCCTTTTGGAGTCCTCAGTGTCAGTTGTTCCCATCTTTATGTCCATGTGAATCCAAGATTTAGCTCCCACTAATAAGAGACCCGGACTCTTATTCCCTCAAAGTTACTTTCTCTCATAGGGATAGCCCATCAGTTACCATTACGAATACTACCAGACCCCAGGAGACACTGCTTTCTCCTTTAATATTTTGGCTGTGACTTGGTCATCAGGCTAAAGAATTTAAACTCTGATTCCATAATTGTTGAAAGTTTTTGAGCTAAATTCACAACAGGGATGAGAACTGAGGTGTCAGAGGCAGGGGGATTGACGTCAACACCCCCAGCTCTCACCGGGCCAGCAGGGCAGGACCACCACCTGGTGACAGGCACAGATGGGCAGCAGAGTCCTCCAGAGAGAGAGTGGGGCAGGGCACTAGAAGGGGCTGTGAGCGTTGCAGTGCTTGACTGACTGGCAAGGACTTTTTCATGCCCAGCTTCAAGAGACCCTGTTTTTATTTATTTATTTTATTTTATTTTATTTTATTTATTTTTTTTTTATGGAGTCTTGCTCTGTCTGTCACCCAGGCTGGAGTGCAATGGTGCAATCCCAGCTCACTGCAACCTCCGCCTTCCGGGTTCAAGTGATTCTCCTGCCTCAACCCCTGGAGTAGCTATGATTACAGGCGCATGCCACCACGCCTGGTTAATTTTTTTATTTTTAGCAGAGACGAGGTTTCACCATTGTTGGCCAGGCTGGTCTCGAACTCCTGACCTCAAGTGATCCAATCCACCTGCCTTGGCCTCCCAAAGTGCTGGGTTTATAGGCGTGAGCCACTGTGCCCGGCCAAGACCCTTTTTTAGCTTCATGAAGAGCAGAGAAAAATGCAGGTGTTTTAAGAAGATTGATATGGCCCTAGGTTCTCAATATTTTTAGCTTTCTGGCCCTCTGGTGTCATGAAGTCACAGTAAAGATAACAGAAACTACCTACTTTCAGCATATGCTGATTTTCACAGAGGATTGTGAGAAATGGACTGCAAAAGTAAAAAGGGAAAATTCCAAGCAGGAATGAAAAAAATATTTGAATCTATGCATGTTTTTCAAGTCAGGAGGTAGACAAGGGCTCCTTTTTACCCCTAGAGGCCCCACAGGCACCTTGAGTTTACTGTGCTCCAGAGTGTTGGTTTTCTCCTTAGTACCTGTCCTTCCTTTTACATTCTGTGATATGGTGAATGACATCACCATCTACGCACTTAGGCCCAAATCCAAGGAGCAATTCTCTCTACCTCTTCTTCCTCCTGACCCTACAATCAGTGACTATATTGTAAATTCTGCTTCCTGAGTATCTCTCTAGTCTATGTCCTCACCTTCTTATTTACTATGTGAGTCTTGGTGAAAACTCTCATTCTCTCTACCCCAGATCGAACAGTTCCTTTAAATGGATGGGTATTTCTCAAAGATAATGTATTAGTCCCTTCTCACACTGCTAATAAAGACATACCTGAGACTGTGTAATTTATAAAGGAAAGAGGTTTAATGAACTCCCAGTTCCACATGGCTGGGGAGGCCTCACAATCATGGACAAAGACGAAGGAAGAGCAAAGGGATGTCATACATGGCAGCAGGCAAAGAGAGAGCTTGTGCAGGGGAATTCCCATTTATAAAACCATCAGATCTCATGAGATTTATTCACTACCACGAGAACAGTATGGAGAAACCACTCCCATGGTTCAATTATCTCCACCTGGCCCTGCCCTTGACACATGGGGATTATTACAATTCATGGTGAGATTTGGGTGGGGACACAGCCAAACCATATCATTCCACCCCTGGGCCCCTCCTAAATCTCATGTGCTCACATTTCAAAACCAATCATGCCTTCCCAACAGTCCCTTATAGTCTTAACACATTTCAGCATTAACTCAAAAGTCCACAATCCAAAGTCTCATCTGAGACAAGGCAAGTTCCTTCCACCTATGGGCCTGTAAAATCAAAAGCAAGTTAGTTACTTCCTAAATACAGTGGGGGTACAGGCATTGGGTAAGTACACCCATTCCAAATGGGAGAAATTGGTCAAAACAAAGGGCTACAGACCCCAGGCAAGTCTGAAATCCAGTGGGGCAGTCAAATCCTAAAGCTCCAAAATGATCTCCTTTGATTTCATGTCTCACATCCAGGTAATGCTGATGTAAGAGGTGGGTTTCCACAGTCTTGGGCAGCTCCACTCCTGTGGCTTTACAGGGTACAGCCCTGTTTTCAGCTGCTTTCACAGGCTGGCATTGTGTGTCTGCAGCTTTTCCAGGCACACAGTACAAGCCGTCAGTGGATCTACCATTCTGGGGTCTGGAGGATGGTGGCCTTCTTCTCACAGCTCCACTTGGCAGTGCCCCAGTGGGGACTCTGTGTGGGGTCTCCCACCCAACATTTCCCTTCCACACTGCCTTAGCAGAGTTTTTCCATGAGGGCTCCACCGCTGCAGCAAACATCTGTCTGGAGATACAGGCATTTCCATACATCCTCTGAAATCTAGGCAAAGGTTCCCAAACCTCAATTCTTGACTTCTGTGCATTTGTAGGCTCAACACCATGTGGAAGCTGCCAAAGCTTGGGGCTTGCACCTGCTGAAGCCACAGGCCAAGCTGTTCTTTGGCCCCTTTTAGCCATGACTGGGATGCAGGGCACCAAGTCCAAGACTACACAAAGCAGCAAGGCCCTGGGCCTGGCCCAGGAAACCACTTTTCCCTCCTAAGACTCCAGGCCTGTGAAGAGAGGGGCTGCCATGACGACCTCTGACATGCCTTGGAGACATTTTCCCCATGGTCTTGGTGATTAACATTTGGCTCCTCATTACTTATGCAAATTTCTGCAGCTATCTTAAATTTCTCCTCAGAAAATGGGTTTTTCTTTTCTACCACATCATCAGGCTACACATTTTCTGAACGTTTATGCTCTGCTTCTCTTTGTGAATATAGAAAGCTGAATGCTTTTAACAGCACCCAGGTCACCTCTTGAAGGCTCTGCTGCTTAGAAATCTCTTCTGCCAGATGCCCTAAATCAGCTCTCTCAAGTTCAAAGTTCCACAGATCTCTGGGGCAGGGGCAAAATGCCATCAGTCTCTTGCTAAAACATAGCAAGTCTTGCTAAAACATGCCTCGTCTCCATCTGAGACCACCTCAGCCTGGACTTTATTGTCCATATCACTATCAGCATTTTGGTCAAAACCATTCAACAATTGCTAGGAAGTTTTTTCAAACTTTCCCTCTAAACCATTCCAACCTCTGCCTGTTACCCAGTTCCAAAGTCGCTTCCACATTTTCAGGTATCTTTATAGTAGTGCCCCACTCCTGGCACCAATTTACTGTGTTAGTCTGTTCTCATGATGCTAATAAAGACATACATGAGACTGGGTAATTTATAAGGGAAAGAGGTTTAATGGACTCACAGTTCCACAGGACGGGGAGGCCTCACAATAAGGGAGGAAGATGAACGCGGAGCAAAGGGATGTCTTACATGGTGACAGGCAAAGAGAAAACTTGTGCAGGGGAACTCCCATTTATGAAACCATCAAATCTCATGAGATTTATTCACTACCACGAGAACAGTATGGCAGAAACTGCCCCCATGATTCTGTTATTTCCACCTGGCTCCACCCTGGACACATGGGGATTATTACAGTTTAAGATGAGATTTGAGTGGTGACACAAACCATATCAGACACTGTTCCATGATTGTATCAGTCAGCATCCAGCAGGAAGCTGGCTACGCATGCAGAGGTGACACTTGAAGACATTTGAATAAATAAATTATTTTCAAAGGTGTGGGCTGGTACAGGAACCAGCAAAGGATAGTGATGCACCCCTAGATTAGCAATAGCAGGAAGTCATTGCCACTGTGAGGTCTGAAGGGGCAGAGGAAGGAGAGAACTATGGCTATAGAATCTAGAGTGAGCTGTAGCTATAGAAATGGGACCTCTCATTTTCATTACCAAAAATGATAAGTGTGTGAGGTAGCACGTGTTAATTAGCTCAATTTAGCCACTCCATAATGTATACATATTTCAAAATAACATATTGTACACAATTAATATAGATAACTTTCATTTGTCAAATAAAAAACTAAAAATAATGAACAAATGAAAAAAGGGACTTCCTAACATGAATTATGACCTCAGGTAGAGCCACTGGCAAACTGAGGCCCAACTGAAGAGGGTTAGAAATGTTCTAGGCCAGTCATGGTGGATCACACCTGTAATCCCAGCACTTTGGGAGGCTGAGGTGAGAGAATCCCTTGAGCGCAAAAGTTCGAGACCAGCCTGGGCAATATAGTGAAACTTTGTTTCTACACAAAATTTTTAAAATTATCCAGGTTTAGTGGTGCATGCCTGCAGTCCCAGCTACTCTGGAGGCTTAGATGGGAGAATGGCTTGAGCCCAGGAAGCAGAGGCTACAGTGAGCTATGATTGTGTCATTGCACTCCACTCCACCCTGAGTGACAGAGTGAGGCCCTGTTGACAAAAATTTTTTAAAAAGGAAAGAAAAACAGATAGGAAGAAAATTTTCTGTGCTGTCTTTCTTCCTACCTCTGATCTCCTCCTGGTTTCCCCCATTGGCTGAACCCAACAAGAAGGGAGCAGGCAAGAGAGTCAAGCTGGGACATTTCCAGAAGGTCAGCCTCCTGGAGTCAGGGTAGAGAAAGGTGGGGATCAAACCCAGATGGACAAAAGGAGAATATCCACAACAAAGGCATTTCACAGGACCCATTTGCACATTAAAATATTTTAAGAGACCTCTGGCAAAGAAACCTCTTCAAATTTATTTACCCAGTGTTTTTCTGATCTTTCTGAATTTAATCTTGCTCAGCTGCATCTACTTCCTAAATGCCACCACGTATGACTTCTTAAAGCACAAATCTTAGCAAGTTATTTCTCTGCTCAAACATCTGTCGAAGGTTCCCCATTACCATAAAATGGACGCCTCTCCCTGACCCTCATACCATCGCCCACCTAACATACACACATACCAGACCATCACTGACTCCTAATTTATACTCCAGGCTGACTGAGCTGCTTAGGGTTCCCTGTTTCATGACCCCATGCGGTCCTTCCACCTAGAATGCCCCAGTGATCCCAATGCCTGCATTAATATGATCAAGTGGACCCTTTTCATAAAACCTTTTCCAATGAACTAGACTGGATGACACTTATTTTTATGCTCCTGCGGTACTTCTTTAGGCTTGCAACTGGTCTATCATACAGTAGTAACTCTGTTTGATTTTTATCTCCTTGATGAGGCTGAAGAATGTCTTGAGGTCAGGCTCAGTGGGTAACACTGCTTTGTATCCCTGCTGCTCAGCTCAATGCCCAGCAAACAATAGAGGCCCAGGGAATGTTGGTTGACTTGAGTTCTTCCTCTGTGTGAGAGCCATATGGGTGGTAAGCAAGCAGAAGTGAGATCTTTCCAGAACACACCCCCGAGTCATGAGCAGAGGGGAGACCAAAAATGTCTGCACCTTGGACTCCTTGTGTTTGGTTCTATTATTCCTACTCATAGACGCTGAAGTGACTGCTAGGAAAAAAATAATAAGATGTGAGGCCGGGCGCGGTGGCTCACCCCTGTAATCCCAGCACTTTGGGAGGCCGAGGCGGGTGGATCACCAGGTCAGGAGTTCAAGACAAGCCTGGCCAACATGGTAAAACCCCATCTCTACTAAAAACACAAAAAATTAGCCGGGCGCAGTGGCAGACGCCTGTAGTCCCAGCTACTCGGGAGGCTGAGGCAGGAGAATCGCTTGAACTCGGAGGGCGGAGGTTGCAGTGAGCCGAGATCGCACCACTGCATTCCAGCCTGGGCAACAGAGTGAGACTCCATCTCAAAAAAAAAATATTCAAGTAATTGTCACAACACATAGGGAACTTACTTCTTGAATAACTCCTAAATACCTGCCTGCAAACACCAATACCAAAAATGGTGACAGGGACTCCCCTCAAATAGTTCAGAACACAAGTGCCTTGAAGAGCTATTGTGTTTTCATAGGTCCTGCCCCTTGCCTGTCTGTGACTGTCTTGCATTAGGCTAATTATAAATTTAGATTTCCCAGTTAGGTCTATACCATGAAATAACCAGCCCACAGAATAAAACTCGGGTCCAAATTCTTCCAGGTGTTCCTCTGGAAGTAAGACTGGCCTGTTAACAGACACAATCCCAGACACCTTCAGAAGTGGCAGGGGAACTCCAGCCAGCTGCAGTACCACTGACCTCATTGCAGTAGGCTGAGTGATGGGAAAAGCACTGGATTACAAATCAGATGGAAAAAGGTGAGGGGAATGCTTTCAATCCTAACTCTACCCCTTTACCAACTGGGTGGCCAAGTTACTCAATGCCTTTAAGTCAGTTTCCCCATCTGCAAAATAAGAGTAAAACCCACCTCACACGGTTATTACCAGGATTTAATGAGATAGCACGGGATGGAGATTAGCAGAGACCTGATAAATTTGTGTTTCTGTTTCTACTACCTTAATTATCTCTTCTTTGAAGAGGCTGCCTTTCTAATTTTGGAAGCAGGCAGGTGACTTGGATGGGTGCAGTGAGGTATGCTACCTTGTTTGTTTAAATTTTAAAAAAAAATTAATTTCAAAGCTTCCTTATGGCAATCGTGTGACAGAAATAAAACTAGGCAGTTGTTGCTATGCGACATCAGTAGCTTGCCGAGGGACTGGATATATCTTTGCTGTTACTTATCTTTAGTAGAATCTTGAGCAACATTTTTCTGACTACCCAATGTTATCCTGTTCTCATTATGTAAAAAAACAGTTGAGATGGGAAATTGGGGAGGAAGTCCTGCCCTGAGGTTCACTGGATAACGGCTGGTCCACAGACACCTTAGTACAAGACTTTGTGTGTCCTCTTTCCATTTTTGGTTCTTTTTCCTTAATCTGTTTCCCCCCATTTTCTTCGCTTTTATAAAAGAAAATATTGGGGTTTTTTAGACCTTTTTCATTCTGGCTGGAGTGCAGTGGCACGATCTTGGCTCACTGCAACCTCCACCTCCCAGGTTCAAGAGATTATCCTGCCCCAGCCTCCCCAGTAGCTGGGCTTACAGGTGCCTGCCACCACGCCCAGCTAATTTTTTATATTTTTAGTAGAGACTAAACTAATTTTTTATATTTTTAGTAGAGACTAAACACTATGTTGGCCAGGCTGGTGTCAAACTCCTGACCTCGTGATCCGCCCACCTTGGCCTCCCAAAGTGCTGGGATCACAGGCGTGAGCCACCGCGCCCGGAATCTAGGCCTTTCCTTGATGGTGTCTTTCTCAGTTTTGGTTGGGTGTTGGACCTTGACCCTTTTAAAGCAACAAATATTAGGATTTATCTAAAAATTGGATTCATAGCTAGTCCATCCAATAAATGTCTCTCTCTACTTTTCACTTAACAAAAGACATGACAAAGTTCATATAAATGTTTTTTGTGAAATATTTAACTTCATGGTCTTGGGTTATTCTCATCTTCACTCGTGTGCTGGTGTACAATCTTCATACTTCATAGTTTCTTCTAACACATTCCTTTCTTTGAAAAAAAAAAAAAAAAAAAAACCCTGGCCAACATGGTAAAACCCATCTCTATCAAAAATTAGCCAAACGTGGTGGTGCACACCTGTGGTTCCAGCTACTCAGGAGGCTGAGGCTTGAGGATCACTTGAACCCGGGAAGCAGAGGTTGCAATGAGTCCAGATCGTGCCACTGCACTCCAGCCCTCCAGCCTGGGCAATACAGTGAGAACCTCTCTCAAAAACAAACAAACAAAACTTTAACTGCATTAAAAACAAATAAGTCTGCAGTAAAACTCCTAAATGTGTCTTGTCCCTAACTCCTCCCCTTTGTCCATGTCCCCTTTTCAATCCAGAGCTCTTACCAATTCTGTCCTTCCTACTCCTCTCTGCCGGCTCTTCTGCTCTCATCCAAGTACATGCTTGAGTTCACCTGACCCTTCTGCACTTTTCCATTCTCAATTCACTGGCAACAGTGTGTTGAAATTCTAAGCAAGTGCAGAAAAAGAGTGCACAAGAAATCTAATGGGGGACATTCTAAAGGAGTCTGTGACCAGGTTTGAGGAAAAAGTCCCACTCAGGGTTAGAAAGCATCATGGGGGAGGGGTGAGCATTCTGAAGAAGGTGTGTTTGAGCTGGGAGGACTTACTCTGTGCTGCGAGAAGTGACTAGACAATAACAACACAATATTCTAATTTTGAAGGGAGCCCCAGGGCTTTTGTGCTGATACTTGTCCTACCCAACCCCCCCCCAACCCCATCTCCAGCCTGTGTTTCTACGTTGGTCTTCTGCTCCAGCCAAAAGTATTTGCCTTGGCTTGAACTCACCCAGCTTTTCAGCATCAACTATGTAAAAGAGAAATGGTCAGAATGGAGTGGGATCCCTGAGAATATCTACTCTAACTCCCAGACAGTCCAAAACCTGAAGCCAAGAGATGGGCTAAAGTCACATAGCTTGTTAGTGTTATCAGACAGAGGGACCCAGTGTCACAGGCCCTGGCTTTCCAGCCAATGGGCCAACTGGCCAAAAGAGAGGCCTGGAGGGTGGAACTTTAAAGTAAGGCCTGTTTTGTCTAATTTATGTCCAGTTGATGACTAGAGGATGATGATGTATTTTTAATCTCAGAGAGAGGGGAAGGAAGACCCAAATGGGCACAGTTCCAGGCTATAAGGATTGTTGGCAAACAGATTCCTGTTTCCCTTATCAGTATATGGTAGCAAACATGTATTGAGTACCTACTGTTTCTGCATCCGACACTGGGCACTGGCGCACAGAGATGCAGAGAATACAATTCTTGTCCAGCCCTCAAAACTCGTGGACTAATGGCTAAACAAATCTCAAATTAAATAGAGCAAAAGACAGAATCCTGGGGGAAACGCTTTTTTTTCCCCCCTGCACAAAGAAGGAATGATGAATCCACCCTGTGAGGAAGAAGAGGTCAGAGATGGTCTCACAGAAGAAGTAGTTTTGAGTGGGGTCTTAAAGGGGAGATATGGAAGTGGCAGAGAGAAGGCCAAGGGCTCCATGCAGCTGAGGCAGCCCATGTAAACAGAAGGCGGCCATAACCAGCAGGGCATCTGAGCTTTGTTTCCCGTGAGAGGTGCTGTGGCACATACAGTGTGTAGGAAAGAAATGGGGGGACTAGGATGAAAGGCTGGAAGCACAGAAAAGGGCTGGTACTGTAATGATAGGCCTCTGATTAATAAATCCATTTGCATATGTATATTCCACTTAGATAGGGAAACAATTTGCAGCCCTGGCATTTAGACCTGATCCTGTGAGCCACAGGGAGTAAAAAGGTTTTTAATAATAGGAGCATCATGACTGGGTTTGTGTGTTAGAAAGACTTTCAGATTTCCATGACTGACCCTTCAAATGCTAGGTGAAATGAGCGAATGTTGCATCTTTCTGCAGGTGAAAGAACTGTAAAAGCAAAGCTATATTTACAAAGAGGAATATTTCAAGAAGACTTAGCTTGTTATGTCTGTTGAATTCTAAATAACAATGGTTATGGGTTAGGATAAGACCTAAGGAGGAAGAGCACATCATCTTTTACTCTGCAGGAGCTCTTTGAAGCTCTGTGTAAGCTTCTAAACCCATTAAACCATACAAAGTCTTATTTATAATACACAGAGTGACCCCCTACCTCGACAGCCACATAATGGCAATCACTAACATCTGTATAACTCTCTGTATTCACAAAGCACTCTATTCCATTTCCTGAGTCCCACAAAAACTGGATAGATGCTATTTTTGTCTCCACTTTACAGATGAGAAAACTGAGAATTAGAAAGGCAAAGTGACTTGCCTAAGGTAAGAGCCTATCAGGGATGGAGTTGAGAATTGAACCTGAGTTCTCTGGCTCCAAATTCTGATGTTCTTTCCATTGCATCCTGCTGGTAATCAGTAGGGTGCCAGACATCACAGCCAGATCACCTACCTAGAAACAAGAGACTGTGTTCTGCAACAGAAACTGCCACCAGTTGACTGATGATCTTGGCCATGTCCTTATCCAACTAATAGGAATAATGACACCTGCTCACTGATGGTAAGGATGTTATAACACTTTGCAAAGTGTAGAGCACTATATAGGCATAATGCTCATCTGTATTCATTTAGCATAATAACCTGATCTCCAAAAGCCTAGAAACTATCCATATGTTAGAGCCGCTGACAAAATATTTTCACCCAAAAACTGCCACCGTCACATGGAGAAGGGAGATCAGAAATAGGTCATATCTGTAATGTGTTCCTCTTCCAGATTCCAAAAAAATTTAAAAAAAAAGAAGGTATACTTTTGCAGCCAGTCCGAGTGACACATAAGTCAGGCATTTTTTAAAAATCTGTTTTAAGATGGTAAATTAGTGGGCAAAGTTACTTCACCTTGAAGGACCTGAGAGAGGCCTTAGCTGTAAAATGATGGAGTTGGATGTGATAAACTCCATGATTCCTTCCTGTTCTAAGACTGAATTATTCTATGCATAAATGAAACAGATTTGTGTAAGATCGGATTAAGATCTTTTTGAGCCTCTAGGGGAGATTACTGAGAATGGGGTTTTGTTGTTGTTGTTGTTGTTTTTGAGACAAGGTCTCACTCAGTCACCCAGGCTGGAGTGCAGTGCCGCAATCTCAGCTCACTGCAGCCTTGACTTCGTGGGCTGCCGTCCTCCCACCTCAGCCTCCTGAGGAGCTGAGACTACAGGTGCATGCCATCACAGCCAACTACTTTTTGTATTTTTTGTAGAGATGCGGTCTCGCTATGTTGCCCAGGCTGATCTTGAACTTCTGAGCTCAAGCGATCCACCTGCCTCAGGCTCCCAAAGTGCTGGGATCACAGGCATGCACCACCAAGCGTGGCCTACTGGGAACAGTTTTTAAAGCCTATTTCTTGCTCTGAGCCTTACATCACTACCCACGCCCCCACCGCAGGGGCAAGAGAACCTGAACTGATTGACCAGCCAACAGCCATAAGAGGTGGCTCATGCCTGTAATCCCAGCACTTTGGGAAGCTGAGGCTAGTGGATCACTGGAGGTCAGGAGTTTGAGATCAGCATGGCCAACATGGTGAAATCCCATCTCTACTAAAAACACAAAAATTAGCTGGGCATGGTGGTGGACACCAGTAATCCCAGCTACTCAGGAGGCTGAGGCAGGAGTATCGGCTTAAGCCCAGGAGGCAGAGGTTGCAATGAGCAGAGATCGTGCAGCAGACGTTGCAATGAGCCGAGATCGTGCCACTGTACTCCAGCCTGGGTGACAGAGCGAGACTCCATCTCAAAAAAAAAAAAAAGAGAGAGAGAGACACCACAGGCTTAAGAAAGTAAAGAGAAGTCTTCCTCTTTCTCCTCTCTCTATGGTAGCTGAAAAAAAAAAAAGAGAGAGTGGGGAAAGAAAAGACAGCCCAATTAAAAAATGGATAAAGGACTTGAATAGACATTTATCCAAAGAAGATACACAGATGGCCAATAAACACAGGAAAAGGTGCTCAACACCATTAGTCATCAGAGAAATGCAAATCAAAACCACCAAGAGACACACTTCACACCTACTAGGACAGTTATAATCAAAAATGTGGAAAATAAGTGTTGGTGAGGATGTGGAGAAATTAGAACCCTCGTACATTGCTGGTGGGAATATAAAGTGGTGCAGATGCTATGGAAAACAGTTTGGCAGTTCTTCAAAAAATAAACACAAAATTACCACAAAACCCAACAATTCCATTTCTAAGTATATACACAAAAGAACTAAAAACAGGGACTCAAACAAATACTTGTATGGCAATGTTCTTTACAGCATTATTCACAATAGCCAAAAGATGTGGATAAGCAAAATGTAGTATATACATAGAATGGAATGTTACTCAGCCATAAAAGAAAGAATCCACTTATAATACATGCTACAACATGGATGAAGTTTGAAAACATTATGCTAAGTGAAATCAGCTAGACAAATTCCACTGGTATGAAATTCCACTTACGTAAAAGACACAATATGGTTTATAGGTTACCAGAGGATTGGGGGAGGGGAAATGGGAGTTATTGCTTAACGGGTAAAGAGTTTCTGTTTGGGTGATAAAAAAAAGTTTTGGAAATAAGTAATAGTGATGGTTGCACAATATCATAAGTGTAGTTAAGGCCACTGAATTGTCTCTCAAAAAGAATTAAAATGGCAATGTTTGTTTATAAATATTTTACCACAATAAGCAAAAAAAGAAGGGAAGAGGGGCATGGCTTGCCCCAGTTGTATGTTTAAGAAGCCTAAGGTGGCCGGGTGCAGTGGCTCATGCCTGTAATCCCAGCAGCACTTTGGGAAGCCGAGGAGGGTGGATCACCTGAGGTCAGGAGTTCAAGACAAGCCTGGCCAACATGATGAAACTCTGTCTCTACTAAAATTACAAAAATTAGCCAGGTGTGGTGGTGCACACCTGTAGCCCCAGCTACTCTGGAGGCTGAGGCAGGAGAATCACTTGAACCCGGGAGGCAGAGGTTGCAATGAGCCGCGATCACCCCACTGCACTCCAGCCTGGGCAACAGAGCCAGACTCTGTCTCAAAAAAAAAAAAAAAACAAAGCCTAAGGCAAATAATTTTTGGCTAAGTCCCCAAAAGCAATTGCAACAAAAACAAAAATTGACAAGTGGGACCTAAACTAAAGAACTGCTGCACAGCAAAAGAAACTATCAACAGAGTAAACAGACAACCTACAGAATGGGAGAAAATATTCACAAACTATGCATCTCACAAACATCTAATATTCAGAGTCTATATGGAGCTAAAACAAATCAACAAGCAAAAAACAAATAACCCCATTAGAAAATAGGCAAAGGACATGAACACTTTTCAAAAGAAGACATACAAGAGGCCAACAAACATGAAAAATGCTCAGCATCACTAATCATCAGAGAAGAGCAAATCAAAACCATAATGAGGTACTATCTCAGACCAGCCAGAATGGCTATTATTAAAAGTCAAAAAATGGCCAGGCGCAGTGGCTCACGCCTGTAATCCCAACACTCTGAGAGGCCAAGGCGGGCGGATCACTTGAGGTCAGGAGTTCGAGACCAGCCTGGCCAACGTGGTGAAACCACATCTCTACTAAAAATACAAAAATTAGCTGAGCATAGTGGCACATACGTGTAATCCCAACTACTTGGGAGGCTGAGGCAGGAGAATCGCTTGAACCTGGGAGGCGGAGGTTGCAGTGAGCTGGGATCGCACAACTGCACTCCACCCTGGGTGACAGACCAAGACTCCCTCTCAAAAAGAAAAAAAAAAAAAAAAAGGTCAAAAAACAACAGATGCTGACAAGGCAGCAGAGAAAGAGGAACACTTAGACACTGCGGGTGGGAATGTCAATTAGTTTGGCCACTATAGAAAGCAGTTCGGAGATTTCTCAAAGAACTTAAAACAGAGATACCATCTGACCCCACAACCCCATTACTGGGTATATACCCAAAGAAAAGTAGATCATTACACCAAAGGACACATGCACTGGTATGTTCATCACTGTGCTATTCACAATAGCAAAGACATGGAATCAACCTAGGTGCCCATCAATGGTGGATCAGATAAAGAAAATGTGGTACATATACACCATGGAATGAATACTACACAGCCATGAAAAAGAATGAAATCATGTCCTTTGCAGCAACATGGTTGGAGCTGGAGGTCATTATCCTGAGTGAATTAATGCAGGAACAGAAAACCAAATACCACTTGTTCTCACTTATTGGTGGGAACTAAACATTGAGCACACACGGACAAACATGGACACTGTGGACTACTAGAGAGGGGAGGCAAGGGAAGAGTGGTGTGTGAGTTGAAAAACTACCTATTGGCTACTATGCTCACAACCTGGGTTCAAACCTGCACATGCACCCTCCACATTTAAAATAAAAGTTAAAATTTAAAAATTAAATAATGCAAACATATAGGAAGAAGGAGGAGGAGGAGGAAGAGGAAGAAGAGGAGGAGGAAGAGGAGGAAGAAAAAGAAGGAGAAGGAGGAGGAGGAGGAGAAGAAGCCACCGCCTAAGGCCACTGGGCTTGCTGACCTGCCCCAGAGCAAGAGAAGGAGCACCAAGGAGCAGGACTCAGGGGTATAGCTCGATGGGGGAGGGGCACAGATGATTCCCTTGGGTCTCTGTTTCCTGAGGCATGCAGAAGATGGATTCTACAATTTGCTGCAGACCCTCAGTAGGGAACCTTGGAGGACAGATGTCCTCAATACCAATGCCAACAGAGCACCTGGGATGGAGCCTTATCAGGAGCATCTAAAGTCATTCCCAGTACTACCAGTGGCAAACCACTACCCTTCAAGCAACCAGCCAGACAGTGAGAATGATTAAAAGAAACGTGGGGAGGTGCCACCATCTGCATCCCTCAGCCTTGTTCCTGACTCAGTCTCAGGGAGGTAAGCAATGGAGGAAGGAGGGAGATGGAAAGAGCAGGTGATGACAGCCACCCTGTTGACCTAAAGAAAGAAATAAAGGCACAATTAACATAGAGAGTTTATTTGCGCCAAGGTTGAGGATGGCTACCTGGGACACACATTTAAGCTGCCTTGAGGAGTGCTTCTATTTAGTCTTTGTTACAAGCAGGTTTTTAAAGGCAAAAGGGGAGAAGGAGTGGGCAGATACAAAGTTGTTAGACAGGAATTCTCACTGATTTATGGAATTAACATTGGTTAGTGATTGGCTTTACGTTGTTGAACTACAGTGTATGAGTTATGATGTCCAGTGCAATGCATTTTATGGCTACTTGGCATCAGTTACTCTAGAGCCCACAGAGCAGGTGGCTTTAAGATGAAATGATTTAGCTCAAAGGGAAGTGAAACATGACTGCTGTCACACACTGTCACAATTCAATGCTTCACTGGGCCTGATAATTAAAGAGGGTTCACTCCCTTCCTCTAGGCCCCTGAAACCTGAACTGGAGAGAGGAGTGAGAGAGCTTTGAATTAAGCATCAGACAGATGTTTGTTATGATTTGAATGTATGCATCCCTCCAAAATTCATATGTTAGCAGCTAATACACAAGGTGATGGTATTAGAAAGTGGGGCCATCGGAGGGTGATTAAGTCATAAGGACTTCACCTTTATGAATGAGATTTTGTGCTTACAAAAGGGCTTGAGGAAGTGAGTTTGCCCCTTCTTCTCTTCTGCTATGTGAGGACATAGAGTTTGTCCTCATCAAAAGATGCAGCAACAGGGCACCATCTTGAAAGCAGAGAGAGAAATTTTACCAGACATCAAATCTGAGAGATTTGTTTGGTGTTACGTATAGATGATGTCTGGTAATTAATGAGACAACAGAATGTTGTAGGATTTGCTGTCTTGGCTACTGTAACTCATACTACACATCTACAAGACTGTTGTTTAAATAAAATGTAGATAATTAATTCTCAATTTGCTTATAAACTGAGTAATGTTGTACTATAATGTGAACCCAAGAACATGTTGGAAAACATCCACTGAAAAATATATAACACTAAGAAAATTGCTGTGATAACAAACCTACAATTCTGGCCAAATAGAGCAGATATGTTGTTATTTGTGGTAAATCTAATAAAGCAGGTTATTTGAGCTTATTTGTGTTGCTACTGTAGAAAGTAGAATCTCCACTCTCTCAAAAATGTTTAACCAGTATATACAAAGTAATTCGTCACCAAAAGCAACTGTCTTATTTTAATATTCAAATTTTCTGCTTGTTTCTCCTTTACTAAATTTAAAACTCTTTATTGAATACATTCTCAGAGCAATTCTACTTTCTACCAAATCTGCCAGCAACTTGGTCTTGGACTTCCCAGCCTCCAGAACTGCGAAAAATATATTTCTTTTTCCGTTTTTCTTTTTTCTTCTTTCTTTTTTGAGATGGAGTCTTGCTCTGTCAGCAAGCTGGAGTGCAGTGGCGTGATCTCGGCTCACTGCAACCTCCACCTCCTGGGTTCAAGCGATTCTCCTGCCTCAGCTTCCCGAATAACTGGGACTACAGGCACGTGACACTATCCCCAGCTAATTTGTGTATTTTTTAGTAGAGATGGGGTTTCACCATGTTGGCCAGGATGGCCTCAATCTCTTGACCTTGTGATCTGCCTGCCTCTGCCTCCCAAAGTGCTGCGATTACAGGCATGAGCCACTGCGCCTGCCCATATTTCTGTTATTTATAAATTATCCACTCTCAGTATTTTGTTATAGCAGCAGGAACAGATTAAGATAATGTTTTAAAATGAAGAGGACTAGGGCTCACAAACTGAAACAAGACTATTCTGAATAGCCCAAAGTGACCAAAGTAAAAGAAATCAGACTGAACTACCATTAAGGGAGCTGGTTCCCAAGAGAAAGTGGTGACTTGGCAGAGAAAAGTTGGTGGAAGTTATTGGACAAATCAATCATTCAGATTTACACCACAATGAGTTGAGTCAGTTTTAAAAACAAGTTGCATAATGTGGAGATGTGTGCCAGTGTCCCCCAGTATGCTTTCTACCGATTCTTTTATAGATTTGCAAATAGATTTGCAATTCTCAGCTGAGCAAATGTCCACTGAGAATCAAGAATACACTTTCTATCCTGCATTGCAGCTAGGTCTGAACATTTGACTAATTCTAGACAATGGAATATACATGGAGACACCCTGTAGTTTGGAGACCTCCTTTAAAAGCCATGATCTAATACCCTTTGCTTTCCCCATCCACTTTCTTCTTCAAGCATTCTTACACACTACTTCTTAAGATGTGAAGTTAGTGACTGGAGCTATAGCTAGCGTTTGGGATCATGAGGATAATGGTCACAGCCTCAAGATGACAGAAGCGCAACTAAGAATTCAGAATTCTTGGAAAATTTTCAAAGTAGAAAAATCACACCAGCCCTGGTCAGCCTACCTCCTTCTACTTGAAAAAGGAAAAAAAAATCTCTATTTTTAAAGCCACTGTCATTTTAGGCCTCTGTAACACAGCTGAACCTAATTTTATATGAAATATATACAAATTATATTATCACAAATAATCTATAAGTTCAAACATAAAGAAAAAAAGAACTATATAGTACCTCTTCACCTCAATTTAGTCAAAATAACATAGACACTAAAACCAACATTTATGGAGACCTTATGCAAGGAATTTTACCAATGGCTTCATATGCATTATTTCTTTCATTTTCTTAGTAACAGCTCTATAAATGTGTAACATTGTATACATCTTAGAGATGGAAAAGTGAAGACTTAAAGAAGTTAAATAATTTGCCCGAGGTCACACGGCAAGTATGTGTAGAATCATAATAAAAATCTACTCTTGGCCGGGCCTGGCAGCTCACACCTGTAATCTCAGCACTTCGGGAGGCCAAGGTGGGTGGATTGCTTGAGCTCAGGAGTTTGAGACCAGCCTGGGCATAACAGTGAACCCACCTCTACAAAAAATTAGCTGGGCATGGTGGTGTGCACCTGTAGTCCCAGCTACTCAGGGGGCTGAGGTGGAAGGATCACTTGAGCCTGGGAATTTGAGGCTGCAGTGAGCCATGACCATGCCACTGCACTCCAGCCTGGGCAACAGAGCAAGACCCTGTTTCCAAAAAACAAACAAACAAACAAACAAACAAACAAAAATACCATTCTATCTTACTCCTCTAAAGTCATGCCATTAGCCACTGTACGTTACACCTGCATAGAGGTTCTTCTGGCAAAGATTTATTCATATGGAGATCTTAGACAAATTGAACCACAATAAAATTTCGTAGAATTTTAATAATCTATAAATGAGGGATTTGTTTGATGTTAGATATAGGTGATGTTTGGTAATTAATAAGACAACAGAATGTTGTAGGATTTGCTATCTTGGCTGCTATAACTCATACTACACGTCTACAAGACTGTTGTTTAAATAAAATGTAAGTAATTAATTCTTAATTTGTTTATAAACTGAGTAATGCTGTACTATAATATGAACCCAATAATATGTTGGAAGACATCCACTGAAAAATATATAACACTAAGAAAATGCTGTGATAACCAACCTACAATTCTGGCCAAATAGAGCAGATAAGTTACTTGTGATAAATCTAATAAAGCAGGTTATTTGAGCTTATTTGTGTTGCTATTGTAGAAAGCAGAACTTCTCTGAGAATGTATTGAAGAATGAGTTTAAATTTAACGAAGAAGGTGAAACAAACAGAAAATTTGAACATTAAAATAAGACAGTTGCCTCTGGTGACCAGTTACTTTGCATATACCAGTTAAACGTTTTTGAGAGTGTAGAGATTCTAATTCACTGGCGTTACTTCAAAAAACTACATTTAGGAATACTCCTCAGAGAACCAATAATTACTTACGTTGGGCCCACCCCATAGTAAAAGACTTGACACAGTGTAGATGTTTAATATATATTCGATAATGAAAGAACAGATGAGTGGAGATGAATTGATGGTGGTTAGGTAGATAAATGAGTAGATGGTTGAATAAATAAACATAAATTGTGCTTTATCAGTTTCAAGTAATTTTTACAGGGATTATCTCACTTGATCCTCAAAAGCATGCTGATAGTAGGTAAAAGAAGTGAGATTATTCTTACTTAAAAAATAAAACATTGGTTCCAAAATTTTGAGAGATTTACCTAGATTGACTTACTATGTGAATCCTTGTCTCCCATAAACGTAAGATAATTTAGCTTGTTTACTGTTTGAGGAAAGGAAGGAGGAGAAGAGGGTCAGGAGAGGGAGGGGGGAGGAGGAGAAGAGGAGGAGGAAGAGGAGGAGGAGAAAAATACCTGTGTTATGATGTATTTCTTGAACAGGCCATGATACTTCACTCTCACATGCCTATATCAGATTGTATTTTCCAAAGGTAGTCACAGTAATATCTCCTTACAACGTGACTTAACGCTCTTCCCATTGAGATGTGGAGTCTTTGTTCTCAATCCTTGAATCTGGATTAGTTTAAGACTATAGACCTGGCGCGATGGCTCACGCCTGTAATCCCAGCACTTTGGGAGGCCGAGGCAGGTGGATCACCTGAAGTCAGAAGTTCAAGACGAGACTGGCCAACATGGTGAAAACCTGTCTCTACTAAAAATACAAAATTAGCTGGGCATGGTGGCATGTACCTATAATCCCAGCTATTCGTGAGGCTGAGGCAGGAGAATGGTTTGAACCCAGGAGGTGAAGGTTGCAGTGAGCCAAGATCATGCCACTGCACTCTAGCCTAGGCAACAGAGAAAGACCCCATCTCACAAAAAAAAAAAAAAAAAAAAAAGACTATGGTCTTTTTTCACGTATGAGCTATGTGACTTCTTAGGCCAGATCATAAAAGGTGATATGGCTTCTGCTTGAAGTACTTGAAACATTCACTCCTGAAAACAGCTACCATCCTATCATGCTGTAAGGACCTCCCACAGTCCCAAGCCTGGCTGAGCTCCCAGCCTATAGCCAGGACCTATAGACAGGACCAACTTGTGAGTAAATCAATGTGAAGGTGGATTCCCCAGGCCCGAGTTCGGCTGCCTCCACTGAAATAAGCCATTCCTGCCTAGCTCTGCTCAAATTACAGATTCACAACCAAAATAAATTATTGCCATTGTCTCAGGCCATTAAGTTTTGGGTGGTTGTTACATAACAATACCTATCGGTAAAAATGTATGTTTACTGTTTCCATTGTTTCACATGTTTTTCTTCTTCTTGTCTACTTAGAAAATGCCTACTCAGGCCAGGTGCAGTGGCTCACACCTGTAATCCCAGCACTTTGGTAGACTGAGGCAGGTGGATCACCTGAGGTCAGGAATTCAAGACTAGCCTGACCAACATGGAGAAACGCCGTCTCTACTAAAATTACAAAATTAGCCTGGCGTTGTGGCACACGCCTGTAGTCCCAGCTACTCAGGAGGCTGAAGCAGGAGAATCAATTGAACCCGGGAGGCAGAGGTTGCAGTGAGCCGAGATCGCGCCATTACCCTCCAGCCTGGGCAACAAGAGTGAAACTCCCTCTCAAAAAAAAAGAAAAAAAGAAAAGAAAAGAAAATGCCTATTCATAGGCCAGGCGCGGTGGCTCACTCCTGTAATCCCAGCACTTTGGAAGGCTGAGATGGGCGGATCACCTGAGGTCAGGAGTTGAAGACCAGCCTGGCCAACATGGTGAAACCCCATCTCTACTAAAAATACAAAAAATTAGCCGAGTGTGGTGGCAGGCGCCTGTAATCCTAGCTACTCAGGAGGCTGAGGCAGGAGAACAGCTTGAACCCGGAAGGTAGAGGTTGCAGTGAACTGATATCACGCCACTGCACTCCAGCCTGGGAGACAGAGAGAGACTCCATCTCAAAAAAAAAAGAAAAGAAAAGAAAAGAAAATGCATATTCATTCTTTAAAACCCAGATCAGTAATACATCTAGACCACCTTCTCTTATACTGTCTCATTCTCCAATAAATGTAACATCCTTTCTCTGTGTAGCTCCTGTGTATCTTAAATCTCTCTCTAGGATTGCATTAAAAATGTTGCACTCAGCCAGGCACGGTGGCTCACACCTGTAACTCCAGCATTTTGGGAGGCTGAGGCAGGCAGATCACAGGGTCAGAAGATCGAGACCATCCTAACACAGTGAAACCCCGTCTCTACTAAACATACAAACAATTAGCCGGGCGTGGTGGCGGGCGCCTGTAGTCCCAGCTACTCGGGCGGCTGAGGCAGGAGAATGGTGTGAACCTGGGAGGCAGAGCTTGCAGTGAGCAGAGATAGTGCCACTGCACTCCAGCCTGGGCGACAGAACGAGACTTCGTCAAAAAAAGAAAAAAAAAATTGCACTCTACACCTGGCATATACCAGGAACTCGGTAAATGTTTTCCAACTAATCAAATTGAATTTGGTGAACAAAAATGTGCAGGTGGTGCTGTACTTAACCAATTCCTGCTGACGTTGGATGGCCCCAACCATTACCACTGTCATTAATCCTGTCTCTACACCACCACTGTTACATTGACCTCATGGTTCTACTCACTAGCCTGCACACTGCTCTCCCTTCCATCCAGCCAACGATGTTTGATTTAATATGGGGAGCTACTCTTTTTTTTTTTTTTTTGAGACGGAGTCTCCCTCTGTCGCTCAGGCTGGAGTGCAGTGGTGCGATCTCGGCTCACTGCAAATTCCACCTCCCAGGTTCACGCCATTCTCCTGCCTCAGCCTCCTGAGTAGCTGGGACTACAGGCACCCGCCACCACGCCAGGCTAATTTTTTTGTATTTTTAGTAGAGATGGGGTTTCACCATGTTAGCCAGGATGGTCTCGATCTCCTGACCTCGTGATCCGCCCGCCTCGGCCTCCCAAAGTGTTGGGATTACAGGCATGAGCCACCGCGCCCTGCTAGGGAACTACTCTTTCCTCACTACTTTTATGACTTTGTTAGCGGCATCTCTTTTCTCTCCATCCCCTTTAGGTCTCTCACTTATAGCATTTTTTAATTAGTTCCCTTGGGGCTAATAACTGCAAGATATTTGAATGGCAACATTTTCTCCAAGAGCCCAAATGTTAATTCCAATGTCATCTTTGTTATTTCCCCCAACTTACTAAATAGGGTTCCTGGCGGCCAGCTTGGAGTGCCAAAATCCCCTGGCTGAAGAAACCTATTAGGCCTCCATTGCTTCCAATCTGTAGATTCCACTTAGATTTATTTGTAGAATTAATTACAGAAACTGTTTTATTCTTTTATATATATGACTTTTGTAGTAGTGTCTACCTGGGATATCTCAGTTTGCTGAGGTCACAAAGCCACTTGTTAAGATGTGATAGGACTATACTCAGATAGTACAGTGACATCACTAAACCTAAGGCTTACGGGAACCTAAGCCTCCATCATTTTCCTCCCACTTTTTGCCACACTCTAGCAGAGGTTTATTCAAGTTAGTATCTCTACTTCACTGGGAAGGATTGGGATTCAGCATTTTCATATTTTTCTCTTTGATTAACCATTCCCCCACTCAAGACTGGCATTTCCTGTTTCGGTTGGGCCTGTTTAGACACATGTTGCTCAGCACAGCTGGTTGGGCATTTGCAGTCCAAGTGATTATCCTTGCACTTTTATATGGTGGCAGCATGCTGCAACAGGAAGCACGATGAAACTGCAGGCAGAAGGCCTGGGTTCTGGTCCTAGTTTTCTCATTAAATACCAATATGACCGGCCGGGCGTGGTGGCTCACGCCTATAATCCCAGCACTTTGGGAGGCCGAGGAGGGCGGATCACGAGGTCAGGAGATCGAGACCATCCTGGCTAACGCGGTGAAACCCCATCTCTAATAAAAATACAAAAATTAGCCAGGCATGGTGGCGGGCGCCTGTAGTCCCAGCTACTCAGGAGGCTGAGGCAGGAGAATGGTGTGAACCCGGGAGGCAGAGCTTGCAGTGAGCCGAGATCGTGCCACTGCACTCCAGCCTGGGTGACAGAGCAAGACTCTGTCTCAAAAAATAAATAAATAAATAAATAAATAAATAAATAAATAATACCGATATGACCTTGAATAAGTCATTTCATTCTTCTATGTCTCCATTTATCTGTAAAATGGGGAAATCCAAAACATACCATCTCTAGGGACACTTTCAGAAATAACATTGGATGCTTCTACACTTTACTTGAAAGGCACTTTATTCATTCAATGCCTTTTCAAAGTACTTCTATAAAAAAGAAATTTCAGGGCCAGGAGCAGTGGTTCACATCTATAATGTCAGCACTTTGGGCAGCAGAGGCAGGAGGACCCCTTGAGCCCAGGAGTTCAAGACCAGCCCGGACAACATAGTGAAACCCTGTCTGTACAAAATAAAAAGTTTTTAAAATTTGCCAGCCATGAAAGCTCACATCTGTAGTTCCAGCTACTTGGGAGGCTCAGGTGGGAGGACTGCTTGAGCCCAGGAGGTTGAGGCTGCAGTGGGCCATGATTGTGCCACCATAGTCCAGCCCAGGCAACAGAGCAAGTCCCTGTCTCTAAAAAAAAAAAAAAAAAAAAAAACAAAGAAAAAAATATTTTTTAAGAAATCTCAGAGCCACCTTATAATCAGAACACAGAATGATATGGTTGGAAGTCATGCTTTATAGAATTCTGATTTTTTATATATTTATATAAAAACATCTTGTATGATTATCCAGAATAGCATTGCCAACTCATCAAGCTTTCAGGGACGAGAGAGAGGGTGAGTACATTGCTTCTGCTAGAGTTGAAATTAATAGCTCTGGGCTGGGCACTGTGGCATGTGCCTGTAATCCCAGCACTTTGGGAGGCTGAGGTGGGCAGATCACTTCAGGCCAGGAGTTCGAGACCAGCCTGGCCAACATGGTAAAACCCCATCTCTACTAAAAATACAAAAATTAGCTGGGCATGGTGGCACACACCTGCAATCCCAGCTACTCAGGAGGCTGAGGTGGGAGAATCGCTTGAACCTGGGAGGAGGAGGCTGCAGTGAGTCAAGATCATGCAACTGCACCCCAGCGTGGGTGATACAGCAAGACCCTGTCTCAAAAACAAGAAAAAAAAAGAAAGAAATTAACAGCTCTGAACCCTACCAAAGACAGCAAAAGGAACTCTATTTTCCCCTCAAGCCCAGCATAGAATTTGTTATCTACCTACAATGGTTGGTTTTTATGTGTCAACTTAGCTAGGCCACTGTACCCAGATATTTGCTCAAACACATCTGGAGATTCTGTGAAAGTATTTTTAGATGAGATTAACATTTAAATAAGTAAACTCTGAGTAAAAGCAGATTACTCCCCATAATGTGGGAGGGCCTCATCTAATAAGTTGGAATCCTTAAAAAAAAAAAAAAAAAAAAAGACTGAGATCCCCTAAGGAAGACGGAATTTTCTGCCAGCAAACTACCTTTAGGCTCAAGCTGCAAAAATCAATTCTTCCCTGGGTCTCCAGCCTGCTGGTCTACCCTATGGATTTTGTACTTGCCTATCATGGGAGTATATATATACACACACACATATATATGCATACATATATTTATATATAGGCATCTATATATTTATATATGCATATATATTTATATATAGGCATCTATATATCTACATATATGCCTATATATATTTATATATAGGTGCATATATATATATATATAGGCATATATATATATATATTTAGAGAGAGAGAGAGAGAGAGATCCTTTCGTTCTGTTTCTCTGGAGAACTCTTCCTGGACATAGAGGAAAATCTCATCCTGCCCTTATCCCCTCCCTTTATCCCATGAAGTTCTATTCCCCTGCCAGAAGATCCACTCACCTCAATAACAAATGCAACTGAAAGGGATCAATAAAGTGCCATGCACATGTTTGTTAACATAATAACAGTTATCATCATCATCATTATTGTCATTTTAGTCAGACCATTTGAGAAACTAGACGTGGGGCCAACTGCGTATGCCCAGTATTATACAATGTGAAAGCCTGGGGTCTCTAAGGGAAGGCAGACCACACAGGGCAGGGGGCTATTGTGCTTTGCTTCCACAACCCACAACCCAGCCACACATCAGATTATTGAAACCACTCCTGCGAAAGAACAAAATTGGTTGATTATGCATTCATCCCACATAACTCTTGGCTCTAGCAATTCTCTACACCTCCGGAGATCTCTCATCTTCCTCTTCATCTACATTATCCAGAAAAGAAAAAAAGCCAGCTGTCAGAGGGAGTAATCTTTTTAGCACTTTTCCAATCAAAACCAGCCTTTGCTGACTTCCCCTGACTTCCTAGAATAAATCCTGCCTGGTCCCCAAAAAGCCTGATGGCTTTTTAGTGCACTGGCTCCACCTAGTGACTGCTAGAGAGAATGCACCCAAACTTTCTTGGTTTGGATCGAGGTTACAGAATTGACAGCTAAAAAGTCAGACAAGTTATTCACGATAGCCAGACGTTGATTTGAATTCCAAAGACTTCTGAGAAACACTGTATATAGCTCATTTTAGGAGTACCTAGCATAAGGTTAAGAGTATGTATTTTAAGTTCAGGTGTCTCTGAGTGCAAAATCTTGTTCAGCCTCCTACCACATTTTGCCTATATGACTTTGGACAAGTCATTTACCTTATTTAAGCTTTAAGGCACTTATTTGTAAAAACTGAGTTAATTGTGAATACTTACTAGAAATTTTGTAATAATTAATATAGATAGATAGTAGATGGATAGAGTGCTTAATAGACTACTTCATCCATAATAAACAATCAATAAACCATAGTTATTTCTATTAGCTACTTGGAAGACTTCCATAGAATATCCATTTCTCTGTGGGTCGATGCTTCTTACCCTTTTAACTGAGCTAAATAGGAGATTATGATCAATTTTTAAAGGCTACTTTAACACAATTTGAGTCTGATAGATACAGATTTCCCTGCAGGAATTATGTATTCTTTGCCATGCTACTGCCTAGAGAGTAAATATTCTATTTTATTTATTTATTTAAGACATAGTCTCACTCTGTTGCACAGGCTGGAGCGCAGTGATGCAACCATAGCTGACTGCAGCCTGGAACTCTTGGGCTCAAAGAATCCTCCTGCTTCAGCCTCCCGAGTAGCTGGGACTACAGGCGTGTTCCACCACATCAGGTTAATTTTTTTACTTTTTGTAGAAATGGAGTCTTAGTATGTTACCCAGGCTGGTCTCAAACTCCTGGACTCAAGCAATCCTCCCATGTAGGCCTCTCAAAGAACTAAGATTATAGGAGTGAACCACCATCGAGCTATAAATATTCTAGTGATTCAAGAAAGGCACTCAATTTTTTAATTAAATGTGTGTCACATATGCTCCTTTGTTTGGTACTTAGATGGAAGTTCAAAGTTCATTCTTAAATCTGAGACCTTGGGAATATAATCTTTTAAATTATCTCCTATATCTGTTCTCAAAATAAATCAACAAAATAATTTTGGGTCTTTCTTGAATGCAAAACCGAAAGCACTTTTTAAAGAGTGAGGAGGATCTGTTAGATGTTAAAGCACACCTGTTTAAGGTTGGCCATAATGTACCTTTGCTCAATCTCATAACCAAGTCTGACTTCCAGAATCCCTTAGTTTGTAACACCGCTGTCAACAGATGAACCCAGCCCTGCTCCTAGCCCTGTTCTTCCTTTTTGTTGGTTCCTAAGAAGCATATATTTTGTTTATAGTCCCATATTTCCCTATCCTTCATTCTGGATATAATTTTTCCACAAGGAAAAAGTATTTGTAGTATAAAGGACTGAATTAAGATCCATGGAATTTGCAAGCTTCTCTCAACTGAATTGATTCAAGTCATGAAACCATATACAAGTCACAGCCTAAGTCTCAGTTTTGTATTTGAAAAATGGTGATACCTCCCCATCTTACCCTACAAAGTTATGGTGAATATAATAAATTAGTGTAAGTAAAAGACCTATGTACATTACAAGATACTATACGAATATGAAACTAGCGCTTCCAGCTCAGGGTGAACACTACTAGTTTAAAATCCATTCCCAATCTTTTAAGTATGGAAACCCTCATGTGCCAGTTACTGTATTTTTACTGTATTTTACTGTAGTGATTGAGAAAATATAAGTTTTCATTTGGATTTCCATTCCCTCACAATAATTCCAAGGTCTCTCAAAGTGTCCTGGTCAGATACTTAGAATCACTGCCTAAATCAATAAGGAGATTAACCAAAGTTGGCCTCAACACACTGGGCTGCAGAATTTTTTCTTGTTTTCTGATTCCTCTAAACCAACTACTTTCCTTTCCTAAAGGTTTTCTATCACTTGCTAGGACTCCTGGTCCCCCTTCTTCTTTGCTGCTTTCTGGGATACTAGCCCATCTGTCACTTCTTCTGAAACTACTGATTATAAATTCCTAACAGTTATTCATAGTTAAACCTATATAAGTATACACCTCAAAAGAAGAAAACAAAATTGATGTCACACATTGAGATGGAAAGATCTGATTCCAAAGTACTGGTAAAAAGTACAAAAATACTCCCCTCCCCAGTCCTTGAGTTATTAATCATCTTGAGGTTGCAGTACTTAGACATCTGTTGGATAAAAGAACAGATTAGAGGGAGGCAAGGAAATCTGCCAAGACCTGAGGCAGATGCTTCCTCTTAGACTTGGACCTCGTAGCAATGCGACATGTTCTGACTCTTTTCTCAGATCTAAGTTTTAACATCGCATTTCTCCAATGTATTGGAACAGCTCCAGTAGAGGTAGAACTTGAACATAAGGAGTCCCAGGAATTATTGGGGCTACTTCATTCATTTATTCAAAAGAATTAATTGAGAGCCTACTCATTTAGCCTTGAATTATTCTAGGGCTGGAGATTTAGAAATAAAAGACATGCATTCAGGTGGGCAGGAACATCATTCATGACAGTGACTGAGTAAAAAGTGTTGAAAAAGAAATCAGCCCATGGTTTAAGCTCAAAGAACCAGCTGACTACAAGTCTTGTGCCTATGACTGGGCCTATGAATAACAGGTGGACACAGCAGCAGTCTCCTTCAGCACTGCTTGGTGTGTCCCTTGATACGGCTCTTCATTCCACTGACATGGAAGCAACAGGATTGATCATTATTTTCTAGAGCATATTTACCAATTAAAGCCATTGGAAACTGGAAAAAAGGATTATATATGCATATCAACCTTCAAATAGCATACATGTGAGTTTGGTGTGATCTACCAACCTCTCCTTAGTAGAACAGATGGAAGGCTAGGCTAGTCTAGCTAGTTCTGTTCCAGATCTTCTTTTCTTCATTATTCCAATTCATTTTTGGCCTTTTAAGAATTACACAGACTTGGCCGGGCGCGGTGGCTCACGCCTGTAATCCCAGCACTTTGGGAGGCCGAGGCGGGCGGATCACGAGGTCAGGAGATCGAGACCATCCTGGCTAACACGGTGAAACCCCGTCTCTACTAAAAATACAAAAAATTAGCCGGGCGTGGTAGCGGGCGCCTGTAGTCCCAGCTACTCGGGAGGCTGAGGCAGGAGAATGGCGTGAACCCGGGAGGCGGAGCTTGCAGTGAGCCGAGATCGCGCCACTGCACTCCAGCCTGGGCGACAGAGCGAGACTCCGTCTCAAAAAAAAAAAAAAAAAAAAAAACAACAACAAAAAACAAAACAAGAATTACACAGACTTTTACAATTAAGAATAAAATCTATAGATATTTTTGAAAGAAAAGAAAGAGAGAAAGAGGAAGGAAGGAAGGAAGGAAGGAAGGAAGGAAGGAAGGAAGGAAGGAAGGAAGGAAGGAGAGAAGAGAGAGAAGAGAGAGAAGAGAGAAGAAAGACCAGCCTGTCTAACATGGTGAAACCCCGTCTCTACTAAAAATACAAAAATTAGCTGGGCTTGGTGGCGCATGCCTGTAGTCCCAGCTACTCAGGAGACTGAGGCAGGAGAATCTCTTGAACCCGGGAGGCAGAGGTTGCAGTGAGCTGAGATCATGACCATTGCACTCCAGCTTGGGCGGCAGACCAAGACTCCCTCTCAAAAAAAAAAAAAAAAGAAAGAAAGAGAGGGGAGCAGAGGGGAGGGGAGGAGAGAGGAAGGAGAAGGGTGAGGGGAAGGGGAAGGAGAAGGGTAAAGGGAAGGGGGAGGGGAAGGGGAAGGAAGGGAAGGGAAAAGGAAGGGAAGGAAGGAAAGAAAGACAGCTTCTGCCCTCAACATATTCACCATCTACTCGGGGATTCAGTTTATGGCACGGTGGCTGAGATTCGATGGTGAAAAAAATTCCAAGTTAGGGGGTGAGAGGGAATCCAGTGACTGCCCAGGGAAGGGGGTGTCGGAAGTAAGATTTGAAATATAAACACAAGCTCATTATGGAAGGAAGGAGTAACTTACTCTAGGTTAACCAGCAAGGTTCAGAAACTTGAAGAGAGCACAAGCATAAAAATGCAAACTGAGGAACTGAAAGCTGAAGAAAGAGCAGCTGAAGACCTTCAGAGGAAAGACTTGCTGGGCCCAGCTGATGAGCTTACATTATGTCTTAAAAGCAATGGGAGCTACTAAAGGATTTTTTTTTTTTTTTTTAGGTGGAGTTTTGCTCTTGTTGCCTAGGCTGGAGTGCAATGGTGTGATCTTGGCTCACCGCAACCTCTGCCTCCCGGGTTCAAGCGATTCTCCTGCCTCAGCCTCCCAAGTAGCTGGGATTACAGGCATGTGCCACCACACCCAGCTAATTTTGTATTTTTAGTAGTGATGGGGTTTCTCCCTGTTGGTCAGGCTGGTCTCAAACTCCCGACCTCAGATGATCCACCTGCCTCGGCCTCCCAAAGTGCTGGGATTACAGGCGTGAGCCACTGTGCCCGACCTACTAAAGGATTTTAAGTGGGAGAGCCGCACGATGGGATTTGCCAAAAAAAATGTCAAGTTCAATCATTCTGGGATCTATATTTCCCCCAAACCTCTTAACTCCCATTATGTTACCAAAGTCTCTTGCTTCCTATCCTGGCCTCCTGCCAATCCTTAGTCTCCTGCCCATCCAATCCATCCCCAACCCTTTGCAGAGTAGTCTTTCCCCTGCTCTCAGCTCTAGAATGGAATCCATGCCTAACGTTTCACACTCATGTTGTTGCCAGTCACCCTCCTCATATCTTAATCTCCAGCCAACCTCACAAAATGCCATGCTGTTTTATGTCCCTACTATTATCAGCATTAATGTCTGGGACACCCTTCCTCCACTGTCCTGCTGATGCAGTCTCACTTATCTTTCAAAACCCAGTTCCAGTGTCTACCTTTGTGTGAAATCTGCCCCCATATGCCTAGGCACCCCTCCTTTGTGCCAACCCCATCCCTTACACAGTTTCCTATTCCTGCATTTATACTCAACATGACTAGTCTCTGCTTGCTGGTTCACTACCTCCTTTTGTATTACCAGCGCCTTGTGGGAGAGATGTCACCATCTTATCTTTGTATCCCCAGTGCTTAGGGCTGAGTTTAATGCTCAATACAGAATCGGTAAAAGAATAAATGAATGAATAATGTTCCTTCTTACAGATAAAGAAAGATGGTCCCAGCCTGTTATGGCAGAATAATTTTCTGAATTCTAAGCATGTAGCTATATACTTGAAAATGTCTGAAGTTATATTTGTTACTGTGGTAGAATACTGCAATCGATTTCTTTATATTACGCCTCCCAATTTCTCTTTTATGGAGACTATACACTCTCGGAAACACATGGATGGACATATGCTATGTTGCAATATTCTTCTCATACACTGAGAAACTCACCCAATGTATAGATATGTGTATACCCCAAGCAAACTTATATAAGACCTTACCTTCTTTTCCTGTAATCCCATCTGAATATTTTTGCAGCAGTAAAAGTACCTAACGTGCTCTATTGCCAAAATAAAAAGAAGCCCAAGTATATATTTTCCTTTTCTGAAAAACATGTGTCCCAAAAGATTCTACTTTTGCTAAACCACAACTAAGTAATGTCAAGGTATTTGTGGAAAGAGTGACTGTTATTGGAGATTGAACTTGAAGCACAAGGCCAAAGAATCTTGTGACACGAAAATAGTGTCACAGGTCCTAAAAAGGTCATGTTCCCTGGACCTGCCTTCATGGTAACCAGAAGGGACCAATAATGGAGAATGAGAGAGGCTTCTCCAATATTTGACCTGCATATGATCCTGATACCAGGGAACCATACTGAGGCAAGGGTGAGTCTTTTTCTTTTCTTTTTTTTTTTTTTTTGAGTTGAAGTCTCGCTCCATTGCCCACGCCAGAGTGCAGTGGCACAATCTTGGCTCACTGCAACCTCTGTCTCCTGGGTTCAGGCAGTTCTCCTGCCTCAGCCTCCTAAGCAGCTGGGACCACAGGCACGCGCCACTGCACCTGGTTAACTTTTTGTATTTTTAGTAGAGATGGGGTTTCACCATGTTGGCCAGGCTGGTCTTGAACTCCTGACCTCAGGTGATCAACCTGCCTCACCCTCCCAAAGTGCTAGGATTACAGGCATGAGCCACCACACCCAGCCAAGGGTGAGTCTTAATAATGACAGAGTGAATTCTCATCATATTAGTGGAACAGGAGTTCAGAGCTGGAATTAATTTAAAGTATATAAAGAAGCAAAAGGTAAAAACAAATTAAATATCTATCAATTGAGCTGGTAATAAAATAGGTTAAAAGAAATAGGATTTATGGTAAATTGGACTTTCAGTCCCAATCCTATCACCTACAGTAAGATTATATATCTATGACCTAGCCATAACCTCAAGGTAGGTGAAGTAAACTTTCCCACTTTCTGACTATGGGTTTGGCCATACAAACTGATTTGGCCAATGAGATATTAGCAGATGTGATGTTAGCCGAGGCTTGAAATGCACTTGTGCATCTGTCATTGCCATGAGAAAAACATAGCCTAGTATTGACTGCCCCTCCATATGAAGCAACACCACCTCAGCTGGTTTATCCACCTGCAATCAGAAACAGAGCAACACCAGTCCATCCACAGATGCGTGAGAGAGAAAGAAATGCCTATTCCTGTATGCTGCTGCTATTTTGTGATGGTTTGTACCCAGCAAAAGCTGACTGATACATGGGCCATCCATACAATAAAATCTTCTCTAGCTATTAAATGAGATAGACCTTGATGAATTGATATAGAAGGATATTTAGGATACACCTGCAAGTAAAAACAGCAAGGTGCAGAGCAGTATAAATAATATGCTTTCATTTGTGGGGAAAAAAAGAACATACATTTCTATATTTGTCTAAACAATATTAGACTATCTTTAGAAGAATGAATAAAAAGTTGTTAACTGAGATTGTCCCCAGAGAAGAGCACTGGCTGGCTGAGGGACAGAAGTGAAAGGGACCAATCAGTTGGAAAGCTTTTCAGTATTTAACAACTGGAGAGTCGCACTGGTGTCCACCAGCTGAGTAACCATCCTAGATGGACACGTTCTGGAAATAGCCTAGATTCCCCCTCTCACAGCTTTTTAGATCCCCCTTTCACAGTTTTCAGTATAGTCCATGCAGAAATTGAAGTGATTTCAAGGTTTAAAGAGAGCTAGATTTAGTTGAGTAGATGAGGATCAGAGTAGGGAGAAAAAAGAAAACATGTACTAAAAATGGGTTTGCCATCCATGTATTTTTAACAACTTATTCTCTGCTTCTCCCCCTCTGCAATACCATTTCTAAGCTCCCAGTACCATTCCTAAACTTGACATCATTATAGTCCACAGTATGTAGATAACTGATTCAGTTACTTAAACATTTTTTAAAAGATGAGGTAAAAGAAATACTGTAATACAAAAGATTTTCTCACAACGTGGAAAGAAGTATGTATATATATATATATATATATATATATATATATATATATATATATGCATTCAAATTTCACATAATCCAAGAAACATTATGAGGATAAGCGCATGTTGCCATGGAAACTAGATGTCATCATTAGCATCATCAACAGTCACTAAATGCCTGTTAGTGCTGTTTTGAGCTACTTCCTACTTTCACTAGAAAAGAAAGACATGATGCTTGCTGTGAAGGAATTTCTAATTTAAATGGCTTCTGAAACAGCACATGCTTGGTAAGGAAAGGATGAACCTTCACCATTCATCACTGCTAGGTTCCAGAGATAAAGAGATTAATAAGACTCCGTTTCTATCCACAAAGAGTTCAGTCTGGTGTGGGGGACACTCATGAATGGGTGATTATTAGATAATGGGGAAATGTAGTGTTGGTTACACACAACTCCCAAAGCAATCAAATGCTGACAGATGAAGTGCATGCTTATTCAAGAAAAAGCAATCTGTTTATATATCTATTTCTTGCCTCATTATTTATCCCTAAACATGTTTTAAGATTAATAATGCATAAGGGAGAAAACTCTCGATGTCCTCTCCCTGAATTCCTCTTACTATTCCTAGTTTTAACCTTAGTCAGTGAGATTCCCCTGTTCAAATGCAAACAAAGCTTTTATAAAAGTGTGAAGAATGGAACTGTGGTTTCTACAAGCTGTTAAGTCAAAGAAGGCATGAATAATTTAGACTCCACCAACTGCCAATGATCATGCATTCCAAAACTCTGGATCCCAGGAGCCAGTGATAGGCAGGACACCTGGGATACAGAATATGCCCAGGAGAGTGATTAATCTTTATTTCCTCTGTATTGTCAGCAATTATTGATGCAGGCTGCTCGCTGCCTGTCTAGATCTACAATACTCTTGGCTTGCCCTCTGGAGCCCCACGTGTTGCCAACGTTCCACTTGTTACTTCTTGTTGGACCTCCATGGCATGGCCAACTGCCTAACCTCCTACACCCCATCTGCACCATCCACCAAAGACTATGCTTTGCCTATCAGATTAGCCTTTTTCCTCTCTCCTGCAATAGAATCTGCCTTCAAGTGCCTGCTCTGCTAACAGAAAATCAGAGTTTTGTTATTCTAGTATAAAAGCAGGATTCTGTAGAGAAGTCAAAGCAAAAGAGAGTCAAGCTAATCACATACAGTGGCCTAGGATGTGGAATGTGGCACCCTAATCAATTCCAGAGGGTTCTGGATTTCATAAAGGAGCTTCAATCCTAAGTGAATCCAGTCCCTCCGTAGCCATAACACTAATACGTCTCTCTCCTAGGCAATAGCATACTGGTGTTTAAGGGGCCTCTAAGAGTCACTCTCAGTTTCATAAGGAGAAAGAGTGGTCGAAGGAATTGGCAAGTTCACAAATTGCCTACAGTGAGTTTAAAAACAAAACCATTATCGGCTGGCTGAAGGATTGCTTGTTGTCAGCCTATGCAGTCAGCATCATGCTCAATAAATGTTAATTTCCTTTCCTAAATTAAAATCCTAGCTACTCAGGAGGCTGAGGCACGAGAATCACTTGAACCGGGGAGGCAGAGGTTGCAGTGGGCCAAGACCCAGCCTGGGTGACAGAACTAGACTCTGTCACAGAAAAAAAAAAAAAAAACTTAATATGGGCTGGGTGTGGTGGCTCATGCCTATCATCCCAGCACTTTGGGAGGCTGAGGTGGGAAGATCACTTGAGACCAGGAGTTTGAGACCAGCCTGGGTAAGACAGTGAGACTCCATCTCTAAAATAAATCAATCAATAAATAAATAAAACAAAATTTAACATGCAGGGCTTTGGGAAGCTGAAGTGGGATGATCACTTGAGCCCAGGAGTTCGAGGGCATCCTGAGCAACATAGCAAGACTCCATCTCTATTTCTTAAAAACTTAATATGTAAATTATATGCTTTAAAAATTGGTATTTTCCCATTTGACCCAGCCATCCCATTACTGGGTATATACCCAAAGGATTATAAATCATGCTGCTATCAAGACACATGCACACGTATGTTTATTGCGGCACTATTCACAATAGCAAAGACTTGGAACCAACCCAAATGTCCAACAACGATAGAATGGATTAAGAAAATGTGGCACATATACACCATGGAATACTATGCAGCCATAAAAAATGATGAGTTCATGTCCTTTGTAGGGAGATGGATAAAACTGGAAACCATCATTCTCAGCAAACTATCGCAAGGACAAAAAAACCAAACACCGCATGTTCTCACTCATAGGTGGGAACTGAACAATGAGAACACATGGACACAGGAAGGGGAACATTACACTCCAGGGACTGTTGTGGGGTGGGGGGAGGGGGGAAGGATAGCATTAGGAGATATACCTAATGCTAAATGATGAGTTAATGGGTGCAGCACACCAACATGGCACATGTATACATATGTAACTAACCTGCACATTGTGCACATGTACCCTAAAACTTAAAGTATGATAATAATAAAATGAAAAAAATAAAATAAAATAAAAACGGGTATTTTCGAGAGGTTGAGACCACAGTGAGCCATGACTGCGCCACTATACTTCAGCTTGGGTGACAGAACAAGACCCTTTATCAAATAAATAAATAAATGTATTTTATTTTACATCAATTATATTTCCATAAAGTTTTAGTGTGTTTGTTTTTTAAGACAAAGTCTCACTCTGTCACCCAGGCTGAAGGACAGTGGCATGATCTTGGCTCACTGCAACTTCTTCCTCCAGGGTTCAAGCGATTCTCCCACCTCAATCACCCAAGTAGCTGGGATTACAGGCATGTGCCACCATATCCAGCTAATTGTTTTATTTTTATTAGAGATGGGGTTTCACCATGTTGGCCAGGCTGGTCTCAAACTCCTGGCCTCAACACGAGAACTCAAAGTGTGCTGGGATTACAGGCGTGAGCCACTGCACTCAGCCACACAAAGTTGTTGTTGTTGTTGTTGTTGTTGTTGTTGTTGTTGTTGTTGTTGTTTTGAGATGGAGTCTTGCTGTGTCACCCGGGCTGGAGTGCAATGGCATGATCTCAGCTCACTGCAACCTCTGCCTTTCATGTTCAAGTGATTCTCCTGCCTCAGCCTCCCAAATAGCTGGGATTACAGGCATCCACCACCATGCCCGGATAATTTTTGTATTTTTAGTAGAGATGGGGTTTCACCATGTTGGCCTGGCTGGTCTTGAACTCCTGACCTCAAGTGATCCTCCTGCCTTGGCCTCTCAAAGTGCTGGTATTACAGGTATAAGCCACCGTGCGTGGCCACAAAGTTATTTTTTAAAGGATAATTAACTACTAATAGTAAGAAAATTAATTATGGATTTTATAGTATATGTAGAAGTAAATTAAAAATATGATGTAAAATATATAATAACAGTAGCACAAAGAAAAGAAAGACAGTAAAGTAAATACACTTCTCTAACATTTTTATACCATATGTACAATGGTATAATATTTGAAAATAGACTGAAAAGTGAAAATATTTGTGTGTGTGTATATATATACGTATATATACAGTATGTCCTAGAGCAATCACCTTTAAAAAAAAAAAGGGCTGTAAGCCTAGTGAAGATAAAATGAAATCAGAAAAAAAAAATACTCAATCCAAAAGAAGTCAGGTAAAGACAAAAAGGAAAAATGAGCAATTGAGACAAACAGAAAACAAACAGCAATATGGTGCATTTAAACATAACCATATAGATAATTACATTAAATATAAATTGTTTAAACAATCAAAAAGTAGAGATTGTCAGACTGATTTTTTAAAAAGACTCAACTACATACTGTCTACAAGAAGAAACTCACTTTATACATAGACATAGAGGGTTAAAATAAGAAGAAAAAATCCAAAGAAAGCTAAAATGCCTATATTAATATTAGATTAAGTAGATTTTAGAACATGAAGTATTAGTAGGGATAAAAAGAAATACTTCTTAAAGATAAAGAAGCCAATTCATTAAGAAAAGATGGCTGGGTGCAGTGGCTCATGCCTGTAACCAGCACTTTGGGAGGCTGAGGTGGGCAGATTGCTTGAGATCAGGAGCTGGGTAACATAGTGAAACCTCGTCTCTACAAAAAGTACAAAAATTTGCCAGGCATGATGGTGCATGCCTGTGTCCCAGCTACTTAGGAGGCTGAAGTGGGAGAATCGCTTGAGCCTGGGAGTTGGAGGTTACAGTGAGCTGAGATCACGCCACTGGACTTCAGTCTGGGCAACAGAGTGAGACTCTATCTCAAAAAACAAATTATATGTATAATATATATACACACATATATGTGCCCACATGTATGTACATATTACATATATGTACATGTATATACATAGGTGTATGTACATATATGTACATATATAATATATACATATTAGTATATACTAATATACACATATATAGTATATACTATATATAGTATATACTATATGTGCATATACTACATACGTACATATATGTACATATACTACGTACGTACATATATGTACGTATACTACATGTGTACATATACTACATACGTACATGTATGTACATATACTACATATGTACATGCATGTACATATACCACATACGTACATGCATGTACATATTACATACGTACATTTATGTACATATTACGTACGTACATATATGTACATACATGTGCATATTACGTACGTACATATATGTACATACACTATACTTGTACATATTATATATGTACATACACTATACGTGTACATATTACATACGTACATATATGTGCGTACACTATACGTGTACATATTACATACGTACATATATGTACATACGCTGTGTGTACATATTACATACGTACATATATGTACATATGCCATATGTGTATATACTATATATACATATGTACATATGCCATATGTGTATATACTATATATTACTATATATACATGTATGTACATATGCCATATGTGTGTATACTATACTATATATGTACATATGCCATGCGTGTGTATACTGGATGTAGTATATATGTACATATGCCATGCGTGTGTATACTATATGTACTATATATGTACATGTCATGCGTGTGTATACTATATGTACTATATATGTACATATGCCATGCGTGTGTATACTATATGTACTATATATGTACATATGCCATGTGTGTGTATACTATATGTACTATATATGTACATATGCCGTGTGTGTATACTATATATGTATGTACATATATGTGTAGACTATATATGTATGTACATATATGTGTATACTATATATACACATAGTATATAGTATATATACATAGTATATATGTATATATAGTATATATGTATATAGTATATACATATATGTACATATTGTATATACATATATGTACATATTGTATATACATATATGTACATATTGCATATACATATATGTACATATATGTATACACTATATACATATATGTACATATATACAGTGTATACATATATGTACATATATGTATACACTATATACATATATGTACATATATGTATATATTATACATATAATTTTTATGACCATATAATTTTATGGTGCATATATATGTGTGTGTACATATATATATAACTATTCTAAATATGTATCTACCTAATTACAGAGCCTGACTGATAAGAGAAACAGGAAACCTAAATAGAAAGCCAAATCATGAGTGAACTCCCATTCACAAGTGCTACTAAGAGAATAAAATACCTAGGAATGCAACTTACAAGGGATGTGAAGGACCTCTTCAAGGAGAACTACAAAGCACTGCTCAAGGAAATAAGAGAGGATACAAACAAATGGAAAAACATTCCATGCTCATGGATAGAAAGAATCAACACCGTGAAAATGGCCATACTGCCGAAAATAATTTATAGATTCCACGCTATCCCCATCAAACTACCACTGACTTTCTTCACAGAATTGGAAAAAACTACTTTAAACTTCATATGGAACCAAAAAAGAGCCCACATAGCCAAGACAATCCTAGGCAAGAAGAACAAAGCTGGAGGCATCACGCTACCTGACTTCAAACTATACTACAAGGCCACAGTAACCAAAACAGCATGGTACTGGTACCAAAACAGATATATAGACCAATGGAACAGAACAGAGTCCTCAGAAATAACACCACACATCTACAACTATCTGATCTTTGAGAAACCTGACACACACAAGCAATGAAGAAAAGATTCCCTATTTAATAAATGGTGTTGGGAAAATTGGCTAGCCATACGCAGAAAACTGAAACTGGACCCCTTCCTTACACCTTATACAAAAATCAACTCAAGATGGATCAAAGAGTTAAACGTAAGACCTAGGACCATAAAAATCCTAGAAGAAAACCTAGGCAATACCATTCAGGACACAGGCATGGACAAAGACTTCACGTTTAAAACACCGAAAGCAATGGCAACAAAAGCCAAAATTCACAAATAGGATCTACCTAAAGAGCTTCTGCACAGCAAAAGAAACTATCATCAGAATGAATAGGCAACCTACAGAATGGGAGAAAATTTTTGCAATCTATCCATCTGACAAAGGGCTAATATCCAGAATCTACAAAGAACTTACTTAAACAAATTTACAAGAAAAAAACAAACAGCCCCATCCAAAAGTGGGCAAAGTATATGAACAGACACTTCTCAAAAGAAGACATTTATGCAGCCAACAGACACGTGAAAAAATGCTCATCATCACTGGTCATTAGAGAAATGCAAATCAAAACCACAATGAGATACCATCTCAGGTCAGTTAGAATGGCAATCATTAAAAAGTCAGGAAACAACAGATGATGGAGAGGTTGTGGAAAAATAGGAATGCTTTTACACTGTTTGTGAGAATGTAAATTAGTTCAACCATTGTGAAAGACAGTGTGGTGATTCCTCAAGGATCTAGAACTAGAAATACCATTTGACCCAGCAATCCTATTACTGGGCATAAACCCAAAGGATTATAAATCATTCTATGATAAAGACACATGCACACATATGTTTACTGCAGCACTATTCACAATAGCAAAGACTTGGAACCAATCTAAACATCCATCAATGATAGGCTGGATTAAGAAAATGTGGCACATACACACCATGGAACACTATGCAGCCATTAAAAAAGGATGAGTTCATGTCCTTTGCAGGGACATGGATGAAGCTGGAAACCATCATTCTCAGCAAACTATCACAAGATCAGAAAACCAAACACTGCGTGTTCTCACTTATAAGTGGGAGTTGAATAACGAGAACACATGGACACAGGGAGGGGAACATCACACACTGTGGCCTATCGGAGGGTGGGGGGCTAGGGGAGAGATAACGTTAGGAGAAATACCTAATGTAGGTGACGAGTTGATGGGTGCAGCAAACCACATGGCACGTGTATACCTATGTAACAAAACTGCACGTTCTGCACATGTAAGTCAGAACTTAAAGTATAATTTAAAAAAGAGAGAGATCCTTTGTAGGGACATGGATGAAATTGGAAACCATCATTCTCAGTAAACTATCGCAAGAACAAAAAACCAAACACCGCATATTCTCACTCATAGGTGGGAATTGAACAATGAGATCACATGGACACAGGAAGGGGAATATCACACTCTGGGGACTGTGGTGGGGTCGGGGGAGGGGGGAGGGATAGCATTGGGAGATATACCTAATGCTAGATGACACATTAGTGGGTGCAGCGCACCAGCATGGCACATGTATACATATGTAACTAACCTGCACAATGTGCACATGTACCCTAAAACTTAGAGTATAATAAAAAAAAAAAAAGAAACTGGATATAGCTGGATTTTAAATCAAAACCTGTGAATAAAATTAACAAATCGTGTTTTAACTTAAGCCAATTAAAAATAATATGTTAAAAAAAAAATAAAATAAAATAAAAAAAAGAGAGAGAAATAGAAAAACCTACAAACATATTGGAGATTTAAAGGCCCTTAAAAAAAAAGGCCCTGTTTGTTTTGTTTTGTTTTGTTTTGTTTTGTTTTGTTTTGGACAGAGTCTTGCTCTCTCGCCCAGGCTGGAGTGCAGTGGCATGATCTCAGCTCACTGCAAGCTCCACCTTCCGGATTCACGCCATTCTCCTGTCTCAGCCTCCCGAGTAGCTGGGACTACAGGCGCCCACGACCACACCTGGCTAATTTTTTGTATTTAGGAGAGACGGGGTTTCACTGTTAGCCAGGATGGTCTCGATCTCCTGACCTCGTGATCTGCCCGCCTCAGCCTCCCAAAGTCCTGGGATTACAGGTGTGAGTCAATGCACCCGGCCCCAAAGTTCCTCTTTTAGTAAGTGGTAGCACAGGTACACAGAAATAGATATAGAAGACTTAAGCAACACCATTGACCAAACTGACCTATTGCCTTCTATAGAACACAACACTCAACAACAGCAGAAAACACATTCCTTTCAAGTACACATGAAACATTCACCAAGATGGACTATATTTGGGGCTATAAAACAAATTTCAATAAATGTAGTAGAATTTAAATCATAAACAGTATGTTCTTTGACCACAACTCAACTAATATCAATATTAAAATGACATCTAAAAAATCTCCAAATCTTTGGAAATTAACAATTCTAAATAATTCAGTAATCAAAGAACAAGTCACAAAAAAAAACTGGAAAACATTTTGAATTTTAAAAAAATGAAAACAACATTTCAAAATTATAGGATACAGCTGAAACAGTCCTTAGAGAGAAAGGTATGTCATGTTAAATGCTTACATGAACAAAGAAGAAGGGTCTAAACTTTGATGGTAAGAAACTAGAAAAAGAAGAGCAAATTAAACCCAAGGCAAACAGAAGAAATGAAATAATAAAAGTGTAGAAATCATTAAAATAGAAAACAGAAAAGCAACACAGAAAATCAAAACCAAAAGCTAGGTTTTTTCAAATTTAATAAAATCTGTAGACCTCTATAGCCAGACTTAAGAGACAAAAAGAATTACACAATTTAACAAAGATCAAGAATAAAAGAGGCTGGGGGCAGTGGCTCTGTAATTCTAACACTTAGGGAGGTAGGGGTGGGAGGATAACTTGAGCCCAGGCATTCGAGACCTGCCCAGGCAATATAGCGAGAACCTGTTCTAAAAAATATTAAGAAAAAAAAAAAAGGAATGAAGGAGGGAGACATCACTATAGATCCTAGAGATACAATAAAGAAACATTATGAATAACTTTATACCAATAAATTTAATAACCTACAAGAAATGGACAAATTCCTTTAAAAGCTAAAACTGCCAAATCTCATTCAAAAGGTAGATAACTTGAATATCATATACAAAAGATATTAAATTTATAGCTGCAAACATTCCCATAGAAAAATGTCTAGGCCCAGACGGTTTCAGTGGTGAAGGCTATGAAACATTTGGATAAGAAATAATACAAATTCTACACACATTTACAGAGAGTAGAAGATGAAATTCCAGCTAATTTTATCAGGCCAACATTAATAGCAAGTCCAGACCAAGATATTACAAGAAAAGTACATATCATGATCTCTCATGAACACAGATGCTAAAATTCTTAAAAATATATTAACAAATCAAATCTGGCAACATATAAAAAGAATAAACAAGTAAAGTTTCTCTTGGAATAGAGAATTTGCTCAATATTTGAAATCAGTCCATGTAAAAAGTAAAATCATATGATTATCTTAAGAGTTGCAGAAAAAGTATTTCATAAAATTCAATATGCCTTCATGATAAAAATTTTCAACAAGCTAAAAAAAATAGAATGAAGTTTTCTCAACCTGAAAAAGAAAACCTATAAAAAAAAGTATGCTAACATCACTTAAAGGTGAAAGACTGAATCCTTTCCCCCTAAGATCAGGAAGAACATCCATGCTCCCCACGCTTATTTAACACCACTGGAGATTCTAGCTGGGGCAATAAGGCAAGAAAAAGAAGTACATGGCCGGGCATGGTGGCTCACACCTATAATCCCAGCACTTTGGGAGGCCTAGGCGGATCACTTGAGGTCAGGAGTTCAAGACCAACCTGGCCAACATAGTGAAACCCCGTCTCTACTAAAAACACAAAAGTTAGCCGGGTGTGCATGCCTGTGGTCCCAGCTTCTCAGGAGACTGAGACAGGAGAATTGCTTGAACCCAGGAGGCAGAGGTTGCCATGAGCTGAGATTGTGCCACTGCACTCCAGCCTGGGCGAAAGAGTGAGACTCTCTCAAAAAAAAGATAAAAAGAAAAAGAAGTACATGCAGACACTTTGGAAAGAAAGAAGTAAACCTGTCTTCATTTGCAGACAACATGAGTATCTCTATGGAAATTACTATGGAATCTTTTAAAGCTAATAGAAATAAAAGTGAGCTTTACAGGCTCTCAGAATAGTAGGCCAGTATACATAAATTAATCGTGTGCTGGACAAAATGAAACTATGGTGCAAAAGCACTATTTTTAAAAAAAGAAAAAAAAAAGCATTATAAGTTCTAGAAACTGGAAAAATAGGGGAAAATCTTAAGAATTGAGAGGAGGGAAGAAAATATAAGTAATAAGATAAGGCTTAAGGAAGGAGAAAGACGGAGATCTTTGATCAATGAAACAACAGAGGATCTGTTAATTTAATCTGGAGACGGACCTGATTGAGATCATACTAAAAAGTAAAATAGAAGCCATCAAGTCTGATTTGGAATAAACTCTCAGGAGATTCTTGCAATCAATTAGGCAAAAAAGATGCCAGCTTGGTCTCCAGCAAAGGAGAAGGAGAAAAGCAAACCATAATCAAGAGAGAGTTGGAAGATTAAATCAATTGGCTATTGACAAATGTGGAAGGGAAGAGAGAAGGGGGAGACCAGGGCTGCTCCCAGATATGGGGCTGCAGCAGGGAATGACAATGCCCTGCAGAGGAGCAGCTGTGCTGGCTTCAGTCTCTGACTCACAAAATACCCCAGGGAAAGAGCAGGTGTCATCTTTAGCTTCAACCATAAAGTGGCATGCGGTGCAGAGAGTGGCAGCCTGCCTGGGCCACTTTACCCTAAAATGTGGCACCCACTGGGTCCTCCACTTCAGCCACTGCCCCGGGCACTGGCATAATGGTCATTTACAACAATCATTTCCCTTGCTCGCTTGCCTGGACACCTCCTGGGCCACAAAAGTGTGCCTCAAATTAGGCAACTGACATAATAGAGACAGTAGGACCTCTGTCTGAGTCGTGACCATTTTCTCTTCCCCTATCTTCTCTCAGGTTCGCTCTCTGAATTCTCCTGGGGGAGCTCCATCACCTATCATCTTTTCTTTTTATGAAACTTGAACATCTTAAGCTGAAATTAGCGACCCTTCCTGAATAGCAAAATGCAATCACCTTTACAGGACTCCAGATGTTTCAAATACAAAAAGCCATGGGCAGGAGTAACGTTGCAATTCCATGCATGCCTCAAAAGGGATTCGCAGCCTAAGCATCCACAAGAGGGAGCTCTCTAGTACCTTTTCACTTTCTCAATAAAGATTTACAATCACCTGCTGTGCACCAGGCTCTATGCTAGGAATTGGAGATACAATAATAAATAAAAATAAAAGGGCCAGCTGCAGTGGCTCATGCCTGTAATCCCAGTACTTTGGGATGCTGAGGCGGGAAGATCACTTGAGCCCAGGAGTTCAAGGCTGTAGCAAGCTATGATTGTGCCACTGCACTCCAGCCTGGGTGACAGAGCATAACTCTGTCTCTAAAAAAAAATATGTATTTATTTAGAGACGGGGTCTTACTCTGTCACCCAGGCTGGAATGCAGTGGCACAATCACAGCTCTTGGCAGCCTCAACTTCCCAGGCTCAGGTGTTCCTTCCACCTCCACCTCAGCCTCCCAAGCAGATGGTGCTACAGGTGCCCACCACCACACCCAGCTAATGTGTGTATTTTTTGTAAAGACAGGGTTTCACCATGTTGCCCAGGCTGGTCTCAAACCCCTGGGCTCAAGTGATCCACCTGCCTTGGCCTCCCAACAAATTAAAATTAAAACTGAAAACATAAACACGGGAGCAGTGGTTCACGCTTGTAATCCCATTTTGGGAAGCCAAGGCAGGAGGAATGATTGAGTCCAGGAATTCGAGACCAGCCTGGGCAACATAGCGAGACCTCATCTCTACAAAAAAATTAAAAATAAATAAATTAGCCAGGTGTCATGGCATGTACCTGTCTTCGTTCTAGCTACTCAGGAGGCTGAGGTAGGAGGCTTGCTTGAGCACAGGTCAAGGCTGCAGTAAGCCATGTTCACACCACTGCACTCCAGCCTGGGCAACACAGTGAGACACTGTCTCAAAAAATATATAAAAAATAAATAAAAGATCCTGGCCTCATGGATCTTACATTTCTATGGGAGACACAATTAGTAAGTAAACAAGCGGCATAAAACATTGTGATAAAGTTATTTAAAAAAAAACCAGAATGATGAGATAGAAACTAACTAGAAGAGGACACTCATCAAGAAGGGCATCTCTGGGGAGGCAGCATTTAGGCTGAGACTTGAAGGGTGAGAATGAGCCTGCCTTGTGCTCAGTACAAGTGATGCAACAGAAATGATTATGCCATATATTTACAGCTCTACACGTTATTAGGGTGTGGTGTGGGATCCGTGGCAGAAGTGGTGCTGTTAGCATAACTCAATACACGAGGCTGTGCAAGGGAAGATAGTATTTTGAAAAACTACATTATGCGACCTTCTCCCTAATTAACTGTTAAGGAAAACTTATTCAGTGATACTAGTTAAAGCATGGCAAGGAAAACGTCATTCAGAACCATCACGATAGCTACAGGGACCAGGGCAATGGGGTCTTGCAGTCAGGGAGAGACTGGGGCAACTCTGAATACAGCACAAGCAGGTGGAAATCATAATTGATGCCAACGAGCAGGGTGGAGGTCAGTGGATGGAAAATTACTAAGAGGAAACATCAGGGGTGAGGGGGATTCTGGCTAAACCAACACAACAGGATTCTTGCTGAAGACAGGCCAGGGTGAACAGGCATCGCGTTGGGGACGTGGGAGAGGAAAATTCTGATCAGATATCCAGGATGATCAGATACTGAGGATGAGGGGTTCTGGCTAAACTGACTTAGTAGTGTTCTTTGCTAAAACTGGATGTTGCAAGAAAGTGCATAGATGGGCTGAGCAGAAGATTTGGAAGCCTGACTAAACTTTGGCCAAGCAAAGAATCTTTGTCAAAACCTAAAGTATCGTGGGAGAGAAGGAGGTGCAGATTGGATTGAGACTGTGAAAGAAGGAATGAGAAGAGCAGGAGTTATTATTCAACTTATAACATTCAAGAGATGGCGTAGCATAACAATAAACTAGATAACAGACACAATTGAGAGAGAAAGGATTCTCTACATTTTTAACTCACATTAAGTGTATCAAGAGCTAGTCCCGATGGACTATAGTAGATAGATTGGAAGTTAAAGAAACATCCGCCCTCTCCTGATGAAGGGGATTGTAGGACAGGAAGAAAGAGGAAGACAGGAGGTGGTCCCACAACGGGTTCCCAGTTTCCCGGAAGTAAGGCGGACAGGCTGAGGGGGAACACCGGGGACTGCAGGGAAATTGCTCCATTCCTTTTTTGGGACTCTGGGAGGAGACATCTGCAGAGGGTATCCCTGCGCCAATATGGGTAAGAGAAGTTGGGCACCAGCATGACTTAGGGGCTCTGCTTCTCAAAACGCCCGTGGAACAGATTTTTTTGTTGTTCTTTTCCAATTACCCCTGATTCCCTAATAAAATACACTAAAAATGAGTCAATAGAAGAAGAAAATGAGGGAAAAAAAGGAATACAAGCTCAAGTTTTTTTATTAGATTCAATAGACATAAAATTCCTATCAACTTATTTTGAAAGTTTCAAACGATTCCACCAGACACTGTTGGAAGATAGAACAGAGATTGAACTCAGCTTTTAAAAAGCAGGGGAGTCCCACAGAATGCCTGCCCCTTCCATGGTGGCTTTCTGGCACCCAGATATGTTAACTGGCCAAGCAGGTAATTTCTGTGTGTTATTATCTAAAAGTGTTTCTTTATGAAAACACTGGGTGGGACCACAGGGCAGTCTCGGGTGAGAGGAAAAAGGGACAAGGTCAGACAGCCCCCAAGGAGAGTGGAATTGCTTTTCACACCAGAAAGAGCCTTGTATTCCTGCAGCCTCCCTAAATCATCCCGTGAGAATATGTTATTAGCAGACACCTTCAGAATCCCCTGCTAGCATCCTAACAGTGCTCTTGCCAATAATCATTTGGCCACATGCATAGAGCCAGCAGCAAAGACTGGCTTTCATTGTTTTATTCCTGGCAGTATATAGGCTTTCTGGCCTGAAGTAAGAGGAAGTAAGAAAGAAAAACATACATAATAAAATGGAGGAAGGTTCCAGCTCTCCCGGGCTTAGAAGGAGACCTGGTTCAATGCAACAGTATTTTACATTTAGCACTGTTACTTTGGGGGAAAGAAGAAATGAGACAAAAAAATGAAGAAGGTAGAGTGACATCAGGAAACCCTGGATAAAGCTAACCATTGCTACCTCCTTTCAGGGTGGCTGGTTCTCCTTGCTTCCTTTCTTTCTTTGCCACAAACACCAGGGTTCCAGAATTGTCCGCTTCTTCACAGGTACCACCACTTGGAATTTCCATATGTATCACGCTTGTCCGTAGAGGAAGACATAGCTGCCCCAAGAGATCCCCTTTCTATCTACACACAAACACAAGCAGCAGGGTCTTCGTGAATGTGAGAAACAAAGGGAAGGCAGCCGCAAAGATAATAGGTTCAAGGGATGCTGGTCTTGCTCAGCTGTTGCTGATTAATGGAGCTAGTGCACTCAATTAGAATAGGGTTCACCTGAGATTTGTCCCATCTCCAACTTTCCTCTGATAGAGCCTCCCTTCTATGTAAAAGGTAACCGTGTCTAGAGAGCCAATCAAGATAAAGTAATAGTGTCCTTTTTGTCCTACCTGGACCTGAGGACTTGTAGACTAGATAATTACCAATCAAATAGGCCACTAAGAAGTCCAGAACTTAGTATCTCTGGCTTTATCATAATTGCCTGAACCTGCAGCTGTTTCCTATGCATCCTAGGCAGGGATAACCTATAGTCTGAAGGAACTTGCCCTACTTTAAACTGCCCGCCAGTGCTCTTTGCAGAAAAAAAAAAAAAAAAAAAATGGAGTTCAGGAAGTTGGGATACAAATAAGAGTTTTGGAAAGGAAAAGACCAGTCCAGACAGAAAGGGCTGGACTGTTAATTGGCTGGCTAAATCAAAAGTCATCAGTATTTAGCCTACAGTAACCAAAACAGCATGGTACTGGTACAAAAACAGACACATAGACCAATGGAACAGAATAAAGAGCCCAGAAATAAAGCTGCACACCTACAATCATCTGATCTTAGACAAAGTTGACAAAAACAAGCAATGGGGAAAGGACTTCCTATTCAATAAATGGTGCTGGGATAACCAGCTAGCCATATGCAGAAGAGTGAAACTGGACCCCTTCTTTTAACCATATACAAAAATCAGTTCAAGATGGTTTAAAGACTTAGATGTAAAATCTGAAACTATAAAAACCCTGGAAGAGAACCTAGGAAGTACCATTCTGAACATAGGACTTAGCAAAGATTTCATCATTAAGACACTAAAAGCAATTGCAACAGAAATAAAAATGGACAAATGGGACCTAATTAAACTAAAAAGCTTCTGCACAGCAAAAGAAACTATTAGCAGAGTAAACAACCTACAGAATGGGAGAAAATATTGCAAACTGTGTATCCAACAAAGGAGTAATATCCAGAATCTATAAGTAATTTAAACAAATTAACAACCATTTGTCCATTAAAAAGTTGGCAAAGGACATGAACAAACACTTTTCAAAAGAAGACATACAGCCGGGCACAGTGGCTCACATCTGTAATCCCAGCACTTTGGGAGACCAAAAGGTGGGAGGATCACTTGAGCCCAGGACTTTGAGACCAGCCTGTGCAACATCGTGACTTCGTCTCTCCTAAAAATAAAAAATTAGCCAGGTGTAGCGATGCATACCTGTGGTCCCAGCTACTCTGGAGGCAGGAGGATAGCTTGAGCCCAGGAGGTAGAAACTGCAGGGAGCTGTGATCACATCACTGCATTCCACCCCGGGAACAGAGCAAGACTCTTGTCTCCAAAAAAAAAAAAAAAAAAAAAAGGAAGACATATACATGGCCAAAGAGCATATGAAAAAATGCTCAGTATCACTAGTCAAAAGAGAAATGCAAATCAAAACCACAATAAGATACCATCTCATACCAGTCAGATGGCTATTATTAAAAAGTCAAAAAAATAACAGATGTTGGCAAGGTTGTGAAAAAAAGGGAATGCTTATACACTGCTAGTAGGAATGTAAATTAGTTCAGCCATTATGGAAAGCAGTTTTGAGATTTCTCAAAGAACTCAAAGCAGAATTACTATTTGACCCAGCAATCCCATTATGGGGTATATGCCCAAAGGAATATAAATTGTTCTGCCATAAAGGCACATGCACGTGTATGTTCATCATAGCACTATTCACAATAACAAACGCATGGAATCAACTTAAATGCCCATCAGTGGAAGACTGGATAAAGAAAATGTGGTATGTATATACCATAGAATACTACACAGCCATAAAAAGGAACAAGATCATGTCCTTTGCAGCAACATGGATGAAGCTGGAGACCATTATCCTAAGCAAACTAACACAGGAACAGAAAACCAAATACTGTATGTTCTCACATTGAGTGGACTTCATGTCAACAGACATAGACATAATAATATAGGAACAATAGACACTGGGGCCTGCTTGAGTTTGGAGGGAGGGAGGAGGGTGAGGATCAAAAAACTACCAATCGGGGACTATGCTTACTACCTGGGTGATGAAATAATCTGTACACTAAACTCCCATGACACACAATTTACCTATATAACAAACCTGCACGTGTATCTCTGAACTTTATAAAATAAAAGTTAAAAACAAAAAATGTCATTAGTGTTTGAGGAAGGAGAGAAAAAAATAGAAACTTCAGACATACATTTGTTCAGTGCAAAACATTGTAAAATATATAGGGAAAAGTACTTTGAAATACATTCTAACTCAATCATAATGGTTGTGTGACTTTGGACAAGTTAATTTGTTTCTCTAGTTTCAGTTCCCTCATCAGCAATATGAGGAAAACTGGGTTTTTCTAACATCATTGATGAATTTGACCGTGTATGTGCTGTATCGTATTGGCTTGACCCAGGTCCCATCAGGTTCTCCCACTGCCCTGGCTGCAGGTCTCAGCAGTTCGAGCTGTAAGAGGAGTAGCAGTGGCCTCCTCACCATCAAGATACCCGAGAGGAGGGCAACTCAGCCCAAGACACAGTGAAGGAAGATCCCAAGAGGAGATGGGTGAGGTTGTCAGATAAACCTGCTCCTGCAACAGTAAAAACGAAAACAAAAAAGGCAGTGGGAAAGGATAAACCTTCAGACCAAAAAAGGCAAACAAAGGGGAAAAAGAAGAGGAAAGGGAAAACAGGCCAAAATGGCTAACCAGGAAACTCAAGAAGATTTACCTACAGAAAATGGAGAAACTGAAAATGGGGACAGTCCAGCCTCTGATGAACCTGGAGACAAAGAAGCCAAGTCTGATTAGTATCATATGCCCTGTCTTAGCCACAGTCCCTGTCTCCCTTCCTATACAATCCAGACGAATATTTTTTATCAACTATTTTGTAAATGCCAAGTGTTTTAGTAGCTCTAGAAACTTCTTTTTTTCTTTTTTTTATATTCTTTTTTTAAGACAGAGTCTCATTCTATTACCCAGGCTGGAGTGCATTGGCACATTCTGGGCTCACTGCAACCTGGGCCTCCCAGGTTCAAGCAATTCTCCTACTTCAGCCTCACGAGTAGCTGGGATCACAGGTGCCCGCCACCACGCCTGGCTAATTTTTTTTGTATTTTTAGTAGAGATGGGGTTTCACCATGTTGGCCTAGCTAGTCTGGAACCCCTGACCTCAGGTTATCCACCCACCTCAGCCTCCCAACGTGCTGGGATTACAGATGCGAGCCACCGTGCCCAGCCTCTAGAAACATTTTTAAGAAGGAGGGAATCCCTCTTCATCTCATTTTTTTTAAGTGTGAATGCTTTTATTTCAGAGATGAAATTATTTGCTAGTTATTTATTTTTGGTACAACCAGCAAATAATGTGGAATACTGGATTACAGGAGACTTTGACTGTCTTGGGTGTCGGCTTCATATTCCACAAATGGGGGATAGTTTTTATATCCTATAATAGAAAGCATACTACATGGCAATATGGAGTCACAGTCCCGCACTTAATGTCTTGAACATTTTTAATCCTATTCCCGTGTTGTTTTTTAGTAGAATTGTTTCCTAAGAAAACCACTCCTTGGGCCAGGTGCAGTGGTTCACACCTGTAACCCCAGCATTTTGGGAGGCTGAGGCGGGTGGATCATCTGAAGTCAGGAGTTCGAGACCAGCCTGGCCAACATGGCAAAACCCCATCTCTACTAAAAATACAAAAAATTAGCCAGGTGTGGTGGCACCCACCTGTAATCCCAGCTACTTGGGAGGCTGAGGCGGGAAAATTGCTTGAACCTGGGATGTGGAGATAGTAGTGAGCTGAGATTGCACCACTGCACTCCAGCCTGGGTGACAGGGCAAGACTCTGTCTCAATAAAAAAAGACAACTACTCCTTGATGGTGGCTCTCCCTGTCAAAACCACGTGTGCTCTGTAGCATCTTTGGTTGTGGTGGTCCTGTTTTCCTAGGAACTTTGTTAATGTGCTGTGAAAGATTGAAAATTTCAGTACGTAGTGTCTATGATATAAAATTGTTCATTGATGGTACTTACGTAACAGGTTATCCACATTTGAAGACACTGGCATTTGATATCTTAAGGAAATTTGGCCTTCAAATTTCAAGCGGCAAAGTCATGAGAATATCTGTTTTTAACGCTTACAATACATGGCTTTTTAGATTTTTGGTACAAAATTGTGTACAAATTGTGTGCAAAATTGTGAAATGTCTGTGTACGTACTGATCCCCAACACAACCAATAAAATCTCAATTAGAGAAAAAGAATTGCTTGATCCAACCTGCCCTGGCCTCTTGGCAGCTTGCCAAAGTGACAGCCCCCTGCCACTGCAGTTGCTTCCTCTCCTCATGCCACTCGCTGAGCTTCCACACAGCTGCGTTGTTTCTGCCCCAGCAGGAGCCTTGGCTGCTTAGGCGCCCAAGTTCTACCCGACCGGACCCAGCTGTTGGCTTCCCCAGCAGCTGCCGGGGAAAAGTGGGCGACGGGGGCGGGTGGGGAGGCAAATAACACCCTGGAGGTCTGGGAAATTTAAAAATAATTAGATGGTCAAGTTCTTCTGCTCTGAAAATTTTTAAAAAGCAAGAAATAAAGAAAGAGAAAAAAAAATCGTTAAATTTTGTCCAATGAAAAGCACAAAATAAGAAGCCACTGACGAATAAATCACTTACTTTTCCACCTTTCCAAACCTAATGGTCTGTTCTGGGTCTCAATGGATCTATGCAGCCTCTCAGGAGATGCCTTGTATGATGGGCTTGGCTGTGTCTTTGTGAAATAGTGATCTGCAGGATAAGAAAGATGCCACCTTATGTTTGCCTACCCTCCCTCCCTGCTTGAATTCCCTCCTTCCTTCTTCCTTCACTCTTGCTGCCCTGGAATTCCACTCCAAATAAAGTGTTAACGTATAAACTTTGTTTCAGACTCGTTGTTGTTGTTGTTGTTGTTGTTGTTAGTTTTTAGGGTTTTATACACAATTCAAGGACAAAAGGAGTACCATGAAGATCAAAGGAAATAGCGTTGGGAAAGCCATTTGTAAGTGTTAAAGTAAAACTTATGCGCATAAAAAGTCCACATGATCTTGAACAAGAAAATAGAGCGGTATAAAATGGCGTGACTGGCAGTGCTGCTGAGATGTCAAGCGATTATGGTACAGAAAGAAAGAAGCACTTAACTCAGCTGGGGGGTGAAGATGGGAGTAGAAGAGGGAGAAGCTCCAAATAAAAGAGGGCCTTTAGAATAGAGACAGCGCCTAGGCAGACGAGAGAAGGGTATTTCAGGCACAGGCAGAGATGTGACATTCCAGGTGCCTAAGAAAGCCTGCCCCAGGAAATTCAGGAAGGAACAGAGTCCGAAGAACAGGTAGAGTCAGACCATGAAGTACGCTGCCCACCACACTTGAGAGCTCGGACTTTTTTTCCTCGAGGCCATGAGTATTGCAGAGGAATGACGCTGTCGAGGGTTACTTTATAAATAGATCGCCCAGACACTGGTGTGGAGGGCGAAGAGCAGAGAGTGAGCCCAGAAGTAGGAGAACAATCAGGAGGCCATTGCATCAGTACCGGAAATGAAGGTGGAGGGCTGATCCAAGGCAGTGGCTGTGGCAATGTAAAGGAGAGGCAGACTGAAGGCGTGTCTAGGAAGTAAAATCAATTTTCCTGAATGCGGAGGGCCAAGCAAGGAAAAGTCATCTAAGAAGGCTTCAGATTTCAGGTGTGAGCAGTTTAAGATGGACAGTAGTGCCACCCATCTGGATCAAAAATAAAGGAAGAGGAGCAGAGATTTGCTTACTTTTGGTGCCCAGGAATGGAGTAGTGTGCTGAATTTTAGCAGTCTAATAGACAATAAGCCAACGAAAATGTATATCTCCAATTCAGTTAAGAATTTCTGCTGTAATCCCAGAACTGTGAGAGGTCAAGGCAGGAGGATTACTTGAGCTCAGGAGTTCGAGACCAGCCTGGACAACAGAGGGAGACCCCTGTCTCTTCTAAAAATTTTAAAAGTGCCAAGCGTGGTGACACATGCCTGTAGTTCCAGCTACTCAGAAAGCTGAGGTGGGAGGATTGCTTGAACCCCGGAGGTGGAGGTTGCAGTGAGCTGAGATGGCACCACTGCACTCCAGCCTGGGTGCAGAGCGAGACTTTGTCTCAAAAAACAAAAAACAAACAAACAAACAAAAACAATCTTTGGATTGCTGCTAGATTTTGGAAATTACCTCTGAAAAGTGTACGGAGTTACAAAAGTATGAAGGAGAAAATTTTAAAATATCAACAATTGAGGGATAAACCAAGACCAGAAACCACTAACAACAGAAAAAGGGAAGGAGCCATCTAAATGGGAGAAGAGTAACCGAAAAGACTAGTATTCGAGGTGAAGAGATAAGAGAGTAAAGTATATGTGAGTAGTCAACAGATACGTCCAGTAAAATAAGAGCTAAAAAGTACACATTGACAGCAACTGGGAAGCCATTGCTTATCTTAGCAAAAGTTGTTTTAGTGGGGTGGGGAAAGTGGGAAAGTGCCAGCAGTTTGTGGAAAAGTAAGTGGGAAACCCTCATTCATTGCTGGTGGGAGTGCAAAATCGTACAGCCACTTTGGAAGACAGTTTGCCAGTTTCTTATAATATTAAACTTACTCTTACCATATGATCCAGCAATTGTGTTCCTTGGTATTTACCCAAATGAGTTTAAAATTTATGTCCACATAAAAACCTGAATATGAATGTGTATAGCAGCTTTGTTCACAATTGTCAAAACTTGGAAAGAACCAAGACGTCCTTCGGTAGGTGAGTGAATAAATAAGCTGTGGAACATCCAGACAATGGAATATTATTCAGTGCTAAAATGAGATGAGCTATCAAGCCATAAAAAGACACGGAGGAAACTTAAATGCATCGACTTAGCAAAATAAGCCGATTTCAAAAGTTTACATGCTGTATGATTCCAATTATATGACACTCTGGAAAAGGCAAAACTATGGAGAATAAAAGAATCAGTGGTTGCTAGGAGTTAGGAGGAAAGGATGAACAGGCAGAGGATTTCTAGGAAGCAAAACTATTCGGTATGATACTATAATGGTGGATGCATGTCATCATGCATTTGTCAAAACCCACACAATGTACAACGCTAAGAATGAACCCTAATGTAAACTCTGGACTTGGAGTGATAATGACATGCCAATGTAGGTTCATTGTTTGTAATGAATGTACCACTCTGGTGAAGGATTTTGATAGTGGGGGAGTCTATACATATGTGGGGGCAAGAGGTATATGGGAAATCTCTGTGTGTTCTGCTGAATTTTGCTGTGAACTTTATGTTCTGAAAAAATAAAGTCTATGTTTTTTGTTGTTGTTGTTGTTGTTTTTGTTTTTGTTTTTGAGACAGGGTCTCACTCTGTCACCCAGGCCGGAGTGCAGCGGTGCAGTCACGACTCACTGTAGCCTCTACCTCCTGGGCTCAAGTGATCCTCCCACTTCAGTCTCCCAAGTAGTTGGAACTACAGGCACATGTCACCACACCCAGCTAATTTGTTTTTTGTTTTTTGTTTTTTTTTTTGAGGTGGAGTCTCACTCTGTCGCCCAGGCTGGAGTGCAGTGATGCAATCTCAGCTCACTGCAAGCTCCGCCTCCCGGGTTCACGCCATTCTCCTGCTCAGCTTCCCGAGTAGCTGGGACTACAGGCGCCCGCCACCACACCTGGCTAATTTTTTGTATTTTTAGTAGAGACGGGGTTTCACCGTGTTAACCAGGATGGTCTCGATCTCCTGACCTCGTGATCCGCCCACCTTGGCCTCACAAAGTGCTGGGATTACAGGCGTGAGCCACCGCACCCGGCCTAATTTGTTTTTTGTAGAGACAGGGTCTCGCTATGTTGCCCAGGCTGGTCTCAAACTCCTGGGCTCAAGCTATCCTCTTGCCATGGCCTCCCAAAGAGCTGAGATTACAGGTGTGAGCCACTGTGCCCAGCCTAAAGTATTGTTTTAAGTAGATGAGAGATGATAAGGAGGTGGAGATAATAAACATATAAAATTTTAAGCCATGTGGGTGTTAAAAGATGAAAATCTCTCAATTAGTCTATAATGGCACTTAAATGCACATAAACTCCAGAAGGAAACCAAAACTAGTACTAGGGATGATGAGTGAGGAATGGAAGAAGGATAGATGAGGATACTGGAATAGAAGAATAAGGAGGGAACTTTTCACTATACAACTTTTTATACCTCTTGATTTTAAAACCATGTGTATTTATTTATTTATTTATTTATTTATTTATTTAGAGATGAAGTCTCACGCCCTCACCCAGGCAGGAGTGCAGTGGTGCAATCTGGGCTCACTGCAACCTCCGCCTCCCAAGTTCAAGCAATTCTCCTGCCTCAGCCTCCTAAGTAGCCTCAGCCTCCTGAGCAGCCAACCTGAGTGATTGCAGGTGTGCACCACCACGCCCAGCTAATTTTTGTATTTTCAGTAGAGATGGGGTTTCACCATGTTGGCCAGGCTGGTCTCGAACTCCTGACCTCAAGTGATCTGCTCACCTCGGCCTCCCAAAGTTCTGGGATTACAGGCATGAGCCACTGTGCCCAGCCACCTTATTTATTTATTTATTTATTTATTTATTTATTTATGAAACCATGTGAATTTATCAATTACTCAAAAATCTAAATAAAACACCTATTATATGCCAGAACATTTTTTTCTTCCTTTTTTTATTTTTTAATTTTACTTTAAGTTCTGGGATACATGTGCAGAACGTGCAGGTTTGTTACATAGGTATACGTGTACCATGGTGGTTTGCTGCACATATTGACCCATCCTATAAGTTCCCTCCCCCCACTCCCCACCCCTCAACAGGCCCTGGTATGTGATGTTCCCCTCCCTGTGTCCATGTGTTCTCAATTTTTCAACTCCCATTTATGAGTGAGAACATGCAGTGTTTGGTTTTCTTTTCCTGTGTTAATTTGCTGAGGATGACGGCTTCCAGCTTTTTTCTTCTTTTTTTTTTTTTTTTTTTTTGACACTGAGTCTCACCATGTTGCCCAGGCTGGAGTGCAGGGACACACTCTTATCTCACTGCAACCTCCGCCTCCTGGGTTCAAGCAGTTCTCCTGCCTCAGCCTACTGAGTAGCTGAGAGTACAGGTGCGCCACCACGCCCAGATAATTTTTTTGTATTTTTAGTAGAGACAAGGTTTTGCCATGTTGGCTAGGCTGGTCTTGAACTCCTGGCCTCAGGTGATCCACCCGTCTCAACATCCCAAAGTGCTGGGATTACAAGCGTGAGCCACCATGCCCAGCTTGATAAACATTTCTTGATGTCTTGAGGAAGACTGGCAAACCCCCCAAGGAACCAAAACAGAGATAGAGGCTTGTAGGATCTGAGATTATGACCTGGAAATCCCTAATAGCTTTGAATGCTGATGAGATTGGCCTCATGAATACCAAAGATCTTGTGGAGAAAAAATAAAAAATCAGAAGGAAGAGCTACCATAATTGCTGAAATCCCAGGGAGCCGGGAGTAGAATGAATGAGAAATAATAGAGTTCAAAAACATTCTCTCAGTTAAGACTCAGCTAATAAGGTAGAAGGTAAAAAAGCATTTTTGTTATTATCCCAAACACCCAAGCTTAGTTGATTCTCTTTAAAAAATGCATACCAATTTCACTATGAAAAACCTGGATTACTTTACATGCCAGGGGAGGGGCAGAAAACCTGGAATTATTTAGTTGGTCAACCCACATTGACCGGAGATTGAAATCAACCACTAGAACTTGATTATAAAAACTGTTAAATCAATTAAGTTATACTGTCTGACAGCCACTACATTTTGATACATTTCTATGACCTGTAGTTCCCTGATTTTTGTATTCACCATAGTTGGCTTTCAGAATATCCCTCTAAGTAAAGACAAGTAACTCAAAGAAGGCCTCCCATTGAATTCAGAAGGGCTTCTATAGGGGAAAAACATCGCCATTTTAGGCTGGGCGCAGTGGCTCATGCCTGTAATCTCAGCACTTTGGGAGGCCAAGGCAGGTGGATTACTTGAGGTCAGGAGTTCAAGACCAGCCTGGCCAACATGGCGAAATCCCATCTCTACAAAAATACAAGAATTACCTGGGCATGGTGGCATACACCTATAATGCCAGCTACTCGAGAGACTGCAACATGAGAATCACTTGAACCTGGGAGGCAGAGGTTGCAGTGAGCCAAGATCATACCACTGCACTCAAGTCTGAGTGACGGATTGAGATTGTGTCTCAAAAAAAAAAAAAATTGTCATTTTAACAAAACAATAGAATTACAAAATCCAGCACAATCAACTTCACCAAGCAAAGAAACAAAAGTAGGTATGTAACATTTCAGCTTTTCCCCAAAATAGTTTATAACAAAGAAATGAATCAGTACAATTCCCTCAAGAACACCCAAATAGAAATTCTTTTTGAAAGTCTTTTCCGAGAAAAATGGAAGTAAATATTAACCTCACATGAAGCAATCTGCAATCTTTGTTGCCAAATACTGATAATTATTGGTGTTCTTCATGGAAAAAAGCAGTCTGGGTAAACAATGTTAGATATGGAGCTACATTAACTCTATTTTAGGCTGACCATATTTACTCACATTATTTTCCCCTCTCCTTAACCTTTCCCTCAATCTTCTGAGGGAAAGAAAAGATGCTTTTTACTGCCTAATTTTCCTCTGACAAATTATTATGGCATTGAAACTTTGAAAAAGAAAGAACTAGAACTACAGCCTCAATGGGAGATTATTGCCACATTATGCTTTCTATAATCATGTTATTTGTTTTATTTAGGGTTTTATTGTTTTGTTGTTTGAAGGGAAAAAAATCAGAACTTTACCTGCTTTTATCACATTAATATATGTGATATGGTTTGGCTGTGTCCCCACCAAAATCTCATCTTTAATTGTGGTTCCCATAATCCCCACGTGTCGTGGGAGGGACCAAGTGGAGATAATTGAACCACTGGGGCAGTTTCCCCCATTCTGTTCTCATGATAGTGAGTTAGTTCTCATGAGATCTGATGGTTTATAAAGGGCTTCCCCCTTCACTGGGCATTCATTCTTCTCCTTCCTGCCACCATGTGAAGAAGAATGTGTTTGCTTCCCTTTCTGTCATGATTGTAAGTTTCCTGAGGCCTCCCCAGCCATGCTGGACTGTGAGTCAATTAAACTTCTTTCCTTTATAAATTACCCAGTCTTGGGTATGTCTTTATTAGCAGTGTGAGAACGTACTAATACAATGTGAACTTAATTAGCTTAATCATTATTATTAATCAATATTTAATTATTGGTATTAATAATTGTTAATATTTTATTATTAATAACAAAATAATTAACATTAATGTTATTAATGTGACTCTATTAATAATTAATATAATCTTAATAAAGGATTCACATTAATAATATTGGTCTATTTTTTAAGAGATAACATGTAACAAAAATTCTATTAATGTTCCTGACACAATTTAAACATCCGACAGACAGATATTTGCTGTGAAACATTTGCTTAACTAGTTGAGTAGGGCAGGGGAAAGACCAGACTGACACCAATCCTCTTGTTCCCACTTGGAAGAATACATTTGATTTCTTTTTGAATAAATGAAAATTAAATCTTAACCATCCTAGCTCTCTAACTAAGCCTGAAAGCTACTGAGAGAGATAGATATCCTTAATGCCTCCACCCAGGTATAATCCTATTACATTTAAATGTTTATGTTTCCTTTGAAATCCTAATTAGCTAAAGATTGCTTGTGCTGATAGCTGTGTAACCAGCCTGCCTTAGAGAAAATATTATTCCAATGTTACTTGTACCCTGTTCTAGGAACAATATAATTACATAGCACCTACCTCTTTGTTAGTAGTAAATTATTTGAATGTGGATGTGGGACTTATAAACAGGATGTCATGGCAACATATATACTCTTATTTCCAAGTTTCCAGCCAAATGTCACAAATCCTATTGCTATGGTTTGAATGTCCCCTCCAAAATTAATGCTGAAATTTAATTGCTGATGTGACAGTATTGAGAGGTAGGGGCTTTAAAAGAAGTGATTAGATCATGGGGGCTCCACCCTCATAAGTGAATTGATGTCATTATTAAAGGAGTGGGTTAGTTATCTCAGGAGTGACTTTGTTATAAAAGGAAACTCTATTGCATGTGCTCTCTTGCCCTTCCCGTCATTTGGCCATAGTGTGTCACAGCAAGTAGGACCTCACCAGATGGCCAAACAGATGCCAGCACCATGCCCTTGAACTTCCCAGCCTCAAGAACCATAAGCCAAATAAATCTCTTTTCTTTATAAATTACCCAGTCTGTGGTATTCTATTATAGCAGTAGAAAACAGACTAAGACATCTATGTATCAGGACGTAAACTCCACGAAGATTTTGTTCACCAATGTATTTCCAGGACCTAGTTCAGGCCCTGACAAAAAGTACACACTCAGAAAATTTTGATGACTGAATGGGTAAATGAATTTATAACAGATAGGAATCAACAAACTCCAGTATACTACAGTATACAAGTAATAACTCACTTCTTTATATTCTATTCTTCATTTTAATTAACTCTCAACCCCAATCCTGATGGACTAAAAATTCAGCCTCGATTTTATTTGTTGTTTTCATTCAGCCCAGAGTTTAGTTTTGTTTTTTTGGTTTTTCGGTTTTTTGGTTTTTTTTTTTTTTTTTGAGATGAAGTCTTGCTCTGTTGCCCAAGCTGGAGTGCAATGGCACAATCTCGGCCCACTGCAAACTTTGCCTCCCAGGTTCAAGCAATTCTCCTGCCTCAGCCTCCTGAGTAGCTAGGATTGCAGGCACATGCCATCACACTGGCTAATTTTTGTATTTTTTTTAGTACAGATGGAGTTTCACCATGTTGGCCACACTGGTCTTGAACTCCTGACTTCAAGTGATCCGACTGCCTCAGCCTCCAAAAGTGCTGAGATTACAGGCATGAGCCATTGCAACCAGCCTCAGCCCAAAGTTCTGAAGCCCTACAGTGCCAAAATGCAGAAGAGGTGGAGTGGGACTGTAGTAGTTGAGGGCTGGGCCAGCCCTCAATAATCAATCATTTTTCTACACAGGGTATAGCTCAGATGTGCACTACTACTGTCAACATGGTCACACAGGCAATCAATGACCAATCCAGCCCTGTGGTCTCCCTCCCTGGAGACAGACCATGCATCCATTCCCTCTAGAATCTTGCTGTTTCTCAGGAGGCTGCTAGGAAGGCTGGGACACCCCACTACACCCAGAGCCCCAAGACTTCACTAGTGGCTTGTAGGAGGCCCTTAACTGATCCTCAAACTATTTTCCCTAGTCCACTTTTCTCTGTGGTGCCTGGCTGCACTTTCTATATCTTTCATTTTTTTCCTTGGACATAGCTAAAGAGGGCAATAGAGAACATGGTCTCATTGGCAGAAGGGCACCTTTCTCAGCCTATGGAAATCTGGGGCCCCAAAAGTCGTTTATAGCCTAAACGGTCCCAGTCTCTTGTAATACAAGCTCATGGCATTTTCGACGATAAATCTCTCTCCAAAATATGTGTCCATTTTTTATGACTTCAGTCACACCAACAATTCTTTTTGAAACATGACTTTCTTTCTAGATGTAATTACAGGTCCTTTAAGTTTATCAGGTTTCCACAGGACCTTGCCCTTAGTCACTTTTCTAGAAGCCATTTTGTTCAGCTGCATGGGTTAGTATGGTCCAGCTTAATGCAATCCAAGGTCTTAACAGAACATCTCATAGCTACATCATTGATTTGGTCTTTGTCCTAAGGCTGAATTGGCCTTCCTAGATGAAATTATTCCTCCTTTTATCATTTACTAGTTGGAAAGAAAGAAAAAGTGGTATCTTTTGACACAGTCCTAAAATGCCTGAATTCTCTCTTACTTTTTAGTGCTGCTTGCAAGTAGGCTATTTTTTTTTTCTGAGTTCATTTCTTTCTTTTATAACCTTATGAATGCAGCTAATATCAGCCAATCCATGCTATTGATATTCTGCTTTGGAATCTCTTTCCCAAAATCCACATATTTATTATAGAAAAGATCAGGTCTTTTAGAAAAGGTAAAGGTCTTTAATATGCAAAGCAGCAGTTATGAACTAATGACATATTAGAGACCTTTTCCATAAACAAAAATGTTGCAGATATGTTAAATTAAAAATAATAAGCAACCTTTAAAACAGCATTTAGCATACGTTACAGTGTATATAGGGGGAAAAGGTATGTGCATATGTGTGTGTTGTCAACCTAAGTAACAGAAAAGAGAGATGATCTTCAAACATAATGAGTTTAATGGGGAGTGCAGAGTGGATCTGCAAATCCAAGATATGCAGGCTAAGGAGACTACAGTTGTATCCAAGGAGGTTGAGGCAAGGAGATGCTTTTAAAGGCAAAAGAGAAAAGTACACATAATTTGGTTTGAAACAGAGAACATTGTTTACAGAGGCTTATCACAGAAGATGACACTAATTTTTTAATAGAGACAGTGTGTCAGGCAAGTATTCTTATGGATCTTTCCAGCTGTCCTTGTGACTCACCTAGCAAGCTACAGTTTGGAATCCTTGGCAAAGACTCTTGCTATAGGCACACGTGTAAGAGCCCTTTAGAGAGTCTTTGTAATAGTTCTTATCATAGGCATATGTGAGTGAGGGCCCTTCATTCTTAACTTCCCAGCTTTATTTTGTTGTTGTTGATTTGGTCTGACACAAGAGACTCCATTTTGATTCTGGAAACTCTCACTATATATACATAATTTAATACATAAGGTATCTCTAGAAAAATATGCAAGAAACCGAGTGCTATATTTGCCCCTGGAGAGGGAACAGGGGAACTAGAAGATGGGGGTGAAAGGGAATTATTCTTTTCAATAAATAAATACATATATATAAAAAATTATGTATATACTCCTTTATATCTTTTAATTCCAAACTACGTACATATATTATATATTCAAAAAAACTTTTTTTTCTTTGAGACAGAGTCTCGCTCTGTCGCCCAGGCTGGAGTGCAGTGGTGCAATCTTGGCTCACTGCAGCCTCCACCTCCTGGGTTCCAGCGATTCTCCTGCTTCAGCCTCCCGAGTAGCCAGGATTACAGGCACGCCCCACCACACCCAGCTAATTTTTATATTTTTAGTAGAGACAGGGTTTCAACATGTTGGCCAGGATGATCTCAAACTCCTGACCTCAGGTGGTCCACCCACCTCAGCCTACCAAAGTGCTGGGATTACAGGCGTGAGCCGCCGTGCCCAGCCAAAAATAATTTCTTAAAAGTTGAAATATGTACACAATAATGAAAAGTGAAACTTTCTCCTGGGCTCTACACAAAAATCATAGGAGTTGGCACCACAAGTTAATACACTGTAAAATATGTGTAAACTTTAGGATATAGCACATTTATATTTCTGTGCTCGTTTTTCTCAGTAGTTTGTATTTTTGGTTTTAGTGCTTTTTACATTGTTAATTTTTTTTTTTTTTTTTGAGAGACAGAGTCTCACTCTATTACCCAGTCCAGAGTGCAGTGGTATAATCATGGCTCACTATGGCCTTGACAGCCCAGGCTCAAGTGATCTTCCCACCCCAGCATCCCAAGTAGCTGGGACCATAAGCATGCACCACCACACCCAGCTAATTTTTTAATTTTTTTGTAGAGATAGGGTCTTGCTTTGTTGTCCAGGTTGGTATCAAACTCCTGGCCTCAAGCAATCCTCCCACCCCAGTCTCCCAAATATAGTGGCTCATTATAGGCATGAGCCACTGTGTCCAGTCATTTTTGGACACATTTAAAAAACAATGTATCCATTGTTTTTTAAGAATGAAATTCAAATTAAATATTTGCAATGAAGCACCTCCACAGAAGGGTTTTTTGGAACCCAGTTTAAAAACCATTGCAGCTTTACACCAAGAATAAGAAGGCAATTACAGGCTTCTTAGAGACTAGACTGGATTTTAGAAAGATGCATTCAGGGCCAGGCACAGTGGCTCATGCCTGTAATCTCAGCACTTTGGGAGGCTGAGGTGAATGGATCACTTGAGGTCAGGAGTTCAAGACCAGCCTGGCCAACTTGGTGAAACCCCGTCTCTACTAAAAATGCAAAAATTAGATGGGCACAGGGGTACGCGCCTCTAGTCCCAGCTACTCAGTAGGTTGAGACAGGAGAATTGCTTGAACCCTGGAGGTGGAGGTTGCAGTGAGCCGAGATCATGCCACTGACTCCAGCCTGGGTGACAGAGCAAGATTCCATCTTAAAAAAAAAAAAAAAAAAAAAAAAAAGGAAGGAAGAAAGAAAGAAAGCAAGATGCATTCAGATGGTCACAGACTGGGTTCATTGAAAAGCAAACTCTAAGAGATTGAGTACAGAATGTTGCTTAGGGAGTACTCTCAAGAACAAAACCTGTGGGGACATGAAGAAAGTATCACTGGGAAAAAAAAAGAAAGTATAATTGGGCAGAGACAGAAGTTAAACTGTGAGTCACAACAAAGGCCTAGGTTCATCTTAAAGGGAGCTTTGGAGATAGGATGACACTTTAGAGTTGCTCCAAAGTGGAGCAAGAGGACTGGGCCTTTATGCTCCCAAAACAACCAGACACTTGGATGTTAGCTACTCTTCGGGAGGGGCAGTTCTTCAACCAAGGCCAAGAACTGGAGAAGAATTCAGCTGAGGTCTATTGACTGACAACACTCCCAGCAGAAGGGGTAAAAAAGGCTTCAGTCCTGGAGTGGGGAGATCAAGGTGGGGTAGTACAACATCCATTATAGTCCACCCCTGAGTCTCTTGGATCCACCTGCTTCATTCAAGTTCCAAGAGCAGGTCCTTAAAATTTCACAGGGCCTCCATCCCCACCATGCAGCTGATCTCAAGAGCACAAATGATACTTATCATCATTCTACCTTATAGGTCTCTTAGATTCCCTTTCTCTCTCCTGACCTAGGTGGCTTACCTAGTGTATTAGTCCATTTTCACACTGCTGATAAAGACATACCCAAGACAGGGCAATTTACAAAAGAAAGAGGTTTAACTGGACTTACAGTTCCACATGGCTGGGGCAGCCCCACAATCACAGCAGAAGGCAAGGAGGAACAAGTCACATCTTACATGGATGGCAGCAGGCAAAGAGAGAATGAGGAAGATGCAGGTCGGGGGCGGTGGCTCATGCCTGTAATCCCAGCACTTTGGGAGGCCGAGGCAGGTGGATCACGAGGTCAAGAGATCGAGACCATCCTGGCCAACATGGTGAAACCCCATCTCTACTAAAAATACAAAATATTACCCGGGTGTGGTGGTGGGTGCCTGTAGTCCCAGCTACTGGGGAGGCTGAGGCAGGAGAATCACTTGAACCTGGGAGGCGGAGTTGCAGTGAGCCAAGATTGTGCCACTGCACTCCAGCATGGCAACAGAGTGAGACTCCATCTCAAAGAGAAAATGAGGAAGATGCAAAAGCAGAAACCCCTGATAAAACCATCAGATCAGCCGGGCATGGTGGCTCATGCCTGTAATTCCAGCACTTTGGGAGGCTGAGGTGGGTGGATCACAAGGTCAGGAGTTCGAGACAAGCCTGACCAACATGGTGAAACCCTGTCTCTACTAAAAATACAAAAATTAGTGGGGTGTGGTGGTGAGTGCCTGTAATCCCAGCTGCCTGGGAGACTGAGGCAGGAGAATTGCTTGAACCCGGGAGACAGAGATTGCAGTGAGCTGAGATCACGCCACTGCACTGTAGCCTGAGCAACAGGGTGAGACCCTGTCTCAAAAAAAAAAAAAAAAAAAAAAAAATTCAGATCTCATGAGATTTATTCACTACCATAAGAACAGTATGGGGGAAACCACCCCCATGATTCAATTATCTCCCACCGAGTCCCTCCTGCAACACATGGGAATTATGGGAGTACAATTCAAGATGAGATTTGGGTGGGGACAGAGAGCCAAACCTTATCACCTAGGTGGAGTGACCCAGACACTCATCTCTGAGAGGATCTAAGACCCTGGTCATCATCCCCATCTCAGGACCTGCATGCCTGTTGTATCAAGAAACCAAGTGGATTGTGTGGGTGCCAAACATATTATTTCCTAATGGTCAGAGTTGATTACTTCTTCCAGGAGGGTGAATCTCCTATTTGACTGCTGGTATGTTGGCACAATAAGTCCAAAGTAACTGGATGGCAGCCATAGCTTGAGGTTTAATGCAACACTTTCTGTATCCTCTGGTGAAAGTGCTCACTCTTTGGGATCAGGATCTCTAGGAAACACAATTTCCCCAGTGAGTTACTGGGGAGTAACGGTTGGTGGAGCCACTCTTGCCTCCATCCATTAGTTCCCATTATATTCTGTTGCAAAGACTTCTCAAGTTCAGATATTTTAAAGGCCTTACCAGACTCAAGGCTTTTATTTAAAGGCAAGTGATGCACTGCATCAAGAGATGGAGAGTACAGGCAAGCATTGGAATCTGAGAGACAGCTCCGACACAGCTCCCCAGGGTCCTGATTTGCACACGATGCAGTCAGAATCTAGGTCAAACCACCAAGATCTGTGCAAGGAATCTTAGCTTTGGGGGAATTCAATAAGGAAGTTCCCAGTGGAGTTTTTATGTACCCTTAGCCAGGGCTATCAAACCAGTTAGGCCAGTTTAAGGCCGTCAGTATAGAAATTGGCCCTGGCAGTTAGGAAGGGAGTTTCAGACTTCAAACAGCACATCATAAATTCCACTTTTCTTATCTTGTCTGACAGTCAGAAACCAGACATCAAGGCATTCACAGAGACAAAGACAGTGCTGTTCTAGTCCAGTTGTAAATTAACTCTCTCTATCAGACTTTATTTATTGAAGATACCATCCCATACAGCTCTGGTTGACTTCAGATGTATACTAATTCCGGGAAATGGTGCCCCATCCTCTCAGGGTGTTCTCTCCAAGTTGGTACCTTAACAGGTTTCATCAGAGCTGTTTACACCAATGCTGTTTCATCACTCTATCAGACCAGCAGGCTCTGGGTGGAATGGTAGGTGAGAGGACCAGTGGATCTTAAGTCATGTGTGAACTGCTGCATTTCCTATCCTGTTAAGTGGGTTCCTTAGTCCAGTGAGATGTCATCCAGATCCCATGTCAAGTAGATCAAATACTTTATAAGCCCTCAACAAGTGATGCTGGATGAGGCCCTACAGGCAAGAAAGTTAAACTCATACTCAGAATACATCAATTCCAGCCAAGATAAATTTAGCTGCCATAGCAGAATAACATAGACTGGGTGACTTATAAACAGCAGAAATTTATTTCTCACAGTTCCGGAGGTGGGAAGTTCAAGATCAAGATTCTGTGTCTAGATATTGACATGTCAAGGTATGTTGGCTCATGCCTGTAATCCTAGCTCTTTGGGAGCCTGAGGTGGGCAGATTGCTTGAGCCCAGGAGTTCAAGACCCGCCTGGGCAACACAGGGAGACTCTGTTTCTACCAAAAAAAAAAAAAAAAAAAAAAAAAATTAGCTAGTTATATGGAACCTTCCTGTAGTCTTAGCTACTTGAGAGGCCAAGGTGGGAGGATTGTTTAAGCCCAGGAGATCAAGGCTGCAGTGAGCTAGCATCTCACCACTGCACTCCAACCTAGAGTACAGTGCAAGGCAAGACCCTATCTCAGAAAATAAAAGATTAAATATCTAGTGAGAGCCTGCTTTTTGGCTCATAGATAGCCTGTTACTTGCCACATCCTCACATGGCAGAAGGAGCAAACAAGCTCTCTTCTATAAGAACACTAATCCCATTCATGAGGACTGCACCCTTATGACCTAATCACCTCCCAAGGGCCCTACCTCCTAATACCTTCACCTAGGGAGTTAGGATTTCAACATAGGAATAAACATTCCATTCATTACAGGATCCAAATAGTTAACATGCCACCAAGTGGATGATTGGTCTCCTTGAGGGATGGTGCTATATTGGGGTTCAGGATTTGTCTCCATAGCTTTCGACAGCAACAAAATCTAGATCAGCTTGGGTAAGTGCAACCCATTTTGTTGGACCCACGTATAGACTTCATCCCTGCCACCATGACTACTCTGTTCATGTACCAGTGAACCAGCACGGGAATGGCTGATGACAGAGACTTCCTGACATCACCTGGCTGGATCATTGCCTACTTGCTTACTTAGAAAGATCACTGTTTGCTTACCTGAAGAGGGAGAATTAGTCTTTACAAGGGAAAAGTGGACTATTTCTGTAGAAGAATTTCAGGATTCAAGATTCTCCAGTGCATCAACCCAGATGTCTCCCTTCCCTGTGTCAGGGTTACATTTCTTCCCAATCAGGGCTCCCAATTAGTGCAGAGAAAACTTTCCATGGTTGAGAATCTACCATTTCTGGAGCTCTACCATACATATCCTGCAGGAGATGAGAGTCTTTTTTATGCTGCCAAGGAGACCCTCTGGCTTTCACACTTAGCCTTTAATTAATTGATAATTAATGACCCTTTCATTATCTTTCTGCAGAACTGAATAGCCCTCAGCAATAGCCATCCAATTTTATAGTCCTTATATTTAGTATTTCCTCTTTCTCAAATGACAGATACATTGCACCTACAAGTGCATTCCTTCCATTGGTAGACTATCCAAGTTCACTGCTAGTGAAAGTTCAAAAAATTGCATTGCTACTGCATGCCATGGACTATTTGCTGTCTGTGTGCCACCTACTACCAATGATGGGGCCCTCATTGATATTTGGCCTGTGAATGATCCATTTCCAAAGTCCTGTCTTAGAGTTTTCATTTTCAGACCCTCCTGGTGCCAGCTATTTCCAGTTGAGTTCCCCATGAACCAAATTCTGAGGCAGAGATTTGCATGTAGGAACTTTATTGGCGAATAATCTTAGGATCAATTCCTGTGGGGGCACAAAAAAACCCAAGATTGTTTACAGAGAAAAGTCAAACTATGATTCTGTCAAAACAAAGGCCTCAGCGCATCCTATTAGGAGCTCTAGAGTTGGGATGACCCTTCAGAGTTGCCCCAAATTGGAGTCATAGGGCTAGGCCTGTGTGCCCCTGCATTTACCAGTCTTTGGATATGAATTACCTCCTGGAAGGAGGTATGACCTTGGGCTAGGCAGCTCTGTTTAGCCAAGGGCAATGCTAGAAGAGAGACTCAGCTGAGAGTTGTTGATTGCCAGTACTCCCACAGCTGGAGGAATTCTTCAAGCCTTAGATGGGATGGGAATTTGTATCTGGGTAGCACACCACAGCACCCACAGTACAGACGAAGGAAAGTCAGTGCCTCCTACCTGAAACAAAATAGATTCAATCTTTATCTTATATACTTGCAATTGCCTATCTTTAACTTAAGATAACTAAGTTATCTTAAAACTTAGTTCAACTCAGTTTTACTTAACATCATTATATATACTAGGTACAAGGGATAGAATGATAAATAAGATTTCCGTATTCGAAATGCCAATTATTTCCTCTCTGTCTCCATGCTTCCTAAAAGAGAATTTGTCATTCTCTCTTCTCTAAGAGTCTGCTCCCATAATCCTTTCTAAGTATTCAGCCGCTACGTGTCTCTGTCCTCCTGGCTTCAGCTGCACAGTCTAATTTTTCTCTTCTGGGATTTTGGAACCAGTACATATGGACCTAAGTCAGTCTCCTTTTATTTGTTTTAATGGAAACGCTGCTGAGAGTTGCAGCTCACATCTGTAATACCAGCACTTTGGGAGGCTGCAGCAGGCAGATTGCTTGAGCTCAGGAGTTCAAGACCAGCCTGAGCAACATGGTGAAACCCCACCTCTACAAAAAATATAAAAATTAGCCTGGCATGGTGGTGCACACCTGGAGTCACAGCTACTAGGGATGCTGAAATGGGAAGATTACTTGAGCCCAGGAGGTCAAGGCTGCAGTGAGCCATGACTGAGCCATGATGATGCCACTACACTCCAGCCTGGGCGACAGGGTAAGACCCTGTCTCAAAAAAACAAAGAAAAATAGATTCTCTACCTGAGATCACATATCGTTAGGTTCAGAATTATTTTTTATCCCAGCACTTTGGGAGGCCAAGGCAGATGGATCACTTGAGTTCAGGAGTTCGAGACCAGCCTGGCCAACACGGTGAAACCCCACCTCTACTAAAAATACAAAAATTAGCCAAGCATGGCAGTGTGTACCTATAATCCAAGCTACTCAGGAGGCTGAGGCAGGAGAATGGCTTGAACCTAGGAGGCAGAGATTGCAACAGTGAGCCGAGATCGTACTGCTGCACTCCAGCCTAGGTGACAAAGCAAGATTCCATCTCAAAAAAAAAAAGAATAACTTTTTTCTTTTTTGAGTGAAAATTTCAATAATCCTTACATGTGTGTATATGTGGGGACTTTTTCACATTGTTTCCAGTATTGTTGGCTAAAGATTAATTTTTCAGATTACTTTGAATCAAGACAGACTAAAGGACTTTGTTCTTTTCTGAGCATTTATGGCAGTCAAATGTGTACTTTATCTATTCAATAGGGTTTGAATGGAAGGAGAGCTCTACCGCAGGAGTGAATTTGTAAATATCTGAGATCGGCTTGCTTTGTGCTGGGAGAGGGGTGTGGGTTTGAGGAAATAACATAGATATGAGTCTGGATATGAATAGAAAAATCAGGGTAAGTGGCTTTAAACTGGGTCAGTACACATGTCTCCATTCTTAAGGAAGAGACAAGTTGCTCTGCAGTTTCCCTGTGACCTCAATACAGTCTGTTGAAAAGCTATTTGGCTTCTCATACTGGAGCCTCTGATTTATATCCCAGAAACTCCTTTCTTTCAGCTTCCCTTGCCTAAGAATTCCCTGCCTATTCCTTTTACTTCCACCTCAGTGAAGCCAAAGTCCTGCCCTGCTTCTCACATGGCCCAGAGCAGATTTTGTATTTAGAAACGAGTGGGAACAGTAGGAAAGGGGAAGGTTGAAGGATATATGCAAATACTTCCCTCCCCATTCCTGACGCTCTTCTGCCACTAACCAAGTCCACATCACATTTCCTAACTACAAAACGCTCTGCGGTAGCCAGTGCCTAGCTCCAGGATGCCTGGGAGAGTCCTCAAGTCTAGATCTCCTTTAAATGCAAATAAAGGTCATTTTAGTCTTTTTTTACCCAAAGAGTCCCACTCTTAAAAACTCCTTTGCTTACTGGTTGCAGTGGCTCATGCCTGTAATCCCAGCATTTTAGAAGGCCCAGGCAGAAGGATCGCTTGAGCCCAGCAATTTTAGACCAGCCTGGGCAACATAGTGAGACCCCATCTCTACAAAAAAATAAAAAATTAGTGCAATCATCTCCTTTGCAGTGACATGGATAAAGCTGGAAGCCATCATTCTCAGCAAACTAACACAAGAACAGAAAACCAAACACCACATGTTCTCACTCATAAGTGGTAGTTGAACAATGAGAACACACGGACACAGGAATGGGAACAACACACACTGGGGCCTGTCAGGGGATGGGGGCAAGTGTAGGGAGAGCATTAGGATAAATACCTAATGCATGTGGGGCTTAAAACCTAGATGACGGGTTGATAGGTGCAGCAAACCACCATGGACAAACCTGCACCCTCTGCACATGTATCCCAGAACTTAAAATAAAAATAAAAATAAAATGAAATAAAAAATTAGCTGGGCATGGGAGTATATGCCTGTAGTCCAAGCTACTTGGAAGGCTAAGGTGGGAGGATTGCTTGAGCACAAGAAGTTGAGGCTGCAGTGAGCCAAGATTTCACCACTGCACTCCAGCCTGGATGACAGAGTGAGATCCTGTTCCAAAAAGAAGAGAAATCTTTTTTTTTTTTTTAGACAGAATCTCACTCTATCAGCCAGGTTGGAGTGCAGTGGTACGATCTTGGCTCTTTGCAACCTCCATCTCCCGGGCTCAAGCAATTCTCCTGCCTCAGCCTCCCGAGTAGCTGGGATTACAGGTGTGTGCCACCATGCCCAGCTAATTTTTTTTTGTATTGTTAGTAGAGACGGGGTTTCACCATGTTGGCCAGGCTGGTCTCAAACTCCTGACCTCAGATGATTCGCCTGCCTCAGCCTCCCAAAGTGCTGAAATTATAGGCGTGAGCCACTGTGCCCAGCCAGGAAAAGAAATCTTTAAACAAAAAATAACCTAGACTGATTTAGATGTTTGAAAATGTTTATTCTACTAACAGGGATTTCAAGAGACAGATTTGACTCCATGTCCTCTCTTGCCATTCCCTAGGCAGGGCTTTACTTGGCCCAATGTGTATCAGGGGACCCAGGGGGCATGGAAAGAATGGGAAGTGAAGGCCACTCCCATGGTGTCTCCTTGCATTCCAGTGTCATTATTCAAGCAAAATAAGGCTAAAAGGAACATTTGGGGCTGTCCTGAATGATTAATTACGAAGTTACTAAAGGCCAGTTGTACCCTGTTGAAGGTCCATGTCCTACTACTGATATGATAAAAGAGAGATATATATAGGCTAATTGCATGTACATAAATCTTAGATATATCTTCAGATTCAGGTAGAAAAAGTCTTTCCTTCTTTGCCTGTCCTGTCCCTGCCCCAGCCCCAGGATAGCAGTGCATATGAGTAGGAGGGACAGTTTGTATGGCTGACTGAACGAGCTGTCAGTCTCCAAAGAGTGGACCAAGTGGAAAATAACCTCATTTCCCCACAGTCCTCAAGAAAAGGATTTTCCCTTGATAAGATTACTAGCCATTGGAAAATGTCTTAATAATCTTTGTATTCCTCCACCCCTTACCCCAATATGATAAAAAAAACAGCTACATTTAATTAAACACTTGCCAGGCACCTGTCTTACATTACTTATTTAATCCTTACACTAACACTGTAATGCAGCTGTTACTGTGCTAGTTTTAGTTATGTAGAAACAGAGGAAAAATTTGACTGACTAACCTGATCAGGAGCACACAGAAAGTTTTAGAGTCGGGTTTGAAACCTACATTAAGAATCCCAAAGTTGATACATTTACTAAGCAGCTGTGACGGGGCACCCCAAGACCACCCTCAGGTTTGACAATTCACTAGAAGGACCACCAAACTCAGAAAAGCTGTTAAACTCATACCGTTTGTTATGATGAAAGGATAAAGATTTAACCCAGCAAAATAAGACACAAAGGATAGAGTCCAGGAGAGACCAGGAACACATTTCTAGTTTTCCTCTCTCTGTAAAGTCATAGAGACAGCACTTAATTCTCTCAGCAACAATGTGTGACAACATGGATGGAGTCTTGCCAACTGGAGAAGGTCACCTGAGTCTTGCTGTCTAGAGTTTTAATTAGGGATTGGCCATGTAGGAAGAGAGCACCCATGTGGCTGACCTTACTCAGTCTCCAGCCCCTCTGGGGGTCAAACTGATTCAGCATGGCCCAAGACCCCCACCACAAATCACATTAGTAGCATAAACTATCTAGTATGGTTCAAATGTTTGATAAATTTAATTAAATGTCAATTTGGGATCAGTTTACATTTCCAGGGCCATAGTCCATAGGTTGGACAATTATATTTCGGGGTCATTAGCAGTTCTTTGTTATTTACAAGTCAGAAGGCATAAGTGAATTTTTTTTAAATATTAGAGTCTTTTGAGATGAGAATAACTGAGAAGAAAATGAGGCATTGGGTAAAGAACAGTAAGAATATTGTTCGTGGCTGGGCGCGGTGGCTCATGCCTGTAATCCCAGCACTTTGGGAGACTGAGGCAGGTGGATCACGAGGTCAGGAGATCAAGACCATCCTAGCTAACACGGTGAAACCCCGTCTCTACTAAAAATGCAAAAAACCAGACAGGCGTGGTGGCGGGCACCTGTAGTCCCAGCTACTCTGGAGGCTGAGGCAGAAGAATGGCGTGAACCCAGGAGGTGGAGTTTGCAGTGAGCCAAGACCTTGCCACTGCGCTCCACCCTGGGTGACAGAGCGAGACTCTGTCTCAAAAAACAGAAAAAGAATATTGTTCTTGGACATTAAGAATATTATGCATGGATAATACAAAAGAGAAAAGGAAGGTATATTTGAAATACTCTTAAAAAGAAGCATGCCTTTGTAAAATTGTAAGGTACTCTGCACTTATAAGCTAAATGACTTTGGCTTTAAATGAGCTTTAGTTTTCGGATATATTGAAAAATAATAATAATAAAATTATATACACACACACATTCACATGCTTTGCTGGGTTTTTGCAGATTAAATTATACAGTATTTACTGCCTGCCTACTATGAAACAAGCTATGAGAACAAGCTTTCCACTCTCAAGGAACTTAGTCTTGTTGGAAACACAGACAATAAATAACGTAAAATTAAAAAAAAACATAAAATAAAATAAATAATAGAAGGATCAAATGCCCAGCTTCCTCACCCATAAACTTTTTTTTCTTTTTTTTTTTTTTTTTTTTTTTTTTTTGAGATGGAGTCTTGCTCTATCGCCCAGGCTGGAGTGCAGTGACACGATCTCGGCTCACTACAACCTCCACCTCCCAGGTTCAAGCAATTCTTCTGCCTCAGCCTTCTGAGTATCTGGGATTACAAGCACCCACCATCATGCCCAGCTAATTTTTATATTTTTGTAGAGATGGGATTTCACCATGTTGGCCAGGCTGGTCTGGAACTCCCTACCTCAAGTGATCCACCCACCTCGGCCTCCCAAAGTGCTGGGATTACAAGCATGAGCCACCACGCCCCACCCATAAACTTTTATGATATACAAAACTTGAAAATTAGCTAGGTGTGGTGGCATAGGCCTGTAGTCCTAGCTACTTGAGGCAGGAGGATCACTTGAACCCAGGAGTTCGACGCCGCAGTGAGCTAGGATCGCACCACTGCACTCCAAACTGGATGAAAAAGCGAGACCCTATCTGAGAAAATAAATAAATAAAATAAAGTTTGATATAACATAGAGAAAGGACAGAAGAAAATGAAAAATAGTTTTCTAATTGGGGTTTCCTAAAGGAAATGATTCACTCAATTTATTTGAATGAGGTCATGGGTCCAAAATACTTTGTGGGTTAGTGATAATTACTCATAATTCATTAATGAACATACCTCAATTTAAAAAGAGAGAGAGACAGAATAATTAAGTTAAAGAATCCTGGGCAACCCTTCTGGGTCCCCTTCCACCACGTGGAAGCCTTACTTTCACTTTCACTTTAATAAATCTTGCCACTGCACACTCTTTGGGTCTGTGTGTTTCTCTAATCGAGCTGTAACACTCATCACTGCAGTCCACAGCTTCATTTCTTGAAGCCTGTGAGACCACGAACCCTTCAATCGAGAAAAACCTTCGATAAGGAGAAGACTTCTCATCTCATTTCTGGGGTCTGGTCCGGGATTTCTCCAAAGCGGTGAGTAACCTCGGACCCCTTTCAGTTGCTATTCTATCTTCTCACTAGAAATTGGAGGAAAACACCCAGCACCTGTCAGCCATTTAAAAGTGACAAGCACAGCCCAGACTTAAGACATGGGTGTGAGGCTTTCTGGGAAAGGGCTCTCTAGCAACCCACGGCCCTCCAAGCTGGGAGCGTTGGTTTAACTGGAACCAGTTCCACCTTTCTCTACCTTTCCTGGGAAAAGCCGAGGGCTGGCTAGAGGTGGAAAACTGTCTTCCCAAACTCCTGGCACTGACCCAGTGGAGATCATGGCACAGTGAGAAGCCTCTACTCCACAACTGCCCATGCATGAGTTCCCTGCCTTTTCTGACCTATGCCTCCTGGGTCCTAACATCCTCAGAGAAGACTTTCTTGAGGCCCTGTCCTCTAGGATCTTTCCTACCCCTGAGTCTAAGAATCTTTTGGCTAGGAGCCTAAGTCGAGGGGGCTGGCAATCCAAAGACCCTTGCCCATGGTGTCCTCAGGCTTATTCTTATGCAAATGAGTATCAGTATACTTATACAGGACCTGTCCCTCATAACCTGTACCCTAGGCACTATCTGGGACATCAAAAGGCATGTCAGTGGCTGATAGAAGGCCTAGGACATTTTTCCCTTTGTTGCCCTAAACTTTCTCCAGATTGTAGAGGCTACTTTAATTACCACCTTTCCTGTCTGGGATCAGCAATTAGAACTGTAGAACTTCTCCACTCGAAGCAGTCAGATGTATGGGCCAAAAACAATATAATAGACAATAGGTCCCCAATCCAAGTCCAAATGTCAATGAATATTCTTATGAAGGCAAACAGGGGACAGAAAATTCAGGTATGAAAAGCACTGGTCCTCCAATTTGCCACTACCTACCCTAAAACTGTTGTGCTTCAGTGCTATTTTCAAGGAATTTATCTTGCTGGGACAGCTCCAAGCCCAGAAATATGCTAACTGGTGCCTGGTCTCTGAACTCAAAATACACCCTGAACCTAAGACCCACTTGCAGATGCAAAGGCAATTGTGTGCATGCTGGTAAGGAGCCACTAAAATCCAGCAGCCCCAGCCCCATTTTTTGTGGCTAAAAAAGGGTGGGAAACGGTGTGGGCAAAACTGCTACATCAGTAAGTGCAATTAAATCCAATAAGCATGGTTCCATGGGTGACTGTGCACCCTGGAAACCTGGAAAGAAAAGGACACTAGAACCATAGGGGACACACTAGGGCTAGTGCTCACTAGGGGATGACTAGGGGTGCAGGCACTCCTATGTTCTCCTTTCAGATGGAAGACATTCCCTCAAAAGCAAAGCCACCCCTGAGGTGTATTCTGGATAATTAGGACCAATTTGACCCTCAAACACTGAAGAAGAAGCGACTTATATTTTTCTGCAGCACCACCTGGCCACAATATCCTCTTCCCAGAGGAGAGACACGGCCACCCAGGGAAGTATAAACTATAATACCATCCTACAGCTAGATCTCTTTTGTAAATGAGAGGGCAAATGGAGTGAAGTGCCATATGTATAGGTTTTTTTTCTCACTAAGGGATAACCCACAATTATGTAAAAAAAAATGTAATTTACATCCTACTGGGGGTCCTCAAAGCCTACCCCCATACTCAGGTCTCCCCATAGCTCCCCCTCCAACTAGTAAGGACTCTCCTGTGGCCCTTATGGCCCAAAAGGAACCAGACAAAAAGTCAAGGAACCAAAAGGCGCCAATGGCCCTCAATTGTGCCCCCTCCAAGTCGTGGGAGGAGAAGGAGACTTTGGCCCAGTGCAAGTACATGTCCCCTTTTCCCTCTCAGACTTAAAACAGATCAAACTGGACCTAGGAAAATTCTCAGATAATCCTGATTGACGCATAGATATCTTACAGGGATTAGGACAATCTTTTGATTTAGCATGGAGAAATATGTTGTTGTTGTTAGGTCAAGCATTAACTCCCAACAAAGAAGAGGCCACCTTAGCTGCATCCCGGGAGTTTGGGGATCTCTGGTACCTAAGCCAGGTAAATGATAAAATGAGATCAGAAGAAAGGGAACAATTCCCTACAGGCCAACAGGCGGTTCCCAGTGTGGATCCCCACTGGGACCTCAGTTTGGAGCACAGCCATTTACTGACTTGTATACTAGAGGGATTAAGAAAGACCAGAAAAAAGCCAATGAATTACATAATGATGTCAACCACAATGAAGGGAAAGGAAGAAAACCCTACAGCATTTTTAGAGAGACTAAGAGAGGCATTAAGAAAGCATACCTCCTTGTCACCTGACTCTATTGAAGGCCAACTAATTTTAAAGGATAAGTTTATCACTCAGTCAGCTGCAGACATTAGAAAAAACCTTCAAAAGTCTGCCCCAGGCCCCAAGAAAAATTTGGAAACTCTATTGAATTTGGCAACTTCAGTGTTTTATAATAGGGATCAGGAGGAGCAGGCTGAATGAGACAGAGGAGACAAGAAAAAGGCCGCCACCTTACTCATGGCCCCGCCTTAGTTATGGCCCTCAGGCAGACGAACTTCGGTGGCTCTGAAAGAAAGAAGGGCTGGGCAGGCAACCAGCCTAACAGGGCTTGTTATCAGTGCGGCTTACAGGGGCACTTCAAAAAGGACTGCCCAAACAAAAATAAGCCACCCCCTTGTCCATGTCCCTTGTGCCAGGGGGATCACTGGAAGGCACACTACCTCTGAGGGTGAAGGTCCTCTGGGCCAGAGGCCACTAACCTGATGGTCCAACAACAGGACTGAGGGTACCCATGGCAGGCGCCAGCCCGTGCCATCACCCTCACAGAGCCCCAGGTAAGCTTAACCATTAAGGGCCAGGAAACTAACTTCCTCCTGGACACTGGCACAGCCTTCTCAGTTTTAGTCTTCTGTCCCGGACAACTATCCTCCAGGTCTGTCACCATCAAAGGGGTCCTAGGACAGCCAGTCACTAGGTATTTCTCCCACCTTCTAAATTGTGACTGAGGAGCCTTATTTTTCTCACATGCCTTTCTTATCATGCCTGAGAGCTCTACTCCTTTACTAGGGAGGGACATATTAGCTAAAGGAGGGGCCATAATAAACTTGAATATAGAAGAAGAAATACCTGTTTGCTGCCCTCTACTCGTGGAGGGAGTTAATCCTGATGTCTGGGCAGAGGAAGGACAATACAGATGAGCAAAAAATGCTTGTCCAGTTCAAGTTAAATTAAAGGATCCTACCTCCTTTCCTTATCAAAGGCAGTACCCCCTCAGACCAGAAGCCCAACAAGGATTACAAAAGATCGTCAAAGACCTAAAAGCACAGGGATTAGTAAAACCATGCAACAGTCCATGCAACACTCGTATTCTAGGCATACAAAACCCCAACGGACAATGGAGGTTAGTGCAAGACCTCAGAATTATCAATGAGGCAGTTGTTCCTCTGTATCCAGTTGTACCTAATCCTTATACTCTACTCTCCTAGAAACCAGAGGAAGCAGAATGGTTTACAGTCCTAGATCTTAAGGACACTTTCTTCTGCATCCCTCTGCATCCTGACTCTCAATTTTTATTTGCCTTTAAAGATCCGTCAAACCCAGGGTCTCAGCTGACCTGGACTGTCCTACCATTCATTATAGGAGCTGGGATACGAGGAGGACTAGGAACCGGCATTGGAGGCATTACAACCTCCATCCAATTCTATTACAAATTATCACAAGAGTTAAATGATGACATGGCATGAATCGCAGATTCGCTGGTCACCTTACAAAGCCAGCTTAATTCTTTAGCAACAGTAGCCCTTCAAAATCGGACAGCCTTAGATTTATTAACAGCTGAAAGAGGTGGAACCTCTTTTTCTAGAAGAGTGCTGCTATTTCGTTAATCAATCCAGAATTGTCACCAAGAAGGTTAAGGAGTTTTGAGATGGGATACAGTGCTGGGCACAAGAGCTCCAAGACACAGGACCTTGGAATATTGTCAATCAATGGATGCCCTGGCTTCTCCCCTTCTTGGGGCCCTTGGTGGCTATTGTGATGTTGCTTATCTTTGGACCCTGCATTTTTAACCTCCTTGTAAAATTTGCCTCTTCCAGAATAGAATCCATGAAGCTGCAAATGGTTCTACAAATGGAGCCCCAAGTGACCACCACTAGCACCTACTATCAAGCACCCCTAGACCCACCCACCAACCTGTTCTCACACCACGACACCAAAGACTCCCCTCCTGAGGAAACCTCAACTGCAGTGCCCCTTCTACCCCCCAGTTCAGCAGGAAGTAGCTAGAACAATCGTCATCCAACTTCCCAACAGCACTTGGGCTTTCCTGTTGAAAGGGGGGACTGAGGGACTAAGTGGCTAAATTGGCTGGACTTCCTGGGTCAATAGGGACTTCCCTAAAGTGACTTTCCCCTAAGCCAAAATGAGTCATAGCTGCAAGCTAAGAGATTAAAACTTCAACCAATCAAAGGGGATTTTCCCCTAAGCCAAAATTAGTCATAGCTGCAAGCTAAAGGGATTGAAACTTCAACCAATCAAAGGGGACTTTCCCCTAAGCCAAAATGAGTCACAGCTACAAACTAAGGGATTGAAACTTCAACCAATCATATAGGGAGTTCAAGCTCTAGCTGCAGCCTGATGTTTTTAACCAATCAGGTCTGCCAACCCACAAGTGGATAGAAAATTAGCCAATCCTATAGGACAGAAAAAGAAAAGGGGAGGAGTCATAAGGGGATATAAGCATAAGACACCCAAGCCAAAAAACACAATCCTTCTGGGTCCCCTTCCACCACATGGAAGCTTTACTTTTGCGTTCCCTTTACTTTCCCTTTCGCTTTACTAAATCTTGCTGCCATAAAAAAAAAAAAAGAATCCCAGCCTGGTACAGTGACTCACACCAAGGAAGGCAGATCGATTGAGACAAGGAGTTCAAGACCAGTGTGGGCAACATGGCAAAACCCCATCTCTACAAAAAATACAAAAAAAAAAAAAATAGCTGGGAGTGGTGGTAGGTGCCTGTAGTCCTAGCTACTCAGGAGGCTGAGGTGGGAGGATCACTTGAGCCCAGGAGGTTGCAGTGAGCCGGGTTCATTCCACTGCATTCCAGCCTGGGCAACACAGCCATATCTTGGCTCAAAAAAAAAAAAAAAAAAAAAAACAAAAAAAAACAGAAGGCTATAATCTCAAGCACTTTGGGAGGCCAAGGCAGGCAATCACAAGGTCAGGAGATCAAGACCATCCTGGCTAACATGGTGAAACCCCGTCTCTGCTAAAAATACAAAAAGTTAGCTGGGCGTGGTGGCGGGCGTCTGTAGTCCCAGCTACTCGGAAGGCTGAGGCAGGAGAATGGCATGAACCCGGGAGGCGGAGCTTTCAGCCAGCCGAGATTGCACTACTGCACTCCTGCCTGGGTGACAGAGCAAGACTCCGTCAAAAAAAATAAAAGAAAAGAAAAAAGAAAAAAGGGCAGGGCGTGGTGGTTCACGCCTGTAATCCCAGCACTTTGGAAGGCCGAGGTGGGCAGATCACTTGAGGTCAGGAGTTCAAGACCAGCCTGGCCAACATGGTGAAACCCCATCTCTACTAAAAATACAAAAAAATTAGCTGGGCACAGTGGCAGGCCCCTGTAATCCCAGCTACTCAGGAGGCTGAGGCAGCAGAATCGCTTGAACCCAGGAGGCCAAGGTTGAAGTGAGCCAAGATTGCGCCGCTGCACTTCAGCCTGGGCAACAGAGCGAGACTCTGTCTCAAGAAAGAAAAGAAAAAAAAATCCCAGATGAATTTTCTTTTTTTTTTTTTTTTTTTTTGAGACAGTATCCCTGCCTCCCAGGCTGGAGTGCAGTGGCGCAATCTCAGCTCACTGCAAGCTCCGCCTTCCAGGTTCATGCCATTCTCCTGCCTCAGCCTCCCGAGTAGCTGGGATTACAGGTGCCCGCCACCATGTCCAGCTAATTTTTTGTATTTTTAGTAGAGATGGGGTTTAAACGTGTTAGCTAGTGTGGTCTCGATCTCCTGACCTCGTGATCCACTCGCCTTGGCCTCCCAAAGTGCTGGGATTACAGGCGTGAGCCACCACGCCTGACCCTAGCTTAATTTTCTTAAAAGGAAGCTGAATTGGCAGAGTTGTCCCACAGTGGACTAAAACAGCCAGGCCTTTATACCTCCACCTTGATCACTGGATGTAGGCTGTCCTGGTAAGGGTGCCCCACCTTAGTCACACAGGAAGCTGATGCAGTCCCTGAAGACACTGCTAGCTGAAGGCTTTCCCCTCGTAGCACTCCCAGTAGTTGGGAAAACAATTCCTTCACTGAAGTAGGGTCTGGACACCATACTTGGTATGTCTTCACAAAATATTTTTGTTTTTTTGTTTTTTTGAGACAGAGTCGCTCTGTCGCCCAAGCTGGAGTGCAGTGGCGTGATCTCGGCTCACTGCAAGCTCCGCCTCCCAGGTTCACGCCATTCTCCTGCCTCAGCCTCCCTACTAGCTGGGACTATAGGTGCCCGCCACCACGTCTGGCTAATTTTTTTTTATTTTTAGTAGAGACGGGGTTTCACCGTGTTAGCCAGGATAGTCTCAATCTCCTGACCTCATGATACACTCGCCTCGGCCTCCCAAAGTGCTGGGATTACAGGCGTGAGCCACCACGCCCAGCCCTTCCTCTATCTTAATAACACAGTGGTTAAACGCAACAGTACTGAATTGTCTAGTTAGTTTAATGTTATGTATTTCATACACTATTAACACTAGTATGGGAAGCATTTATAAAAATCATGTACCATTAATTAATTTTCTTTCACTTAAAAGTTAAAGCTTTGAGGATTCTGTTTGAAAATATATGTAAAATGATAAAGACCAAATGTGTGTTAATTCAAATATTTAATTAAAGAATAAAATAAGAATAATGAGCTATTTGAAATTGTTGTGAAATTGGTGTAGTGACTTTTGATTCAAACATTTAAATCTGCTGAGGTTAGTTTTGGTACAACTATTCTCAGGATTACATTTATAGACCCTCATCTAGTTAAATTTAGTTTTCTGACTTTAACAGTGATTCAGGCCAGAGACAGTGGCTCACTTCTATAATCCCAGCACTTTGGGAGGCTGAGGCAGGAGAATCACTTGAGACCAGGAGTTTGAGACAAGTCTGGGCAACATAGACCTCATATCTACAAAAAGTTGGGTTTTGTTTTGTTTTTTGAGACAGGGTTTCCACTCTGCCTGCCCAGGCTGGAGTGCAGTGGTACAGTCTCAACTCACTGCAACCTCCGCCTCCTGGGCTCAAGCAATCCTGCCGCCTCAGCCCCCCAAGTAGCTGGGATTACAGGCACGAGCCACCATTTCTGGCTAATTTTTGGATTTTTTGTAGAGATGGGGTTTCACCATGTTGCCCAGGATGATCTCAAACTCCTGAGATCAAGCGACCCACCGACCTCGGCCTCCCAAAGTGCTGGGATTACAGGCTTGAGCCACCACAGCTGGCTTCTACAAAAAGTTTAAAAATAAAAGTGATTCACATAAAAAACAAACTAGATTTTTTTTTTTTTTGAGGCGAAGTTTTGCTCTTGTTGCCCAGGCAGGAGTGCAATGGCGTGATCTCGGCTCACCGTAACCTCTGCCTCCCAGGTTCAAGTGATTCTCCTGCCTCAGCCTCCTGAGTAGCTAGGATTACAGGCATGCACCACCACACCCAGCTAATTTTGTATTTTTAGCAGAGTCGAGGTTTCTCCATGTTGGTCAGGCTGGTCTCGAACTCCCGACCTCAGGTGATCCACCCGCCTCCCAAAGTGCTGGGATTACAGGCGTGAGCCATGGCGCCCCGCCCAAACTAGATTTTTTTTATGACTGTAAAGGAATATATGTTCATTGCAAGAAATGAAATATTTAAAAGTACAAAAGTAAAAAATATTAAACATAATTCCATGACCAAATAAAAACTTTTTTTTTTTTTAGAACAGGATCTCACTATATTGCCCAGGCAGGTCTCGAACTCTTGAGCTCAAGCTATCCTCCTGCCTCTGCCTCCCTAAGAGCTGGGATTACAAGTGTGAGCCACCACTCCTGGCCAATAAAAACCATTTTAATAGTGTAATATATACGTTAGTTATATATATATGCATAAAAACATATATATGTAAATCACCATTATACTCTACATAATTATTTCTAACTAATTGTATTTTATTATACTTTAAAATTCTTTGGAGGAATAGCAGAGATTAGTGTTACTATCAAAAACTTGAGATTCTAAGGTAGTGATTCCTATTACATTACCATTTAACTTGCTTATATGACATGTCAGAAGGCAGAGGTATCATGGAGACTGACTATAGATTATCATAAAATAAATTAGGTGGTGAGTTCAGTTGCAGCTACTGTTTCAGATATGGTTTCTTTAGTGGAGTGAATCAATACAGCCTGTGGCGTCTATTCTGCAGTGTTATATGTTTATTTCTGTAATAACAATGTGTAAGGATCACAGGAACAGTTTGCCTTCACCTGGTAGAGTCAGCAGTATACTTTCATGGTCTTTCCTTAGGTGTCAATGTCAATTTTCTTGTTTTCTGCCATAATCTAACCCAAGTATAAGAAAATTGCAACCCACAGACCAAATTCATCCTGATACATTTTTGTATAGTCCGTAAGCTAAGAATCGTCTTCATATTTTTAAACGGTTGACAAAAATTAAATGATGAATTTATCTAAAGATAAATAAGAATTAAATGAAATTCTAATTTCTCTGACTAGTGTAATAAAAGATATTTAAAAATAAATAAATAATAAAATAATAAATGAAGTGTTGGTAGAACACAGCCATACTCATTTGCTCACATATTATTTATCTATGGCTGTTTTCACACTACAGGGTTGAATAGTTGTAACACAGGCTACACAGCTCACAAGCCTAAAATATTCAGCACATGGTCCTTTACAGAAAATATCAACCTCTGATCGAATTCACAGAGACGCTGATTGTCTTGAAATGCCACAGAACATCATGCCAACCCACCTCACAGATCACAACATGCTGAGTAGAACTGATGAGCAGAAAATAGCAAGTATCCGATTTGTCAAAGTGATACGCATATGTGATCCAGGATGGCAGATAATACTCTGTTACCTCAGTGACATCTCTAGGCGCTCAGTAGTCTGGGTCATGTCGAGATAGCTCCTCTAAAATAAAGGAGAAGTTGCTGAACACTGCACTTCGTGAGAAGAAAACAGAGACACACATGATTTGGATCTCTCTTGATCTGATAGCCAACAAATAGATATTTGAGCATACTGCCAGTGTGAATCCACAAGTAAAAGAAAGCTCTACAGCAGGTCCTGGATGAAATTTAAAAGCTGTTCTGCCACCTGGACCTTATGACCTAGCAGATTCAATAAGAGTCAGCTTTTGCAACAGAAAGAATGCTATTCAGAACCACTAGAACGTGGCAATAGAAGAATCACAATGTCTCCACTTAAAGTTTTGAAGTAAGGCTTGCTTTCTTCTGCAGATAACATGTCTTCTTTGGAGAAACATGTCTTGGAGTTCTACTGAGCTCTGGCAAAGATTAAATGCCTGATCATCATAACTCAAATGATCATGAGAACTGAGCTACCCGTCACAAATTGTGTGTTAGACAGACACAGCAGCTAGTTCATCACAAAGTGGAAATAATGTATATTATATCAGTCTCAAAAGGTACTGAGGGCACAAGCTGGTTGCTTAAACAGGGACCGCAGATTTCCAGAACATCTATTCCTGCTTCGTTACCTCCCCTCAATATACATGCATGGCCTCATGGAAAATTCCTTACAGCCACTTAACTAAGAGTGGGTTTATAGATGGTTTTACACTAAATGCTTACATTTAGTGTAAAATGTAGTTTCATTGCTGTAGTACTATAGTATAATACAATGTCCCTCAAAACAATAGCTAAGGGAAATTCTGCTAGTGGGAAAAACTTCAAGCAGTACAACCAGTCATATATCTTGTTTGTAAAGAGAGATGACTACTACCGTGTATATGTATATGTATATGTATATGCATATGTATATATATATGCATATGTATATATACACACACACAAACATTCATGTCATCTGCAAACAGACAATTTGATCTCCTCCTTTCCAACTTGGATGTTCTTTATTTCTTTCTCTTGCCTAATTGTTCTGGCTAGAACTTCCAATACTATGCCGCAGAAGAGTGATGAGAGTGGGCATCCTTGTCTTGCTCCAGTTCTAAGAGGAAATGCTTTCAACTTTTACCTGTTCAATATGATGTTAACTGCGGGTTTGTCATACATGGAGTTTATTGTCTTGAGGTATATTCCTTATATACCTAATTTGTTGAGTTTTTTTTATCTTGAAGGGATGTTAAATTTTCTCAAAAACGGAAAGATATTGAGATGCAGAATGATATTGAGATTATATTGTTTTTGTCCTTCATTCTGTTGATATGATATATCACATTTATTGATTTATGTATGTTGCCCCATCCTTGAATCCCAGAGATAAACCTCACTTGATCATGGGGTATAATCTGTTCGATGTACTGTTGAATTTGGTTTGCTAGTATTTTGTTGAGGATTTTTGTAGCTATGTTCATCAGGGATATTGGCCTACAGTTTTTTGCTGTTGTTGTTGTGTCCTTGTCGGGTTTTGGTATTAGGGCAATGCCAGCCTCATGAGTTAGGAAGAATTTCCACCCCATCAATTTTTTTGAGTAATTTGAGAGAAATTGGTGTTAGTTCTTTAAAAATTTTGTAGGATTCAGTAGTAAAGCCATCTGGTCATGGGCTTTTCTTTGTTGGAAGACTTTATTACTGATTCAATTTTTTGCTCATCGTTGGTTTATTCAGGTTTTCTATTTCTTTACGGTTCAACCTTGGTAGGTTGTATGTGTCCAGGAATTTATTCACTTCCTCTAGGTTTTCCAATTTGTTGATGTATAGTTGTTCACAATAGTCTCTAATGATCCTTTGTATTTCTGTGATATCAGTCGTAATGTCTCCTTTTTTATTTGTGATTTTATTTATTAGGGTCTTCTCTCATTTTTTCTCAGTCTAATTAAAAGTTTGTCTAATTTTTTTATCTTTTCATAAAACCAACTTTTTGATTTATCGATCCTTTGCATTTTTCTAGTCCCAACTATGTTTATTTCTGCTCTAATTTTTATAATTTCTTTCCTTCTACTAATTTTGACTTAGGCTTCTTCTTGCTTTTCTAGTCTCCCAAGCTACATAATTAGATTGTTTATTTAAAAAATTTCTAGTTTTTTGACATAGCTGTTTATTGCCATCAACTTCCGACTTATTCCTGTTTGTTTTTGTTTTTGTTTTGTTTTGTTTGTTTGTGAGACGGAGTCTTGCTCTGTCGCCCAGGCTGGAGTGCAGTGGCGCGATCTCTGCTCACTGCAAGCTCTGCCTCCCAGTTCACGCCATTCTCCTGCCTCAGCCTCCCAAGTAGCTGGGACTACAGGCGCCCGCCACCACACCTGGCTAATTTTTTGCATTTTTAGTAGAGACAGGGTTTCATTGTGTTAGCCAGGATGGTCTCTATCTCCTGACCTCGTGATCCACCCGCCTTGGCCTCCCAAAGTGCTGGGATTACAGGCATGAGCCACCGTGCTCTGTTTTTTATATCTCCCATAGGTTTTGGTATTTTGTGTTTCTATTTTCATTTGATTCAAAAAATTTTTAATTTTCTTCTTAATTTCTTTATTGTCCCATTGGTTATTCAGAAGCATGTTATTTCATTTCCATGTATTTGTACACTTCCTAAAGTTACTCTAGTGATGGATTTTTAATTTTATTCCATTGTGGGCAACATGGATACTTGATATGATTTCAATTTTTAAAAATTTGTTGAGATTTGCTTCGTAGCCTAACATATGGCATGTTCCATGTGCTGATGAGAAAAATGAGTTATTCTGCAACTATTAAATAAAATATTCTGTAAATGTCTGTTAGGTCCATTTGGTCTATGGTGCAGTTTAAATCCGGTGTTTCTTTGTTGATTATCTGTCTAGATAATCTGCCCAATGCTGACAGTGGGGCATTTAAGTCCTCAACTATTATTGTATTGATATCTATCTCTCCCCCTAAATCTAATGATATTTGCTTTATATATCTGAGTGCTCCAGTGTTGAGTACATATTTATTTAGAATTGTTATATCCTCTCACTGAATTGATCCCTTTATTATTATATAATTACCTTCTCTGTATCTTTTTATAGCTTTTGACTTGAAGTCTGTTTAAGTCTGATACAAGCATAGCTGCTCTTGTTTATTTTTGGTTTCTGCTTGCATGGAATATCTTTTTTCATCCCTTCACTTTCAGTCTATGTGTGTCTTTGTAGGTGAAGTGAGTTTCTTGTAAGCAGTATATAGTTGAGTCTTGATATTTTTTTATCTATTCAGCCAGCCTATATCTTTCTAATTGGGGATTTAATGTTTACATTCAAGATTTTGTTTTTCGTTCAAGATTATTGATAAGTAAGAAAAAAACTCCTGACATTTTGTTAATTGTTTTCTGGTTGTTTTAGATTTCTTTTCTTCCTTTCTTCCTCTCTTATTGTTTATCTTTGTGATTTGGTGGTTTTCTGTAGTGATGAGGTTTGATTCCTTTCTCTTTCTCATTTGGATAACTGTTCTACCTGTGAGTTTTATACTTTCACGTGATTTCATGATGGCAGTAATCATCCTTTTCCTCCAAACGTAGGACTTTCTTAAGCATTTCTTATAAGGCTAGTCTAGTGATAATCAATTCCTTCAGCTTTTGCTTGTCTGGTGATGTAGTTTAAATGTGTGTCCCTGCCCAAATCTCATGTTGACTTGTAATCCCATGTTAGAGGTGGGGCCTGGTGAAAGGTGACTGGATCATAAAGGCAAATTTATCATGAATAGTTTATCACTATCCCCTTGGTGTTGTCCTCAGTAGTGAGTTCTCTTTTTTTTTTTTTTTTTTTTTGAGACGATGTCTTGCTCAGTCGCCCAGGCTGGAGTGCAGTGGCGTGATCTTGGCTCACTGCAAGCTCCGCCTCCTGGGTTCACGCCATTCTCCTGCCTCAGCCTCCCAAGTAGCTGGGACTACAGGGGCCTGCCACCACACCCAGCTAATTTTTTTTTTTGTATTTTTTTAGTAGAGATGGGGTTTCACCGTGTTAGCCAGGATGGTCTCGATCTCCTGACCTTGTGATCCACCCACCTCAGCTTCCCAAAGTGCTGGGATTACAGGCATGAGCCACCACACCCAGCCAGCAGTAAGTTCTCATGAGATCTGGCCCCTTAAAAGTATATGGCACTTCCCCACCTTCTCTTGCTCCTGCTTTCTCCTTGTAATGTGCCTGCTCCTTCTTTGCTTTCTGCCATGATTGGAAGCTTCCTGAGGCCTCCCCAGAAGCAAGATGCCACTATGCTTCCTGTACAGCCTGTAGAACCATTAGCCCATAAAACCTCTCCTTTTATAAATTACCCAATCTCAGGTACTTCTTTGTAGCAATGCAAGAACGGCCAAATACACCTGGGAAAGTCTTTATTTCTCCTTCATTCTGAAGGATAACTTTGGTGGGTATAGTATTCTTTGCTGGCAGTTTTGTTCTTTCACCACTTTGAATATGTCATCCTATTCTCTCCTGGCTTGTAAGCTTTCTGCCAAGGAATCTGCTGTTTCTCTAATGGGGATTTCCTTGTGTGCAATAACACTTTTGTCTTGCTGTTTTTAGAATTATTTGTCTTTTTGACAGTTTTACTATAATGTGACTTGAAGGGGACCTTTTTGGGTTGAATCTATTTGGGAAACTTTGAGCTTCCTGGATTTAACATCTATATCTCTCCTAAGATTTGGGGAGTTTTCAGCTGTTATTTCATTAAATGGGTTTTTCTATATCTTTTCCCATTTCTCCTTAAACATCCATAGTGTAAATATATGTTCACTTAATCATGCCTCACAAGTCCCTTAGGCTGCTTTCTTCATTCTTTTCTTTGTTTTAAAGACAGAGTCTCTGCTACCCAGGCTGGAGTGCAGTGTATGATTATAGTTTACTGCAGCCTCAAACTCCTGGGCACAATGATCCTTCCACCTTAGCCTCGCAAGTAGCTGGGACTGCAGATGCATGCAACCACACCTGGCTAATCTTTTTCCCCCAGAGATGGGGTCTGACTTTGCTGCCCATGCTGGTCTCAAATTCCTAGGCTCAAGCAATTCTCCCACATCAGCCTCTCAAGTAACTAAAATTACAGGCATGAGCCCATGTGCCCAGATTTTTCTTTTTAACTTTTTATTTTTGGTGGTCTGACTGGGTTATTTCAAAAGTCTTTTTGAATTCTTTCAAAAGAGTTTCAGAAATTCTTTCTTCTGCTTGATCTACTCTATTGTTGAAGCTCTCAACCATATTTTTTATTTGTTAAATTCTTCAGCTCCAAATTTTCTGTTTGGTTTCTTTTTTTGATATCTATTTATTTGTTGAATTTCTCATTCAGATCGTGAATTTCTCTCCTAATTTTGTTAAATTGTCTATCTGTATTCTTTTGTATCTCACTGAGTTACCTTAAGATCATTATTTTGAATTTCTTTTCAGGCATTTCATTGATTTCCTTTTCTTCAAGTCTGTTACTAGAGAATCATTGTGTTCCTTTGGAGGTGTCATCAGATCAGCCCAAGGAACATCTCACCAATTTCAAATCAGGAAGCGGTCTCTTCACTCTCTTCTCCAGCCTCTCTTGCTACCCTTCAGTCTCCCTATCCTTCCAATTCCAGTTCTTTTCCTTTCTAGTAGAGACAAAGGAGACACATTTTATCTGTGAACTCAAAAACTCCAATGTCCGTCACAGATTTGGGAAGACAGTCTTCCCTTGGTGTTTGATCATAGCGGGGACGCCTGCCTTCATCATTCACCCACACTCCCTTGGTGGCAGGTCAATTGCAGGGACACCTGCTTTGGCTGCTCACCCACATTACAGCCCAGGACTCAGTCAGGGACGCATACTGGAAGCCTGGTATCTGCCCACCTCCATTTCTCCGTGTCTCTACCTTCCTCTTTAAACTTACCTTCTCCACTATGGGCAACCTTCTACCATCCATTCCTCCCTCTTCCCCCTTAGCCTGTGTTCTTAAAAACCTAAAACCCCTTCGACTAACATCTGACCTAAAACCTAAACGTCTTATTTTCTTCTGTAATACCGCTTGGCCCCAATACAAACTCGACAATAGTTCCAAGTGGCCAGAGAATGGCACTTTTGATTTGTCCATCCTACAAGATCTAGATAATTTTTGTCATAAAATGGGCAAATGGTCTGAGGTGCCTGACATCCAGGCATTCTTTACACATCAGTCACTTCCTAGTCTCTGCTCCCAATGCAACTCGTCCCAAATCTTTCTTCTTTCTCTCCTGTCTGGTCCTTCAGTCTCCACCCCAAGCTCTGAGTCCTTTGAATCCTCCTTTTCTACAGACCCATCTGACCTCTCCCCTCCTCCCCAGGCTGAGCCAGGTCCCAATTCTTCCTCAGCCTCCGCTCCCCCACCCTATAATCCTTCTATCACCTCCCCTCCTCACACCCAGTCTGGCTTACACTTTTGTTCCACGACTAGCCCTCCCCCACCTGCCCAACAATTTCCTCTTAGAGAGGTGGCTGGATCTGAAGGCATAATCCAGGTTAATGCTCCTTTTTCTTCATCTGACCTCTCCCAAATCAGTTAGCGTTTAGACTCTTTTTCATCAAATATAAAAACCCAGCCCAGTTCATGGCCCGTTTGGCAACAACCTTTAAACGCTTTACCACCCTAGACCCACAGGGCCCAGAAGGCTGTCTTATTCTCAAAATGCATTTTATTACCCAGTCCACTCCCGACGTTACAAAAAGCTCCAAAAATTAGATTCCGGCCCTCAAACCCCACAACAGGACTTAATTAATCTTCTCTTCAAGGTGTACAATAATAGAGAAGAGGCAACCAAGTGGCAATGTATTTCTGAGTTGCAATTACTTGCCTCCACTGTGAGAGAAACCCCAGCCATATCTCCAGCATACAAGAACTTCAAAATGCCTAAACCACACCAGCCAGGCGTTCCTCCAGGACCTCCTCCCCCAGGATCTTGCTTCAAGTGCCAGAAATCTGGCCACTGGGCCAAGGAATGCCCGCAGCCCAGGATTCCTCCTAAGCCGTGTCCCATCTGTGCGGGACCCCACTGGAAATGAGACTGTCCAACTCGCCTGGCAGCCACTCCCAGAGCCCCTGGAACTCTGGCCCCAGGCTCTCTGACTGACTCCTTCCCAGATCTTCTCAGCTCAGCGGCTGAAGACTGACACTGCCGATTACCTTGGAAGCCTCCTGGACCATCACAGACACTTTGGGTAACTCGTACAGTGGAGGGTAAATCCGTCCCCTTCTTCATCAATATGGAGGCTATCCACTCCACATTACCTTCTTTTCAAGGGCCTGTTTCCCTTGCCTCCATAACTGTTGTTGGTATTGATGGCCAGGCTTCTAAACCTCTTAAAACTTCCCAACTCTGGTGCCAACTTGGACATTATTTTATGCACTCCTTTTTAGTTATCCCCACCTGCCCAGCTCCCTTATTAGGTCGAGACATTTTAACTAAATTATCTGCTTCCCTGACTATTCCTGGGCTATAGCCACACCTTATTGCCACCCTTTTCCCCAGTTCAAAGCCTCCTTCACATCCTCCTCTCATGTCTCCCTACCTTAATCCACAAATATGGGATACCTCTACTCCCTCCTTGGTGACCGATCAGGCACCCTTTACCATCCCATTAAAACCTAATCACCCTTACCCCACTCAATGCCAATATCCCATCCCACAGCAGGCTTTAAAAGGGTTAAAGCCTGTTATCACCCGCCTGTTACCACATGGCCTCTTAAAGCCTACAGATTCTCCTTACAACTCCCCTATCCTACCCATCCAGAAACCGGACGAGTCTTACAGGTTGGTTCAGGATCTTCGCCTTATTAACTTAATTGTCTTACCTATCCATCCTGTGGTGCCAAACCAATAAACTCTCCTATCCTCAATACCTCCCTCCACAACTCATTACTCCATTATTGACCTCAAAGATGCTTTCTTCACTATTCCTTTGCACCCCTCATCCCAACCTCTTTTTGCTTTCACATGGGCTGACCCTGACACCCACCAATCTCAGCAACCCACCTGGACTGTACTGCTGCAAGGCTTCAGAGACAGCCCCCATTACTTTAGTCAAGCTCTTTTTCATAATTTACTTTCTTTCCGTCCATCTGTTTCTCACCTTATTCAATATATGGACGTACCTTCTTGTTCAGCCCCAACCTCGTGACAGACACCAGCCCTCTAGGTGACTGTCTTCCAGTCCTCCAGCAGGCTAGACAGGAAATTCACCAGGCTGCTAATCTTCTCTTGCCTACTCCAGACTCCCAGCTATATGAAGACACCCTAGCTGGATGATCAGTTCTTGTTACAAATCTGACCCCTCAAACTCTACAACCTTGACGGACCGGACCCTACTTAGTCATCTATAGTACCCCAATTGCCATCCACCTGCAGGACCCTCCCCATTGGGTTCACCATTCCAGAATAAAGCTGTGTCCCTCGGACAGCCAGCCTGATCTCTCCTCTTCCTCTTGGAAGTCACAAGTACTCTCCCCTACTTCCCTTAAACTCACATTTCTGAAGAACAGTAATAACCCTTATGAGCCTAATACATCCCTTCATTCTATTAGGTCTATTGGTCCTTACCCTGCTTTTTACAACAGGGCTTTACGCAATCACCCCCACTACTTGGACTGCACCCCAAAAACTTGTCATTCCTACTATCTTCTGTCTAATCATACTCCTATTCACCATTCTCAACTACTCGCAAATGCCCTGCCCTTGTTTACACTGCCAGTTTACACTTTTCCTCCAAACCATCATAACTGATATCTCCTGGTTTTACCTCAAACCACCACCCTTAACTCTCTCTTGGAGTGGATAGAAGATCTTCAGTGGCAAGGTACACTCCAATTCTATCCTGATGAAGTCCTTTTTTTACTTTTCTACTCACTCTTATCCTTGCCCCCATTCTCCAGTCACTCTCTACCTCTCCCTAGTTACCTCCAGCATACTATCAATCTCACCCACTCTCTCCTCACTGCCTCCAATCCTTCTCTAGCAAAGAATTGTTGGCTATGCATTTCCCTTTCTTCCTGCTCTTATACAGCCATCCCCGCTCTACAGGCCAACTGGGCTACCTCTCCTGTCTCCCTGCACCTCCAACCTTCCTTTAATAGCCCTCATCTTTACCCATCTGAGGAACTTCTTTACTTTCTAGACAGATTAGGTGAGAACTCCCCAGACATTTCGCACCAACGAGCTGCCACACTTCTCAACATCTACTTATGGCACCTTTCTCCTTATGTCAATTCCACCCTTGCCCCCATATTTGGACCCCTAACCACACAAACAACTATCCCTATTGCCATTCCTTTATGCATCTCCTGACAACAGCCTACTGGAATCCCTTTAGACAACCTTCCACCGTCCAAATGTTCCTTTACTCTTTATCTCCAGAACCCAGCCACACACATTACCAAACAGATGGGAGCATTCCAACTTCACATTACTGATAAGCCTCTATCATTACTGACAAACTAAAAAACATTGGCAGTCACTATTGTTTAGGAAGACACCTACCCTGCATCTCACTCCAGCCTTGGCTACCCTCCCCCTGCTCATCTGACTCTCCTCCTAGCCCCTCCTCTTGCTTGCTTATACCCAGCCCCATGAATAACAGTGAAAGGTTACTCGTAGACACTATGTGCTTTCTCATACACCATGAGAACCGAACCTCTGCCTCCATGCAGTTGCACCATCAATTCCCATTACAACCTCTAATGGCTGCTGCCCTTGCTGGGATTCTGGGCACAGGTCTCCTCTTTCAGTACACCCTCTCACCTTTTCACTTTACATTTCCAGTTCTGCCTGACACAAGGTCTCTTCTTTTTATGTGGCTCTTCCACCTACATGTGCCTACCTGCCAACTGGACAGGCACATGTACTCTAGTCTTCCTTACCCCCAAAATCCAGTTTGCAGATGGGAACGATCAACTGCCTGTCCCCCTCATGACACCAACACAACAAAAAAGAGTCATCCCACTAATCCCTTTACTTGTGGGTCTAGGACTTTCTGCCTCCACTATTGCACTTGAAACTGGAATAGCAGGCATCTCAACCGCTGCCGCAACATTCTGCAGCCTCTCTAATGACTTCTCTGCTAGCATTACAGATATATCACAAACTTTATCTGTCCTCCAAGCCCAGGTTGACTCTTTAGCTGCAGCTGTCCTCCAGAACCACCAAGGCCTCGATTTACTCACTGCTGAAAAAGGAGGACTCTGTATATTTCTTAATGAAGAGTGTTGTTTTTACTTAAATCAATCTGGCCTGGTATATGATAACATCAAAAAACTCAAAGACAGAGCTCAAAAACGTGCTAATCAGGCAACTAATTATCCTGGACCCACCTGGCCACTCTCTAAAAACTGGGTATCCTGCTTCTTCCAATTGTTAGTCCTCTAATACCTATCTTCCTCCTTCTCTTATTCGGGCCTCGTGTCTTCCGGTTAATCTCTCAATTCCTACGAAACCGCATCCAGGCTATCACTAATCACTCTATATGGCAAATGCTGCTTTTAACAACCTGACAATATCACCCCTTACCCCAAAATCTTACTTCAGTCTAATCTCTCCCACTTTAGGTTCCCGCACCACCCCTAATCCCGCTCGAAGCAGCCCTGAGAAACGTTGCCCATCACCCCTCCAGACCACCCCCAAAATTTTCGCCTCAAGTTTTCACTACTCTTTCTCGTTTTAGTTCTTCATTATTAACATAAAAAGACAGGAATGTAAGGTCCTCTGAGCTGGCCACACCATGATCAAGCCATCGTGACATTCCCCTGTCCTTGTGATAATGTACTTTGTGATATTCCCCATCCTTGTGAATGTACTTTATAACATTCCTCCCTGCCTTGTGACAATACACCCTCCCTGCCCTTGTAAATGTACTTTGTAACATCCCCACCCCCTCCTTGTGACAATACCTCCTCCCTGCCCTTGTGAATGTACTTTGTAACATCCTCCCCACCCTTAAGAATGTACTTTGTAACATCCATCCCCTGCCCACAAAAAAAAATTGCTCCTAACTCCACCGCCTATCCCAAACCTATAAGAACCAGTGATAATCCCACCACCCTTCACTGACTCCTTTCTCGGACTCAGCCCACTTGCACCCAAGTGAATAAACAGCCTTGTTGCTGACACTAAGCCTGCTCAGGTGGTCTCTTATATAGACACGCTTAACATAGATATCATGTGGAAAGCATGTAAATTATAAGAATGTACCGCTTTTGTCTCATTTTATTTCTCCATTTACTGGATGCATTTATGGAAGGCACGTAACAGGTCTTTGTGGGAAGACACGGAAAGAAATCACAAAAGCAATTAAGAGAGCTCAAATAATGGGGTTTATGCAAGTTACATACAAGGATACTGCATACCTCAAAGACCCCAAAGTTTGTAACATCAATTATCAGGAATAAAATTATATAAGGTTACCACCAATAAACTTATTTTACAGTTAAAACAAAAGTTTTTCTCTTTTTTATCTCTGAATTGTTTATTTAAAGACAATTTCAATAGAAATATTTGATTTGGGGGAACTTCTAACCACTAAACAAATAGCAATTATCCTAGTATTGGATCATCTTTGTCTCCTATCACTATCATTTTCTTTCCTATTGCTTTCATTTTTATCTCTTTTCTTAGACATGGTTTAAACATTAATCACGTTTTAACTTACTTAACACTTGTAACAAGCCTGAGTTAAGTGCTATCATTATTCTCATTGTTTTGGTCGGGACGAAATGAAATATATTCAAGCTAGGTAATTTAAGGAGCTATTTAATAAAAGGAGCATCTAAAAGGTATGGACAGAATGTAGGATAACCCCAGGGGACAGCAAAGTGCTCTGGGTTTCACAACATTTAGGTACTGTTATCATCTTTAGGCCTGAAAGATATAGAAAGGATGTAAATACTATTTCCCTAACATAGAGTGAACTATTTTGGTAAGGGCTCTTGTTGGGGATATGACCTTCATTGAAGGGACAGAGCCCTGGGACCTCATAAGAAGGGAGCTGGGGGGGATAAACTCTCCAGCTCTACGCTCTTCTTTCTCTTTAATTTCCTTTGAGTGCTTCCCATTGCCCAGACCCAATTTGAAGCTAAAAGTCAAGATAGCTTCTTGATGCATTCCATATAGGTCAGTCTCTGCCTCCTAGGACACAAAGCAGAGTAGAGAAGGGTGGATATTGGTCTAGAGAGGCAAAATAAAAGTAGCATAATCACTTTACACTACAGTACTACTACACCATTCTGTCTCCAGCGGTGGGAGGTTAGAAAGGTAGGTAGATAGTCAACTATTTTATGGAGCAAATAGTAAAAATGTATACAGGCCTTCTGCAAACTAACCAAAAAAATAAAAAGAAAAAGAACGGGGCAAAAAATAAAAGCTTTTGATAGGCATATATCATGTTATTTTTGGAAACCACTATTAAGAACTGTAAGCTTCCTTGATTGTTACAGTGCTTAAAAGCATCCAGGAGATGGCAGCATTGGTAAGGTATTTAAAAATCAAATGTTAAAAATATTTTTCACAATTATTATTGATAGATAATGAGCTTCCCAAATGGAATAACGTTTTAAAGTATAGTTGGTCCTAAATAACTAAAAATGCAGAAATACTAAATTATTGTCAAATAATAGCGTGGCTTTATGCAGGTGGTTATTCAAGAGTACACTCACATGACACATGACAGTTCAGTAGATATTCGGACTGAAAATACAACAGATTACAACGGGGCTGAAAAATTTCTATCGCCTAATGAGGCCTAGGATAATGAGTGTGTTTGTGTCTTAGTTTGTTATTTGTTTCTTTTTTCTTTTATTTTCTTTTGAGACCTGGGTCTCGCTCTGTCACCCAGGCTGCAGTGCAGCGGTGCTATCTTGGCTCACTGCAGCCTCCGTCTCTGGGGCTCAAGTGATCCTCCTGCCTCAGCCTCTGGGGTAAGATTCCAGGCATGCACCATCACCCTTGGCTAATTTCTATATTTTTTTGTAGGGATGGGGTTTCACCATGTTGCCTAGGCTGATCTCAAACTCCTAAGCTCAGGAGATCCTCCCACCTCGGCCTCCCAAAGTGCTGGGACTACAGGCGTGGGACTGTGTGGCCCGACCTGACAAAAACAAGTTTAATAACTAGAGGCAACTATTCACAAATCATATACAAAATATCATATGTGAGATGTGGTGGCTTATTAAAATCTAGATATCACAGACATCATATCAGTTATGAGGCAAAAAAAATTAATCTGCCTTTAAATGTTATTTCTAAACTGTTTTAATCATTTCCAACATTGAAACATAAATTGTTAAAGATACACCTAGATGTCAATATTCTGGCCCAGGTACTTAACTGGGTACAGGAGACAAAATACTAAAAAACAATCTGACCTTCTAAACCCTCAGCCTGAGATGGAAACAGACAACTCCATTGAATTACAATTCGATCTGACTCTAATAGCAAGGTGCCATCTAAATGGGAGGGCCAACTTGCCTAACTCCACCTTGACAGACGGGGAAGGCTTCACCAGGGAGGGAGCACGGAGCAGAGATTTTGAGAGATGAGCCTGCGTTTGCCAGGATAACCACAGGGAGAAGGCCACTGCCTGCAGAAAGAGGAGCAGGCGTAGGGGAGGGTAGACATGAAACAGCACACCCTATCCCAATGGTTAACCAGAGGCAATATCGCTCCCGGGGGAGATTTCGAAATGTCTGGTAACATTTTTGCTTGTCACCACTGGAGGAGTGCTACTGGCAGCTAGTGGGTAAAGGTCAGGGATGCAGCTAAACGTCCCACAGTGCACAGACAGCCAACCACGACAAATGAATTATCTGACCTCAAATACTGCCACTGTTGAAAAACTGCTGTAACCGCAAATGGCATCTCTTTGAATGGCAAGGTTACAGAAAGGAATAGCAAAAATGCAGCGATGATCCAGGAACGTTTTCTAAAAGGGGGCGGGGATAAAATTAGGGAAGGTTTATTGACACCCCCCAAAAAAAAGAGAAAAAAAGAGAGAAAAGTTTAGATTTTATTGTAAATGTGAGAGAGAGCCAGACACAATCAGCTTTGCTTACTAGAAAGATTGCTGTGGCTGTGGGAAGAGAATGGACTGAGATGGCGACGCTGACAAACAAAGAAAATTGGTATTTTAACAATTTCACTTCTCTTTTCTTTATCAAGGGGAATATCTTACAAATGAAAAAATAGAAGACTGGTAAGAGGAAATTGAAACTCTAGATTGATGTCTAGATTGTAAGAGGGCAAGTAGCTGCTCCAGTGATTTCAAGATTTGTGATGAAGATAAATTAAACTGCCATGTCTGCGCCTCACTTCCTGAATCCCTCCCTCCCGCTGGCCTGCACCGCTGCCCCTCCCTCCTGTCTGGCGTGGTTCCTTAAAGCCCTGCATTTGACTCCCTACCTTGGCTCCCATTCTTTATTTATCCCACCTGACTGGCAACCCAGATTTGACTTGTTCTTCCAGTTCTGACTTGGAAACTACCCATCAGCCCTTTGCGCAGATGCCGAGGGTTAGAAATGCCCCACTCCTTAGCCCCAGGCACAGTGAGACTAACCCCATAAGGGTGGCGGTGAAGGGGAGGGGAGAGTTTGACAAATCTCCTCCCAAGTGATAAGAGAATTTATGGATGAGATTAGCAAAACGCTGTTAGTCCAGACATCAGAGTAAGAGCCAAATCCTGTTTCCTACAGTGTCCCCACCCCACCTCTCACCTCTACTCCTACCATCCTGCCCCTCAGTCACCCAGCCCAGCCATGCTGGCCTCCTTCTGCCTCAAAGAGTTTGCATTGGCTGATTCTGTCTAGATGAAAAACAGAATTCACTAGAGAGCTTTCATAAAATGCCCGGATCTGACCCTTACATCCTTTTATTTTTCCTTCTGGGTTTGGCTTTCTCTTTCTTCTTTCCTTCCCTTGCACTCATATCAGCACCTCTACCCCACCCCCAACTCTTACCACACCCGTGTCAAGAACTGGATTTGTGTCTGCCATATTTTCTCCATGTTCACATAGACTATTTAAGTAAATAAGAAAACCCTGAACGAAAGAGAAACATGAGGATGATAGCCCAGCTTTACTCTTCTACCCCTCCCCATCTCCTTACGATCCCTACTAGCTGGACCCAATTGGAAGCCAGAGAGCAAGGAAGCTCATTGGTGCAGGTCATGTAGGTCAGCCTCTGCCTCCTGGGACACAAAACAGATAAGAGGACCTTGAAGCTAGAGAGGAAAAATAAAGAATAACCTTTTTCCGACCACACAACTTAAGAAACAAAGCACTGGGCATGGTGGCTCATGGCTGTAAACCCAGCATGTTGGGAGGACGAGGCAGGCGGATCACCTGAGGTTGGGAGTTCGAGACCAGCCTGGCCAACATGGTGAAACCCTGTCTCTACTAAAAATACAAAATTAGCTGGGTGTGGTGGCACATGCCTGTCATATCAGCTACTCAGGAGGCTGAGGCAGGAGAATCGCTTGAACCCGGGAGGCAGAGATTTCAGTGAGCCGAGATAGTGCCACTGCACTCCAGCCTGGGCAACAGAGTGAGACTCCATCTCAAAAAAAAAAAAAAAAAGTTATTTAAATCTTCTGACTAGGCCAGGTACGGTGGCTCACACTTGTAATCCTAGCACTTTGTAAGGCTGAGATGAGAGGACTGCTTGAGCCCAGGAAACCAAGACCAGCCTGGGCAACATAGCAAGACCCTATCTCTGTTTTTTTTTAATTAATATATTTTATAAATAAAAAAATAAAAAATAAAAATTAGCTGAGTGTGGTGCACACCTGTGGTCCTAGCAACTCAGGAGGCTGAGGTGGGAGGATCACCTGAACCTGAGAGGTCAAGGCTGCAGTAAGCCATGATCATGTCAATGCACTCCAGCCTGGGTAACAGAGTAGGACCCAGTCTCAAAAAAAAAAAAAAAAAAAAAACTTCTGGCCTGGTGTGGTGGCTCACACCTGTAATCTCAGCACTTTGGGAGGCTGAGGCAGGAGGGTCACAGGGTCAGGAGTTCAAGACCAGCCTGGCTAAGATGGTGAAACCCCATCTCTACTAAAAATACAAAAAAATTAGCCAGGCATGGTGGCAGGTGCCTATAATCCCAGCTACTCAGGAGGCTGAGGCAGAGAATTGCTTGAACCCAGGAGGCAGAGGTTACAGTGAGCTGAGATGGTGCCATTGCACTCCAGCCTAGGAAGCAGAGCAAGATTCCATCTCAAAAAAAAAAAAAAAAAAATTCTGTGAAAATACAAATATTGCAAACATTTTCTCTCAGTCTACAGATTACATTTTCATTTTGTATGTGGTATCTTTTCATGAAAATAAGTTTTTATTTTGTTTTATTTTTTAAGACAGGGTCTCACTGTCACACTGGCTGGAGTGCAATTGTATGATCATAGCTCACTGCAGCCTCTGTCTCCTGGTCTCAACCAATTCTCTTGCCTCTGCCTCCCAAGTAGCTGGGACTACAGGTATGCGCCACCACACCCAGCAAATTTTTCTGTTTTGTTTTTGTAGAGATGGGGTCTTGCTTAGTTGCCCAGGCTGGTATCAAACTTCAAGCAATCCTTCCACCTTGGCCTCCCAAAGTGCTAGGATTATAGGAGTGAGCCACTGCTCCAGTCAGAAGTTTTTAATTTTAATATAGTCAAATATATCAATTGTTTCATTGACTTTAGAGTTTTATTAGAAATGGCTGTTGAAATTTATCAACTATCTTTTCAAAATCTACTTAGATTATTTAAAACTTGATAATATAGGCCAGGCACAGTAGCTCACGCCTGTAATCCCAGCACTTTAGGAGGCCGAGGCGGGCAGATCACGAGGTCAGGAGATTGAGACTATCCTGGCTAACACGGTGAAACCCCATCTCTACTAAAAATACAAAAAATTAGCTGGGCATGACGGCAGGTGCCTGTAGTCCCAGCTGCTCCAGAGGCTGAGGCAGGAGAATGGTGTGAACTCAGGAGGCAGAGCTTGCAGTGAGCCAAGATCACACCACTGCACTCCAGCCTGGGCGAGAGTGTGACACTCCGTCTCAAAAAAAAAAACAAAACAAACAAAAAAAAACTTGCTAATATAACTAATTATACTGAGAGTTTTCCTGATATTGAACTATCCTTGAATTCCTACAATAAGTCCTAAATTGGGTAATCTTTTTTTTTTTTTTTTTTTTTTTTTAAGACAGGGTCTTGCTCTGTCGCCAGGCTGGAGTGCAGTGGCGTGATTTTGGCTCACTGCAACCTCTGCCTCCCGGGTTCAAGCAAATCCCCTGCCTCAGCCTCCCAAGTAGCTGGGATTACAGGCGCATGCCACCACGCCCGGCTAATTTTGTGTATTTTAGTAGAGATGGGGTTTCACCATGTTGGCCAGGATGGTCTCGATCTCCTGACCTCGTGATCCACCCACCTCAACCTCCCAAAGTGCCGGGATTACAGGTGTGAACCACCTTGCCCAGCCCCTAATTGGGTATTCTTTATTATTAATACCAATTTTTAACTCTTGGATTATACTTACTAATATTTTTATATAAATTTTGGATCTAATTTTGTTTCTTCCTTATTAGTCTTTGGTATTAAAATCATCTAAATTTATAAAAATAATGACAGAGATGTCCAACTTTTCCATGTTTGCCTGATAACAAAGGCCTTAAATTAAGTTTATATAAAGGAATCTTCCTTGGTCAGGCACAGTGGCTCACACCTGTAATTCTAGCACTTTGGGAGGACAAAGCAGGCAGATTACTTGAGCCCAGGCATTCGAGACCAGCCTGGCCAACATGGTAAAACCCCATCTCTATTAAAAATACAAAAATTAGCCCGGCATGGTGTCTCATGCCTGTAGTCCCAGCTACTTGGGTGGCTGAGGCAGGAGAATCGCTTGAACACAGGAGGCCAAGTTGCAGTGAGCTGAGATCACGCCACTGCACTCCAGCCTGGGTGACAGGGCAAGACTCTGTCTCAAGTAAATAAATAAAACCTTCCTAGAATTCCATCCTTTTCTGGTAAATTTTCTTACTCTCCCTTCAAATTCTTCAGTTCCAAAAAACTCTCTGACCAGGAAACACTCTGAAAACAGCCTTTTCTTGGGGGCCTTAGTAAAACATACGTCTCTCACTCTAGTAAGAAGACATTCCTTCCACAGTAATCTATGCAGTGATGTATGGCTATGTTTAACTGGCTCTTAAACCAGAAAAACATGATTTGTAGCATTTGCGAATAAGCCACCATGGAAAATTTCAAGCTACCAATGTGACATAACTAAACATGGACTTGGGAAGAAATGTCCATGATTGCCTCTTGGAAGCAGTGAAAGTTAGTTCCAGCATACCATTGAATCAAGGTCCTTCCTCTACAAATGTTAGAGAGTTATGCCAGATTGTGGAGAAATTAAAATGTTACAGAAGACTGGACTTTACCCTGAAGGTAATAAGAAGACCGGACTGCCTTTAGACAGTAGAATCCTCTCCTAGGCTTTGGGCCTCAGGGCCTCCTCTCTCTGACCCCCATGCTTTGGAGTGCCTTTCTCAAATAGTTCCAAGTCTTGTCCACTGCCTGAGACCAGGCAAGGTGACAGTGGCCTCATGTCCATTGCATCCCTTCAGGGCACTCTCCAACACCCTACCTGTCATTTGGTTCCTCTTCTACTCTCCCCCAAGTGGGGTTTCCCAGATGTCCAGAGGAAATCCTGGACCCATGCTTATGCTGTGGCTGCAGTCAGCCTACTTCTAGAAAGGTGACTAGTAAGAGCAGTATTATTTTGTGGGATCCCACAAGATTGAACTGCTGATTTTGAGTGACTCAAATTGTTTATATGGACAGGGACCCTCATATAAAAAAGTATTTGCCTTTTACAGTTAAGCTGGGTATAAAGCCATAGGATTAGTGCTAAGCTAGTGTAATAAATAGGAAAGTGACTGAAATGAAATGTAGGGCTTAAGGACTGACTAATGAGTGTGAGCGTGGGGTTGGGGAAGGGACACTGATTTAAGTCATTTATATAGAAGCAACATGAAAGCCCTCACAGCAATAATTCTGTGAAGGAACTAATGTAAAGAAAAAAAGCAACAGAGATTAAGACTCAATCTTAAAGTTGTAAACACATTTGAGAAGTGGGAGAAAGAGGAATTGAAAAAGAACATGAAGAATGGGTAGTCAAAGGGTTAAGAATTGTTAAGGATGTGGAGTAATCCTCATTAATGATAGTTTTCTTTTAATTAAATCATCTTTGTGGTTTTTAAAAAAACCTTAGTATAGTGTATAAGGTCAAATAATGAAAAACTGTTCCTAGGAGCATTTTGTAAAAACAAAAAACTGGAACAATGAAAATACAAATGGTGGTTATAATGCAAAACTATACAGCAATAAATATGTGAGCATACACAACATTATAGATGATTCTCACAAACAATGTTGAGTAGAAAAAGCGAGGTCCAAGGAATAAAGTTCATATTAAGTTCCAAAACAGGCCAAATTAACCTATGCTGTCAATACTCAGGATAGTTGTTTACTTTTGGGAAAGAGGAAGTAGTGATTGGCAAGAACACAAAGGGAGCTTGGGGTTCGGTTAATGTTCTATTTCCTGACTTGGGGGTGGTCAGAATGTGTTCCCCTTGTCAAAATTCATAAAATCATTGCTCTATATACTTAAAATGTATGTACTTTTGTCAGTATAAACTATGCTTAAATGGAAAAGTTTATTTTATAATGTAAAAGATACCTCCAGCTGGGTGTAGTGGCTCATGCCTGTAAGTAATCCCAGCACTTTGGGAGGCTGAGGCAGGCAGATCACTTGAGCCCAGGAGGTGGAGACTGGCCTGGGCCACATGGCAAAACCCCGCCTCTACAAATAAAAAATTAGCTGGGTGTGGTGGTGTGTGCCTGTGGTCCCAGATACACAGGAGGCTGAGGTGGGTGAGCCGAAATCATGCCACTGCACTCCATCCTGGGTGACAAAGCGAGAACCTTTCTCAATAAATAAATAAATAAGGAGTACTTCCAACTTTCCATGGCACCCTAACCTCTAGTCTTTTTTTTTTCCTTTTTGTGGAGAACGGGGTCTTGCTACATTGCCCAGGCAGCTCTCAAACTCCTGGGCTCAAGCTCTCCTCCCGCCTCTGCCTCCCTAAGTGCTGGGATTAAAGGCATGAGTCACTGCACCCAGCCTAACCTCTAGTCTTAATTTCCAGAGGTAAACAGTATATTAACAGCGCATTATCCGGCCAGGCACGGTGGCTCACGCCTGTAATCCCAGCACTTTGGGAGGCCAAGGCAGGAGGATCACGAGGTCAGGAGATCGACACCATCCTGACTAACACAGTGAAACTCTGTCTCTACTAAAAATACAAAACATTAGCTGGGCGTGGTGGCACACGCCTGCAGTCCCAGCTACTCGGGAGGCTGAGGCAGGAAAATGGTGTGAACCCGGGAGGCAGAGCTTGCAGTGAGCCAAGATCATGCCACTGCACTCCAGCCTGGGTGACAGAGCAAGACTCCATCCCAAAAAACAAACAAACAAAAAAAAACAGTGCATTGTCCATCATTTCTGTTCACAGATAGTATTTAAAGTGCCATGCCCTATTTCATTTCTGTTCAGAAGTTAACCATCTTGTTAGTATAGACAAAGAAAATAGGAACAAATAATCCTCAAAATAACATTAATTTGTTTTTTAAAATTTAATTAGGAGTACATCCCATGGTGGGCTCCATTTTACTCAAGAGACAAACCTCTTATCCTTGGTCATGTATAGAAGAGAAAGGTAGTGACCATGCATGTATGAATGACAATATTAGAAATTAAATTCACAACTAAGGAAAAGGAAATATTGCACGAAACTAACAGCTCATGCCAAATGACGGGAAGTGGGGCATCCCACATTTTATAAACCATTGCCAGGACGTGGGACTGTATAATTTATACTCCTCAGAACCATTGCACTTCTCTTTTTTTTTTTTTTTTTTTTTTTTTTTTAGATGGAGTCTCGCTCTGTCGCCCAGGCTGGAGTGCAGTGGCATGATCTCCACTCACTGCAAGCTCCGCCTCCCGGGTTCACGCCATTCTCCTGCCTCAGCCTCCCGAGTAACTGGGACTACAGGTGCCCGCCACGATGCCCGTTAATTTTTTGTATTTTTAGTAGAGACGGGGTTTCACTGTGTTAGCCAGGATGGCCTCCATCTCCTGACCTCATGATCCGCCCGCCTCAGCCTCTCAAAGTGCTGGGATTACAGGCATGAGCCACCGCACCGGGCAACTTTGCACTTCTTAAGATGATGGCTGGTGCATAGTTCCTTGGGGGTCCAATTTTACATTTTTAGTAGAGAAATGTACTTCCATACACTTTGAACTTCAAAATTAATAACATATTTCTTTTACTCTTCCAGAGATTATGGAAAGAATGCTGAATTTTATAAACAATGGCAGCACTGTCCTATAAAACAATGGACCAGTATCATTCAAGATACTCAGTGACTCAAGATTAAAGCATAGCATATTGGCATTAGACGAAAATTTAGACATCACGAAGTAGTATTTATTGCATTTCGCCTGCCATCATCTGTTCCTCATTCTCTTGATAGCAACACCTTGATTTTCCTTTGGAGAAACACCCTCTTACCTATTCTGAGTTCCTGTGTTTCAAATGAAACAATTCACCCCCATCCTAGGTCCAGGAGTGGACATAAGACCCAGGAACGAACAATCAACATATCCCATTTCCCTGGATCTAGTGATTATTCCAAAGATATGCACATGTTCCTCCCCAGGCCAATGAGGAGCAACTGCAGAATATTTTGCTAGAATCATTGAGACAAAGGTGTTTTCTTTGCGTTGGAGTTATTAAATAATAAGAATATAATTTAGAGTTGTGAAAGGCCAGCGCATGGAAGCCTATTTAACATGATAAGGATTGGACAGAGTCTCAATGATTTCATTTAGGTCCTGAATCCAAATGCATCCAAAAATAGTGCTATTACAGACTAAATTGTGCCCCCTCAAAATTCTATGTTGAAGCGCTAACCCCCAATGTGAGTGCACTTGGAGACAGAGCCTTTAAAGAGGTCATACTGGGCGCAGTGGCTCACGCCTGTAATCCCAGCACTTTGGGAGACCAAGGCAGGTGGATCACCTGAGGTCAGGAGTTCGAGACCAGACTGGCCAACATGGCAAAACCCTGTCTCTACTAAAAAACAAAAAATACGGCTGGTGCAGTGGCTCACATCTGTAATCCCAGTGCTTTGGGAGGCCGAGGCAGGCAGATTACTTGAAGTCAAGAGTTTGAGACCAGCCTGGCCAGCATGGTGAAACCCCATCTCTACTAAAAATACAAAATAATTAGCTGGGCATGGTGGCACATGCCTGTAGTCCCAGCTACCTGGGAGACTGAGGCAGGAGAATGGCTTGAACCTGGGAGGTGGAGGTTGCAGTGAGTCGAGATCACACCATTGCACTCCAGCCTGGGCAACAGAGCAAGACTCCGTCTCCAAAAAGAAAAAAAAAAAATTAGCTGGGCGTGGTGGCAGGCTACTCCGGAGGCTGAGGCAGGAGAATGGCGTGAACCTGGGAGGCGGAGCTTGCAGTGAACTGAGATCGTGCCACTGCTCTCCAGCCTGGGCAACAGAGCGAGACTCCGTCTCAAAAAAAAAAAAAAATACAAAAATTAGTCAGGTGTGGTGGCGCACTCTGTTGTCTCAGCTACTCAGGAGGCTGAGGCACAAGAATCGCTTGAACCCAGGAGGTGGAGGCTGCAGTGAGTTAAGATCGCAGTACTGCACTCCGGCCTGGGTGACAGAGTAAGACACCGTCACAAAAAATAATAATAACAAGAGGCCAGGCACGGTGGCTCACACCTGTAATCCCAGCACTTTGGGAGGCTGAGGTGGCGCGGATCACGAGGTCAGTAGACTGAGACTATCCTGGCTAACATGGTGAAACCCCATTTCTACTAAAATTACAAAAAATTAGCCGGGCATGGTGGCACGTGCCTGTAGTCCCAGCTACTTGGGAGGCTGAGGCAGGAGAATCACTTGAATCTGGGAGACGGAGGTTGCAGTGAGCTGAGATCACGCCACTGCACTCCAGCCTGGGCGACAGAGCGAGACTCCCGTCTCAAATAAATAAATAAATAAATAATAACAGTCCCTAAAACGTGGAATTGGCTAATTGAGGTGAGGTATAAAGTAGTGAGAATTTCCCCACTCCCCAGTTAGGAATGATTATCAATTACTGGTTTTGGGTAAAAAACGCCTGGTTAGATTGCTGCCTATTTTATATTAGGACTCTTCATGTATTAAACAATAACAAGGCTGGATGTTTGGAGACTTGATAGAATATTCACTATGTTGAAATGTTTGCTTTTTGGTAAAGTCCAGCAAGAAAGAGTCAAACTTTGTTTGAACCTAGCTGGTCTAGAAATAGAAAATATGAAAAACACAGTTTTGCCTAGGTTAATAATCCAGGATGGCCAATAATCAGTTCTGGCTTTCCAGGATTAGAATGTCAAAATTCTATACCCAAAAATAAAGTGAACGCTAAGGAGGCCAGGATACTGATATCCACAGATCACTCCCAGTTACTTCCTGTTATTCATGCCCTGGATGACAAAGGGGACAATTGTTCTCATTACAAAGAGCCAGTCAAAAGAATGTAGCCAGAAAAGAAGGGACTGTCTCACTCTGCCTCTCCACCTCGGATACGGCCATGATAGAGGTCAACAAGCTACAAAGTAGTGGACGGCCCAAGCACTGGTTTGTTCTAAGAAACAAGATAAAAAGAATTCTGGTTTTGGTTATAACCTTGGGGAATGTGAATAGAAAACAAAAAAGTACTAACATTATATGTAAGTTATATTGCTTTAGAAACCCTAAGCCTGGCCAGGCGCAGTGGCCCACACCTGTGATCCCAGCACTTTGGGAGGCCGAGGTGGGCGGATCACCTGAGGTTGGGAGTTCGAGACCAGGCTGACCAACATGGAGAAACCCTGTCTCTACTAAAAATACAAAATTAGCCAGCCATGGTAGTGCATGCCTGTAATCCTAGCTACTCGGGAGGCTGAGGCAGGAAAATCGCTTGAACCCGGGAGGCAGAGGTTGCAGTGAGCCAAGATCACGCCATTGTATTCCAGCCTGGGCAGCAAGAGCGAAACTCTGTCAAAAAAAAAAAAAAAACCTGAGCCTAGCAAACAAAGACCTATGATTACTCAGCATCTAAGCCAATCAATACCCAAAGCCCCCAAACCTTCCCAAAAGGTTTCTGCTAAAGAAAAAAAAAGAGAGGAACTCTATTCTAATGACCACCTCAAACCTTTCTTTTTTTTAATATGGAATGCTTCACAAATGACGTGCACGTAATCCCCGCAGAGGGACAATGCTAATCATCTCTGTGTAATTCCAATTTTAGTATATGTGCTGTTGAAGCAAGCATTGTTTCTTCTGTTTTGAAAACGGTATTTTTTTACTGTGGTAATCCTGTTTTCCTTTCATTTTTGTGCAATAGATGTTTCAGGATGATCAAATATATTATTTAGCTATAGGTTCCAAAATCATAAGGCCTTTTAGAATAGTGCTATTCAAAGACTATAAAGCTATGTTGCACTTTTGCAACTATAGACATATATGTGATACTTCTGAGAATTTTTATTTAAGCCAAACAAAATAAAACAAAACACCATGATCTCTTGAACATTGTCATTGTCACTGTACTATTTCATGGCCAAGCCAAAATTCTTTGAGAGCAGATAATAGGAAAGATAGTATTTCATACAAAGTTGAGAAAATCATGGATGGCTAGTACAGGTTAACTAAATTATGCAAAGGCATGTATTGAGATGATGACACAATAAAGACAGGAATTCGGGGCTTTCTCTGTTTTCATTCAGAGACAAGAAAAGACTAGGCAGCAAAGCTGGGCATGGTGGCTCACACCTGTAATCTCAACACTTTGGGAGGCTGAGGCGGGAGGATCACTTGAGCCCAAGAGTTTTAGATCAGCCTGGGCAACATAGTGAGACCCCCCATCTCTACTGAAAATCAAAAATTATCTGGGCATGATGGCAATGTGCCTGTAGTCCCGGCTACTAGGGAGGCTGAGGTAGAAGAATTGCTTGAGCCCAGGAGGTTGAGGCTGCAGTGAGCCTTAATAGCGCCACTACCATCCAGCCTGAGTGACAGAGTGAGGCCCTGTCTCAAAAAAAAGAGACCAGGCAGCAGCTACTGACACCCTAGCTTACTACCCATCTCTGGGCACTATCTCTTATTAACCTATCTTTGAATTTTTATTAGGGTGACACCAGCAATAGTCCCATACTCCTAATCCAGGTAAGGGAAAAGAGAGCTGGAGGCAGAAACAAGGAGGGAAGGGATGAAGATGGAAAAGAGAGAAAGAAAATGAATGCCAACTAGTCTTCCTCTCCTCACTTTGGCAGTGATAGACTCTTGCTCACTCCCTTTGTGCACTCTGGTAGAAAAGCAGCACATTCCATTTAGTTATGCCTCTGTCAGCACGGCGAGTGTTATTTAATTGCAGAAAACAATTTGGAGATAAGAGTGAGATTCAGGAAGGAAATTATTTTCCTTTCTTTTCAAAAATGGTACAAAAATAACAAGAACAAAACCATACTTAAGGAAGGAAGTAGATGGAACACAATAATATGGAGAACCATTATTCCTTCCCAGATTAGGCAGGAGAGCTAGGATCTAGTCCTATCTGGCCACACAAAACACATGGTTCAAGCTTTCTGGAGTTCCGTTTCCTCATCTGAAAAGGCAGGGGGTTAATTTTGTATTAAGATACTTTGAAGAAGGAATAACCATTTTTCGTGAAAGTTCAAGGGAGGATATAAAAAGAAACTAAGATTTAACAACACTTATCTTGTGCCAGGTAATTAGCACTAGGATTTTTAAAGTAGAGACTCAAGCATCCTGGGTTTGTGTTTGTGTTCTGCCTTCTACTAGCTGTGTGACCTTGGGCAAGTTACCTAACTTCTCTGTGTTTCCTTGTCCCCAGCAGAAAATGGGAACAATGGGCCAGGCACAGGGGCTCACGCCTGTAATCCCAGCACTTTGGGAGGCTGAGGCGAGAGGATCACTTGAGTCCAGGAGTTCAAAACCAGCCTAGGCAACATAGCAAGACTTCCTCTCTACTAAAAATCTAAAAATTAGCCAGAAGCAGTGGTACAAGCCTGCAGTCTGAGCTACTCTGGAGGCTGAGGCAGGAAGATCACTTGAGCCCAGGAGTTCAAGGCCACAGTGAGCTATGACTGCACCACTATACTCCAGCCTGAGCAACAGACAGAGATCCTAACTATAAAAAATAAAAATAAAATGGGAACAATTGTACCTTCTCCAAAGGGTGGCTATGAGGAAAACAGTTTATATATACAATGTGGTTTATACATACTATATATACATATATATCATAACAGTAAACTGGCACAAAGTATTGCTATGTAATTGCTCTTATAATGATTATTACAACTTTATAGAGATATTTTTATAGATGAAAAAACAAAATAGATGAGGAAACCACGGCTTCAGAGCTTTGAGTTTTTCTGACCTCAATATTCGGTCTCTCAACTATTGATTACCCTGAACCAGTTAAAAGAAGTGAAAGTCAGCCGGGCGTGGTGGCTCACGCCTGTAATCCCAGCACTTTGGGAGGCTGAGGTGGGCAGATCACCTGAGGTTAGGAGTTCGAGACTAGCCTGGCCAACATGGAGAAACTGTCTCTACTAAAAACACAAATTAGCCGGGTGTGGTGACGCATGCCTGTAATCCCAGCTACTCGGGAGGCTGAGGCAGGAGAATCTCTTGAACGCCAGAGGCGGAGGTTGTGGTGAGCTGAGATCGTGCCATTGCACTCCAGCCTGGGCAACAGGAGCGAAACTCCATCCCAAAAAAAAAAAAAAAAAAAAAAAGAAGTGAAAGTCACAGAATTTTGTAGTCAGTTAGGGAAATCCTACCAGTTTCACAACGAGTCAATCAAAACCTTGCAATAAATACACAATAAAGCTGTGCTTCAAATGTCCTCCAACACCTAGCACAGCTTTTAGAACAGCTAATTTGCTTAGGTGAAGAAATGCTCCAGGCAGGGCACAGTGGCTCATGCCTGTGATCCCACCTCACTGGGAGGCAGAGGTAGGAGTCACTTGAAGCCAGGAGTTTGAGGGCAGCCAGAGCAACACAGAGAGACCCTGTCTCTGTGAAAAAATAAAAAAATAAATAGGCCAGGCATGGTGGCTCATGCCTGTAATCCCAGCACTTTGGGAGGCCCAGGCGGGTGGATCATTTGAGGTCAGGAGTTCAAGACCAGCCTGGTCAACATGGCGAAAGCCCATCTCTACTAAACATACAAAAATTAGCCAGGCTTGGTGGTAGGCACCTGTAATCCCAGCTACTAGGGAGTCTGAGGCAGGAGAATCGCTTGAACCAGGGAGGTGGAGGTTACAGTGACCAGAGATTGCACCACTGCACTCCAGCCTGGGCAACAAAGTGAGACTCTGTCTCAAAAAAAAAAAGAAAAATAGAAAAAAATAACCAAGTGTGATGGTGCATGCCTATAGTCCCAGCTACTCTGGAGGCTGAGGTGAGAGGATCACTTGAGCCCAGAAGTCAAGGCTGCAGGGAGCCAGGATCAGGCCACTGCACTCTAGCTAGCATCAGTGACAGAGTGAGACCCTGTCTCAAAAAAAAAAAAAGCCCCAAAGACATTACTCTTGTGTTGGGCTGAAATCCAGTGAATTGGTGGCCCCTCTCTCTCTCTCTCATCTGAAGGTTTTCAGAGATGCAAATTGCCTACTTGAAATTCTGTGGCATTAGACTTCTGCTTGGATGAGTCCCTGGCCAGGAGTAGAATCTTTTTTTTTTTTTTTGAGACTGAGTCTTGCTCTGTCACCCAGGCTGGACTGCAGTGGCACGATCCCAGCTTAGTGCAACCTCTGCCTGCCGGGTTCAAGCGATTCTCCTGTATCCCCTCCCTAGTAGCTCAGATTACAGGCACCCACCACCATGCCCAGCTAATTTTTATATTTTTAGTAGAGACGGGGTTTTGCCATGTTGGCCAGGCTGGTCTCAAACTCCTGACCTCAAGCGATCCACCCACCTCAGCCTCCCAAAGTGCTGGGATTACAGGCGTGAGCCACCTCGCCCAGCTAGGATCCATTTTTTTTTTTTTTTTTTTTTTGGGACAGAGTCTCGCTCTGTCACCCAGGCTGGAGTGTGGAGTGCAGTGGCGCGATCTCGGCTCACCGCAACCTCCACCTCTTGGGTTCAAGCAATTCTCCTGCGTCAGCCTCCTAGTAGCTGGGACTACAGGTGCATGCCACCACACCCAGCTAAGTTTTTGTATTTTTAGTAGAGGTGAGGTTTCACTGTGTTAGCCAGGATGGTCTCAATCTCCTGACCTCATGATCGGCCCACCTTGGCCTCTCAAAGTGCTGGGATTACAGGCGTGAGCCACCATGCCCGTTGTGTGTGTGTGTGTGTGTGTGTGTGTGACACGAAGTTTCAATCTTGTTGCCCAGGCTGGAGTGCAATGGCATGATCTCAGCTCACTGCAACCTCTACCTCCCGGGTTCAAGCAATTCTCCTGTCTCAGCCTCCCGAGTAGCTGAGATTACAGGCGCCCGTCACCACCCCTGGCTAATTTTTGTATTTTTAGTAGAGATGAGGGTTTCTCCATGTTGGCCAGGCTGGTCTCGAACTCCTGACCTTCGGGTGATCCACCCACCTCGGCCTCCCAAAGTGCTGGAATTACAGGCATGATCCACCAGGCCTGGCCGCCAGGATACTCTTTTAAAGGAGGAATTGGTAAATCCTTTCCCTCTGGTGATAGGGACAGTTTTGATAAAGATGGAAGGGGGAAAACCATGTGCATGACTCCAGACTCAGAAACCAAAACCCAAGTTGAATTCCATCTCAGAGTAAAATCAAGTACTACAGATGAGAAAACACAGACGGTAAGAATTATAAGACTAGTGTGTCTTTTCTTAGGGGATAAAAGCTGTTTGACAGCATCTGCAACAAGTGGTTCACAAACACGTCCATCATCTACTTCCTCAACAAGAAGGAGCTGTTGGAGGAGAAGATCACACACAGCCCCTGACCATCTGCTTCCCTGAGTACACAGGGTCCAACAAGTATGATGAGGCAGCCAGCTACAACCAGAGTAAGTCTGAGGACCTGAATAAGCACAAAGACACCAAGGAGATCTACACACACTTCACATGCGCCACCGATACCAAGAACGTAGTTCGTGTTTGATGCCATCACCGACGTCATCATCAAGAACAACCTGAAGGACTGGGGCCTCTTCTGAGGGGCAGTGGGACCTAGCAGGATGGGCCACCACCAACTCTGTACCCCCCAACCCCTGAGGAAGATGGGGCAAGAAGACCATGGTCCCCACCTGTTCCCTGGACACTTTTCTCTTCTTTCCTTTGTTCTTAGCTCCCCCATCCCCTCAGCTTCAGACATAGGGGAGGGGTTGCCACAGGCCTCCCTGTTTGAAGCCTGCCCTTGTCTGAGGTGCCAGTAATGGCCATGGTACCCCCTTTCTGGGCATCTTTCTGGTACCCCCCAGAAGCTGTGAAGATTCTATTCTACTCAGTAGCTCTCATTATGTAAAGAGGAACCCTGAAATAAATCAGTTGTTCCTGAAAGTTCACAAGAGTAAGAAAACAGACTGAATCGTAAAAGAACTAACTGGTATAAAAGAAGAAGCCAGAAAGTAGTGGACTGGGACCAGAGAAATAATATTTGAATTTAATTAATCTGTTCAACAAATATTTGCTCCTTGCTAACATTTTGCCAGGTCCTATGCTTGTTATACAGTTTTGATCAGACAGACACGGCCCAAGGGTACTTAGAAAGCTAGTTGCGGGTGAAGGGGGAGAGCCAATGTACAAGAAAACAAATATATATAATTGTAAGTTACAGTGGTGCTACAACAGAAAAAAAGAGGTTGCCATGTAAGATGATAAGAAGGTATAAGGAATTTACTTTGGACCAAGCATTCAGGAAGGCCTCTGAGGAAGGCAAAGCTTGACCAGAGGGTAGGAGGAACTCAGAGGACAGTGAAAGGAGAGAGGAATAAGGGGTGGGGGGGGAGGGTGGAGATTTCAAGGTGGAGTGAAAAATGCAAAGATCCTAAAATAAAAGCATCTCTAAGAATCAGAGGGCCAGTTTGGATGGCTTGACCTCTACCCTTCTTGAATCCCCTTTGATACTGAACATTTTGGAAAATCCCGTGTAGCATATACTGTGTGCCTTCCCACAATAACTGATGACTCTTAAATCTCACAAAAACAAATTCAACTGATGAATTCACGTCCTTTTAACATACATTTTGAAGATTATCTTAGCCCAAACCGGCACCCACATCCTTCTGAGCGTACTGACTCACTAGACAAAGCCAACCCCTCCCCTCCTGTGTACAAAAATAGCTTTTCCATATCTACTGTTGTAATTGTTTTTTTTCCAGGGCTTTATGCTCTACTGAAACTAAACACTTAAATGAGCAATTTCACTCTGGTTTTAAGCCCAGGGGAAATGACAACGGTTTTGTCTCTGTTTTGAGACTTAGGGGCAAATTTTAAATCGTTAATATATAATTAATCCTATGTAACATCATAGAAACAAAACATCTGATTCTTCTTTCAGTATATTGCACACGTAAAATGCACATGAAACCAGGTTTGGAGAGTGATTCTTAGTAACGTAGCCTTGCATTTGTGCTTCGACATAAAATTGAGACATTCTCAAGAGGCCTTGGGACATGGTGACATGTTGCGCAGTTTGGCCAGCAGAGGGAGACCAGAGAGTCGTGAAGCACGCAACGAAGCCACACCCAGATTAGGGTTATTATCTGTCTCTTCTCTGAATTTTCAAAAAACACAAAAAGAAAATGAGAAATTCTTAAAACAAAGCCCCTTTTTTATTGAAGCAAAATCCACATAACATAAAACTAGCCCTTCTAAAGTGTGCAATTAAGTGGCATCTACCTCATTCACAGTGTTATGGAACCGTCACCTCTATCTAGTTCCAAAACATAAGAAATGTTTAAATTTTCTATAAAGGGAACTTGCAAAAACCCAGGCGTGTCCTATCCTCCTTATTTCGTCACATTCCCAGTTTTGTGTCCACCGGTATTCTGTCAGGAATGGTCCCCACGTGTTCCCCCAACAGCCTTCGTCACTGTACAATTCATAGAATCGGATTCAGGGTTACAATTACAGGTTCGAAAACCAAAAACATCCCAGTTCTTTAGTTCTTCCTCTAGGAATTGCACAGTTGCAATAGACAAGCCAGTATAGGTGACTGTTTTAAAAATTCTACACATACTATGTCATTTATCAGCAAAGAAATGAATAAATTGTTTTAATTTAAATATGGTTACAAAACGGAAATGAACAATGTACTGCACCAAAGCCCTTCAGTCTTTGATGGGAAATTTAAAGTTATTCCCATCCAGAGTGAAAATTAAAGTTATTTCTAGGTTAGGATGCGAGCCAAGATTTTAAGGGCACCATGTCAACTGGTTAGATAACAACTTTGAGGAAAGCAGAACTTAATGTAATAAAAGCAGAAGGTTTACAATCTAAATCCACTTTTTTATTAAAGAATTTAATCTGCTTTATGGGGTCTTGGCCCAGGGAAGGGTAAAAAAAAAATGCCAAACTGGAGAGGCCGGGGGAGGGGAATGGCTGTAGATGACTCTGGGAAAACAGGAGGGAGGGAAACTGAAGCGCGAATGAGGCCGGATCCGCCCTAACAAAGAGGCAGAAACTGTGTCTCAACAGCCACCAAATCCAGTTCAGGGCGGTTTGAGCCAGTTTCTGAGCTGGATTGAGAACAACAGCCTCGGCAGAGACTTCACTAGGGTGAAAGAGAAAATCCAGCATGGACTTCGCAGAAAGAACTGGATTTGGCCTGGACTCGCTGGAGCCTAAAGCTGCTGCCAGTAGTGGCAAAGTCAGATGAAATATAAGGCCTGGAGCGTGGACAGTGGCCTCTTCCAGAAAGAGAAATCACACAGCACTGTCTCTGTGCCATAATCCAGTCCGCATTTTCTGTCTTGCTGCTCCTAATTGTGGCTGGTAAGGGAAAAAGGGCCTCAGGGTATCAGTTTTCAGAGAAAGCTGTCTGCAATGTTGGGGGAGGGGAGGATTATGTGTCTCCTGTAGTTTCATGTGTGTGCCTGGTGGTGGGGGGGGGAATGTGCGAGAGGGTCTGAAGGAGAGGGAACAGCACTTCACACCCTGCAGTTCACACCACCTTTCCAACAGCTTTGCTGTATTGCACAACCTCAAAATACACTGAACATAGGCGTTGTGGGAGCGCCCCACATACAAGTGGCACTTGTACAAGTCATTATCGGACCTCCTTCAGCCCTATGCATGAAATGGCAGTACCCATACCCAATACTGTCAACATTCTCTTTTCATCTGCGTCCAGAAATACATACAAGCCGTACATGCCTTTCTCAACTAAGAGACACAGCAGTATTAGGTAACAATGGAATGATAATCCTGTCCTCCGCTCCCCTCCCCCAAGTGCCAGAACCTCCTAAGATCTGATCAGTCCCACCCTGAAATGGCTCCTCTAACACTGTCTAGTAGACTGAACTGTGGTCTGCAGCTGTGGAGGCTGTGCACTGCCTGTGGCCAAGTTTGGCTCAGAACCTTCCCGAACCAGTACAGCCCTTCCCCACCAAAAATTCCTAGGAGTTGTACACAAAGTCCAGGTCGGCCTGGTGGGACACTGTGTGTGTGTGTAAATTCCCTCTCCCCTAAGTGTCCAAAGATGTTTAGAATCTTCCAGAGGCACTAAATGCCTCCAGACCCAGGGCTTCTCTGACTGAAGTCAGCCCTGGTGCGAGCTGGGGGGCAGGGCATGGAGCTTACGACTCTCCCATGCACAGGCTCAATTATAAGCAGGGCTGTAGGTTTCAGAAATATTCCTAAGAGACTGGGGAAGGGAAAAGGAAGAAGATCAGCTGAAAGATGTGAAAATGCTATTTTATTCCTTTTACCATGGATACATAGATGGAAAATTGGAACACAATCCACTCTACATTATTAATGTGCGAAAATCAAACACACGAAACATGTTGCTGACATTTTCTATTTAATGTTTATTACACAAATAAGTAACTCATGAAGCTCTTCTACGTCCATTTCATTAACTATTAGATCTGGACTGCTGGGGATTCTGATAGGTCTTTTCTTTCTTTAGGATTTGTTTCTTTTTTGGTAGGGAACAATGAATTGCCCCACATGAAGATGCAGTAGGCTGGAGAGGATAACAGTAATAACCGCTGGGTGTGGTGGCTCACGCCTGTAATCCCAGCACTTTGGGAGGCCGAGGGGGGCAGACTGCCTGAGGTCAGGAGTTTGAGACCAGTCTGGCCAAAATGGTGAAACCCCGTCTCTACTAAAAAAAAACACACAAAAACTAGCTGGGCGTCGTGGTGTGCGCCTGTAATCGCAGCTACTCGGGAGGCTGAGGCAGGGGAATTGCTTGAACCAGGGAGGCAGAGGTTGCAGTGAGCCGAGATGCCACCACTGCACTCCATCCTGGGCGACAGAGTGAAACTCTGTCTCAAAAAATAAATAAATAAATAAATTTTAAAAAACAGTAATAACCATAATACTGAGAACTCACTATAAACCAGGCAGTACCAAGTGTTTCCTATCTTAAATTATAACATACACACCGTACATTTCCAAGTTAGGAATTATTGTCCCCATTTTAGAGATGAGGAAAATGAAGTTTGGAATGATTCGGTACTTTACCAACGTTACACATCTATAATGTGGCAGGTAAAGATTCTGGCTCCAAAATCCATACATTTAAGCTGATACTATACCCGCCACCTCACTGGCAACGGATTATAAACCCTTTTTCAGATCCTACTACGTGTCAGCCTACTTCCGGCTGGGGGAAGATGGTCATAGCGAGAGGGGAAGAATTGGTTCAGTGATGAGAACATGGTTGGTTCCTGCCTTCAACAAGCTTTCAATCTAATGCCTGTTTTTTTCAAGGACAATTCAGAACGGTCTGACAAGGGATTTTTTTTTTTCTGCCTTTCGCCCCCAGAGGCACTCTGGGAAAAAGAGTTTAGAATTTCCCTGCCATTTCCGTGCTGTGCGGGGAGGAACACTTGAAATCGGGCCTGGCGGGGTACCAGGAGGCAGCACAAGCAGGCGGGGTGGAGAGGGGCAGGGCGAGGCCCCGGGAGCCGTCACCATGGCAACCCAGTCTGCTTTCCAGAACAATGTCTCTAACCAGGAAAACAGCTCCAGAGAGCTCGCTCTTCATAATCCCCGTGGCCTGTCGGGTTAGGGAATGCACAAAGGGGAGTCTTTCTCCATAGAGAAATGACTCTTTACAAGGCGGGGAACAAAGGGGAAACATTTGTTGTATAGGATCTTTCTTTGTTATCTGGCTGAAATAAAATCAACAAAGTGCAATTACTTAGTTCCTCTCCACTCTTCACAGGAAATGAACGCTGCATTGTTAGGCAAGGTTCCTTTTTGTGAATAATATTTGCTGTAATTTTTCTTTTATCCCCATTTTATAGATGAGAGATTAGTAAGCATGAATGAACTTGACCTCTGCAAAACTGTAATTTGAGAACCAGGGCGTCTTTTAGAAGGCTTTGTGAAGGAGGCCCTGCCTTTGCCGACTTTGTGATAAACCTACCAGATAATGTGAGGAGGGTTGGTGTCCACGTGCTCGGGGCCTTGGGAGCCACCAGCGCTGGCTGGACTCAGCCGCTGCGCTCTGCTCCCTGCGCTCGCCCCTCCCCCGCACCCGCAAATGCAGCCAGGAGGAAGAGGCGAGGAGGAATGCAGGAGGCATTCCAGCCCCACCCCCGCAAGCCTCCTCCAGCGAGTTCCGAAACTACTGCTAAGTGGGCTGCAAGGAAGACAGTGAACCAGCTGGTGACTGTACTCCTCCAGGCTTTCACATGATCTACAGCCTGACTACACCCAGCGCATTGAAGGTTGTCCCTTGCTCTCTCTGAGCTAGGGTGTGACAGCCCTTAAAGATGAGGGTAACATCGCGGTAGTCAGTCCAGGCCTGCAAGACCAGGAACAACAGCAGTTACTGTATGCCTAATAACCGACGATTTTCCATCAGTGTCCACACTTACAAATAATGTCATTTTTTAATAGTTATATAAACCAGAAAGGTTAAGAGTTCGGCTACCTCGTGGCAATAAAAGTCCTGCTCTCTGTGTCTGGGTGTCCCCGAGGAGCCCAATCCATGACAAAATCGGAAAAGCCAGAACTAGACCTACACCTCTGCAGCAGTCCCTTTGTGCAGTGATGGAGGAGAGAGGGTCCCTCATTACTGGAGAAGTCATGGGTCGCACACTTTCCAGTCTACGCTAGAGATTTTGTTGCCCTAAGGTCACTTGGTGACAGGAAATGCAGTCCCTGCCCATCCCCCACCCCCAGGGACTAAGTTAAGAACCACTGCCAGAGAACCCTTGGAAGGAGTTAATTGGATGAACTATGGATATTAAATTAAGGCCCAAATATGTTGTCCATTCCACAGAAACTTTTTTTTTTTTTTTGACAGAGTTTCACTCTGTCACCAGGCTGGAGTGCAGTGGTATGATCTCGGCTCACTGCAACCTCTGCCTCCTGGGTTCAAGTGATTCTCCTGCCTCAGCCTCCCGAGTAGCCGGGACTACAGGCATGTGCCACCACGCCTGGCTAATTTTTTTTGTATTCTTAGTAGAGATGGGATTTCACCATATTGGTCAGGCTGGTCTTGAACTCCTGAACTCACGATCCACCCGCCTTGGTTTCCCAAAGTGGTGGGATTACAAGCGTGAGCCACCTTGCCTGGAAAGACACTTACATTTCAGTAGATAAAGTTAATTTACCCCGCTTTAGGAAGTCAAATTAATGGATCTTTGTAGTGAATTTCTAAAGACTCTTACATTGTTATAATCTTCCTCCCCAAAGTTTGATTCTTGTATTCAACATTAATTCAACATTCATTGAAAACTTCCTAACAACCAGGCAATATGGTACTATTGGCTACGCTGGGCTTGTGAGTTTTAAAAATCACATAAAGCGTGGAATGTACTTTCAAAGAGCTTACAGGCTGGGAAGATACACAGGAAGTCAGCTATTCCAGAGTGACATGGCATATCCTTTATAAGGATAGGAAAAAGAGGATGTGATATGGGAGAAAAGAGGAGGGACATGAAAAACAGTAAGGTTGAGTGGAGTGAGATATAGCCAGTGAGTTTCTCAGAAAGAGCTGAGAAATGAGATGGAGTTAGCTAGAATAAAACCAGAGCTAGCAGTCAGAAAAACAGAATTTTCTTTCTTTTTTTTTAGACAGAGTCTCACTCTGTCACCAGGCTGGAGTGCAGTGGCGCCAATCTCGGCTTACTGCAACCTCTGTCTCCCAGGTTTAAGAGATTCTCCTGCTCAGCCTCCCGAGTAGCTGGGATTACAGGCACTCACCACTATGCCCAGCTAATTTTTTGTATTTTTAGTAGAGACGGGGTTTCACCATGTTGGCCAGGCTGGTCTTAAACTCCTGACCTCATGATTCGCCCACCTCGGCCTCCCAAAGCGCTGGGATTACAGGCGTGAGCCACCGCGCCTGGCTAGAAAAACAGACTTTTCATTCCAGATGTATTAACAAACAGGTCAGCTACCAGCCAGAATTAAAAGAACTCAAACGCTAAGACAAAGCAAGGAGTCTGAAGTCCACTAGGTCAGTAGCTTTTCAGGACCTGAAACAGGTGGACTAGCCCAGCAGAAGAACAGATCTGTTTCCTTACCCAGAAACTTCCAAACATCCTATCAGGATAATAACTAAGCTACTAGCACGAAAACCCTGAGAAAAGGTGAGCTATTGACATGCAGATTTCAACATCCAAAGCACTTTAAAATTTCAACATGTTATTTATAACTTTAGATTTCTTAGCAAAACTACACATTACTGGACCTAATATTAGAAGAGTAATTATTAGATACATGATCATGAGTCAGTACTAATGTTTTCACTAAAGTTTTCAAGTAGTCTGCTAAGACCTGTTCACACATGCTAGGCTAAGATCTAGCAGCAATTAAGTTAGGATTTATCCCTGTGCCACATACCCTAACATCCAATCTATTTAACCACTTTGACTCTTAAAGGGCAAAGAAGAAAGAGAGATTCCTTAAAAGATACGGGGACTTGTAGGGGCTGAAGTAGAGAAAGTTTGTTGCTGTTGTAACATCCCAATTTCGAGTCCCTTAGTAAGCACGTTTTCCAGACCCTGATTTTCTTTTCTTTTTTTCTTTTTTTTTGAGACAGGATCTGGCTCTGTTGCCCAGGCTGGAGTGCAGTGGTGTAATCACAACTCACTGCCGTTGCCTCTCAGGCTTAAGTAATCTTCCCACCTCAGCCTCCACAGTAGCTGGGACTACAGGTATGTGCCACCATGCCTGGGTAATTTTTCTATTTTTTGGGTAGAGACAGGGTCTCGCCATGTTGCCCTGGCTCAAGCTATCCACCTGCTTCAGCCTCTCAATGTGCTGGGATGACAGGCGTGAGCCACCACACCCAGATCCAGACCCTGATTTTCCCTTGCTGGTACTCATCAGTGATGTTAAAATATTTCAGTTTTCGGACCGGGCACAGTGGCTCACGCTTGTAATCTCAGCACTTTGGGTGGCTGAGGCGGGGGGATCATGAGGTCAGGAGTTTGAGACCAGCCTGGCCAATATGGTGAAACCCCATCTCTACTAAAAACTACAAAAATCAGTCGGGTGTGGTGGCGCACGCCTGTAGTCCCAGCTACTCAGGAGGCTGAGGCAGGAGTCACTTGAACCCTGGAGGCAGAGGTTGTAGTGAGCTGAGATCGTGCCACTACACTCCAGCCTGAGCGACAGACGGAGACTCTTGTCTCAAAAAAAAAAAAAAAATTTCAGTTTCTGGTCACAATGTAATATTGTATGACCTGACCTCTTTGAAATTAGACCTTCTGTCAATAAGGTAAAAGAGGAGGTAATATGATATGTGTAACTTCCAGGAAAAAGCTTTCAGATCTAATAAACAATTTGTCACTGTTTGAGAGATCAAGGAAGCAAGTGTTGAGTTGAAACCTCTTTGAGCCAAGATCTCCTTGCCAAGGCACATTAGACATGTAGTATGAGGAAGAAACAAACTTTTGGTGTGTTAAGCCATTGAGAGAATTGGTGGATATTTGTTATACAGTACAACCTAAATTAGCTTGATTAGTCACCTGTCGATATCTGTTTCTGTACCCTCATTTCTTCCCATCAGAAGCTGTGTCTTCTACACAGTCCTAGGCTTCAGAAGACACTGACTCCAGCTCCAGCTCCACAGGGTGGTTCAGTATAAGAATCATGGTAATATTAGTTCCTAATCACTAACTGGTTTAGTAAGTTTGCCAGGAAGTCTCAGCAGTTTCTCAGAGAGAGAGAGAAAGGATGTGCCTTTCTCCCTCTGGATGTTTTTATGACAATTATTTTATTATCTCACGGTTCTGTGAGTCAGGAATTCAGGAGCAGCTGAGCTGGACAGTTCTGGCTCAGATTCTCACATGAGGTTCCATTCCAGACATTTGCCAGGGCTGCATTCATCTGAAGGCTTGACTGGGGTTAGGGAATATACTTCCAAGATGGCTTATATGGCTGTTGGCATAAGTTCTCAGTTCATTGCTGGCTCTTAGTAGAAGACCACAGTTACTTACCCTGTGATCCACTCCATGGGGTTACTTGAATGTCCTCCTGTCGTAGTAGCTGGCTTTCCCCAGAGTGATCCCAACAAAAAGAACAGGAGGAAACCATTATATTTTATGTCCTAATTTTAGGAACAACACACCATCATTTCGACTTCATTTTATTCATTAAAGGAAGTCATTAAGTCTAGCCCACATTTAGGAGGAGGGGAATTAGGCTGCACTTTTGCAGGGAAGGAGGAATATTAAGGAATTTGTGGACATATTGTAAACCACCACAGATGTAACAGCAGGAAGTGCTGTTGCCATATTGAGTAACAGGAGGATCTAGCCTAAGGGTAAACCCTAACAGAGAGGAAAGCAGAACAGACATGGAAAGAATTTTGATGACATCACTGAGCCACTGATCTTACCATGCCTGGAACCTACGCTGGACTACTTAGTTATGTGAAAAAAAGTAAATTTCTTCCCTTACCATTTCAGTCTGTTTGAATGAGGTTTGCTGATATTTCCTGTAGGGAATGAAATCAACGTATCTAACCCACAATACATATTGTAAATTAACCTAGATATCAATATATAAATGTAAACATTTGAAAAATATAATCTCCATTTCTAAATTATTTAAATTATATATGTATAAAACTGCTTATTCAATTACATATACAGTTATATATGTATGTGTATGTATAAAACTGCTTACCATATAAGTTTTGTGCAATTTTTAAAAAATTATTCAAATAATTTCCAAATAATTTGTTGATTTTAAAAAACCTTTGGTGTGGCCGGGCGTGGTGGCTCATGCCTGTAATCCCAGCACTTTGTGGGGCCGAGGCTGGCGGATCATCTGAGGTCGGAAGTTCAAGACCAGCCTGACCAACATGGAGAAACCCCGTCTCTACCAAAAATACAAAATTAGCCACCCTCCCAAAGTGCTGAGATTATAGGCGTGAGCCACTGTGCCCAGCCACCAGATACGTTTTAAATAATTTTTTTGTGCCTTAGTTTTCTCATCTGTAAAATAGGGTACGGTTGGTGATGATAATTTCAATTCACAAATGAGTTAATAATGCTTTTATTTATTGATATATTTATTTATTTATTTTTGAGACAGAGTCTGTCACCCAGGCTGGAGTGTAGTGGTGTGATCATACTTTACAGCAGCCTCAAACTCCTGGTTTAAGGGATCCTCCCACCTAAGGCTCTCAAGTAACTGGGACTGCAGGCACACAACACCATGCCTGGCAAATTAAAAAAAAAAAAATTATAGGGACAGGGTCTCACTGTGTTGTCCAGGCTGGTCTTGAACTCTTGAGCTCAGGCCTCCCAAAGCTCTGGGATTACAGGTATGAGCCTCCACACCTGGCTAATATCCTTTTAGAATAGAACCATATAGAGAAAGTACTATGGAGGTGTTAATTTTTATTTTTATTAATAAAATCAATGTTAATGTCTTCAATCAATAGTCATTCAGTGAAGGCCGGGCATGGTGACTCACGCCTGTAATCCCAACACTTTGAGAGGCCAAGGCAGGTGGATCACCTGAGGTCGGGAATTCGAGACCAGCCTGACCAACACTGAGAAACCCCGTCTCTACTCATAATACAAAAATTAGCTGGGTCTGGTGGTACACGCCTGTAATCCCAGCTACTCGGGAGGCTGAGGCAAGAGAATCGCTTGAACCCAGGAGGCGGAGGTTGCAATGAGTGAGATCGTGCCACTGAACTCCAGCCTGGGCGACAAGAGCAAAACTCTGTCTCAAAAACAAACAAACAAACAAACAAAAATACAGTGCTTCCACACCAATGCAAAACACACCTAGACACAGAAGGAGCCTTGTGTTTGAGGATGATAGGTATTCATTTACCTTCACAAACCCTTCACCATATCTCAGATTGCTCATTGGGAAAAACGTATATTTTGTGAGATACTTTGGAAAGTCTCCATGTGAAGTTTGGTCCTGGTCATGTAATTATTATTTTCTAATTTCTTATTCTGTTATTTATTTTTTTCTTTTAAATTTACAAAAAAAGAGTACTAAAATATCAGGACTGTTATTTGCTCTGTCATCTAGGCTAAAATACAGCGGTGTGATCATAGCTCCCTGTAGCCTCCAACACCTGGGCTCCAGGGATACTCTCATCTTAGACTTCAGAGTAGCTGGGACTATTGCCTACACAAAGGACTATTATTCTTTTTTTTTTTTTTTTTTTGAGACGGGTCTAGCTCTGTTGTCCAGGCTGGAGTGCAGTGGTGCGATCTCAGCTTACTGCAACCTCCACCTCTCAAGTAGCTGGCACTACAGGTGCCCGCCACCACGCCTGGCTAATTTTTTTGTATTTTTAATAGAGACAGGGTTTCACCAAATGGCCAGGCTGGTCTCGAACTCCTGAGCTTGTGATCCGCCTGCCTCGGCCTCCCAAAGTGCTGGGATTACAGGCGTGAGCCATGCGCCCGGCCAGGGCTTTTTTTTTTTTTTTTTTTTTTTGAGACAGAATCTCACTCTGTCACCCAGGCTGGAGTGCAGTGGCATGACAGGATCTTGGCTCACTGCAACCTCCGCCTCCCTGGTTCAAGGGATTGTCCTGTCTCAGGCTCCTGAATAGCTGCGACTTCAGGCGCATGCCACCATGCCTGGTTAAATTTTTGTATTTTTAGTAGAGACGGTGTTTCACCGTGTTAGGAAGGATGGTCTCAATCTCCTGACCTCGTGATCCGCCCGCCTCGGCCTCCCAAAGTGCTGGGATTACAGGCGTGAGTCACCGTGCCCCGGCTGCTATTAATCTTAAATAGAGTAGATCAAAGTCACCAAGCCCCTTCTTGGAATATATTTACATATCTGTGCTCAGGGAGAAGGAATAATCTATGCAAATCCACTGCCAGTGGCTTTATTTCTCTAAGGCAGATATCTTCCCAAAGAAATAAGAGGGAAACTTGTTCCTTTATATTTCAAATAAAACAAAACAAAGAAAGATGCCCTGAGATTCTACTATGGTGGAATTTTAACTGGATTTCACCAAGAGAGGAGCCTATCATTCATTATGCAAATTAAGGAGGAAAAAAACCCCACTCTAGTCATTTCAACCAGTAGAGATTTAAATGAAGGAATTAGTTAATGTTGGGAAGTCCAGAGGACGAGAAGCTTACTCAATGAGTAGTAACTACTAACCATTTCTAGACTGGGGAAGCAAAATCACTGAGCAGAGGCCAAGGGTGCATGCAGCTAAGGCTTCTGTTATTGAAGCCCAGCTACCTGAACTGGAGCCCAGGAGCCTGCAAGCGCAGGCTGCTGTCGGAGTCCCCGTGGCTTCGTCTGCCCCAGACTTCACTACTAATGTTGCCCCTGCCATCAACGCTATTGCCGCCTCCATTCTTTTATCACTGGTGTGTAGTGCTGGAACTGCTGGAAACAGCTGCTTTTTCAACTGCTCAAAACTAGAAAAAGAGAGTCACAATTCCCTCCCTCTTGCCTTTTAATCTCTTTCCATTGGCAGAATCTGACCAAAAGTTTGTAAATGTAGATTACAGAATCTAACACACAGCAGAGCACAGAAGTGTGAGAATGAAGGTTGAAAATGTGAAAGGAAAATAAATCTTGGGGCCTCAAAAATCATTAAGCTAAGGGGAAAAGTCAAGCTGGGAACTGTTGAGGGCAAAGTTGCCTCCCATTGTATTCAAAGTCATCCCTCTGCTCACTGAGATAAATGCATATCTCATTGACTACTTTGGAAAGGCTAATTAGAAACTCAAAAGAATGCAACCATTTGTCTCTTCTCTACCTATGACCTGAAAGCCTCCTCTCTGCTTTTGCTTTTTTTGAGTGGTCCCACCTTTTTTTTTTTTTTGAGTTGTCCTGCCTTTGCTTCAAGTCATCCCACCTTTCCAGACTGAACCAATGTTCATCCTACATATGTTGATTGATGTTTCATGTCTCCCCAAAATGTATAAACCAAGCTGTGGGCTGGGAGCGGTGGCTCACGCCTGTATCCCAGCACTTTGGGAGGCCTAGGCGGACGGATCACAAGGTCAGGGGTTCGAGACCAGTCTGGCCATCATGGTGAAACCCCATCTCTGCTAAAAATACAAAATTAGCCAGGTGTGGTGGCAGGCGTCTGCAATCCCAGTTACTTGGGAGGCTGAGGCAGGAGAATCGCTTGAAACCAGAAGGTGGAGATTGCAGTGAGCCTAGATCAGCCACTGCACTCCAGCCTGGGCGAAAGAGTGAAACTCTGTCTCAAAAAAGAAAAAAAGAAAAAGAAAAACAAGCTGTATTCTTCCCACCTTGGGCACATGTCATCAGGACTTCCTGAGGCTGTGTCACAGGTGCACATCCTTAACTTTGGCAAAATAAACTTGCTAAATTGACTGAGACCTATCTCAGATATTCAAGGTCCGCAAGAACAAACAAATAACCAGTCTGATAAGTCGTAAGAAAGTTACACTCTGTCACATGGACCCTAAAAAGGCCAAGACACTCACTCGCCTTCCCAAGAAGAGTCTCTGTAGAGACTCAATGGTAAACCTGTAGGCAGTCAAGAGTCTCCTGTCCTCAAACACCTAGCAAGCAGTGCTATATGAAGGTACTAGGAAACTTTAACTAGGAAACTTTAAACAATTGAAGATTCTCGACTTCAGATAAGGGATAGGAACAAAAGCAGTACTGATAATATTGAAATACTGTTTTGTGATTGCATTTGATAGTGGGGAAAAGGACATATGAAACCCTCCAGACTTTTTCTCTTGGTGCCCTAAAACTTCTGGCTCATTGAGATTAAAAGGATCAAAATGCAATCTTATCCAGGGATAAAAGGCATTTTTACAATTGGAACTCTAAAATAGTATGTCATCCACTTTAGGACAAAGTGGATGGAGAGAATAAGGCATAATATCAAATACAAGTCCCCCAAATAGAAAGTTACAAGGGTGGACAGAATGTGGAAAAAAACTAAGACAAACCAAATGAGAACAAGCAAATTCTATTTATTCAGAGATTGCTATAGCTAGGGAGTCAACCACTGTCACTTGTATTTTGGCAGACACTCCAAGGCAGGCAGAGGAGTAGGAAAGTTTTATTGTAGGAAAAAGGAAAGGCTTCAACTATGCCCCAGTTAGAGGCTGTTGGCATGAGGAAGCTGTAAGCAGGCAAACTAGAAACAGGAATTCCTATGTGATTGGTTAGGGGTACACATTTGGCTTTCTCTGATTTTTTTTTTTTTTTTTTTTTTTTTGAGACAGAGTCTCACTCTGTCCTCAGGCTGGAGTACAGTGGCGCAATCTTGGCTCACTGCAACCTCTGCTTCCTGGGTTCAGGCGATTCTCCTGCTTCAGCCTCCTGAGTAGCTGGGACTACAGGCGTGCGCCACCATGCCCAGCTAATTTTTGTATTTTTTTTTAGTAGAGACTGGGTTTCACCATATTGGCCAGGCTGGTCTCAAACTCCTGACCTCAGGTGATCCACCTGCCTCAGCCTCCCAAAGTGCTGGGATTACAGGCATGAGCCACTGCACCCATCCGGTTTCCTCTGATTGGTCCTAATTTGGAAGCAGGGACAAAAATTAGAAAAGCGGTCAGTTATTAATCAAGTCCTGGCCATATTGGCTTGTTGTCACAGGAAACAACTGTTATTGTTTGGCCTCTTAGACTGTCACTAAAGATCTGTGACTCCCAACAAATCTGACTTACAGCAGACTGTCTCACTGGTTGGCTATTGAAAATAAGTGATTAGTTTCCTGGATAGGTTGCTGCATGTTGTCAATGAAGGAAGGAAGAACTTTACCCTCTTATGTTATTAGGTACCTGGGGCCTGCAAATTAAACTGACAAATATTACAACAGGAAAAACATATACAATTTCATTTGGTGTTAATGTTTTTATATGGCATGGAGGGCTTCACAGAGAAGATGTGAAAACCTCAAAACATGTGGATAGAGAGGTTTATATACCATTTTAACAAAAGGCAATAAATTGTGAAGACATAGGTAGATAAAGGACAGGGGTTTGGGCTTCTACAGGTGGTAAGTTTTTGGAAAGTACCTAGGAAGTATATGAGGAAAACTAATGGAAGATAAGGGCTATATTAATAAGGTTTGTTTGTGCAGACAAACAATCAGTGTCAATTCTCCATTTCCATTGATAAGAATGTTTTCTTTCTGGTTATGGGAGAGCACCTTTCTCATGGGAAATGTATGTCAGGCCAGGTGTGGTGGCTCACACCTGTAATCCCAGCAGTTTGGGAGGCCAAGGCAGGCAGATCACGAGGTCAGGAGATCGAGGCCATCCTGGCTAACACAGTGAAACTGTGTCTCTACTAAAAATACAAAAAATTAGCCAGGCATGGTGGCCGGTGCCTGTAGTCCCAGCTACTCAGGAGGCTGAGGCAGGAGAATGGCGTGAACCTGGGAGGCGGAGCTTGCAGAGATGGCACCACTGTACTCCACCCTGGGAGACAGAGTGAGACTCCATCTCGAAAAAAAAAAAAAAGAAAAAGAAAAAAAAAGAAAAGTGAAGGTCAAGAGGCCATTTGCTGTTTTTCAATTGCCTTCAGTTCAAAATAATCAATATGCTAAAGCAGCGTATTTGGGGGCAACATGTTCTGATCCCCTTCATGGGTCAGAGTTCTGTTGTTATCTATGGTTCAGCCACTGCCCATTTGTATTTCAACTTCAAATTGCAGTCTTTCGATTCCAAATTGCAGATGTACACTTGAGATCACACTCCTTCAGACATGAGCCTGCCCCAGAATGAGGCAGTGAGAATTTACTTACTTTATGATGGCTAATGATTCTTTTGAGCAGACAATTATTTTAGCCAATAATTTTAGCCAATTATTTTGGGTGAGATTAAATAGTAATAAGAAGAAAGCAATGTCACCAACCATTTTCCCTAAGATATGGTGGAAAAAATGATGGTTGCTTCATAACCCTGCAAGGAGTATCTGAATTTCCCAAATTGACACCTGACACCACGTATGCATCCCTTTTTTTTTTTAAACAGGGTCTCACTTTGTCACCTAGGCCAGAGTGCGGTGGCATGAACACAGCTCACTGCAGCCTTGACCTCCTAGGCTCAAGCGATCTTCCCACCTCAGCCGCTTAGTAGCTGGTACTACAGGAATGCACCACCACACCTGGCAAGTTTTTGTATTTTTTGCAGAGATGAGGTCTCACTATGTCACCTAGACTGGTCTCGAACTCCTGGGCTCAAGAAATCCACCTGCCTCAACCTCCCAAAGTACTGGGATTATAGGTTTGAGCCACCATGCCTGGCCCCCCATATGCACCCCTAATGGATAGAATTTGAAACTTGAAAAAATGGAGAAATTTAGCCGATTATTTTGGGCAGGAGTGCTTTCCCCATAATTAGGCTGTCTTCTGCCAGATTCTTTTAGGAGCCAACCCTAAGCAAAAGGTTTAAATGTAAGTAGTTTGAGTGGTGATCATAGGAAGCACTGACAGGGGAAAGGGGCAGTAAGACAGGGAAGTGAGGGAAGCCTAGACCATTACGTTACCAATGGGGGCAACCGAGGGTCAGTCATGCTGGGAACCTGTGGGAGCTGTCCCACCTGAGGGGAAGAGGAAGCTGGAGTTTGTCCTCTAATTACTATCAGTCATTAGTTTATAGTTGCTTCCAGGAGTGTTAACTCTACAGCGCTGAGGACTTTCTCTACACCTGAACTGAGGAAAAGCCCTCGGGCAGCATCATGTACTAGCAGTAGGATACCGTCTGCACATATAGAAACAGTAAGTATTGCAGGGATATGAGCATGGTACTGACAGGATCTTCCACACTGGCCAAAAAAATGAGGACTCTGATTCCCTATAAAGTACTGAGATCTAAGAGAATCCAAAAATGTATGATAGCAACTGTCCATATCGCTGACATTCTTTCTTCCTTCCCTGTGGGTAGATGTTTAGTAAATCCCGAAAATGTTCCCTAGGTCTGACTTCATTTTCTTTTCTTTTCTTTTTTTCTTTCTTTTTTTTTTTTTTTTTTGAGACAGAGTCTCCCTTTGTTGCCCAGTGCTACTGGCGAATCTCGGCTCAGGGCAACCTCTGCCTCCCAGGTTCTAAGCGATACTCTTGCCTCAGCCTCCAGAGTAGCTGGGATTACAGGCATGCACCATCACTCCTGGCTAATTTTGTATTTTTAGTAGAGACGGGGTTTCACCATGTTGGCCAGGCTGGTCTCAAACTCCTGACCTCAGGTGATCCACCCACCTCAGCCTCCCAAAGTGCTGGGATTACAGGCGTGAGCCACCGCACCCGGCCCTGACTTCATTTTCATTTACACCCCAATATTAAGCTCTGACCTGTTCTTTTGTTCCTTCAGAATTAATTGTTGGCATCTGAGCCTACAGTCTCTGCTTTAGCAGGCATATGCCAAGGATGTGGTATTAATCTTTCCTCAGCTTTTAAATATTAAATAAGCCTCCCAAATGGACCCTAGTTCTTGCCTGAAGTGGAGCTCTACTTGGCCAAGGGTTTTGCTTTTAGAGAGCTGAAGTGGAAATAAACAAACAGACGGTCAGTAACACTGACGCTTTCCAAAGCTATTAAGTAAACCCTGTTGACACTAGCAATCTTTATTGTTTGTTGTTCGTACATTATGGTTGTCTGATTAGGTAGCATGATTGACTTTAAACACAAAAACACTAAAGCAAGAAGGAATATGAATTAGCGTAGAACTTCTGGACAGGAAGTACATATGTATTAAGGTGTTGTGGTTAAGCTCTCGGGCTCTGGCAGGAGGCAGATTGGGTTACAAACTTGGCATCCCCACTTACTTGCTGTATGACAGTGAGAATATTATTTAACTTCTCTAAACCCATTTCCACGTCTGTAAAATAGAGATAACAACAGTGCTACCTTCCCATGGCTCTTAGGAAGATTTAGCAGGATAATGTATGTGACTCTGTTAGAATAAAGGTGATCTACATGTCATAAAATCCAATATATCAGTCAGGGTTCAGTGAAGGAACAGAGCTACTGTGAGTGTTATTAGGCAAGGGATTTATTATAGGAACTAGTACTTACACAACTGTGGGAGGAGTTGAGAAAGTAAAGATCCGGAAGGGGAAGCTGGAGAAATAGTCACTAAGCAGTCCCCTAAAGCCCTGGGGTGAGCAGACAAGTCGAAGCTTGCAAGGAAATCTGAGAAATCCAGGACATTCATCAGCCAAATTGGTACTGCAAAAAGGGAGCTCACTAAGCATTGTGTGGGAAACCATGCCCCTCTTAAGACACCTCTGTGTATGCTAAGTGTCTGGTGGTGGGCCTGCAACTGCTGTTGACCAGCAGGGCTAGCATTTGGGAAGAACAGCCTGGTGTAGAACAGAGGAAAGTGGACAAGCTGAACCCACTGGGCACCTTGACATCTGTCTATCACCATGCGGCACAATGAAGATCTTCAGAGAGGCATGGCTACCGTTTCACTTCTGCCTTGCAAATTATGAGCAAGCTCCTCGTGAGATCAACTCTAACCTAGGTCCATATAAGGGATTCCGGAAAAAATTCTGCCCAGATTAGTCATGTTGACGACAGAACAATCCAGCATACCCCAAATAATATTGGCTTTAAAAGTATAGTTTATTTCTGTCTCATGCCATACAAGTCTAGACGAAGTCATTCTACAGTGACAGGAACCTAGCTCTTTAGATCTTTTTGCACTACTATCCACAGCAAGCAGCTTTACTCCATAGTCTAAATGGCCAGTGAAGCTCCAAAAATCATGTCGTCATTCCAACCAGCAGGAAAAAGAAAAGAGTAAGTTGGGCTCACACATTCTTTATTTTTTTTTTTTTATTTTTTTTATTTTTTTGAGACGGAGTTGTTTTGCTTGTCTCCCAGGCTAGGATGCAATGGCATGATCTCGGCTCACTGCAACCTCCGCCTCCCAGATTCAAGCAATTTTCCTGCCTCAGCCTTCCGAGTAGCTGGGATTACAGGTGCGAGCCACAACACCTGGCTAATTTTTGTATTTTTAGTAGAGATGGGGTTTCTCCATGTTGGCCAGGGTGGTCTCAAACTCCTGACCTCAGGTGATCCACCCGCGTCAGCCTCCCAAAGTTCTGGGATTACAGGCATGAGCCACCATGCCGGGCCTTCACACATTCTTTTTTTTTTTTTTGAAATGGAGTCTCGCTCTGTTGCCCAGGCTGGAGTGCAGTGGCGCGATCTCCGCTCACTGCAAGCTCCGCCTCCTGGGTTCACGCCATTCTCCTGCCTCAGCCTCCCGAGTAGCTGGGACTACAGGCGCCTGCCACCACGCCCAGCTAATTTTTTGTATTTTTAGTAGAGATAGGGTATCACTGTGTTAGCCAGGATGGTCTCGATCTCCTGACCTCGTGATCTGCCCCCCTTGGCCTCCCAAAGTGCTGGGATTACAGGCGTGAGCCACCGCGCCTGGCTGCCTTCACACATTCTTTTAAACAACATGTCCTGGAAATCTCACAGAGCTGCAAGGGATGCTGGAAAGTGTAGCCTTTATTTTAGGAATTGTTATGTTCAGCTAAAACTTGAAAGAGGAAGAAAGAACCTATCAAGGGAGACGTAGCAGTCCTTGCCACAGTCCTCTCATCCATAAGCTCCTTCTTTTTATATAGAGCCCTCCTCTCTAGGAGAGAGAACTCCAAAGTGTCCTCTAGTTACTGCTTTAAGCTCAAAGTTGAGAAACTCTGGGTGATATGGAGTCATCTCCATCTTATCTAGATGTAGTGGCTCATGCTCCAGAAACTCATAAACAAAGTTATTTATCCTGCCTTTTTGGTCATATTCAGTATACTGTATAGTGGTGAAACAGGAATAGAGTAACCTTAATTAAAATTTCAACTGGAGAAGAGGAAAGCAGGAAACATGTAACACTCACTGGTACTGGTCCATAGGAGTTATCAAACCCTGCTGAGCACTAATTGCAGAGAACTCCCTGGCCTGAGAAGGGAGTTCTTTGATTAGCTCACCAGGCAGCCCTTGGTTCTGCTCTCTGAGATGAGCTTTTTCAATTACTATCCTTGTTGTGGACTGGATTGTGTTCTACCCCAAATTCACCACATGTGAATTTGGGGTAGAACCCAATCCCCCAATGGGACTGTTTTTGTTTTGTTTGTTTGTTTGTTGGGAGATAGAGCCTTTTAAAAGGCAGTTAAGGTTAAATGATGTCATAAGGCTGGGGTCCTAATCACATATGGCTAGTGTCCTAAGAAGAAGAGGAAGAGACCCTAGGGACGTACATGCAGAGAGGAACGGCCATGTGAAGACACAACAAGAAGGTGACCATCTGCAAGCCAAGGAGAGAGACCTCAGGATAAACTAAACCTGCTGATATATTGATCTTGCACTTCCAGCCTCCAGAACCATGAAAAAATAAAGAGTTGTTTAGACCTCCAATCTGTGGTATTTTGTTATGGCAACCATAGAAGACTGATGCACTTCCTGGTCCTTAGCTCTGCTCTCTCAGAAGTTCCTCCTTCATCAGCCTCCTCCATGGCCACATCTGAGACTGGCTTTGCTGAGTCATCCCTTTTTCGGGAGATACACTCTTTATTAAATCCACTTCATTTTTGTGCAGGCTTGGGGATTGCTATAGGGCTATAATAGTCACAGATTTTTGCAGGCAATATAATTCTTTCAAATATAATTTTTTAAAATTTATTTTCATTCAATTCTCTGTCCTTGTAAGTACAGCCAAAGATCTTGTCTAGCCACAGTGTTTTCGTTTGTTTGTTTAAAGCCTGAAGACAGATCTTTTTTGTTTTGTTTTGTTTTGTTTGAGACAGAGTCTCTCTCTGTTGCCCTGGCCAGAGTGCAGTGGCACAATCTCGGCTCACTGCAGCCTCCACCTCCCAGGTTCAAGCGGTCCTCTCACCTCAGCCTCCTGAGTAGCTGGGACTATAGGCATGCACCACCACACCTAGCTAGTTTTTATATTTTTAGTAGAGACAAGATTTCACCGTGTTGGTCAGGCTGGTCTCCAACTCTTGGCCTCAAGTGACCCACTTGTTTCAGCCTCCCAAAATGCTGGGATTACAGGTGTGAGCCACTGTGCCCAGCTTTACTCTCAATTTTTAAACTTTTTGAGACAGGGTATTACTCTACGCCCAGACTCATTGCAGCCTCAACCTCCCCAGGCTCAGGTGATTCTCCTGCCTCTGCCTCCTGAGTAGCTGGGACTACAGGCATGTACGCGCCATGCCCAGCTAATGTTTTTACTTCTTTGTAGAGACACGGTTTTGTCATGATGCTCAGGCCGAACTCAAACTCCTGTGCTCAAGCAATCTGCCTGCCTGGGCCTCCCAAAGTGTTTGGATTACAGGCATGAGCCACTGCACCCAGCCTTATCCCTCAATTTAATGGCAACTACCTTGAAAGTTGTTTAAAACACACTTGGATGGGAGAGAAGTACCCTTAATCTACTCTTTGCTAGCAGGTCAATGCTTTTGTATGAGGGGTCACTAGTTTTCTCTCTTACTAAGGTTGCAGGCTTTCAACCACTGCTTATAACTGGTTCAATTTTGAGTGCAAAAGCAGTTGCCCTTTTATTCTTGCAAGGGTCCAAATGGTCAACTTTGATTGTAGACTTGAGAAAAATAGCAATCTTTTAGCAAAGCTGTAGTCCCTTCTATCTCTGTTTCTCCACTGCCTTCTTGCCTGTAAGGCTTTCTGAAAGCATCAGTAGGCAACCAATACCCACAAAAATCATTAATCTTTCCTATCATTTCCCCTAAAGCTACAGCCTCAGTCAGCATGTGGTCCCCTTTTCAAGTTAAAGCAGGGAAATGTTTGCCACAAAATGACCAGCCTGTGATGTTGAGTCTATACCACCTGCCACTCAACTTCTAAGCCTAGTATCATGTTTTTGGTTTTTCTTAGTATTCCACTTCCAAGTTCTTAATCCTGTATCTATTAGGAATCCATTTAGCATGAAACACAGCAACCTAAAACTGACACTTATTTAAACAAGATGGAAGTTTTTCTCTTTCATGTGTACTAAATTGGAAAGAAATAGAGCAGGGCCTGAAAGCAGCTCAGCAGTCCTCGAGGACCCAGTCTTCTATCTTATTGTTCTTCCATCCTCAAAAATATTCCTCAAATTGGCCAGGCGTGGTGGCTCACGCCTGTAATCCCAGCACTTTGGGAAGCCAAGGCGGGCGGATCACGAGGTCAGGAGATTGAGACCATCCTGGCTAACACGGTGAAACTCCCTCTCTACTAAAAATAAAAAAAAATTAGCTGGGCATGGTGGCGGGCGCCTATAGTCCCAGCTACTTGGGAGGTTGAAGCAGGAGAATAGCGTGAACCTGGGAGGCGGAGCTTGCAGTGAGCGGAGATCGTGCCACTGCACTCCAGCCTGGGCGACAGAGCCAGACTCCATCTCAAAAAAAAAAAAAAAAATATATATATATATATATATATATTTTTTTTTTTTTTTTTTTTTTTTTTTTTCCTCAAATCTGCTGAAGCATCTAGCTGGTAAAAAGAAGAAAGTCGGGAAGATTATGTTACCTCCCTTTAAAGACAATTTTCCAGAAGTGTACATGGTAGTACTTTTGTTTACACCTATTGGTTATAACTTAACCCTATGGCACACCTAGCTGAAAGGGATGCTTTCAGCCAATTGTGAGAATACAGCTTAATTGCCAAGCTGTTAGGAAGAAAAGGCAAAAAAAAAAAAAAAAGAAAAGAAAAAGAAAAAGAAAAAATAAGTATGCTCTGTCTCTTTGGGTACACTGCCCAGAAAAAATACTCACCAATTCCAGTTGTGTCCTATTTTTGTGCCAGAAATTTAGTCACTTGGCACCCCTACCTGAAAGAGCAGCTAGAAAATGAAGCCTCTGTACTAGGAAGCCAAATGTCCAACTAAAAATTGAAGGTTTTATTACTAAGGGGGAGGCAAGAACAGATATTTAATCACAAATAGCAGTCTTGGCTCTAGCAGGTGAATCACATTGCACAATATCCATCATACTTTTAACAATTCACTGTGTTAACTATCTTTTGTATCAAAATGTGGCCCAGGCAGGAGCCTACACAGTCAGTTCTTTGTTGTTTCACTCTGACTTGGGTAACTTTTTTTAAAAATAGACTTTTTTTAGAACAGTTTTAGTTCACAGCAAAATTGAGTGGAAAGTACAGAGAGTTCCCGTGTACCTACTGCCCCCACACCTGCACAGCCTCCCTACCTTCTATGGATAACTTTTTATAATCACCATATAGAAGTGAAACCTAGCCTTCTACTTCTTCATAGTCCTTCACTGTCATCAACAGCACAAAATCTAGCTGATATTTTGAGTATGAAGCTACTTCACTGTGACTTAAAGAAACCTTAGAGAATAAACCATATACATACGGAAAACTGGAATGGAATTTTATTTGAGACAGGGTCTCACTCTGTCACCCAGGCTGGAGTGCAGTGGCATAATTATGGCTCACTTCAGCCTCTACCTCTTGGCTCAAATGATCCTCCTGCCTCAGCCTCCTGAGTAGCTGGGTCTATAGACGTGTGTCACCACACGTAGCTAATATATATATATACATTTTTTTTTTTTTTTGGTAGAGACGGGGTCTTACTATGTTGCCTAGGTTGGTCTCAAGCTCCTGGACTCCAACAGTCCTCCCACCTCAGCCTCCCAAAGTGCTGGGATTGTAGAAGTGAGCCTCCACACCTGGCCTGGAATGGACTTCTAAGGAATAAAATATATGGGCCGGGTGCAGTGGCTCACACCTGTAATCCCAGCACTTTGGGAGGCCGAGCTGGGTGGATCACGAGGTCAGGAGATGGAGACCATCCTGGCTAACATGGTGAAACCCTGTATCTACTAAAAATACAAAAAATTAGCTGGGCGTGGTGGCACACACCTGTAATCCCAGCTATTCTGGAGGCTGAGGCAGGAGAACCACTTGAACACAGAAGGCAGAGGTTTCAGTGAGCTGAGATGGCGCCACTGCACTCCAGCCTGGGCAACAGACCAAGACTCCGCCTCAAAAAAAAAAAAAAAAAAGTCTTATGTCTGGCATACTTTCTTAAATTTATATTATTAGCATATTTCTTGAATGCTAACCAGTAAAAGCCAAGCACAGATCAATAGTATATTTGTTGTACCACTGAGGATTTGTGCAGTGTGAATAAGTATATTCTATATGCTAATTTTTCTATTTAGGGAGCAAATAAGTATTAATATGACTTTAATAACTGTATTAATTTGTATTCATGCTGTTAATAAAGACATACCCGAGACTGGGTAATTTATAAAGGAAAGAGGTTTAATTGACTGAAAGTTCAGCATGGCTGAGAAGGCCTCAGGAAACTTACAATTATGGAGAAAGTGGAAGCAAACACGTCCTTCTTCACATGGCACAGGAAGGAGAATGAGAGCCGAGCAAAGGGTGAAGCCCCTTATAAAACCATCAGATCTTGTGAGACAAGCATTGGGGAAACCCCCACCATGATTAAATTACCTCCCACCAGGTCCCTTCCTGACTCATGGGGATTATGGAAACTACAATTCATCATGAGATTTGGGTGGGGACACAGCCAAACCATATCAATAACACAAAGAACAGCACGTAAAATTTGACCAGTTCTGGCTGGGCGTGGTGGCTCACGCCTGTAATCCCAGCACTTTGGGGGGCTGAGGTGGGTGGATCACGAGGTCAGGCATTCAAGAGCAGCCTGGCCAACATAGTGAAACCCCATTTCTACTAAAAACGCAAAAAATTAGCTGGGCGTCTTGACGGGCACCTGTAATCCCAGCTACGCAGGAGGCTGAGGCAGGAGCTTGAACCTGGGAGGTGGCGGTTGCAGTGAGCCGAGATCATGCCACTGCACTCCAGCTCGGGTGAAAGTGCAAGACTCTGTCTCAAAAAAAAAAAAAAAAAAAAAAATTGACCAGTTCTTTGCTAATGCTAAAAAAGAAGATTTAGTGATTCTCAACTGGCTATGATGACATGAGTCAGGAAAGTAACATCTCATGGCCCATGGAAAGGTTATCCTACTCATTACTCCACTCCTCAAATACTCTTCTCTCTGTCCCTTGACACCAGAAATTTGTTTGAAAAGAGATAAAGCCTTCTATTTCACAAAGATGTTGAAGAAAAACATAAGACTATTAGAGAGCACACATGGAGAGCTTAGTGAAAAGGTGTTTACTGCCAAACAGAGAGTTCATTTTAGCTCTTCAGGTAGACTTGGGAATGAGGCTTAGGGGAGAAAAAAAATGAGATAGTCTTTGAAGTCAAAATACAGTAAACTAGATCTGTCCCATATTAAGAAAGCAAGGTCTCTGAGTGATGTCATTGGCTACTCCTTCCTGGGTTCATGAGTTATTCAAGCCCAGAGCTGGTTGAAAGTGGTCTATTGTGAGCATTTAGTGCCCATCTCAGGATTACGGCATCCACCTGCCTTGGCTGGGTACGTGAGGACTCCCTTGAGATTACAGTGCCCAGCTTTCATCTGACATAAATTGGGATTATTTGACTCAGTCAAGTCTGAAAGAGGGTTGGCAGGCCAGGTGTCCAGGTCTATTAGGTGAAAGTTTATCACAAGTACAAGACAAAGGCAACTGAAGCTGAGAGTGGCAGAACAAAGCGAAAGTTTCAGTCAAGGTATAAATAACTGATCATAGATCCTGCCGTATTTCTTTTTCTTCTTCTTTTTTTTTTTTTGAGATGGAGTCTTGCTCTGTCGCCCAGGCTGGAGTGCAAGCGGCGCAATCTCAGCTCACTGCAACCTCCGCCCACCAGGTTCAAGCGATTCTCCTACCTAAGCCTCCCGAGTAGCTGGGACTACAGGCGCCCACCACCACGCCCAGCAATTTATTTTTTTTATTTTTATTTATTTATTTATTTTTTTAGTTTTAGTAGAGATGGGGTTTCGCCATGTTGGCCAGGCTGGTCTCGAATGCCTGACCTCGTGATCCACCCGCCTGGGCCTCTCAAAGTGCTGGGATCACAGGTGTGAGCCACCTCGCCTGGCCAGATCCTGCTATGTTTTGTTTGGAAGATAAGAAAGGAAAACAAGAATTTAATAACATTTCTATAATTCAAGCTGTAAGTGAGCCAACAGCAATTGTAGAAGATTACTTGGCAGTGACTAAGCATCCAAGCAGAAACCAGATGCATATCACAGCATGAGGCATTCAGATAGAGATATCTATAGGTGGTCACCTTGCTTCAATTCTACCAGGAGTCTTTCCTTTACACCCTCAGGTGTTTAAGAATCCACTTTTAAATTATAAAAATAAAATTACTAGACATTAGCTAACTGAGAAGGACTTGGAAAATAAAGAAGCTGGAAAGTAGGGAAACATGAAAGGGATGAAAGCATTAGAAAGGGAAGAACATAAGCTTCACCTATTTCACGATCCAATCTGCAACTCTCCTGGTAGTTAAGTTGTGAGGTTTTTTTGTTTTTGTTTTTTGAAACGGAGTCTTGCTCTTGTCGCCCAGGCTGTAGTGCAATGGCATGATCTTGGCTCACTGCAACCTCCACCTCCCAGTTTCAAGTGATTCTCTTGCCCCAGCCTCCCGAGTAGCCGGGATTACAGGCATCTGCCACCACTACCACTAATTTTTGTATTTTTAGTAGAGATGGGGTTTCACAATATTGGCCAGACTGTTCTTGAACTCCTGACCTCAGGTGATCAGCTTCCCAAAGCATAGGAATTACAGGTGTGAGTCAATGCACTCAGCCAAGTTGCAGTATTGACACATGCATGAGTATGTTCATTGCAGCACTATTCAAAATAGCCAAGACATAGAATGAACCTAGATGCTCATCAATGGTGGACTGGATAAAGGAAATGTGTATATATACACCATGGAATACTACACAGCCATAAAAAAGAAGAAAATCATGTCCTTTGCAGCAACATGGATGGAGCTAGAGGCCATTATCCTGAGCAAATTAACTCAGGAACAGAAAACCAAATACTGTGTGTTCTCATGTATTAGTAGAAGCTACACATTGAGTACACATGGACACAAAGAAGGGAACAACAGACACCAGGACCTACCTGAGGGCGGAGGGTGGGAGGAGGGTGAGGACTGAAAAACTGCCTATCAGTTATTATGCTGATTACCTGAGTGACAAAATCATCTGTACACCAAACCCCTGTGACACACAATTTACCTATGTAACAAACCTGTACATGCACCCCTTGAACTTAAAATAAACGTTGGAAAGAAAAAAAAAGTTACAGTCTCGAATTACTAAATTTACTTTGCTGTAAAATCACACAAAGCATTGTTTTTATGTTGGTCAAGTATCAGGTAGTATTCCTAAGTTAATGCTAAAGTAATGTCTTTAGTCGCAGAAGAAAAAGGATTTTTCTGACCCAACCCAAGAAGGCCCCTTTTTTCCCAAAGGGAACTGCTAGTCTGGTTAGGCACTTGTAACCCAACTTCACCTCAATTTGTGAAGAACTTATTAAACTAAATTCTCATATTACTGAGCAAAATTTTCCCAAATCAGAATTCTTTAGTTCCTTAAATCTTTAATTTTAAAGATTTTTAGAGGTTTTTCTGAAACCAAAATTCTAAAAAAATTACAAATTTCCTCATAATTATGCTTCTTTCAGGGAGCCAGATCTTTACATACAGACTTCTCCTGAGTAACAAAATTTGCAATTCCAAATACCAAACTGAAGTTTTTCTTCTACTCTTTCCAAAAGGAGGTAAGTAACCCATTTGGGATTATACTGGTCCCAATTTTGCACAAAAGATTCTGCCTGGGCGGGGAAAAAGTTCTAGGGGTTTTGAAAGATGTAAATTGCCACTTGTACCAAAGGGATGCTTATTGTTGGACCAGAATCGTTTCTTCAGGCCTAATTTACATCTAAATGTGGAGCAAGAGAGTGACACAGAAGGAAAACTCCACCTTTTCGTCCACTGGAGAAATGAAGGTAAGAGGGAAAAAATTCAAAAATTGTTTTCCACTTGTCATTTACTAAGTTGGAAACTGGGGGGGTTTTGTGAGAACATTGCAACTTCTCATTTTTCTCTCATGGTTTTTCACGCTTACTTGGTTCCTGGTGGTGGTGATTAACAACAGAACTCTTAAAGAGAGAGAGAAAAAAAAACCTCCTGTCATGGGTTTGTCTTTAGAGCCTGAAAGAAAAGTGAAGGATGGGGATGCAGGGGAGGAAAGATAATGTTTTTCCTCAACCCTCCTAAGCTCTTCCTTGGAATAGACTTCTGTAACAAAAGACGCATTAACACAAGAAAAACAGTTTATTAAGGCATGCAGCGCACATCTCAAGGGAGAAACGTCAGTGAAAAGTAACTCAAAATGGTGGCTTAGAACTCCACTTACAAGGCATCTTCAACAAAGAAAAACAAACGTGTAGAGAAATGACAGGACAAAGAAAAGTGGTTTTAGGTTTCCAAGCATGGGAAATTATGGGAAGGTAAATACATGGGAGTCAAGTTTGTTTGCAGACTCTCCTGGGGCCTCTCAGGGCTGACAGGAATGTAGAGCTGTCTCCAGTAAGGGAGAATCTATATCCTGTCTTCAGGAAGAAAAGCTAGAGGATAAGAGTTTTTTCCCCGTTTGCTGCTTCTCAATTGCCTTCAGCTCAAAAATAATTTTTATGTCAAAGAAGCGTATTTGGGGGTGACATAGTCTGGTTTCCTAAAGAGGGACTGTGTGGTCAGACGAGAAGAGAACCACTAGGAGTTGTGTACACAGCAGCAGCACCTAAAGGCGAGAAAGAAGGCCACAGCCCACACAACCAGGAGGGAAGGAGAACGCAGCCAGCATTGAGACAGGGCCCTTGGCTGAGCAGTCCGCAGGCCCATGTGTGAGTTCTCAATTAGCTGTCATAACATTCTGAATTTATTATCTATGGTCATTAGTCTCATATTTATCTCCCCAAGCATGCCTAAGCATTCATGCAGCTGTTGCAGATGGGGGAACCCTGGTCAGTGATTGGCCTCCTCATGCAAACTGGGCCAGTGAATCTCCGTGGAGGCCACGCTTTCCTGACCCAACAGTCAGCTCCCAGGAAGAAGTCCTCCCTCATTTTCAAGGCCTCATTCTTAGCTGTATCTGGGTGAGTGCTTAGCTGCCTCCACTATCAGGTCTCTTTTATCATTTCCCGCTCGCAGTAGCTTCCTGGGGATGGGAGAGAGGGTTAGGAAAAGGAAACAAGAATGATACAATCAGCCCACTTTTCTAGCACTTTGTACATGCAACTTTTGACATTTTTTACAGGCGTTTTACAGACATTTTTCTTTTATACATATAAAAGCATACCATATAAGTGACATTTGTTGTATAATTGGTCATGTGTTTTGTAGAGATTTTTTAATGTTCCTGAAATATGATAATGGCAAAGCCTGTAAAGTTTGATATGAGTTTATTGGCACTCATTAGATCACAAGACTCTTCAATTTCTGGCTAACTGCAGGCTAGGAAAAATATTTGTTTTTAGTTTGTGTGTTTTTGTCCTTACTCTCTTATTTTATTTTTTATTTCGTTTTATTATTTTTTTGAGATGGAGTCTCGCTCTGTAACCCAGGCTGGAGTGCAGTGGCGCGATCTCGGCTTACTGCAAGCTCCGCAGCCCGGGTTCACACCATTCTCCTGCCTCAGCCTCCCGAGTAGCTGGGACTACAGGCACCCACCACCACGCCCGGCTAATTTTTTTTTGGTATTTTTAGTAGAGACGGGGTTTCACCATGTTAGCCAGGATGGTCCCGATCTCCTGACCTCGTGATCCACCCGCTCAGCCTCCCAAAAGTGCTGGGATTACAGGCGTGAGCCACCGCGCCCGGCTCATTCCTGTTTTAAATCTTCAAACGGGGTCACAACTTTCCTGTTTCAATTTGCTGACTTCGAGCAATCAATTAGCAAAAAAAATTTTTTTTTTGAGACGAAGTCTCACTCTGTAACCCAGGCTGGAGTGCAGTGGCAAGATCTCAGCTCACTACAAGCGCTGCCTCCCGGGCTCATGCCATTCTCCTGCCTCAGCCTCCTGAGTAGCTGGGACTACAGGCGCACGCCACCACACCCGGCTAATTTTTTGTGTGTGTGCTTTTAGTAGAGATGGGGTTTCACCATGTTAGCCAGGATGGTCTCGATCTCCTGACCTTGTGATCCGCCCACCTCGGCCTCCCAAAGTGCTGGGATTACAGGCGTGAACCACTGCGCCCGGCAGCAAATATTTTTCTAACCCGTTTCTTACTGGGTACTTTGTGAAAGCAAGCTAGGCGATATAAGACAAGTTTCCTGTACTCAAGTGGCTTAAAATTTGGTTAGAGAGATTTTTTGTTTTTGAGACGGAGTTTCACTCTTGTTGCCCAGGCTGGAGTGCAATGGCAGGATCTCAGCTCACTGCAACTTCTGCCTCTTGGCCTCAGCCTCCCAAGTAGCTGGGATTACAGGCTATTTTTAGTTAGAGACGGGGTTTCGCCATGTTGGCCAGGTTGGTCTCGAACGCCTGACCTCAAGTGATGCACTCGCCTCAGCCTTCCAAAGTGCTGGGATTACAGGTGTGAGCCACCGCACCCAGCTGGTTAGAGAGATTGGATTCAAAGGATTCTATTATCCTTTGGTTGCTAGGATTGATTCAGCCATTGTTAGCAGCAGTGGTTCCCTTCTTTTCTCTCTCCACCTATGCAGATCTTTCACAAAGCAGATGAGTTTCTCATAGAGATAGGAGAAACACTCGCTTTAGACAAGGATCATTCGTTTATGAGTATAACGAAACACGTAACATGATAATAAACAAAAGAGATTTCAGGCCGGGCGTGGTGGCTCACACCTGTAATCCCAGCACTTTGGGAGGCCAAGGTGGGCAGATCATGAGGTCAGGAGTTCGAGACCAGCCTGACCAACATGGCGAAACCCCATCTCTATTAAAAATACAAAATGTAGCCAGGCGTGGTGGTGCCCGCCTGTAATCCCAGCCACTTAGGAAGCTGAGGCAGGAGAATAGCTTGAACCCGGGAGGCAGAGGTTGCAGTGAGCCGAGATCATGCCACTGCACTCCAGCCTGGCGACAGAACAAGACTCTGTCTCAAAAAAAAGAGAGATTTCTGGATATACTTTCAGCGGAATGGTACAATCCTGGGATTACCTGATCATCTAAGGATATTTACTTGGCTTTGACTAGAGAGTTGTACAACTCCTTAGAGACTAAAATTATCTTGCAGAAAACAAGAAGCAATACAAATTATTTTTATCCATAACCATGTGGATGAATTCTGTCCAGTGAGGGGACAAATTTCCTTCTCTCCCAAAAGTCAGTTTTACATCCACTTGGAAATTTAATGTTTATGATTTATACATATACCTGTTGTTTGGATTCTCCTTTGGACCTGTTGTAATATCTTAACTGTTTTCCTCATTTAACGAAAGAGTCAGTAAAATCTTCAACACATTCTTTTTATATTTATATAAGATTTATAATTTTTTTGGGGGGTGGCAGGGGGACAGGGTCTCGCTCCATCACCCAGGCTGGAGTGCAGTCGTGCGATCTTGGCTCACTGAAACCTCCGCCTCCCTGTTTCAAGCAATTCTTCTGCCTCAGCCTCCCAAGTAGCTGGGATTATAGGTGTGCACCAGTATGCCTGGCTAATTTGTTTTTTGTATTTTTAGTCGAGATGGGGTTTCACCATGTTGGCCAGGCTGGTCTTGAACTCCTGATCTCAAGTGATCTGCCCGCCTCAGCCTCCCAAAGCGCTGAGATTACAGGTGTGAGCCACCTGCACCTGGCTGAGATTCATGATTTTGTCATTAGAAAAAATCCTTTAACATTAGGAGCAGAGAAACTCTCAAACTAACTTGGTCAAATGGAGAAATATAATGGGAATATATAGGCCCATTTCAAGGGAAACTAAGGCAGGATGCATCAAGGCTTCACTAGATCTAGAACAGAAAAATCTTTAGGAGACCCAAGAAGTTATCATTTTTCCAAAGCCACATGATCTTTTGTCTCTGCCTCTCACTTTGCATCTGCTTTGTCTTACTCCTTTTGGACTCTTATAACAAAACATCTTAGGGCCGGGCACAGTGGCTCACGCCTGTCATCCCAGCACTTGGGGAGGCCAGGGCAGGTGGATCACCTGAGGTCAGGAGTTCGAGACCAAACTGACCAACATGGAGAAACCCCGTCTCTACTAAAAAAAATAATAATAATACAAAATTAGCCAGACGTGGTGGCGCATGCCTGCAATCCCAGCTACTCGAGAGGCTGAGGCAGGAGAATCACTTGAACCTGGGAGGCGGAGGTTGCGGTGAGCCGAGATTGCACCATTGCACTCCAGTCTGGGCAACAAGAGCAAAACTCCATCTCAAAAAAAAAAAATCTTAGAATGGGAAATTTATAAACAACAGATATTTATTGCTTATAGTTCTGGAGGCTGAGAAGTCCAAGATAAAGGCATCAACAGATTCAGTGTCTGGTGAGGGCTCTCTGCTTCATAGATGGCATCTTCTCTGTGTCCTTACATGGTAAAAAGGGTAAACAACTCACTTGAGCTTCTTTATGAAGGTTCTGCCTACATTATTTAATTACCTCCTAAGGGCCTTTTTTTTTGAGACAGGGTCTTGCTCTGCTCTGTCACACAGGCTGGAGTGCAGTGACGATCTTGGTGCACTGCCTCCTCAACCTTTTGGGCTTAGCAATCCTCCTCCCTCAGCCTCCCAAGTAGGTGGGACCAGAGGTGCCTGCTACCATTCCTGGCTGATTTTTGTAATTTTTGTAGAGACAAGAACTTGCTACATTGCCCAGGCTGTTCTCGGACACCTGGCCTCAAGTAATCCACCTTGGCCTCCCAAAGTGCTGAGATTACAGGTGTGCTCCACCACACTGGCCCTAACCCTTAATACAATTACATTGGTGATTGAGTTTCAACATGAATTTTGGGGGGATATAAGCATTCATGCTTTATTCTCTTCTCTTTCAGAAAACTGATTTTCTCTGCTTTTCCATGTACATGGGAGAAATGGCTATCAAAGCCCTGAAGTTACAGACACTTCCTTTTTTTTTTTGAGACGGAGTCTTGCTCTGTTGCCCAGGCTGGAGTGCAGTGGCACGGTCTTGGCTCACTGCAACCTCTGCCTCCTATGTTCAAGTGATTCTCCTGCCTCAGCCTCTCAAGTAGCTGGGATTACAGGCGCCTGCCACCACGCCTGGCTAATTTTTTGTATTTTTAGTAGAGACGGGGTTTCACCATGTTGGCCAAGCTGGTCTCAAACTCCTGACCTCATGGTCCACCTGCCTCAGCCACCCAAAGTGCTGGGATTACAGGCGTGAGCCACCACGCCCAGCCACAGGCACTTCTTTCATTTACTCATTCAACAAAAATCTGTTGGATACTTACTATGCCAGACACCTCTTGCTCCAGTACCACCATCCAACATATGAACATTTCAGTATTCCTATACACATTTCTGAAAGACAGAATCGTGGTGTCTCAGCTATAGCTGGGTCATGCATCCACTCTGAACAGTTGTGCCCAGTGGGGAAAATTACATAGTCCACTGCTATGGGAGAGAATTCCCAAGATGGCTGGATAAAGCAGACAAAGGAAGTAACATGTTTTCTTCATACATAAAATGTAGACTTCTAAAATAATACAGTGTTCAATATGTACTGTGTTTCAGTCCCAGCTGGAGTATAGTGCCATACAGTTCTGCCACTAACCACTTGGAGGTAGTGCACATGTCACAGGTTCATGGTTCAGTCTTCCTTAAGACTGCCCTACTTCAGATGCCAGCCACAAATGCCAGAGGTCCCCAGGCCACCCATACATTTGACTAATTTGGCTTCACATTTCAGGTTTTTATAACTCCTTCAGGTTTGAGAATTTACTAAAACAACTCAAGAAAATTATCTACTTATTGTTAGCTTTATTATAAAGATACAGCTCAAGAATTATCAATTGAAGACACACATAAGGAAAGTTCTGGGAGGGAAGGCAGAGCTTTGGTCACCTCTCCTAAACAAATTTGGATGAATTGTCATCTTGGTACATCAAGGTTCACCAACCAGGATTCTCCACTGAGCTCCAGTATTCAGAGTTTTTATTGGAGATTCATTATGTAGGCATGATTGATTGAGTATATCATTGACCAAGTGAATGAACTCAATCAGGTCAGCCTGGCTCAAAGTCCCAACCATCTAATCCTCTAATCACATGGTTGATCTTTCTGATGACCAGTCACCATCTTGAGGCTAGTGGCCCAAAATGAGTCATGCCCCTAGTATTACAAAGACATTTCTGTCACTCTGGAAGTTCCAAAAATTTTTGAAGCTCTATGCCAAGAACTGAGACAAAGACCAGATATACTCTTTATTATACCGTAATATATTATATGTATATACATGTTATACATACATATAATATATATTATCTTTATATTGTATTAAATGCTATAAGTGTTCAGTTACCCACTTTCCACTGGGGGCTACTGGCTGAGATAAAATGAGCTGGCCTGAAGGAATAGAAATTCCAAGAAGGATAAAGAACAGAGAAAGCCATTCAGATGAGATTTAAAAAAAAATTTTTTTAATATGATAAACTGGTAAAATAAAATAAGTACAGTATTTTTGCTTGGCCTAAAAGAGATTTGTGTAGACTATAAAGTTCTAAAGGTGCTTGGAGCTCAACAGTCAAGGACTGTGAATATTAGGCTGATGACTTTTGGAAATTTATCTTGTTGATAGGAGGTTTCAGCAAGAAAGGGAGTTAGTGACATAAATGATATTTTAGGAAGACCACACTGACAGCAGTATGTAGGTTGAATTAGAAGAGAGAAATCAGAGAAGCTGTTAAGAAGTGTCAGTGTATAATTTTAAAAGTATATAAGTTTTAAAAGCATGGCTTTCATATAAATATAGAATGAACACGTGTCAGTGATTATTACTTAAATCATTAATGAGTCAGATAATAAGTTAACTTAAAGAAGAATTATAAGAGCAAGAAATATGTAATAATCTGAAAATGCATAGAGAAATATATTTGCTAGGTTTGAGATAAAACTTTGAAGGCTTCTTTTTTTTTTTGAGACAGGGTCTTGTTCAGTCACCCAGGCTGGTGTGCAGTGGCACGAACATGCTCACTGTGGCCTCCATCTCCCAGGCTCAAACAATTCTCTCACCTCAGCCTCCCAAGTTGTGGGCACTACAGGCGTGCACCATCATGCCTGGCTAATTTTTCATTTTTTGTAGAGACAGGGTTTTGCTATGTTGCCCAGGCTGGTCTCAAACTCCTGGGATCAAGTGATTCTTCCTCCTCAGCCTCTCAAATTGTGGGGATTACAGGCATGAGCCACCACACCCAGCTTGAAAAAGTAGTTTTCTACATTCAGAGTTGGAGATAGAATTTGAAGGAAAATAAAGGGCTTCCCATATACACATCAGAAACTAGAACATTAGGAATAATATAACAATATTCCTCATCAAACAAATGGTCACTATTAGATTTTCAGTTCTATGTAAATCTTGCTCCACAGGATATTGGGTTAGTGGGTTTCCACAGAGTCATCTGCTTCTGATCTAAAAATAATCTTGAAACCACAGTTAAGTGCCCTGATATAGTGAGACAGAGTATAAGCAATGCCAGCTTGAAGCCTATACCCACGAGTTTATTCACTGCAGTATTAATAATTAGAGTATCTGATACAGTCTTGTTCATAAGGCTCTGAGGATGTTCTTCTTTGATGAAGACCCAATTTTTACTTATAGCTTATGACAGAGCATTTAAGCAAGCATGAGAGAAAAGCAGAACCACATGTTGGTGATAAGACTGAATGGCTCTGATTAATTAGTAAGAGTAGCGAATAATATCAGAATGGAATATAAAATTCTTTTTTTTAAGGCGGAGTCTCACTCTGTGGCCCAGGCTGGAGTGCAGTGGCTTGATCTTGGCTCACTGCAACCTCTACCTCCCAGGTTCAAGCGATTCTCCTGCCTAAGCCTCCCGAGTAGCTGGGATTATAGGCAAGCGCCAACAAACCTAGCTTATTTTTGTGTTTTTAGTAGAGACTGGGTTTCACCATGTTGACCAGGCTGGTCTCGAACTCCTGACCTCAGGTGATCCACCCATGTTGGCCTTTCACAGTACTGGGATTACAGGTGTGAACCACCGTGCCTGGCCGAGAATAAAATTCTTTGTTGTTGTTTCGTTTTTTTTTGAGACAGAGACTCACTCTGTTGCCCAAGGTGGAATGCACTGGCGTGCTATCAGCTCACTGCAACATCCGCCTCCTGGGTTCAAGCGATTCCCCTGCCTCAGCCTCTTGAGTAGCTGGATTACAGGCACCCACCACCATGCCTGGCTAATTTTTCTATTTTTAGTAGAGATGAGGTTTCACCATGTTGGCCAAGCTGATCTCAAACTCCTGACCTCAGGCGATCTGCCTGCCTCGGCCTCCCAAAGTTCTGGGATTACAGGCATGGGCCACCATGCCCGACGGAGAATATAATTCTTTATAGGGAAAAATATATAACAATTCTATTAAATATTAATAAACATTTTCCTGAAGATAAGAACATGTTAGGGATAGTGAGAGCATTGCCAAATCTCCTACATGTAAAGTATACACAGTACCTGAAACATATTTATGTTTTTTGTTTGTTTCTTTGTTTGTTTTAAGCCAAGGTCTATTTTGTCACCCAGCCTGGGGTACAGTAGCACAATCATGGCTCACTGCAGGCTCCACCTCCCGAGCTCAAGCAATCCTCCTACCTCAGTCTCCCAGGTACTGTGGGACCACAGTTAACATGCCACCACAATCACCTAATTAAAAAAAAAATGGTATGGATGGGTATTTTGTATGTAGGTCAGGTTGGTCTTGAACTCTTGGGCTCAAGCAAGCCTCCTGCCTCAGCCTCACAAAGTGGTGGGATTACAGGAGTGAACCACCATCCATGCCTGGCCTCATATTTATCTTAGTAATATTTCACTTGTTCAAAATTAACCAACAGAAAGTCGCACTTCTGTTTTGATTTGACAATTCTTACTATGTGCTTCTTAAAATAGTGTTGAAATAATTACAAAATATAAAGGATACCAGACAAAATTCCACTTTGGCCTTCCCTTCTAAGAGGTAAAAAAACAAATCTTTGTGATTGCCAAGGACTCTCTGGGAAACCTCTAAGATAGTATAAGTTTAAAAGACTTCTTGAAATTATTATTTTTTTAAATTTAGGGTCTAATCATGGGAATTAAAAAACAGAGGAGACTTGGCCACTTGGTAAAAGTAGAATTATATGCTCCTGTATTAGAATTCTCTTAGAGGGACAGAACTAATAAGATATATATATATATATATATGGAGTTTATTAAGTATTAACTTACAGGATCCACAAGGTCCCACAATAGGCTGTCTGCAAGCTGAGGGGCAAGGAGAGCCAGTCCGAGTCCCAAAACTGAAGAACGTGGAGTCTGAGGGCAGGAAGCATCCAGCACGGGAGAAAGATGTAGGCTGGGAGGCTAGGCCCGTCTCTCTCCTTTTCACATTTTTCTGCCTACACTATTATATTCACTGGCAGCTGATTAGATTGTGCCCACCAGATTAAGGGTGGATCTGCCTCCCCCAGCCCACTGATTCAAATGTTGATCTCTTTTGGCAACACCCTCACAGACACACCCAGGAATAATACTTTGTATCCTTCAATCCAATCAAGGTGACAGTATTAACCATCACAGGTTCACCCCTTGTCAACTTGAACCCATACACATCCCCTGAGATCATATGTAATCTTAAAGACAATAAGGTCATAATTACACCTAACATAATACAACTATCCTTTGTACAACTAGAAATGCGCCAATCCCCAACCCAAATAGTATTATATAAAGTTAACAATACGTAAATGCTGACAGGAAGTCAATAAATCTTATGTCACATGATAAAGGAAAAGGAAATAAAATGAAGATATTTTCTTAGTACAAGGGTCTACATGCACAAACATGTTTTTAACAAAAGAAGGAAGAAATACCCATGACAGTTACAGTCCTCATTTCTGCAGCTGGTCACGTGGCTGTAGCTAGTTTTGATGACTACCTTTTTCTACTGCCCATTCTGTATTCCCTTTGCCTTCAGCAAGCACCTCAGCAGGTCGTGTGTTTTTCCTGGTGGAGTGACCCATACCTTCATTCCTGAAGGGTCTGGGTCATTTGTAGTTCTGCCTCAATTGGGCTGTTGTAGTTTCCGATTGACCTTAATCACAGGGCATGGTAATACTAAGGGACGCCCTAATGGATCTCCTGTATTCCATGCATACTCTTCCTTACCTCTGTTGTGGAGGAGTAGACTGATTTTATCTTGATAGTCCGGGCCAATCACCCCAGCCAACACTGTAACGCCCTTCTTTGCCTGTTGACTTAAAGGTAGGAGGAGCTCAAAGTGTCCAGGTGGCAATCTTTTTTTTTTTTTTTGAGTTGGAGTTTCGCTCTTGTTACCCAGGCTGGAGTGCAATGGTGCGATCTCAGTTCACTGCAACCTCTGCTTCCCAGGTTCAAGCGATTCTCCTTCCTCAGCCTCTTGAGTAGCTGGGATTACAGGCAAGCACCACTAGGCCTGGCCTCCCAAATTTTGTATTTTTAGTAGAGACAGGGTTTCTCCATGTTGGTCAGGTTGGGCTCAAACTCCTGACTTCAGGCGAACCATCCACCTCGGCCTCCCAAAGTGCTGGGATTACAGGCATGAGCCACCCTCCCTGGTGTCCAGGTGGCAATCTTAACTTCCAGTGTAATGGAATCATTGTGTCTCTGGGTGACAGCATTCCTCCCTCTGGAACTAAGACTTCTAGGCCAGCAGAACGTAATGTTGCAGGAACAGGAAGCAAAAATTTTGCTAGTGGATCCCTAGGGGTGATGATGAGTGATCGATCCACTTCCACCTCCAACCCTTGATTCCTGGACCCATGAACGCTGGCTATAGGAGAAACAGTACCATATGTTGGATGCTGATTAAGAGCATACACAGCCTTCTGGAGAACTTTGCCCCAGCTCTGCAAAGTATTGTCACCTAGTGGGCATTGTAATTGTGACTTCAAAAGGCCATTCCACCATTCTATCAATCCAGTTGCTTCAGGATTATGGGGAACATGGTAAGACCAGTGAATTCCATGAGCGTATGCCCACTGCTGCACTTCTTTAGCCATAAAGTGAGTGCCTTCGTCAGAGGCAATGCTGTGTGGAATACCATAACAGTGGATAAGGCATTCCGTGAGTCCATGGATGGTAGTCTTGGCAGAAGCATTGCACACAGGATAGGCAAACCCATATCCAGAGTAAGTGTCTATTCCAAGGAGGACAAACCTCTGCCCTTTCCATGATGGAAGAGGTCCAATATAATCAACCTGCCACCAGGTAGCTGGCTGATCACCCCAAAGAATGGTGCCATATCAAGGGCTCAGTGTTGGTCTCTGCTGCTGGCAAATTGGGCACTCAGCAGTGGCTGTAGCCAGGTCAGCCTTGGTGAGTGGAAGTCCATGGTGCTGAGCCCATGTATAACCTCCATCCCTGCCACCATGGCCACTTTGTTCATGGGACCATTGGGCAATCACTGGAGTGGCTGGGGAAAGAAGCTGAGTGGCGTCCACAGAACAGGTCATCCTATCTACTTGATTATTAAACTCCTCCTCCGCTGAGGTCACCTGTTGGTGAGCACTCACATGGCATACAAATATCTTCACAGTTTTTGATCACTCAGAGGGGTCCACCCACATACCTCTTCCCCAGATTTCTTTGTCACCAATTTTCCAATCATTCTTCTTCCTGACCATCCAGCCAAACCATTGGTTATAGCCCATGAATCAGTATGTAATCTCACATCTGGCCATTTCTCCTTCCATGCAAAGTGCACAACCAGGTGCACTGCTCAAAGTTTTGCCCATTGGGAAGATTTCCCTTCACCACTGACCTTCAGGGATGTCTTAGAATGGGGCTGTAGTGCTGCAGCTGTCTACTTTCACATGGTGCCGCCATATCATGCAGAACCATCTGTGAACCAGGCCCTAGTCCTCTCTTCCTCTGTCAACTGATCAAAGGGAACTCCCCATGAGGCCATCAGTGAAGGCTGGGGAAGAGAAGGCAGGGTGGCAGGAGTGGTGACCATGGGCATTTGAGCCACCTCCTTATGTAACTTACTTGTGCCTTCAGGACCTGTTCGAACCCAGTCACGTATATACCACTTCCATTTGATGAAGTGTGCACAGCACACTTCCAATGCTGCTGTGCATGACCCACTTTATGGCTAGATGGGTCAGAAAGCACCCAGTTCATGATAGGCAGTTCAGGTCTCATGGTGACTTACTTGATGACCCATAGTCAAACGTTCTGTTTCCACCAAAGCCCAGTAACAGGCCAACAGCTGTCTCTTAAAAAAAGAGTAGTTATCTGCGGAAGATGGCAGGGCCCTGCTCCAAAATCCTAGAGGCCTTAGGCCTATGGGAGGCTGCCAAGGGCTCCAAACAGCATCCCTGTATGCCACTAACACCTCAAGCACCATTGGCTCTGCTGGGTCATATGGCTCAAATGGCAGAGCAGCTTGCACAGCAGCCTGGACCTGTTGCAGAGCCTTCTCCTGTTCCGAACCCCACTCAAAACTGACAGCCTTTCATGTCACTCAATAAATGGGCCAGAATAACACACCCAAATGAGGAATGTGTTGCCTCCAAAATCCAAATAGGCCCACTAGATGTTGTGCCTCTTTCTTGGTTGTAGGAGGGGCCAAATACAGCAACTTCTTCTTTACCTTAGAAGAAATATCTTGACAGACCCCACACTGCTGGACCCCTAGAAATTCTACTGAGGTAGAAGTTCCCTGAATTTTAGACAGATTTATTTCCTATCCTCTGGCACACAAATGTCTCACCAATAAGTCTAGTGAGTTTGCTACTTCTTGTTCACTGCATCCAATCAGCACAATGTCATCCATGTAATAGACCAGTGTGATATCTTGCGGATGTGAAAAGCTATCAAGTTCTCTCCGAATAAGATTATGATACAAAGCAGAGAGTTGATAAACCCCTGAGGTAGGACAGTAAAAGTATATTGCTATCTTTGCCACCTGAAGGCAAATTGCTTCTGGTGGGCCTTATGAAAAGGAATGGAAAAAAAGGCATTTGCAAAGTCAGTGGCTGCACACCAGTACCAGGATACGTGTTAATTTGCTCAAGCAATGAAACCACACCTGGTACAGCAGCTCAAATTGGAGTCACCACTTGCTTAAGCTTATGATAATCCACTGTCATTCTCCAAGATCCAGCTGTCCTCTGCACAGGCCAAATAGGAGAGTTGAACAGAGATGTGGTGGCAATCATCACCCCTGCGTCTTTGAAGTCCTTGACGGTGGCAATAATTTCCGCGATCTCTCCATGGATGCAATATTGTTTTGATTTACTATTTTTCTAGGTAGAGGCAGCTCTAATGGCTTCCATTCGGCCTTTCCCACCATAATAGCTGTCACCCTACCAGTCAGGGAGCCAATATGGGGGCTCTGCCAGCTGCTAACCTAACATAATTGTCTCTGCCAGTTATGCATTCTGGCACTGGGGAAATGACCACAGGATGAGTCCGGGACCTACTAGACCCACTGTAAGTCAGATCTGAGCTAAAACCCTATTAATTACGTTACCTCCATAAGCCCTTACTTTAACTGGAGGATCGCAATGATGTTTTGGGTCCCCTGGAATCAAAGTCAGTTCAGAGCCAGTGTCCAGTAATCCCCGAAATGTCTGATCATTTCCTTTCCCCAATGCACAGTTACCCTGGTGAAAGGCCAGAGGTCTCCTTGGGGAAGGATGGGAGAAAGATTCACTGCATAAATTGTTGGTAATGTAGTGCGGTCCTTCCTCAAGGGGACCCAGACTCGCCTTCATTCAAGGCGTTCTGGGTCTGTAAACTGGCTCAAATTGGAAAACTGATTGAGGGGTCATGATTCTCTGTTTTTATAATTCAAATAAGTCTTGTCCCTTTGACCTAGAAGTTTTCTGTTTGTATAATTTAAGTAGGAATGCAGTAGGCTTCCTATCAATTTCACTTCTAGGAACGCCAAGATTAATTAGCCGATGCCAGAGCTCTACAGAAGTCAGTCTATGCTGATTGCCACTTTGCCTCTGCTTTCCTTTATGGTAGCTATACCCGCCTTGCCTTTGACAGTTGGCACTTGGCCCCTGCCACTTCAGGATCCAATTATTCCCATTGTATTTAAATTTTGTAGTCGAGTGACTACAGCTGCCACTGTTAGATATGACATACAGTGAAGGGCAATTACAGGACTCTTCAAAGATGCAAGTGCTGTCCTCACGAATCTATTTCACAAGGCATTGGTCAAGGGTATATCTTCTGGACCCTCCCAGCTAGGATGAGCAGGTCTAAGATGACTAATCCACTCCACCATCCCAATCTCCCTAAGCTTTTGGATCCCTTCCTCTACATTAAACCAAGGGAGATCAGGCATTTCCAGTTCACTCACAGTGGGCCATCTTTTAAGCCATATTTCAGCTAACCAAGCAAATAAACTATTAGAATCTTTTTTAACTCCCTAACCTGATCGAGCTCTATGTTCCTTCTACCATTACCCCATACCCTTAATGTCCATTCCTGGCCAGGCACGGTGGCTCATGCCTGTAATCCCAGCAGTTTGGGAGGCTGAGGTGGACATTTCACCTTAAGTCAGGAGTTTGAGACCAGCCTGGCCAACATGGTGAAACACTGTATTTACTAAAAATACCAAAATTAGCCTGGCTTCATGGCATATGCCTGTATTCCCAGCTACTCAGGAGGCTGAGGCAAGAGAATCGCTTGAATCTGGGAGGTGGAGGGAGGTGGAGGTTGCAGTGAGCCGAAATTGTGCCATTGCACTCTGGCCTGGGTGACAGAGTGAGACTCTTTCTCAAAACAAAAAAAAATCCATTCCCATGCCTGTTCTCCAGGTTGCTATTTATATAAATTAGAGAACTCAAACAGTTCTTTTCTTTTCGCATATAGTACACCTCCTGATGGGTCACACTCTCAACCTCACTTCTAGGGCCCTGCTGGGACTTTAGTCTAGTTATAGGTCTAGAAGCAAACAGACATACTAGGGGTTGCTTCTGAGGGGAATCAACATTATCTTGCCTGGCAACTGCCTCAGGGGAGGCCATCATTGTTGTCCAAGAAGCGCAAGGTTTATCTTCTCAGACAAAGGTGGAAAGACGGCCTGGGCCAGGGAGGGGATGTTGCCACTACTGGGGATGGGGAAGCTGTTCTTTCTGGGAAAAAAAGTTAATTTGAGTTTACAAACTCAGTTTTCCTCAGCTTCATCAGGGTTCTCCCACACGTCCTCATTCCAAGTATCAGGGTCTTATTTTTTTCCAATTAATGCCCTTGCTTTAACAGTAGGCACCTGGTGAGGCTGTGCATGCGTCTTTTGTTGCAGGTCAGCCACTCACTCGCATGATAAGAGTTTGTGTCTGTTTTTGCACAATTTCAGCTCTTTGTCTGCAGGAGGTAAGACTCTCACTCAGGGCAATCTTAGCAGATTTGATTCTCAGTATCTGCTTCTGAAGCCAGAGACAGAATCCCTGAGTTCATCATTTTCTTTTTGAGATGGAGTCTCGCTCTGTCACCCAGGCTGGATGCAGTGGCACAATGTTGGCTCACTGCAAGCTCTGCCTCCCAGGTTCACGCCATTCTCCCGCCTCAGCCTCCCAAGTAGCTGGGACTACAGGCGCCCACCACTACACCCAGCTAATTTTTTTTGCATTTTTAGTAGAGACGGGGTTTCACCATGTTAGCCAGGATGGTCTCGATCTCCTGAACTCGTGATCCACCCGCCTCGTCCTCCCAAAGTGCTGGGAAGAGTTCATCATTTTCTTTCATCACTTTTTCCACTGAAATTAGGAGCAAACAATCAGCTTCATTATGTTCCTTGGTTCTCCACATATGGTCAAAGGTATTATGTATAGGGTGACAAAACTCCTTGCCTCTCACGAGCGCTGAATCAGGAGTGTCAAATGCATTTATTTTGTATAACTCTCTAAACAGTTTCTTCCAAGGACTATCAGTGTTTTCCATACTATTAGAAGTAGAGTCCTTAGCATTTTGGGGGCTAATCATATTAAGTGGCCAACTCCAGAAACTCCAAAACCAATAAAAGAACTCCATCCTTAATATTCTGTTCCTCTAGAACTACTCCTGGTAGCAAAATCTGTATTAGTCAGGGTTCTCTTGGAGGGACAGAACTAATAGGATATGTATATCCTATTGGGGGAGTTTATTAAGTATTAACTTTCACAATCACGAGGTCTAACAATAGGCTGTCTGAAGGCTGAGGAACAAGGAGAGCCAGTCTGAGTCCCAGAACTGAAGAACTTGGATTCCGATGTTTGAGGGCAGGAAGCATGCAGCATGGAAGAGAGATGTAGCTGGGAGACTAGGCCCATCTCTCCTTTTCACATTTTTCTGCCTACTTTATGTTTGCTGGCAGCTGATTAGATTGCATCCACCAGATTAAGGGTGGATCTGATTTCCCCCAGCCCACTGACTCAAATGTTAATCTCTTTTGGCAACACCCATATAGACACACTCAGGATTAATACTTTGTATCCCTCAAGCCAATCAAGTTGCTTAACACTCAGTATTAACCATTACAGCTCCCTAGAAAATAAACGGTTAAAATAAACACAATTAGGAATGATGAAGTGATACTACTACTGACCCTACAGAAATAAAAATATTTATTAGAAACTACTACAAACGCCTCTATGCACACAAACTAGAAAACTTAGAAGAGATGAATAAATTCTTGAACACATACACCCACCCAAGACTGAACCTGAAAGAAATTGATTCCCTTAACAGACCAATAATGAGCTCCAAAATTGAATCACTAATAAATAGTCTACCAAGCAAAAAAAGCCCAGGACCTGATGGATTCACAGATAAATTTGACTAGATGTACAAAGAAGAGCTGGTACCATTCCTACAGAACTATTCCAAAAAATTGAGGGGAAGGAACTCCTCCCCAGCTCTTTCTATGAGGCCAGCATTTTCCTGATATCAAAACCTGGCAGAATAAAAGTAAATAACAAACAACAACAACAACAAAAACCGTCAGAGACACAACAGAAAAAGAAAACTTGAGGCCAATATCCTTGATGAAGATTGATGCAAAAATCCTCAACAAGTACTTGCAAACTGAATCCAGTAGCATATTAAAATGCTAATTCTCCGCAGTTGTGTAGGCTTCATCTCTGGGATGCATGATTGGTTGAATATGTATAAATCAATAAATGTGATTCATCACATAAACAGAACTAAAGACACATCCACATGATTATCTCAATAGATGCAGGAAAGGCGTTCAATAAAATTCAACATCCCCTCATGTTAAAAACTCTCAATAAAATAGGTATTGAAGGAACATACTTCAAAATAATAAGAGCCATCTATGACAATCCTACAACCAAGTTCATAGTGAATGGACAAAAGCTGGAAGCATTCCCCTTGAAAACTGGCACAAGACAAGGATGCCCTCTCTCACTACTCCTATTCAACATAGTATTGGAAGTCTTAGCCCTAGCAATCAAGCAAGAGAAAGAAATAAATGGCATCCAAATAGGAAGAGAGGAAGTCAAACTATTTTTGTTTGCAGATGACATGATTCTATATCTAGGGAACTCCATAGTGTCAGCCCAAAAGCTTCTTAGGCTGATTAAAAACTTCAGCAAAGTTTCCGAATACAAAATCAATGTAAAAAAATCACTAGCATTACTATACACCAACAGCACCAAGCCAAGAGGCCAAATCAGGAAGGCAATCCCATTCACAATTGCCAGAAAAAGAATAAAATACCTAGGAATACAGCTCTCCAGGGAGGTGAAAGATCTCTACAATGAGAATTACAAAACCCTGCTCATATAAATCAGAGAAGACACTAACAAACAGAAAAACATCCCATGCTCATGTATAGGCAAAATCAATATCATTAAAATGGCCATACTGCCCAAAACCATTTAAAGAGTCAGTGCTATTTCTGTCAAACTACTAATGACATTCTTCACAGAACTAGAAAAAATTACCTTAAAATTCACATGGGACCAAAAAAGGCCCAAATAGCCAAGGCAATCCTAAGCAAAAAAGAACAAAGCTGGAGGCATCATGTTACCTGACTTCAAACTATACTATAGGGCTACAGTAACCAAAACAGCATGGTACTGGTACAAAAACAGGCACACAGACAATGGAACAGAATACAGAGTTCAGAAGTAAGGCCACACACCTGTGGCCATCTCATCTTCAACAAAGTTGATAAAAACAAGCAATGGGAAAAGACTCCCTATTCAGTAAATGATGCTGGGATAACTGTCTAGCCATATGCAGAAGATTGAAGCTAGAGCCCTTCCTTATGCCATATACAAAAATCAACTAAAGATGGATTAAAGACTGAAATGTAGAAACTAAAACTATATACTCTGGGAGGCCAAGGCGGGCGGATCACAAGATCAGGAGATCGAGACCATCCTGGCTAACACAGTGAAACCCCGTCTCTACTAAAAATACAAAAAAAATTAGCCGAGTGTGGTGGCGGGCTCCTGTAGTCCCAGCTACTTGGGAGGCTGAGGCAGGAGAATGGTGTGAACCCGGGAGGCGGAGCTTGCAGTGAGCCAAGATGACGCCACTGCATTCCAGCCTGGGTGACAGAGCAAGACTCTGTCTCAAAAAAAAAAAAAAAGAAGCAAAAAAGAAACTAAAACTATAAAAATGCGGGAAGAAAATCTAGACAATGACACACTGGACATAGGAACATGGAAAGATTTCATGACAAAGACACCAAAAGGAATGGCAACAAAAACAAAAATTGACAAATGGGATCTAATTAAAGTTAAGAGCTTCTGCATAGCAAAAGAAACTATCATCAGAGTAAACAGACAATATACAGAATGGGAGAAAATGTTTGCAAACTATGCATCTGACAAATGTCTGATATCCAACATCTATAAGGAAGTTAAACTAATTTACAAGAGAAAAACAACCCCATTAAAAAGTGTGCAAAGGACTTGAACAGATACTTTTCAAAAGAAGACATGCATGTGGCCAATAAGCATATTTAAAAAAAAGCTAAATATTACTGATTATTAGAGAAATGCGAATCAAAATCACAATGAGATACCATCTCACACCAATCAGAATGGCTACTATTAAAAAGTCAAAAAATGGCTGGGCGTGGTGGCTCATGCCTGTAATCCTAGCACTTTGGGAGGCCAAGGCCACGCCTGTAATCCTAGCACTTTGGGACGCCGAGGCAGGTGGATCACAAGGTCAAGAGTTCGAGACCAGCCTGGCCAACACAGTGAAACCCTGTCTCTAATAAAAATACAAAAATTAGCTGGGTGTGGTGGCATGTGCCTGTAATCCCAGCTACTCAGGAGGCTGAGGCGGGAGAATGGCTTGAATCCAGGAGGTGGAGGTTTCAGTGAGCTGAGATAGTGCCATTGCACTCCAGCCTGGGCAACAAGAGCAAAACTCCACCTCAAAATAAAAATAAAAATAAAAAGGTCAACAAATAACAGATGCTGGCTGGGTGTGGTGGCTCACGCCTGTAATCCCAGCACTTTGGGAGGCCAAGGTGGGCGGATCACGAGGTCAGGAGATCGAGACCATCCTGGCCAACATGGTGAAACCCCGTCTTTGCTAAAAATACAAAAATTAGCTGGGTGTGGTGGCGCATGCCTATAATCCCAGCTACTCGGGAGGCTGAGGCTGGAGAATCACTTGAACCCAGGAGGCGGGGGTTGCAGTGAGCCGAGATCGCGCCACTGCCTCCAGCCTGGTGCCAGAGCAAGACTCCGTCTCAAAAAAAAAAAATAAAATAAAATAAATGGTTATAGCTTGGCTGCTTATTAATCAAAGTGACAATGAAATCATTTAAACATGACAGAAGGTAACATAATTGCAGGAAAACATAGCAGTTTCAGGGTGATGTCTTAGTCCACTTCCTGCTGCTATAACAGAATAGTGCATATTAGGTAATTTATAAATAAATTTATTTATTTGGCTTATGGTTCTGGAGGTGAGAACTCCAAGATCTGGGGCCACATCTGATGAGGGCCTTCTTGCCATGTCATAACATGGCAGATGGCATCACATGGCAAAGAACCATAAGACACACAGAGAAAAAGGCAGCTGAACTTTCACAATAACTCAATCCCACAATAATGGCAGTAATCTGCTCATGAACATAAACCCTCATGACATAATTACCTCTTGAAGGTCCCATCCCTTAATACTGTCATGATGGTAATTCAATTTCCACATGATTTTTGGAGGGAACATTGAAACCACAGCAGAGAAACTAAAAAATAGAACAGTAATAAATAAGACAGCACAAAGCACAGAGCATGATTTTGGAGAGATGCCAAGTCTCATTACACTTTTTTTTTTTTTTTTTTTTTAGAAATAGAAATCTATCCTAAAATTCACATGGGGAAGATAAAGAGAAGTTGACTAGTGGTTACATATTGACAGTTTGATAGAAAAAAATAAAGCCTAGTGTCAGACAGTAGGGTCACTATAGTTTACAGTAGTCAATTGTACATTTAAAAATCACTAGAAGAGAAGAATTTAAATGTTTCTAGCATAAAGAAATAACAAATATTTAAGGTGATAAATATTTTAAGCACACTGATTTGATCTTTACAAATTAAATGAATGTATTAAATTACCACATGTAACTTGAAAATATGTACATTTATCATGTATCAGTTGAAAAAATTTACATGCAATGTTAAGGAACCCTGAATAGCCAAAGCAATCTTAAAAAAGAATAAATTTGGCCGGGCGCGGTGGCTCACGCCTGTAATCCCAGCACTTTGGGAGGCCGAGGTGGGCAGATCAGGAGGTCAGGAGATTGAGCCCATCCTGGCTAACACGGTGAAACCCCGTCTCTACTAAAAATGCAAAAAATTAGCCGGGCCTGGTGGCTTGCACCTGTAGTCCCAGCTACTCGGCAGGCTGAGGCAGGAGAATGGCGTGAACCCGGGAGGCGGAGCTTGCAGTGAGCCGAGATCGCGCCACTGCACTCCAGCCTGGGCGACAGTAGAGATTCCGTCTCTAATAATAATAATAATAAAGGGAGACTGCAAGGCTAGAGGAAGAAGAAAGGACCTGCCCCTTTGTATCTGCTTGTGCTTCCTGTGAACATCATGCCAGCAATGCTTCTTTACACTTGCCATGGCAGTTTCTTATTATAACATCAACTCCCTCTAGTTTGCAGTTTTTCTAACAGGGGCATAATGAATTTCCATGTACCTCCAATACCCTCAGAGACATCAGCACCAGCTGACTGGCACTCCTTCAGCATCCCTTCAGAAGTCTGGATTTTAGCTCCACAGAACCTCTCCTTTAAATTTCTAAGTTTTAGGCTGGGTGCGGTGGCTCATGCCTGTAATCCCAGCACTTGGGGAGGCTGAGGCAGTTGGATTACTTAAAGTCAGGAGTTTGTGACCAGCCTGGCCAACATGGTGAAACCCTGTCTATATCAAAAATACAAAAAAATTAGCCAGACGTGGTGGCACATGCCTGTAATCCCAGCTACTTGGGAGGCTGAGGCAGGAGAATCGCTTGAACCCGAGATGTGGAGGCTGCAGTGAACCGAGATAGTGCCACTGCAGTCCAGCCAGCGCAACAGAGTGAGCCTCTGTCTCAATAAATAAATATATAAATTTCTAAGTTTTTTTTTTTGAGACGGAGTCTCGCTCCGTAGCCCAGGCTGGAGTGCAGTGGCACGATTCGGCTCACTGCAAGCTCGGCCTCCCGGGTTCACGCCATTCTCCCGCCTCAGCCTCCTCAGTAGCTGGGACTAAAGACGCCCACCACCACGTCCGGCTAATTTTTCTGTATTTTTAGTAGAGATGGGGTTTCACCATGTTAGCCAGGATGGTCTCGATCTCCTGATGTCGTGATCCGCCCTCCTCGGCCTCCCAAAGTGCTGGGATTACAGGCGTGAGCCACCGCGCCTGGACAATTTCTAAGTTTTAATAATTCCAACCTCTTCCCTTTGTTGTTTTAGTGCTGGGGTGTTAGCTGCTTATTGCAACTGCCACTTCCATGATATCTCAGAGTTGTCTTTTTATCTTTTTTCCATGGCTAGTTAAGAAATTCATACTTAGTAATAATTTTTATATTAAATCCATTTTTTCGAGTTTTCTATTTTCTGATCAGCCCTTAATACATATAAGGATAGACCTTACTTTGTATGGTAGTACAGGATCATACAAATAATTGGGGAAGCCAAAACCAAGCAAAGTCATCTTACCAATCAATGGATATAGCAAGATGAAAAAGTTCTAGAGATTGCTTCACAACAATGTGAATACACTTAACATTACTGAACTGTATGCTTAAAAATGGTTACGATGGTAAATTTTGTTATGTGTTTTTTACCATAATAAAAAAAAGTGGAAAAAATAACAATTGTCTTTTGACCTTCAAAAAATTTTATCAAGATGTTAAAAACGGCCAGGTGTGGTGGCTCATACCTGTAATCCCAGCACTTTGGGAGGCCAAAGCAGGAGGATTGCTTGAGCCCAGGAGTTTGAGTCCAGCCTGGACAACATACTGAGACACTGTCTGTACTGAAAAACAAATGAAAAAAGACATTAAAAACTTTCTGTCAGTCTAAATGTATATAGGGGAAAAAAAGAAATGAAAAATATTTTTAGTACACCATACTTCAAAATATTAGAAACATTGAGAAACTACAGTGTTATATTTATTTGTAAAAAAAAAAAAAAAAAAGTATCAAGAGTAGTTTGAACACGGAGCTCATATCCAAGGATAATCTTCTGGTACAAAAAAAAAAAGAGTAGTTTCTACAGTGGTTGTCATCTTCTTTTGTCATATAACTTACAATATGGAGGAACATATTTTCCATGCCTTGGAAAACTGTAATGTACCCTTCTTAGTTTGATAAGCTTCCAACATTTTATCTTTTGTGCTTTCAAGGTTATATCTCCAAGATTTTATTTTAACATGAAGATTTTTTTGATAGCATCACTTTCTCTGAGACGTAGCCATCCTTTTTTTTTTTTTTAACCACAATTATTTTCTTTTACTTTTCTTTTCTTTTCTTTCTTTTTTTTTTTTTTTTTTTTTGAGACAGATTCTCGCTCTGTCACCCAGGCTGGAGTGCAGTGGCGCCATCTCGGCTCACTGCAAGCTCCGCCTCCCGGGTTCACGCCATTTTCCTGCTTCAGCCTCCCGAGTAGCTGGGACTACAGGCACCCGCCACCACGCCCGGCTGATTTTTTGTATTTTTAGTAGAGACGGGGTTTCACGGTGTTAGCCAGGATGGTCTCGATCTCCTGACCTCGTGATTCGCCTGCCTCGGCCTCCCAAAGTGCTGGGATTACAGGCGTGAGCCACCGCGCCCGGCCTCATTTTCTTAATTATGTCAATAAACTCACTATTTACTAAGTTCCTCTGGCTGCGTATGTAGAATCTCGTTAATGGTAGCAATGTGAACATCCCTGAAGTCAGCTATTTCTTCTATAACTCCATTATGTTTGATTTGCATTTCACTTCTGGCATCATCAACTTTAGTTTCTTTGCTGCACTTTCATCTTTGTTGGCCAACTTCCTTTTTTGATTTTCTATTTTTGTAAAATGCTATATAGGTTTATCACTGGAGAGAAGAAAGCAACACAACTACATGCTTTGGTGTCTGTGGGTGAAATGAACAGAGGCACAATGATCAATCACTGACAGATTTTGAAAGAAGAGATACGATAGATCCCTGATTATCATGTGCATGTTTTATTTACATAGTGATTTTTGGACTAAACAGCAGCAAAAGTTTTACTTCATGCACTTATTCCCAATTAATATACCATCATAAGTGAAATTGAGCCATGTTGTTGGGGCACTGGTATTATTTTTTTAGACAGAGTCTCGCCCTGTAGCCCAGGCTGGAGTGTAATGGTGTGATCTCGGCTCACTGAACCCTCCGCCTCCTGGGTTCACGTGATTCTCCTGACTCAGCCTGCTGAGCAGCTGGGACTACAGGCACTCGCCACCACGCCCAGATAATTTTTGTGTCTTTAGTAGAGGTGGAGTTGCACAATGTTGGCCATGCTGTTCTTGAGCTCCTGACCTCGTGATCCTCAGCCTCCAAAAGTGCTGGGATTACAGGCGTGAGCCACCGCACCTGGCCCTGGGCACTGGTATTATTTAACTAAACCTTGCTGTTATCTGTTGGATTGTGACCCCAAAAAACAATTTGAGTCCTTACTCTCAGAACCTCTGAATGTGAACTTATTTGAAAATAGGGTCGTTTCATATGTAATTAGTTAATATGAGGTCATAGTTGAGTAGGGTGGGGCCTTAGTCCAATATGAATAACATCTTTATAAGACAGTGTGAAGATAAGAGAAAAAGACCATGTGAAGATAGAGGCCGAGATTGGAGTTATGCAGCTATAAGCCAAGAAACCCTTAGAGCTACCAGAAACTAGAAAGAGGAAAGGAAGGAGACAGACTTGCCAGCACCTTGATATCAGACTTCTGGTCTTTACAACTATGAGAGAAGAAATTTTTATTGTTTTAAGTCACTCCGTTTGTGATATTTTGTAACAGTGGCCCCAGGAAACTAATACACATGCTAACTAAAATTTGTGCATATCAGAACTGTGCAAAGCAAGGACTGCCTATACTCTCAATTTATTATATTATTATTAATATATTATATGTACTTTTTTTTTTTTTTTTTTTTGAGATGGAGTCTCTCTCTGTTGCCCAGGTGCAGTAGCGCGATCTTGGCTCACTGCAACCTCCACCTCCCCAGTTCAAGCAATTCTCCTGCCTCAGCCCCCCGAGTAGCTGGGACTACAGGCACGTGTCACTATGCCCGGCTAATTTTTTTGTATTTTTAGTAGAGATGGGGTTTCACTGTGCTAACCAGGATGATCTCGAATGCCTGACCTCGTGATCCGCCTGCCTCGGCCTTCCAAAGTGCTGGGATTACAGGTGTGAGCCACTGTGCCTGGCCTATATATATGTATTTTAATCAAATTAGCTAACTGCTATTTCACAGAGAGAACCAGAAAGTAGGATATTGATACCTGTCACATGTAAGCATTTTAACAGGTTGGTGGAGCATATCTAAGGTGACCTTTATAGCCACACACACATCATTTTAACACTTTCTTAAGGTGGTGAAAATGAACACTTTCAGCTGCTTAACAACATATAAAATAAGAAGGAAAAGTATATATAAAAATTATATTTGATGACCAATGTTTCATTATTCTATCATATTTAGGTAATATCCAGGTTCAAATATGAACCATTAATTAATAGTAGTAATTCAGTGTCTTAAAGTTCTTAAAGATTTGTCTCAAGACTAAGCATCCTGGAGATTAAGCTGACATAGTACAGAACATAATTACTGTTGATATGAAAGTTTGTCAGTATTATAATTCAATTTAGTTGAATACATAATTTTATATATTTTATAATCTTAAATGCTTATATTGTACTCAATATATATTACTGATCAAATCAAGGAGAAGACATATAACTCTTTTTTTCTTTTTTTTTTGAGTCGGAATCTCGCTCTGTCACCCAGGCTAGAGGGCAATAATGTGATCTTAGCTCACTGCAACCTCTACCTCCCGGGTTCAAGCGATTCTCCTGCCTCAGCTTCCCAAGTAGCTGGGATTACAGGCACCCGACACCATGCCTGGCTAATTTTTGTATTTTTAGTAAAGACGGGGTTTCACCATGTTGGCTAGGCTGGTCTCTTTGGCCAGGCTGGTCTCCAACTTCTAATCTCGTGATCTGCCCACCTCGGCCTCCCAAAGTGCTGGGATTACAGGCCTGAGCCACTGCCCTCAGATTTTTTTTTTTTTTTTTTTGAGACTGAGTCTCACTCTGTCACACCGGCTGGAGTGCAGTGGTGCAATCTCGGCTCACTGCAACCTCTGCCTCCTAGGTTCAAGTGATTCTCCTGCCCCAGCCTCCTGAGTAGCTGGGACTACAGGCATGTGCCAACCATGCCCAGCTAATTTTTATAATTTTAGTAGAGACAGGGTTTCATCATGCTGGCTAGGCTGGTCTTAAACTCCTGACCTCAGGTGATCTGCCTGCCTCAGACTCCCAAAGTGCTGAGATTATAGGCATGAGCCACCACACCCGGTCATATAGGCTATTTTAAACTATACACATGAAGACACATTAAGAACCTGCAGATTCCATTCCACAACCTTAGCCATGGGTAAAAAAATTAACACAGAGCACAGAAACTCACCAGTCCAGATATCCAGTTTTTCAGTGGGCACAAAATATTTGCTTACTTAATTTGAGTTCACAAATAATTAGACAAGCAAACAAAAAACAAGATTAATAGAAACTATACAAACACACGGAAATTAAACAATATCTTCTTGAATGATCAGTGGGTTAATGAAGGGATTAAAAAAGATATCGAAGTTGGGCACGGTGGCTCATGCCTGTAATCCCAGCACTTTGGGAGGCTGAGGCAGGTGGATCACGAGGTCAGGAGATTGAGACCATCCTGGCTAACATGGTGAAACCCCGTCTCTACTAAAAATACAAAAAATTAGCCCCAGAGTAGTCCCAGCTACTCTGGAGGCTGAGGCAGGAGAATCACTTGAAACCAGAAGGCGGAGGCTGCAGTGAGCTGAGATCGTGCCACTGCACTCAAGTCTGGGTGACAGTGAGACTCTGTCTCAAAACAACAACAACAAAAAACAAAAACAAACAGAAAAAACAAACAAAACAAATGATAATGGAAACACAACATGCCAAAATCTGTGGAATACAGTGAAAGCAGTACTAAGATGGAAGTTTATAGCTATAATCACTTATATCAAAAAGAAGAAAAACTTCAAAGAAACAACCTAGTGATGCATCTTAAAGAACTGGAAAAGCAAGAGCAAATCAAACACAAAAGTAGTAGAAGAAAAAATAATAATAAAGATCAGAGCAGAAATAAACAAAATTGAAACAATAAAATACAAAAGATTAATTAAGAAGTTGGTTTTTTAAAAAGATAAACAAAATTGACAAACCTTTGATCAGACTAAGACAAAAAAGAGAAGACCTGAAAAAATAAAATTAGAGATGAAGAAAGAGACATTACAACTGATACTACAGAAATTCAAAGGACCATTAGTGGCTACTATGAGCAACTATATGCCAATAAATTGGAAAATCCAGAAGAAATTGATAATTTCCTAGACACATAAATCCTATCAAGATTGAACCATGAAGAAATCCAAAACTATAAAACATTGATGCCTGACAATGAAAATGACACCAAAAAAACGGAAAGATATTCCATGTTCATGGATTGGAAGACTCAATATTATTAACATGTCCATAACTAATAACCAATAACAAGGAACAAGATTGAAGCCATGATTAAAAGTCTCCCAGCAAAGAAGAGCCTGGGACCAGATGGCTTTACTGCTGACTTCTACCATACATATGAAGAGGAAGTGATACCAATTCTACTGAAACTATTCTAAAAAATAGAGGAGGAGGGAAAACTTCCAAACTTATTCTATGAGGCCAGTGTTACCCTGAATAACAAAACCAAAGAAACATTAAAAAAAAGAAAAGAAAAGAAAAGAAAAACACAAAGAAAAGAAAGAAAGAAAAGAAGAAAAAGAAAGGAAACTAGCCAAATATCACAAATGAATAGTGATGCAAAAATCCTCAGCAAAATTCTAGCATAAAAAATAAATTAAATTCCGGGCGCGGTGGCTCATGCCTGTAATCCCAGCACTTTGGGAGGCCCAGGCGGGTGGATCACCTGAGGTCAGGAGTTCCAGATCATCCTGCCCAACATGATGAAACCCCATCTCTACTGAAAATACCAAAATTAGCTGGGCATGGCGGCAGGTGCCGGTAATCCCAGCTACTCAGGAGGCTGAGGCAGGAAAATCACTTGAACCCAGGAGATGGGGTTTTGCCATGTTGGCCAGGCTGCTCTCAAACTCCTGAACTCAGGTGATCCTCCTACCTCAGCCTCCCAGAGTGCTAAGATTACAAGTGTGAGCCACCGCTCCCGGCCCTAATTGTACTTTTTTTAAATTTTATTTTTTGGAGTCTGGCTCTGTCACCCAGGCCGGAGTAGAGTGGCGCAATCTCAGCTCACTACAACCTCTGCCTCCTGTTTTCAAGCGATTCTCCTGCCTCAGCCTCCCAAGTAGCTGGGATTACAGGCCGCGCCACCATGCCTGGCTAATTTTTGTATTTTTAGTAGAGACAGGGTTTCATCATGTTGGCCAGTCTGGTCTCAAACTTCTGACCTCAAGTGATCCGCCCGCCTTGGCCTCCCAAAGTGCTGGGATTACAGGCGTAAGCCACCGTGCCCCGGCCGGATTATTGTTAACTATTGTAACTATTGTATTAGGAAGATTTGAGGTTGGCCTGGCCCAAGTGGCAACTATGTTTTTTTTTTTTTTTTTTTTTTTTTTTTTTTTTTTTTTTTGAGATGGATTCTCGCTCTGTCTCCCAGGCTGGAGTGCAGTGGTGCGACCTTGGCTCACTGCAAGCTCTGCCTCCCGGGTTCACACCATTCTCCTGCCTCAGTCTCCCCAGTAGCTGGGACTACAGGCTCCTACCACCACAACATAATTTTTTGTTTTTTAGTAGAGATGGGGTTTCACCATGTTAGCCAGGATGGTCTCGATCTCCTGACCTCGTGATCTGCCTGCCTTGGCTTCCCTAAGTGCTGGGATTACACGCGTGAGCCACTGCACCCGGCCTTAAGTGGCAACTATTTAAGGAAATAAAATGGGTGTAGTGAGTGATCCAGGCATAGGAGTTACAGAGGTTAAAAGAAAAAGCAGCAGATAATTAAGCAGAGTAATCTGAATCCTGCCAGAGGATGCCTTACTCCAGATATCAATGGTTTTAGCTTTGGGACAATGGAATTTGCAAGAAAAAATTGAACCAGCTTATCAAGGTGTTGTTTAATATGTATTTCAGAAAACACTGAGCCTAATGAAGAGTTCTTAAACCACCACAATGGAATGGCAGGCTCTTAGTTCTCTGACGTAAATGCCTTTATAAATGTGGAATATTTGAATGAATGAGAGATGGGGAACCCCACAGAAAAGATTATATAATATCACACGCTGGGAGAAATAAAATAACAAAATTTTTGTGGACTTATTGATACTGACTACAATCTAACATGCAAATTCTGTAGGACCCAGGACACCACTATTTTCATTAGCCAGAATAAGGTCCTTAAGATATCATATAATAGTTGGAACTCTAATATGAATTTGTTGCACCTTTGTCCCAATCAGATTCTGAACTCAACCTGAAGTTTCACATAGTCCCTGCTTAAAACATGATGTCTGACTAATTAGTTGGATGGTATGATCTACATTGTGGTTGTCAATAATCCTTGGCCTGGTTCTTGCTCAAAGTAGCAACCTGGTAGTGAAGGAGGCTTATCACCTGGAGTTTATCACCCAGTATTCACTTCACTAAGGCTAACTTGTCTGCTAGCATTGCTAAAGTTTGTTTGTTTGTTTGTTTGTTTGTTTGTTTTTTGAGACAGAGTCTCACTGTGTCGCCCAGGCTGGAGTGCAGTGGCATGATCTCAGCTCGCTGCAACCTCCGCCTCTCAGATTCAAGCAATTCTCCTGCCTCAGCCTCCCGATTAGCTGGGACTACAGGCGCCCACTGCCATGCCCAGCTAATTTTTGTATTTTTAGTAGAGACATGGTTTCACCATATTGACCAGGCTGGTCTCGAACTCCTGACCTTGTGGTTCGCCCGCCTTGGCCTCTCAAAGTGCTCGGATTACAGGCGTGAGCCACCAGGCCTGACCTGCTGAAGTTTAAATTGGCAAAGCACGCTGACTAATGAACAGAAAGTCCATCCATAGTTTACAGGGAAGTCATGCATCTGATTGCAGGTCAGCCAGTTTCACTGGCTCCCCTTGACATGTATTTGTCACTGTTTTGCCTTTACTTAGACTCCCTCTGGTTGTGTATTTGCTTTCATGGTTATAGTGTCATCATGTATGAATTTACTGAATGCGTTATACACCACTCAGACATTGCCTTAGACCATTCTTCATAGTATAAGAAATGAAGCTGAAGTCCACAGTATTTCTTGTTATTATGCTTTTTTTGTGCTTACAAGTCAGCCATATAAGAAACTGGAACATTTTATTGAAAATTCAACCAGACTATAAGATTGGGAACCTCATTTTGCAAAGTTACAGCTGTCTTGCAGAATGTGATATATGTTCTGAACCAGTGACCAACAATGATACTTTCCCTCCCATAGTAAGGAATAAGATTCCAGGAAACTAGCAGTGTACTTGGGAGGGGCACTGCTCATGATTGCATGTAATAATCTGTTTTCAGAATTTTTGTCTCCTCAACTTGTAACCACAGGCTTTTCAGCTCTCAATTCTCAGTACCCAAGAGAAAGGTGGAATGTGATAATAGCGGAAATAAATTTGAAGTAGAAACTGCCACCTAGCCATTTCAGGCTCCATATGCCATCAGAGCAAGACGCAAAAAGGATGTGACGACTTTAGCTGTATTATAGATCTTGATTACATAGGGGAAATGAAGAATACAGCAAGAATCCTAGGGAACACCTGGGGTCACCTCCTTTTACTACTATCTAATGGTGCCAGAGTACCTGAGACCTATTGGAAGTATCACAAATAATTCATCACCCTCAGAATTGAAGGTACAAGTCACTCTGCTCAGGGTGGGGTGAGGAGGTAAGAGAGGAGAAGGAAGAGGAGCAGTATCATACAAGCTTAAGTGTTGCTGGACGGCAAAGAACACAGTCCAGGTAAAAAGAAAGATAAGTCATAAATACTAGCTACCGCCTCACAACCAGTTTCAGACATGAGGGCTTTAGCCATAGTCTCTATGTCAAAGTTATTATTATTGCTAATTTTGTTTTTTGGTAATTGTGAAAATTACTAATTGTCCTCTGTCACTTCTTTTTCCCCCTTCTTCTTCTGTAACAGAACATCAGTTTTTTTCTTTTTTAGAAAGAATCTCACTCCGTCACCCAGGCTGGAATGCAATGGCAAGATCTTGGCTCACTGCAGCCTCCCCCTCCCAGGTTCATGCAATCCTCCCATCTCAGCCTCCAGAGTAATTGAGACTACAGGTGGGGGCGCCACCATGCCTGGCTAATTTGTATTTTTTGTAGAGATGGGTTTCACCATGTTGCCCAGGCTGGTCTCGAACTCCTGGGCTCAAGCGATCCGCCCACCTCAGCCTCCCAAAGTGCTGGATTACAGGTGTGAGCCACCACGCCTGGCCAGAACATCCGATTTTTCTCTTGGCACATGACTACTCGAAATAAAGATTGCTCTTCCTTATCTCTCTTTAAGCCATGTATGGCCATGTGACTAAGTTCTGACCAGTGGAGTATAAGCAGAAGTGTTGTTTGTGAAAATCCTTAAAGGGTGAGGGATGCTGGGGGAGGAACAAACCATTTTCACTTCCTCCTTTTCCTTGCTGACTGAAAAGTCATAATGTATGTTCACTGTATATTTTGAGAGTATTCAATTGGTCCATAGAAGCTAGGACAAACAAGTGAGATATTTGAAACTCATATGAAGTATTAAGCCTACATATCAGGTAAACTACTAGCTTATAAGATACAGGTGAAACTTGGCTGGGCGCAGTGGCTCAGGCCTGCTCCCAGCACTTTGAGAGGAGAAAGCGGGTGGATCACTTGAAGTCAGGAGTTTGAGACCAGCCTGGCCAACATGACGAAACCCCATCTCTACTAAAAATACAAATACACTTCAGCCTGTCAGCCTGTGCAAGGAAATGAATTTTGCCAAGAAGAAGAATGAGCTTGGAGGTGAATCTTTCCTTAGGATTTTCCTTAGACAAGAACTCAGTCCAGTTGAACCTTGACTTCAGCCTAGTGATACTTTGAGCAGAGAAACCAGTCATGCAGTGCCCAATGTCTAACCTATATAACTATGAGCTAGTAAATGGGTATTGCTTTAAGCTGCTAAAATTGTGGTAATTTGTTACACAGAAATGGGAAACAAACACAACTACTCATTAGTGATACTCATTATGGTGTCATTCTGGTCTCATCTGTGCTCTACCCTAAAAACACAGATGACACCCACAGCTGTTTAGCAGGTTAATTAGGGAGCTACAGTTGTAGTCAGGCATACTTGCCCTCCTTGCCTTTTGCTTATAGAGCAAATGAGTGAGTTGGTTCCAGGCACTCTCTGTCTGCTAGGCTCCCTTGTCCAAATCCCAATTCTGCTCCTCATGAGCATACCTTCAAAGGGAAGACTGATGTAGCAGAAACAAAGATAGGACCTGTACACATTTGGAAACCCATGATTCACATTATGTGGTCTTTTTGCCCCACCTGTATCCTATCCTAAGTATGTTTACCTGTTATCTCATTCCTTTATCCTTGTTGCTCAGTCTGTTTTTTTGTTGTTGTTGTTTTGTTTTTGTTTTTGTTTTTGAGACAAAGTGTTGCTCTGTCATCCAGGTTGCAGTGCTGTGGCTCGACCTTGGCTCACTGCCACCTTCGCCTTATGGGTTCAAGTGATTCTCCTGCCTCAGCCTCCCTGGTAGCTGGGACTACATGCATGTGGCACTATGCCTGGCTAATTTTTGAATTTTTAGTAGAGATGGGGTTTCACCAGGTTGGCCAGGCTGGTCTTGAACTCCTGGCCTCAAGTGATCTGCCTGCCTTGGCCTCTCAAAGTGCTAGGATTACAGGAGTCAGCCACCACGCCTGGCCCAGTCTTTATTTTATTTTATTTTATTTATTTTTTTAAGACAGAGTCACCCACTCTGTTGACCAGGCTGGAGTGCAGTGGCACTGTCTCAGCTCACTGCAATCTCTGCCTCCCAGGTTCAAGCAATTCTCATGCCTCAGCCTCCTGAGTAGCTGGGATTGCAGGCATACGCCACCACACCCAGCTAATTTTGTTATTTCTTTTAGTAGAGACGGGGTTTTGCCATGTTGGCCAGGCTGGTCTCAAACTCCTGACCTCAAGTGATCTGCCCGTCTTGGCCTCCCAAAGTACTGGGATTACAGGCGTGAGCCACCATACCTGGCCTCAGTCTGCGTTTTAAATTGATTCAATAAACCACATAATTCAGGCATCTTTACTTAATCTGCATGGCTTTTTGTACGATGACTTCTGTGATAGCTTGCATGGTAGTATACTTAGGGGCTACTATTGAGTCAAAGTAATTTCCCACATGACAAATGTGGATGTAAGGACTGGCACTCAAACAGCCATCTGGGACCCATGGGGTGAAAGGTTCATGCTGAGGATGGAATAGCAGCAAGACGGAAGAAACGAGCAACAATTTAGTGGGAGCCTGAATCTCTTATGATGGGGTGTCCCAGCCCTGGATTGGCTCCCTCTATTTTTTTATGTGTGAGAAAATAAACTGATATATTTTTAAAGTCAGTATTATTGTAGATTTTCTGTCACAGCTCAGTCTAGTTCTACTTAATACACTAATATTTCATATTTCTTCCACTATTTTAAATCACTTTTTCAAAATGTGATCAGTCTAAGGGCCATCAAAAGGATCTATCTGAGCTACTTGTCAAAATTTAGTTGCTACCCCACAGTCTGTAGTGGGGCCCCAGGATTCTCCACTAATGATGAGTCTCCTTGGATATTCTTATGCCACCAATATTTGTAAATCACTGATCAATAGGAAGTATCTCTGTTTTTTGTCTTTAGAATTTAGTCCAAAGACTAAATAATGGCAAAGAATAAAACCTGGGGCTGGGCACAGTGGCTCATGCCTATAATCCCAGCACTTTGGGAGGCTGAGGCAGGCAGATCACTTGAGTTCAGGATCAGCCTGGGCAACATAGAGAAACTTCATCTCTACAAAAAAATACAAAAATTAGCTGGGCATGCTGGCACATGCCTATAGTCCCAACTATTTGTGAGGCTGAGGTAGGAGGATCACTTGTGCCCTGGAGCCATAGGTAGCAGTAAGCTGAGATCACGCCACTGCACTCCAGCCTGGGTGACAGAGGAAGACTCTGTCTCAAAAAATAAAATATAATAAAACCTGGATATAGGTCCCCAAAGGAACTAGAGGGCTGATATAAAATACCTAGATATTTTGAACCAAAGAGAAAAAACAACTTTAAATTACCCCTTGTATTAGTTTAGAGTGGCTGCCATAACAAATTACCAAAACAACATACACATCTGTCTCTCACAGTTCTGGAGACTGGAAGTGTAAAAATCAACGTGTCAGCAGGGCCATGCTCCCTCCAGAGCCACTGAGAGAGAATTGATATCTGGCCTCTTTTAGCTTCTTCTGGGAGCTATCTGGCATTTCTTGGCATTCCTTGGCTCACAGCCACATCTCTCTGATCTGGGCCTCCGCCTTCATATTGCCTCCTCCTCTGTGTGCGTCTTTCTAATCTTCCCCTGCTTCTCTGTTTTAAGGATATATGTAATTGTATTTAGGAGAATAATCAAGGACATAATAATCCAATAATCCAGGATAAATGCTTCCTCTGAAGATCCTTAACTTAATCAGATATTCTGCCATACAAGGTAATATTCACTCTTTTGCAATATAAAGTAGTATTTTCAGGTTCTGGAGATTAGGAAATGAATATATGGGGGCATTTTTTTCTCCTAATATATATATATCTTTAGAATTTAGTCCAAAGACTAAATAATGGCAAAGAATAAATAAAGAATAATATATATATATATATATATAGAACCTAGAATAAAGAATAATAAAGAATAAAGAATTATATATATATATAACCTAGGAAATTATATATATATATGTGCGTGCGTGTGCGTGTGTGTGTGTGTGTGTGTGTGTGTGTATTTATTTATTTTTGAGGTGGAGTATTGCTTTGTCATCCAGGCTGGAGTGCAGTGGTGTGATCTTGGCTCACTGCAACCTCCACCTCCCTGGTTCAAGCAATTCTCCCTGCCTCAGCCTCCCGAGTAGCTAGGATTACAGGCATGAGCCACTGTATCTGTCCTCACATCTCTTAATGCTATTTTTGGACAGACTAATTGTTCATGCTTGTTAAGGAGGTAGTGAATATATTGTAGTCTTTCATATGATACTAGATCATTTTTGGAATTATAGAGAGTTACACCCAAGAAAGGAAATATATTGGAAAAAAAAGTCATACTAACTGCCACATCCACTGTCCTTCTTTATTTTAAGCCTTGCTCAGGGAAATTGCTCTGAAATGCATTACGGTGTCACTGATTAGATCATGGTAGGTACATGATTTACAAGAACCTAGCTTACAACCTAGGAGATTACTTGTAGGGGTGATCGTAAACATCTAAGACAAATACTCTTGCTTCCTCTGTAATTTGGACTGTGGAGTTTGAAACATGAAGACTGGCCAGTGAGTAGAGAGATTTAGATTCAGTAGATCTAGGATAGGACCTTAGTGTTCATTCTCTCTCTCTTTCCAGTAGTTCTTTTTCACTCCATGATTGGAGAATCTCTGTTGTTTTGAAAGAATTAGGCCATATCAAGTCAAGTATTTAAATCTTGTTCCTACCACCTGCTAGCTCTGTGATTGTCACTTAATCTTTCTGATATTTAACTTCTTCAACTTTGAAGATTATGCCTACCTATGAAAATTATAAAGATTATATGATGCAGCCGGGCGCAGTAGCTCACGCCTGTAATCTCAGCACTTTGGGAGGCTGAGGCGGGTGGATCACAAGGTCAGGCATTCGAGACCAGCCTGGCCAACATAGTGAAACCCCGTCTCTACTAAAAATACAAAAAATTAGCTGGGCATGGTGGCGGATGCCTGTAATCCCAGCTACTCAGGAGGCTGAGGCAGGAGAATCCCTTGAACCTGGGAGGTGGAGGTTGCAGTGAGCCAAGATTGCGTCACTGCACTCCAGCCCAGGCGACAGTGCCAGACTCCATCTCAAAAAAAAAAAAAAAAAAAAAAGATGCAATATATTTAAAGTACCTAGCAGAGTACCAGGGAAACTGGAAAGCCTCAATAAACGGAATATAGCAAGGGTTTTACTGCCATTTCTAAACAACAGATAGGATGAGTAAAACCACAAATATGGTCCAGTTACATAGCATAAGAAATCTGACAAAGCTCTTACAGCCTTTCGTATGTTGTCTCAGTCTGTTTGTGCTACTACAATAAAATAGCTTAGATTGTGGCCGGGTATGGTGGCTCACACCTGTAATCTCAGCACTTCAGGAGGCTGAGGCAAGAGGATCACTTGAGGCCAGGCGTTTGAGACCAGCCTGGGCAACATAGCAAGACGCCATCTCTGAGAGGTGACAGCGTGCTGGCAGTCCTCACAGCCCTGGCTCGCTCTGGGCGCCTCCTCTGCCTGGGCTCCCACTTTGGCAGCACTTGAGGAGCCCTTCAGCCCACCGCTGCACTGTGGGAGTCCCTTTCTGGGCTGGCCAAGGCCGGAGCCGGCTCCCTTAGCTTGCAGGGAGGTGTGGAGGGAGAGGCACGAGCGGGAACCCCGGGCTGCGCGTGGCGCTTGTGGGCCAGCTGGAGTTCCGGCTGGGCGTGGGCTTGGTGGGCCCCCACTCGGAGCAGCCGGTAGGCCCTGCCGGCCCGGGCAATGAGGGGCTTGGCACCCGGGCCAGCGGCTGCGGAGGGTGTACTGGGTCCCCCAGCAGTGCCAGCCCACCGGTGCTGCGCTCGATTTCTCGCTGGGCCTTAGCTGCCTTCTCGCGGGGCAGGGCTCGGGACCTGCAGCCCGCCATGCCTGAGCCTCCCACCCCCTCCGTGGGCTCCTGGGCAGCCCGAGCCTCCCCGATGACCGCCGCCCCCCGCTCCAGGGCGCCCAGTCCCATCGACCACCCAAGGGCTGAGGAGTGTGGGTGCACGGCAGGGGACTGGAAGGCAGCTCCACCTGCAGCCCCATTGCGGGATCCACTGGGTGAAGCCAGCTGGGCTCCTGAGTCTGTTGGGGACGTGGAGAACCTTTATGTCTAGCTCAGGGATTGTAAATACACCAATCAGCACCCTGTGTCTAGCTCAGGGTTTATGAATGCACCAACCAACACTCTGTATCTAGCTACTCTGGTGGGGCCTTGGGGAACCTTTATGTCTAGCTCAGGGATTGTAAATACACCAATTGGCACTCTGTATCTAGCTCAAGGTTTGTAAACACACCAATCAGCACCCTGTGTCTAGCTCAGGGTTTGTGAATGCACCAGTCCACAGTCTGCATCTAGCTACTCTGGTGGGGCCTTGGAGAACCTTTGTGTGCACACTCTGTATCTAGCTAATCTGGTGGGGATGTGGAGAACCTTTGTGTCTAGCTCAGGGATTGTAAAGGCACCAATCAGCGCCCTGTCAAAACAGACCATTCACTCTACCAATCAGCAGGATTTGGGTGGGGCCAGATAAGAGAATAAAAGCAGGCTGCCCCAACCAGCAATGGTAACCTGCTGGGGGTACTCTTTCACACTGTGGAAGGTTTGTTCTTTTGCTCTTTGCAATAAATCTTGCTACTGCTCACTCTTTGGGTCCACACTGCTTTTATGAGCTGTAACACTCACCGCAAAGGTCTGCAGCTTCACTCCTGAAGCCAGCGAGACCACGAGCCCACCGGGAGGAACGAACAAATCCAGACGCGCTTCCTTAAGAGCTGTAACACTCACCGCGAAGGTCTGCAGCTTCACTCCTGAAGCCAGTGAGACCACCAGCCCACCGGGAGGAACGATCAAATCCAGACGCGCTGCCTTAAGAGCTGTAACACTCACCGTGAAGGTCTGCAGCTTCACTCCTGAGCCAGCGAGACCACGAACCCACCAGAAGGAAGAAACTCCGGACACGCCACCTTTAAGAACTGTAACACTCAGTGCGAGGGTCCGCGGCTTCATTCTTGAAGTCAGTGAGACCAAGTACCCACTAATTCCGGACACGCCTCTACAAACAATTTAAAAATTAGCTGCACCTGGTGGCACATGCCTGTTGTCCCAGCTCCTAAGGAGACTGAGGCAGAAGGATCACTTGAGCCCAGGAGGTCGAGGCTGCGGTGAGCTATGATTACATTCCTATACTACAGCCTGAGACCCTGTCTCAAAAAACAAACAAAAAACACAGCAACAATAAACCTGAAACTGTGTCCTCACATGGCAGGAAAGCTAAAGAACAAGCTAAATGAATATGTCATATTCTATATTAAGAGGACAAGTTAAAGAGAATCCCATTGTCTTAGGGACAGTTTCATTTGCTGCAACAGAATAGCAGAGACTGGGCAATTTATAAAGAAAAGAAATTTCTCAATTCTGGAGGCCAGGAAGTCTAAGATCAAGGCACTGGCAGGTTCAGTTGTCTGGTGAGGGCTTACAGGCTCCGAAAGGGAGGGATGCTGTGTTCTTCTATGGTACAAAGTAGAAGGAAGGGCAAGAGAACTCAAAGCTGCATGAAGCCTTTTTTATAACATCCTTAATCCCCTTAATGAGAGCAGAACCCTAATGACCTTATCCCCCCTTAAAGCCCTCACCTCTTAATAAGGTCGCATTGGCAACACCTGAATTTTGGAGGGGGCACAGTCAAACCACAGCAGCATCTTTTTATGAAATAATATTAGGAGCCCACTGAATTTTTGTTCTCCAGATTCACTCTAGTTCAACACATGAGCAATTCTTGCTAAAATTTCTCTTCCTTTCAGGTGTGATTATATCACAATAGTAAGAGATAACTAACTTTTGTTCAGGAACCTCCTTATCGCTGCTTAGAAATTTGCATTTCTGACCATCAGTAGATTGCAGGTCCTACTCATTAGGGCATTTCTTAGTTGCATATGGTAGTGATATTATATTTCAGTCCTAATTGACATTAACAAGATGATTTGCATGTGGGGGAAAGGTATTCATTTGAGTGCAGATAGAACTGGATTTGTGGAACTCTTCAAAGATATGTAGAGTGGTGCAGGAAGCTCTGGATTTTTCCTTACTGCCTCACTAATACTGTAAATAGTTGGATGACTGCTGTAACTAGATATACACATTCTTGAAGAATGTTTAATCTTGCAAAATTGTGCACTAAAACTATTCAAACCTTATGCAATATTTTAACAAAAGCAGTATCAAAAATGCTAATAATAGCACAGTTTAAAAGATATGTTGAGTTTCTAATAAATATTACAGAAAATATAGCAAAAAACAAAACCAAAAACATAAGAAGGTAGTATGAAGGAAGAAGCTAAAAGGAAAGGTCTTCACAGTTTACATCATAGAGACAAGGAAAGAACTACATTGTTACCAGAATTCCCACCTAGAGAAGCTGTTGCAGACTTTGCACAAAATGTTGTGAGGACGGAGAGTTTGGCTTATATCATTGTGTGTGTTTGTGTGTTTGCACAAAGCCTATGGAAAATTCACATTAAGCAGTTTTAAGACAGAGTCGTGGCCAGACAGAGCTAAACAGAAGAACTTGTAATGTACGACGTACAGACATCTTGCACTCTACGCTTCCCCTGTGGCTGGCCGCATTCCACTAAGTTAGGGTGCAAACTATGCATCAGCTGTAATCTAGCATTTCACTTCTCTCTAGTATCTGACGATAGACTTTTTTTTTTTTACACACATTGACATATATTTGATATAGGTGAAGTTTAGTAAATAAAATGGCCGAGAGCAGTGGCTCACACCTGTAATCCCAGCACTTTGGGAGGCCGAGGCGTGGTGGCGCACGTCTGTAGTCTCCGCTACTCAGGAGGCTGAGGCAGGAAAATCGCTTGAACCCAGGAGGCGGAGGCTGCAGTGAGCCGAGATCACGCCACTGCACTCCAGCCTGGGCGACAGAGCTAGACTCCATCTCAGAAAAAAAAAAAGAAAGAAAGAAAATGAATACCCATATATACAAAACTTTCTTTATATTTGATACAGCTGAACTGTGATAAAATATGAAACATAATCTTTATTTTAAGCTCAAAGCCTGGAGGTTGTCCTAATATTAATGGTTTCATACCAGCTAGAAACTTTTCTTTATTTCATTTTACCTTCCTTTTCTTTGGATAATGACTTTAAGGGATAATGATTGAAGGCCTCTTTTGCTAACACTCCCATTCTTCAGTTAACTATTTGGTTAGGTGCCAGAAAAATAAAAAATAACTAAATATCTTTAAAAAGTCTATTTTCTTGGCCAGGCATGGTGGCTCATGTCCGTAATCCGAGCACTTTGAGAGGCCGAGGCAGGCAGATCACTTGAGGTCAGGAGTTTGAGACCAGCCTGGCCAACATGGTGAAACCCCGTCTCTACTGAAAATACAAAAATTAGCCAGGCTTGGTGGTGCATGCCTGTAATTCCAGCTACTCAGGAGGCTGAGGCAGGAGAATGGAGTGAACCCGGGAGGCGGAGCTTGCAGTGAGCCGAGATCACGCCACTGCACTCCAGCCTGGGTGACAGAACCAGATGTCTCAAAAAACAAACAAACAAAAAACCCATTTCATTTCAAAGTTGAGCACTGAAGTTTGAACATAATATTACTTTTTGCTAGACTATAAGTTCTTCCAGGTAAGGAAATAGGACTATTTAGCATCGGATCTCAAGTTTTCAAAAGAGTGCTTTGTACTTAGTAGGTACTGAACAAATGTTTATCAAATGAATGACTTTTCCCTTTCATGCTATACTCCGTCCTATTTCCCATTCACCAAAGTTGCCATTCAACTGCAGAGTTATAAGTGAAATTTATTTATTTATTTGGAGGCAGGGTCTCACTCTGTTACCCAGGCTGGAGTGCAGTGGCTCACTCGAACTCCCAGGCTCCAGCAATCCACCTCAGCCTCCCAAATAGCTGAAACAGGCCTGTGCCATCATGCCTGGCTAATTTGGTTTATTTTCTGTAGAGACAAAGTCTCACTATGTTGCCCAGGCTGGTCTCAAACTCCTGGGCTCAAGTGATGCTCCTGCCATGGCCTCCCAAAGTACTGGGATTATAGAAATGCACTTTATAATGTTTATTTATGAACGTATTCCTTCTCTCTAGCTGTGCTTTTGTATTTGTTAACCAACCCCTGGCTTTTCTCCCTCCTCACTACCCTTTCCAGGCTCTAGTAGCCACTATTCTACTCTCTGCTCCTATGAGATCAACTCTGTTAGCTTCCACACATGAGTGAGAACATGCAGTATTTATGTTTCTGTGCCTAGCTTATTTCACTTAAAACAATGTCCTCCAAGCTCATCCACATTGCCATGAATGTCAGAATCAATCTTTTTAATTTTATCAGTAAATAGTATTTAATTGTGTAAGTATACAGCACATTTTCTTTATCCATTCATCTGTTGATGGACACTTAGGTTGATTCCATATCTTAGCGATTGTGAATAGTGCTGCAATAAACTTATTTATTTTGCTGTTGTTGTTGTTGTTGAGTCTCGCTCTTGTCGCCCAGGCTGGAGTGCAATGGCATGATCTTGGCTCACTGCAACCTCCACCTCCTGGATTCAAGCAATTCTCCTGCCTCAGCCTCCCGAGTAGCTGAGATTACAGGTGCCAGCCACCATTTCCGGCTAATTTTTGTATTTTCAGTAGAGGCAGGGTTTCGCCATGTTGGCCAGGCCAGGCTGGTCTGGAACTCCTGACCTCAGGTGATCCGCCTACCTGGGCCTCCCAAAGTGCTGGGATTACAGGCGTGAGCCACTGCGCCCGGCTGAACATAAGTTTTTATCGCATTCCCATATATTATCCCTGCCATCCTTTTCTTCCCTTTGGTATGTATGTATGTATGTATGTATGTATGTATGTATGTATGTATGTATGTATTTATTTTTGAGACGGGATTTCACTCTGTCACCCAGGCTGGAGTGTAGTGGCGCGATCTTGGCTCACTGCAACCTCTGCCTCCCAGGTTCAAGCGAGTCTCCTGCCTCAGTTTCCCAAGTAGCTGGGACTATAGGCGACTGCCACTGGGCCCAGCTAATTTTTGTATTTTTAGTAGAGACGGGGTTTTGCCATGTTGACCAGGTTGGTCTTCAGCTCTTGACCTCAGGTGATCCGCCTGCCTCATCCTCCCAAAGTGCTGGGATTACAGGCATGAGCCACTGCGCCCGGCCCCTTTGTTATTTATTTGTTTGGAAAGGTAATTTGGCTGGTGCAGTGGCTCATGCCTGTAGTCCCTGCACTTTCAGAGGCAAGGTGGGAGGACTGCTTGAGGCCAGGAGTTTCAGCCTTGGCAACATAGTGAAACCCTATCACTACAAAAAATAAAAATAGATGAGCTGGGCATGATGGTACCTCCCTATTGTCTTAACTACTGAGGAGGCTGAGGCAGTCAGGTCGCTTGAGCTCAGGAGTTCTAGATGGCAGTGAACTATAATCACATCACTGCACTCCAGCGTGGGTGACAGAACAAGACTGTCTCTAAAAAAAGAAAGAACAGAAAAAGGTAGTTTATTTGTCATGTAGAGTTTCTCATACTATGGATTTTGCTAATTATAACTGTTATTTTATCCCTGTATTTCCCTTAAACTTGTTTAATCTAAACATTTTTAAATATTGAGGTTCAATTTGTGTGGCTGGCAAGAATGTTGCAGAGATGATGTCATACATTTCATTTTTTTTTTTTTTTTTTTTTTTGAGTTGGAGGCTCGCTCTGTCACCCAGGCTGGAGTGCGGTGGCACGATCTCCACTCACTGCAAGCTCCGCCTCCCGGGTTCAGGCCATTCTCTGTGCTCAGCCTCCCGAGTAGCTGGGACTACAGGCGCCTGCAACCACGCCCGGCTAATTTTTTGTATTTTTAGTAGAGACGGAGTTTCACCGTGTTAGCCAGGATGATCTCGATCTCCTGACCTCGTGATCCGCCCACCTGGGCCTCCCAAAGTGCTGGGATTACAAGCGTGATCCACTGCCCCGGGGCTTTTTTTTTTTTTTTTTGAGATGGAGTCTTGCTCTGTCGCCCAGGCTGGAGTGCAATGGTGTGATCTCGGCTCACTGCAGCCTCCTCCTCCTGGGTTCAAGCAATTCTCTGCCTCAGCCTCCCAAGTAGCTGGGATTACAGGTGCCCGCCACCACACCTGGCTACTTTTTGTATTTTTAGTAGAGACGGGGTTTCACCATATTGGCCAGGATGGTCTCAATCTCCTGACCTTGTGATCCGCCTGCCTTGGCCTCCCAAAATGCTGGGATTACAGGTGCGAGCCACCACGCCTGGCTCATGCTGCTCTTTCATAACTTGCACATGGCCTCTAGTAATTTTATGGCATCTTTCCACTTTACCACCCACTGTTGAATAACTTCACTTTTTAGGTATTTGTTATTTTAAACAGAGCAGCAAACATTCTTGCCTTGGCTTACCTCATCTGTTTGTGCTAGGTCTTATCTAGCACAAAATCTTTGGTCATACAAATGCATTAAATTTCCACTTCTGGTTTAATAGCTACATGTGCGAGTAGAGGGCTGGAATGTGGACATGGTCAATGTAGGGCAGTTTTCTCAGCAGGAGTATGAATCGGATAGTATATTAACCTTTTGTGTGTAAGTAATACGTATATATTTTAAACTTATTTAACCCCAAAAAAGTGGGGGGGATTTATTGGTTCACTTATTCAAGCATTCATTAAGCATTGATTATTACATTTCAGGCACTCTTGTCACCTGTTGAAAAAATCCAGGGATGAGCCGGGCGTGGTGGCTCACGCCTGTAATCCCAGCACTTTGGGAGGCCAAGGCGGGTGGATCACGAGGTCAGGAGATCGAGACCACCCTGGCTAACACGGTGAAACCCCGACTCTACTAAAAAAAAATACAAAAAAATTAGCCGGGCCTGCTAGCGGGCGCCTGTAGTCCCAGCTTCTCCGGAAGCTGAGGCAGGAGAATGGCGTGAACCCGGGAGGCGGAGCTTGCAGTGAGCCGAGATCGTGCCACTGCACTCCAGCCTGGGCAACAGAGTGAGACTCTGTCTCAAAAAAAAAAAAAAAAAAAGAAAGAAAGAAAGAAAATATAGAAAAATCCAGGGATGGATAAGACTTTATTTAAATCTAGTTGCTCACATAACAATATTAGTTGTCTATCATTCTCCATATTTCAGCTTTTCCTGCTGTCGGTTTTATTCCCAGGCAAGTAAACACAGACAGAAGCAACATTAATCATACATTGTGTCAGTTTATTAATGCCAGTAGAGAGAAAACTGTTTCTCTAGTGGATTTAGGAAGAATTTCAGAGTTGAGATGGATTATATTTCCATTGCTGAACCAGTCAATGTGACTGTGGTTAGACAGGCCTCGTTCACATATTAAGGCCTGAAGTTGGGGTGGTAAGATCAGGCCAGTAAGAATGACTCAGGCTAAGAATGAGGAAGAGTGGTGCCTCAAAAGGAGATTGAAGTACTTGTGGTGGTTGAACTGTGTTCAACTGACTTAATCTGGAATCAATTTTTCATACTTCCTCTCCTTATATTGCAAGGAGAGAAAGTATGTAATATTTTTGGAAGGCAGAAATAGAGCACTGGCCATTACTCTCTGAAGGTCATCCTACTCAGAGATGGTGACAAACAGGCAAAGAGTTGATTATAAATTCCAGGTTGCCCTCACCCTTGTTCACTTCACCTCCGGCATGTCTTCTTATCTGCTAAATCTGCTGACCAACAATGGCCCCAGGTCCACCAACAGACACTTAATTGTGGACCTACAGAGGGGAGAACTATACAGAGGCAATAGCATTCCCTTTGCAGTCCCACTTAGGTAATTGTATGTGCTTGACTTTTCAGATTAATTAGTTGGTGCCTCATTCTCTGTTTCTCCAAAGAGCCTACCTGGATTGTTGCTTCTTCAGCTCTTAGTATAGGTGTAGAAGGCTTAAATCCTATAACAAACCTCTTATTTCTAAAACTCATTAGGGTCTCCACTTCTCTTACTAAACCCTAGCTGACACTGTTTTTTGTTTTTTGTTTTTTTTGTATAGGAATTTGTTCCAGGGGAACAGGGACGTGATGATGGGGCTTTAAAATTTTGTTCTCTGGGGCTGGGTATGGTGGCTCATGCCTATAATCCCAGCACTTTGGGAAGCCAAGGTGGGAGGATCGCTTAAGCCCAGGAGTTAGAGACTGGACAACATAGTGAGACCCCTGTTCTCTAATGGAAAAAAGTTAGCTGGGCATGGTGGCATGCATTTGTAGATTCAGCTGCTTGGGAGGCTGAGGCAGTAGAATTGCTTGAGCCCAAGAGGTTGAAGCTATTGCTGTGAGCTGTGATCGCACCATTGGACTCCAGCCTGGGTGACAGAGTGAGAACTCTTGTCTCAAAATAAAATAAAATAAAATAAAATAAACAATAAACAAAGAAAATGTGGTATATATACCCAATGGAATACTATTCATTTTTTAAAAAGAAAAATATCTTGTCATTTTTGATAACATAGATGAACGTGGAGGACATTATGTTAAATGAAATAATCCAGGCAGAGAAAGACCAATAGAAATATAAAAAAGCTGCACTCATAGAAGCAGAAAGCAGAATGGTAGTTAACAAGGCCCAGGGGAAGGGGGCCCAGGGAAGATGTTGGTCAAAGGATATACAGTTTCATTTAGGCGGAAATTAAAGAATTCTACTGCCGGGCGCGGTGGCTCACGCCTGTAATCCCAGCACTTTGGGAGGCCAAGGTGGGCGGATCACGAGGTCAGGAGATCGAGACCATCCTGGCTAATACGGTGAAATCCCATCTCTATTAAAAAAAAATACAAAAAATTAGCTGGGCGTGGTGGTGGGTGCCTGTAGTCCCAGCTTCTCGGGAGGCTAAGGCAGGAGAATGGCTTGAACCTGGGAGGTGGAGCTTGTAGTGAGCTGAGATCACTCCACTGCACTCCAGCCTGGGCGATAGAGTGAGACTCTGTCAAAAAAAAAAAAAAAAAACTCTATTGTACAACATGATGACTATAGTTAATAACAAAGTATTATATTGTGGCCAGGCACTGGGTGGCTCACAGCTGTAATCCCAGCACTTTGGGAGGCTGAGGTAGGAGGATCACTTGAGCCCAGGAGTTAAAGACCAGCCTGGCCAACATGGTGAAACCCTGACTCTACTAAAAATACAAAACTTAGTCGGGCATTGCAGTGCATACCTGTAATCCCAGCCACTCAGGAGGCTGAGGCAGGAGAATCGCTTGAACCCAGGAAGCAGAGGTTGCAGTGAGCGGAGATCTTGCCACTGCACTCCAGCCTGGGTGACACAGTGAGACTCTGTCTCCAAAACAAAAACAAAACAAAGTATTGTATTCGCAAAAATTTCTAAGAGAGATTTTAAGTGTTCTCGTCACAAAAAATGTTAAGTATGTGAGGTAATGAATATGTTAATTAGCATCATTTAGTCATTCCACGATGTATGCATAGTTCAACATATATCACATATGATAAATATATACAATTTTAATTTATCAATTAAAATAATTATTAAAAATTATAAGGCCAGGCGCAGTGGCTCACACCTGTAATCCCAGCACTTTGGGAGGCTGAGGCGGGCAGATAACGAGGTCAGGAGATCGAGACCACGGTGAAACCCCGTCTCTACTAAAAATACAAAAAAAATTAGCCGGGCGTGGTGGCGGGCGCCTGTAGTCCCAGCTACTCGGGAGGCTGAGGCAGGAGAATGGCGTGAACCTGGGAGGTGGAGCTTGCAGTGAGCCGAGATTGTACCACTGCACTCCAGCCTGGGCGACAGAGTGAGACTCCTTCTCAAAAAAAAAAAAAAAAAAATTATAACCCATGTTTCTAGTAATCAAGTGCCTACAGAAATAGCTATTGTCAGCTTGGTGTGGTGGCTCATGCCTGTAATCCCAGCACTTTGGGAGGCCGAGTCGGGCAGATCACGAAGTCAGGAGATCGAGACCATCCTGGCTAACACAGTGAAACCCCGTCTGTACTAAAAATATAAAAAATTAGCCAGGCGTGGTGGTGGGCGCCTGTAGTCCCAGCTACTTGGGAGGCTGAGGCAGGAGAATGGTGTGAACCCGGGAGGCGGAGGTTGCAGTGAGCCAATATTGTGCCACTGCACTCCAGCCTGGGCAACAGAGCAAGACGCCATCTCAAAAAAAAAAAAAAGAAGAAAGAAATAGCTATTGTCATATATCAGTTTTGGGGAAGTGTGAAAATAACAAAGTTGTTTGCTTGCTTCTAGTTGTACTGTAGAAATTGGGGCAAAAAAACATGTAAGTTCAGAGGTTTAAATTCCTGGCTCTGGATCCAGGTAAGAAACCAGATGGCTTTTGCAAATTCCCTAAAATAAACTCTCAGCTCTTTTAGTTGCAAAGTGTCAAGATTTCTGACCAAACTCAAAGGCTAATCATGTGGATGGCTAAGTTACAGTGAAAATAGAATTTATAACACCACATGGTTTTTTATATTAATGTCAGGGCATTGATTGGGAATGAGTGAAAGAACTGGGGTCAGAACATAGAGAAGATTCCAATGAAGCTAAATACATCAAACCCCCAATTTTGCCTAGCAAATTTGGCAGTAGAAATAGCCTTTTTGTGTTCTGTTTGTGTAAATTCATCTCTTCTTGGCTGAAGAATCAGTGATGACCCTTATAAAGTCCAGTGATGCAGGGTATGGACTTGAAAGGATCCCTTCTGTGATGGTTAATATTGAGTGTCAACTTAATTGGATTGAAGGATACAAAGTATTGATTCTGGTTGTGTCTGTGAGGGTGTTACAGAAAGAGATTAACATTTGAGTCAGTGGGCTGGGGAAGGCAGATCCACCCTTCATCTGGTGGGCACAATCTATCAGCTGCCAGCGAACATAAAGCTGGCAGAAAAACTTGAAAAGGAGAGACTAGCCTAGCCTCCCAGCCTACATCTTTCTCCTGTGCTGGATGCTTCCTACCCTCAAACATCAGACTCCAACTTCTTCAGTTTTGGGACTCAGATGGGCTGTCCTTGTTCCTCAGCTTACAGACAGCCTATTGTGGGACCCTGTGATTGTGTAAGTTAATACTTAATAAACTCCCCTTTATATATATATATATATATATATATATATATATATATATATACTCTCTATATAAAGTATATACTATATACTATATAAAGCATATAGTATAAAAATATAACATATATACTATATACTTTATAGATATAAAATACTATACATAAAATATATGCTATATATAAACTAATACAATATATATCCTATTAGTTCTGTCCCTCTAGAGAACCCTGACTAATACAGATTTTGGTACCAGGAGTGGGGTCTAGAGGAACAGAATATTAAGCATGGAATTCTTTCATTGGTTTTGGGCTTTCTGGGATTGGCTGCTTAATATGATTAGACCTAAAAATGCTAAGAACTCTACTTCTAATATTATAGAGAACACTGATAGTCCCTGATGTGTACTGTTTTGGGAGTTATGCAAAATAAATGCATCTGACACTCCTGATTCACTGCTCGTGAGAGGAGTTTGGTGACTCTGTACATCATACCATGGACCATATGTGGAGAACCAATGAACATAATGAAGCTGATCAGTTGCTCCTAAGGTCAGTGGACAAAGTGATGAAAGAAAATGATAAACTCAGGGATTCTGTCTCCCAGCTTCAGAAGCAGATACTGAGCCTCAAATCTGCTAAGATTGCCATGAGTGAGAGTCTTATCTCCCACAGAGAAAGAGCTGAAATTGTGGAAAAACTGACACAAGCTCTTATCATGCCAGTGTCTGACCTGCAATGAAATACACATGCACAGTCTCACCAGGTGTCTACTGTTAAAGTGAGGGCATTGATTGGAAAAGAATGAGACCCTGAAACTTGGAATGGGGATGTGTGGGAGGACCCTGATGATGCTGGGGGGCTGAGTTTGTAAACTCTGATGAACCTTTTTTGCCAGAAGGAACAGCTTCCCCATCCTGAGTAGTGGCAACCTCCCCTCCCCAGCCCATGCTGCCATCAGCCTTTCCACCTTTCTCTGAAGAAATAAACCCTGCACTGTCTGAGGCAAGAGTGATGGCCTCCCCTGACACAGTTGCCAGGCAAGATAATGTTGATTCTCCTCAGATGTCACCCCGAACACGTCTGTTTGCTTCTAGACCTATAACTAGACTAAAGTCCTGGCGGCCCCCTAGAGATGGTTGAGAGTGTAACCCATGAGGAGGTGTACTACAGGCGAAAAGAGCTGTTTGAGTTCTCTAATTTATATGAATAGCAACTGGAGAACAAGCATGGGAATGGATTTTTTTTTTTTTTTTTTGACAGAGTCTCACTCCATTGCCCAGGCTGGAGTGCAATGGCACAATCTCGGCTCACTGCAACCTCCAGCTCCTGGGTTCAAGTGATTCCCCTGCCTCAGCCTCCTGAGTAGCTGAGATTACAGGCGCATGCCACACAATGCCTGGCTAATTTTTGTATTTTTAGTAGAGATGGGGTTTCACCATGTTGGCCAGGCTGGTCTCAAACTTCTGTCCTCAGGTGATTCACTCGCCTTGGCCTCCCAAAGTGCTGGGATTACAGGCATGAGCTGCCACGCCTGGCTGGGCATGGATATTAAGTGTATGGGATAATGGTGAAAAATGGATCAGGCTGAATTTATTGATTTGTGCCAACTAATTAGGGACTCTGCACTTAATGTTGCAGCTTGGGGAGTTAAAAAAAGGTTCTAATAGTTTATTTGCTTGATTAGCTGAAATATGGTTTAAAAGATGGCCCACTGTGAGTGAGCTGGAAATGCCTGATCCTCCTTGGTTTAATGTAGAGGAAGGGATCCAAAGACCTAGGGAGATTGGGATGCTGGAGTGGATTAGCCACTTTAGACCTACTCATCCCAGCTGGGAGGGTCCAGACCATATACCTTTAACCAATGCCTTGCGAAATAGATTTGTGAGGGCAGCACCTGTATCTTTGAAGGGACCTGTAATTGCTCTTCTCTGTATGTCAGATCTAACGGTGGGAACTGCAGTCACTAAACTACAAAAGTTAAATACAATGGAAATAATTGGATCCCGAGGTAGCAGGGGCCAAGTGGCGGCACTCAACCATCAAAGGCAAGGTGGGCATATCTTCCGTTATGGACAGCAGAGGCAAAGAGGCAATCAGAATAGTCTGACTCGTGTAGAGCTCTGTCATTGGCTGATTAATTACGGTGTTCCTAGAAGTGAAATTGATAGGAAGCCTACTGCATTCCTACTTAAATTATACAAATAGAAAATTTCTAGGTCGAAGGGACAAGACTAATTGAATTATAAAAACAGAGAATCATGGGCCCTCAATCAATTTCCAGACTTGAGCCAGTTTACAGACCCAGAATGCCTTGAATGAAGGGAAGTCCGGTTCCCCTTGAGGAAGGACCCCACTACATTACTTACAATTAACGCAGTCAATCTTTCTCCCATTCTTCCCCAAGGTCACCTCTGGCTTTTTACCAAGGTAACTGCGCATTGAAAAAGGGAAATGATCAGACATTAGGAACTACTGGACACTGGCTCTGAGCTGACGTTGATTCCAGGGGACCCAAAACATCATTGCGGTCCTCCAGTTAAAGTAGAGGCTTATGGAGGTCAGGTAATTAATGGAGTTTTAACTCAGATCTGACTTACAGTGGGTCCAGTGGGTCCCCCAACACATCCTGTGTCATTTCCCCAGTGCCAGAATGCATAATTGCATAAGCATACTTAGCAGCTGGCAGAACCACCACAGTGGCTCCCTGACTGGTAGGGTGAGGGCTATGATGATGGGAAAGGCCAAATGGAAACCATTAGAGCTACCTCTACCTAGAAAAATAGTAAATCAAAAACAATATGGTATCCCTGGAGCAATTGTTGAGATTAGTGCCATCATCAAGGACTTGAAGACCCAGGGGTGGTGATTCCCAGCACATCCCCATTCAATTATCTCATTTGGCCTGTGGAGAAGACAGATGAATCTTGGAGAATGACAGTGGATTATCATAAGCTTAACCAAGTGGTGACTCCAATTGCAGCTGCCAAACCAGATGTGGTTTCATTGCTTGAGTAAATTAACACATCTCCTGGTACCTAGTGTGCAGCCATTGACTTGGCAAATGCCTTTTTCTCCATTCCTGTCCATAAGGCCCACCAGAAGCAATTTGCCTTCGGCTGGCAAGGCCAGCAATATACCTTTACTGTCCTACATCAAGGGTGTATGAACTCACTGGCTTTGTGTCATAATCTTATTCAGAGAGAACTTGATTGCTTTTTGACTCCAGAAGATATCACACTGGACCATTACATTGATGACATTATGCTGATTGGATCCAGTGAGAAAGAAGTAGCAAACACACTGGACTTATTGGTGAGACATTTGCATGCCAGAGGATGGGATATAAATCTGCCTAAATTCAGAGACCTTCTACCTCAGTAAAATTTCTAGGGGTCCAGTGATGTGGGGCCTGTCGAGTTATTCCTTCTAAGGTGAAGGAGAAGTTGCTGCATTTGGCCCTTCCTACAACCAAGAAAGAGGCACAATACCTAGTGGGACTATTTGGATGTTGGAGGCAACACATTCCTCATTTGGGTGTGTTACTCCAGCACATTTATCGAGTGACCCGAAAGGCTGCCAGTTTTGAGTGGGGTTCAGAATAGGAGAAGGCTCTAAAACAGTTCCAGGCTGCTGTGCAAGCTGCTCTGTCACTTGGGCCATATGATCCAGCAGATTCAATGGTGCTTGAGGTGTCAGTGGCAGATAGGGATGCTGTTTGGAGCCTTTGGCAGGCTTCCATAGGTAATCACAGCAGAAGCCTCTAGGATTTTTGAGCAAAGCCCTGCCATCTTCTGCAGATAACTAATCCCTACCAACCTTTTTTTTGTTTGTTTGTTTTTTGTTTTTGTTTTTGTTTTTGAGATGGAGTCTTGCTCTGTTGCGCAGGCTGGAGTGCAGTGGCATGATCTCAGCTCACTGCAACCTGCACCTCCCGGGTACAAGCAATTCTCCTTCCTCAGCCTCCCGAGTAGCTGGGATTACAGGCATATGCCACCATGCCTGGCTAATTTTTGTATTTTTTTAGTAGAGATCGGGTTTCACCATGTTGGCTAGGCTAGTCTCGAACTCCTGACCTTGTAATCCACCTTCCTCGGCCTCCCAAAGTTCTGGGATTACAGACATGAGCCACTGCGCCTGGCCAACTACTCCCCTTTTGAGAGACAGCTCTTGGCCTGTTACTGGGCTTTGGTGGAAACTGAATGTTTGATGATGGGTCATCAAGTCACCATGCGACCTGAGCTGCCTATCATGAACTGGGTGCTTGCTGACCCATCTAGACATAAAGTGGGTAATGCACAGCAGCATTCCATCATCAAATGGAAGTGGTATATACGTGATTGGGCTCAAGCAGGTCTTGAAGGGACAAGTAAGTTACATGAGGAAGTGGCTCTAATGCCCATGGTCTCCACACCTACCACCCTGCCTTCTCTCCCACAGCCTGCCCTTATGGCCTCATGGGTTGTTCCCTATCACCAGCTGATAGAGGAAGAGAAGACTGGGACCTGGTTCGCAGATTGTTCTACATGATATGGAGGCACCACCCAAAAGTGGACAGCTGCAGCACTATAGCCCCTTTTTAGGACATCCCCAAAGGACAATTGTGAAGGGAAACCTTCCCAGTAAGCAAAATTTCAAGCAGTGTATCTGGTTGTACACTTTGCTTGGAAGGAGAAATGGTCAAATGTGCAATTATATACTGATTCATGGGATGTGGACAGTGGTTTGGCTGGATGGCCAGGGACATGGAAGAAGCATGATTGGAAAATTGGTGACAAATCTGGGGAAGAGGTATGTGGATGGACCTGTCTGAGTGGTCCAAAACTGTGAAGATATTTGTATCCCATGTGAGTGCTCACCAACAGGTGACCTCAGTGGAGGAGGAGTTTAATAAACAGGTGGATATGATGTTCTGTTGACACCACTCAGCCTCTTTCCCCAGCCACTCCGGTGATTGCCCAATGGTCCCATGAACGAAGTGGCCATGGTGGCAGGGATGGAGGTTGCACATGGGCTCAGCACCATGGACTTCCACTCACCAAGGCTGACCTGGCTATGGCCACTGCTGAGTGCCCAATTTGCCAGAAGCAAGAGACCAAAACTTAGCCCTCGATATGGCACCATTCCTTGAGGTGATCAGCCAGCTACCTGGTGGCAGGTTGATTACATTGGACCTCTTCCATCATGGAAAGGGCAGAGGTTTATCCTCCCTGGAATAGACACTTATTCCGGATGTGGGTTTGCCTATCCTGCGCACAATGCTTCTGCCAAGACTACTATCCATGGACTCACAGAATGCCTTATCCATTGTCATGGTATTCCACACAGCATTGCCTCTGACCAAGGCACTCATTTTATGGCTAAAGAAGTGCGGCAGTGGGCGTATGCTCATGGAATTCACTGGTCTTACCATGTTTGCCATAATCCTGAAGGAGCTAGATTGACAGAATGGTGGAATGGCCTTTTGAAGTCACAATTACAACACCAACTAGGTGACAATATTTTGCAGGACTAGGGCAAAGTTCTCCAGAAGACTGTGTATGCTCTGAATCAGCATCCAATGTATGGTACTGTTTCTCCCATGGCCAGGATTCATGAGTCCAGGAATCAAGGGTTGCAGGTGGAAGTGGATTGATCACTCACCATCACCCCTAGGGATCCACTAACAAAATTTTTGCTTCCTGTTCCCGCAACATTATACTCTGCTGGTCTAGAGTTCTTAGTTCCAGAGGGAGGAACGCTGCCACCAGGAGACACAAAAATTATCCTATTAAACTGGAAGTTAAGATTGCTACCTGGACACTTTAGGCTCCTCCTATCTTTAAGTCAACAGCATAAGAAGGGAGTTAGTGTTGGCTGGGGTAATTGACCCAGACCATCAAGATGAAACCAGTCTACTACTCCAGAATAGAGGTAAGGAAGAGTACACGTGGAATACAGGAGATCCATTAGGGCGTCTCTTAGTATTACCATGCCCTGTGATTAAGATCAATTGGAAACTACAACAGCCCAATCCAGCAGGACTACAAATGACCCAGACCCTTCAGGAATGAAGGTATGGGTCACTCCACCAGGAATAAAACCACTACCTGCTGAGGTGCTTGCTGAAGTCAAAGGGAATACAGAATGGGTAGTAGAAGGTAGTCATCAACACCAGCTACGACCATGTGACCAGCTGCAGAAACAAGGACTGTAACTATTATGAGTATTCCCTCTTTCTTTTGTTAAAAACATGTTTGTGCTTGTATACACATGTACAAGAAAATATCTTTATTGTATTTCCTTTCTTTTTTATCATGTGATCATGTGAAGTAAGATTTATTGACTTCATATCAGTATTTAAGCATGGTTAACTGTATGTAATAGTATTTGGGTTGGGGATTGGTGTGTTTCTGGTAGTACAAAGAATAGCTGTATTATGTTAGGCGTAATTATGACCTTATTATTGTCTTTATTTGAAGATTATGTATGATCTCAGAGGATGTGTATACGTTCAAGTTGACAAGGAGCGGACTTGTGATGGTAAATACTGAGTGTCCACTTGATTGAAGGATATAAAGTATTAATCCTGGGTGTGTCTGTGAGAGTGTTGCAAAAAGAGATTAACATTTGAGTTGGTGGGCTGGGGAAGGCAGATCTACCCTTAATCTGGTGGGCACAATCTAATCAGCTGCCAGCGAATATAAAGCAGGCAGAAAAACTTGAAATGGAGAGACTGGCTGAGCCTCCCAGCCTACAGCTTTTCTCCCGTGGTGGATGCTCCCTGCCCTTGAATATCAGACTCCAAGTTCTTCAGTTTTGGGATTCAGACTAGCTCTCCTTGCTCCTCAGTTTGCAGACAGCCTGTTGTGGTACCTTTGCAATAGTGTAAGTTAATACTTAATAAATAAATAAATAAATATCCCATTAATTTTTTTTTCTTCCTTAGCCATGGTAACTCATATGGTGTGAGTTCAGAGAGGGGGCAATGTAGCAGGAGTGAGGGCTAGAGTAATACAACTTACTTCTTCCTATAGGAGTTTATTCAAGCTGGTCTAGATTAATGATAGAGTGCTACTGCACACACTTACTTTTATGGTTTGGTAAAATTATATATATATAAAATTATATATAATATATATATCTCCCATTAATTCTGTCCCTCTAAGAGAACCCTGACTAATAAACCTTCCAAAGTTAAGCACAGGTAGTTTCATCTGATCCCTCCTAACAGTAAGAAAGAGACATAATGCCTAATGGGCCTCTGTGGATTTTACAGACAACATATACTATAGTTGCATATAGTATTCTGACCCATTTACCTGGTAACTCAAATGGCTGCTGATTTGGTTGGATCCCAGAGAAAGAGGAATCTCAGCATGAGATCAGGTTGCTCTTCAATCTATTCTGCCACGTGGGCCATATTAACCCAGCAGATGTAATTATGCTTGCACCATCTTTGGTAGATATGGACACTGTTTGGAACTTTTGGTGTGCTCCTATGGGATTCTGTAGCAAAGCTATTCCATTGTCTGCAGATTACTATTGTCTCTTTGAGAAATAGCTTCTGTTCAGTACAGACTGATAGCTTGACCATTGGCCACCAAGTTACCCTGTGATCTAAGCTGCCCATTATGAATTAAATGTTATAAACTTACCAAACCATAAAATTAAGTGTGTCCAGTAGCACTCTATCATTAATCTAGACCAGCTTGGAGAAACTCCTATAGGAGGAAGTAAGTTGTATTATTGTAGCCCTGACTCCTGCTACATTGCCCCCTCTCTGAACTCACACCATATGAGTTACCATGGCTAAGGAAGAAAAAAAAATGGGCTTGGTTCTGCATTATATGTTAGCATCACCTGAAATTGGGATGGATGCAGTACGATAGTCTAATCTGGAATGAATCTGAAGAATATTGGTGAAAGAAAATCCTCTCAGTGGCAGAATTTCAAGTGGTACATTTAGTTGTCCACTGTACCTGCTGTAAAGAATTGGCAAGAACTATGGATATATATTGATTCATGGTTATTTGCTGACACTTGGCTGGATGGTCTGGGACACGAAAAGAACAGAGTTGGAAGATTGGTGACATGACAGTCTGGGATAGAGGTACATGATTAGACAGACTTCTCCAAATGAGCAGTGAGTAGGAGGTATCTGTCCCTAGTGAATGTCACCAAAGAGCATCCTTAGCAAAAGAGGGTCTTTATAATAAGGTAGAAAAGATGATAAGATAATAAGGTCTATAAATGTCAGACAGTATCTTTCCCCAGGCATCCCTGTCTTTGCCCAGTGGGCTTTTGTGCAACGTAGTCATGTGGGCAGGGATGGAGGATATTCATGGACTCAGAAACATGGATTTCCATTGACCAAAACCACAGCAATGTGCCTGAGCTACCAAGAGCAGACACCAGTAATGAACCCCTGATTTAGCACCATTCCAGGGAGGGCAAGCCAATCCTGGTAGTAGGTTCATTACATTAAATCACGTCATTCAAAGGCTAAACTTTGTTCTCATTGGAATCAACTATTACTTTGGAAATGTACTCACATTCCCTGCCTGCAATGTTTCTGCCAAAACCACCACAATCCATGGATTTATAGAATGCCTAAATCATAATATCCCAAAGAATATTGCTTCCAACCAAGGAATTCATTTTATAACAAACGAGGTATGATGATATACTTATCCTCATAGAACTTGCTGGTTTTACTGTGTTCCCCATTACCTGAAATAGCTGTCCTCATGCAATGGTAGAATAATATTTTCCTGTATACTAAGTTACCTTTCAGAGGAAATAAAATATTTTACTTGCATTTATTTCATTTGACACTCTTCATTTCTTTGTATGGGTCCAAGTTTCTGGCCTACATAATTACTCTCCCTGGAATTGTTTTAAAATATTTCCTGTAGAGTAATTCTATTGGCAATAAATTCACTCAGTGTTTATTTGTTTGAGAAAATGTTTATTTCTTCTTCATTTTTAAAGGATACTTTTGCTGGGTATAGAATAGAATTCTGAGTTGACATTTTCTTTCAGCATTTGAAAGATATTACCCCATTTTCTTCTTTTTTGCATGGTTTCTGATGAAACATTTGTTGTAATTCTAATTCTTGTACCTCTACAGGTAATGTGTCTTTTTCTCTGGCTGGCTTCAAGATTTTTGTTTGTCTTTGGTTTGCAGCTATTTGAATGTGATATAGCCTAAGTTACCAGGTTTTGGTATTTCTCCTGGTTGGTGTTTTCTGAGCATCTTGGATCTATGATTTAGTGTCTATCACTAACTTTGGAAAATTTTTGGCCATTATTTACTGAAATATTCTTATTCTCTCTTTCTTCTCCTTCTGGAATTCTAATTATGCAAATGTTAGTCCATTTGATATTGTTTCACATCTTATGAATATTCTGTTGTGTTTTTTCATTCATCCCTTTCTTCTCTTTGCATTTTAGTTTGAATAATTTCTATTGACCTATCTTCAAGTTTATTGATTCTTTGCTTACCTGTATTGACTCTAATTGATGAGCTCATTGAAGACATATTTTCATCTCTATTATTGTTTTTGTTTTTTGTTTTTTTTTTTGAGTTGGAGTCTCACTCTGTCACCCAGGCTGGAGTGTAGTGGAGCGATCTCAGCTCACTGCAACCTCTGCTCCCAGGGTTCTAGGAATTCTCCCACCTCAGCCTCTTGAGTAGCTGGGATTACAGGCACCCGCCACCACACCAGGCTAATTTTTTTTTTGTATTTGTAGTAGAGACAGGGTTTTGCCATGTTGGCCAGGCTGTTCTTGAACTCCTGACCTCAGGTGATCCACCCTCAGCCTTCCAAAGTGCTGGGATCACAGGCATAAGCCATCGTGCCCAGCCTCTATTACTGATTTTTCTTTGTTGTTGGTTTTTTTTTTTTTTTTTTGAGACGGAGTCTCACTCTGTCACCCAGGCTGGAGTACAGTGGCACGATCTTGGCTCACTGAAACCTCCACCTCCCGGGTTCACACCATTCTCTTGCCTCAGCCTCCCAAGTGGCTGGGACTAAGGCACCTGCCACCATGCCCGGCTAATTTTTTGTATTTTTAGTAGAGACAGGGTTTCACTGTGTTAGCCAGGATGGTCTCGATCTCCTGACCTCGTGATCTGCCTGCCTTGGCCTCCGAAAGTGCTGGGATTACAGGCGTGAGCCACCACACCTGGCCTGTTCCTTCCCCTTTCTAAAACTACAGAATATATAGTTCAGTGTTTTATAATACATATAAACTATTATTAGGCCTGGTGCGGTGGTTCACGCCTTTAAACCCAGCACTTTGGAAGGCCAAAGTGGGTGGATCACTTGAGGTCATGATTTTGAGACTGGCCTGGTCAAGATGGTGAAACCCTGTCTCTACTAAAAATACAAAATTAGGCCGAGCGTGGTGGCTTGTGTCTGTAATTCCAGCACTTTGGGAGGCCAAGGCGGGCGGATCACGAGTCAGGAGTTCGAGACCAGCCTGGCCAATATGGTGAAACCCTGTCCCTAGTGAAAATACAAAAATTAACCAGGGGTGGTGGTGCGTGCCTGTAATCCCAGCTACTCGGGAGGCTGAGGCAGAGGAATCGCTTGAACCTGGGAGGCAGAGGTTGCAGTGAGCTGAGATCGCGCTACTTGCACTCCAGCCTGTGCGACAGAGTGAGACTCTGTTTCAAAAACAAACAAACAAACAAAAAAAACAAAAAAATCCCCACAAAAATTAGCCAGGCATGGTGGTGTGTGCCTGTAATCCCAGTTTCTCTGGAGGCCGAGGCAGAAGAATCGCTTGAACCTCGGAGGCAGAGGTTGCAGTGAGCTGAGATCACACTACTTGCACTCCAGCCTGGGCGACAGAGTGAGACTCTGTTTCAAAAACAAACAAACAAACAAACAAAAAAACAAAAAAAAAAACCCCACAAAAATTAGCCAGGCATGGTGGTGTGTGCCTGTAATCCCAGTTTCTCAGGAGGCCAAGGCAGGAGAACTGCTTGAACCTGGGAGGCGGAGGTTGCAGTAAGCCAAGCCACCGCACTCCAGTCTGGGAGACAGAGCAAGACTCCATCTCAAAACAAACCTCAAAAAACTATATAATATAGTATATATTTAAATATATATTTCAAATACATACAAAATATATGATATAATTCATATGAATTTTACATATATAATATATAATATTATCCTTCAGCATCCTAGTAAACCTTGTTCTTTTTCTGCAGTTTGTTCCTTTCTTCCCCCAAAAACAAATATGGATCTTCCTTTCTTGAAAAAAATAACAATTTGGGTCTTGTAGATTACAGCTTTCTATCTAATGTACCAAGGTATAATGATGTGGGCAGGTTCACTGATGTGACATGTATGGGTTACAGATATCCAGATACACTGACCCTCTTAACTATCATTGCCATCATGGGCAGCTGGAGGCAGCCGAAGCCCCAATCATCTTAGTTCTCCCCAGGCCTTGAGCAGGCATTTTTATTTACCACAGTATCCCACACAAAAGCAGTATTGTCAATTTTCAATTTCTACTACAACTGAAAATACTAAAATTTTACAAAGATGAATTAAAAATATTGATATTGGGAGTTAATTTAATTTTCCAAAAGTTGTGTTTTCAAAACACATTGGATGAGAGCTGTGATATGCAAATTATGCAGAATGCTTTCATGCCATTTTGACACAGATCTTTTATTGAGGCCATTTAGTGCTGTGACTATTTGGACTCTACAATTTTACTCCAGGTATTTTATACTCTAATCAATTATTTCATATTCTTCAGCTCAATACACAGCAGTTAAGCAGGAACACTGCTTAACATTTGTAAAAGAAAAGAATTATAAACAATCTAAGAAATTCCTCCAACAAAGGGGATGTCTGCTACATACATTATTTAATACAATTCTGTTACTTGGCTACATTTTTTTTTTAATTTGTATTTTAAGTTCAGGGGTACATGTGCAGATGTGCAGGTCGTTCCACAGGTAAATGTGTGTCATGGGGGGTTATTGCACAGATTATTTCATCACCCTGGTATTAAGCCTTGTACCCATTTTAGTTATTTTTCCTGGTCCTCTCCCTCCTCCCACTCTTCACCCGCTGATAGGCCCCAGTGTGTGTTGTTCCCCTCCATGTGTCCACGTGTTCTTATCATTCAGCTCACACTTATAAGTGAGAACATGTGGTATTTGGTTTTCTGTTTCTGCATTAGTTTGCTAAAGATAATGGCCTCCAGCTCCATCCATGTCCCTGTGAAGGAAATGATCTCATTCTTTTTTATGGCTGCATAGTATTCCATGGTGTATATGTACCACATTTTCTTTATTCAGTCTATCATTGATGGACATTTGGGTGGGTTCCATGTCTTTGCTATTGTGAATTGTGCTGCAATTAAATATACATGCATGTGTCTTTATAATAGAATGACTTCTATTCCTTTGGGTGTATACCCAGTAATGGAATTGCTGGGTCAAGTGGTATTTCTGTCTCTAGGTCTTTGAGGAATTGCTACGCTGTCTTCCACAATGGTTGAACTAATTTACACTCCTATCAATAGTGTATAAGCATTCCTTTTTCTCTACAACCTCACCAGCATCTATTATTTTTTGACTTTTTAATAATGGACATTCTGACTGGTGTGAAATGGTATCTCATTGTGGTTTTGATTTGCATTTCTCTAATGATTAGTGATGTTGAGATTGTTTTCTTGTTGGCTGCATGTATGTCTTCTTTTGAGAAGTGTCTGTTCATGTCCTTTGCCCACTTTTTAATGGAGTTGTTTTCTCTTGTAAATTTGTTTAAGTTCTGTATAAATGCTGGATATTATACTTTGTCAGATGCATAGTTTGCAAAATTTTTCTCCCATTCTGTAGGTTGTCTGTTTACTCTGTTGATAGTTTCTTTTGCTGTGCAGAGGCTCTTTAGTTTAATTAGATTCCACTTGTCAATTTTTGCTTTTGTTGCAATTGCTTTTGGTGTCTTTGTCATGAAATCTTTGTCCGTGCCTTTGTCCTGAATGGTATTTCCTAGGTTGTCTACCAGGGTTTTTACAGTTTTTACAGTTTTAGACTTAGGTTCTACACTTAAGTCTTTAATCCATCTTGGTTAATTTTTGTATATGGTGTAAGGAAGGGGACCAGTTTCAATTTTCTGTATATGGCTATTGGTACTTCTAAATGACATGCATATATCACTATCTCTATATTCACCATTTACTTATTATAGTAGCTTACTGATATGGTAGAATAGAATTCATCTCACTTATGCCCTTTTCCCTCTGCCCATTCTTCCAAACTATCCTTCTCTTTATTCTCCAAATAGATCTCTCTCATAAATCATTATGAAGTCAACATTCAGTATTTACATTATTAAAACCAGGTAAATATTATTTGCTCTTGAGCCAAATACTGTTCATGCTATTAGGGCCAGGAAAATATTATTTGCTGCTAACTCAAATAGTGCCCTATGATTATATTTTCTTTCTTCAGTAACTTTAATTTTCCTACAGGTAATTGGTTTATTTTTCATTAGTTTGTTGTTCTTTTCAAGAGAATTTCCTTCTTAAATCCTTAAACATCCTCTAAAAATGGCTTTTCACATGGCCCAATATATCAGATAACCTAGTATTTCCATTATTTCCCTCTGGAGATGCCTCTCGAGCACCTTGTGTTGCTCTCTGATCAGGATTTGTTCTTTTCCTTTGTATTTATTTTTTTATTTTTTTATTTTTATTTTTTGGGACGGAGTCTCACTCTGTCACCCAGGCTGGAGTGCAGTGGCGCTATCTTGGCTCACTGCGGGCTCCGCATCCCGAGTTCATGCCATTCTCCTGCCTCAGCCTCCCGAGTAGCTAGGACTACAGGCGCCCGCCACCATGCCCGGCTAATTTTCTGTGTTTTTAGTAGAGACGGGGTTTCACTGTGTTAGCCAGGATGGTCTCGATCTCCTGACCTCGTGATCCGCCCGCCTCAGCCTCCCAAAGTGCTGGGATTACAGGCGTGAGCCACCATGCCCGGCCTCCTTTGTATTTATTCTTAGAATTTTCTTCATCTCTCAATTGTATTGGGATCTCTTTTCTGAAACTCATTTTCTTCTTTTTGGTTTATGTTGTCACTTTTTGTAGATGGTATCCTTGATTAAGATTTCTGCAAAATTGTATATGAGAGGTAAATTTTTAAGATTTAGCAGATCTGAAAATGTCTGTATTCTAGCTTTATGTTTGTATATATATTTAGAGACAGAGTCTTGCTCTGTTGCCCAGGTTGGAGTGGAGCGGTGCAATCTTAGCTCACTGTAGCCTCAAACCCCTAGGCTGAAGCAATCCCCCTGCGTTGGCTTCCCAAAGTACTGGGATTACAAGAGTGAGCCATCGTGCCTGGACCCTCTAACTTCATGTTTAATCAATAGTTTAGTTAGTTACATAATGTTGAGCAGCATTTTTATTGAGTTTTGAGGGTAATGCTTCAAAATGCTTCAAAATTTCTTCTAGCTTCCAGTATTATAATTGAGAAATCCAGTATCATTTTTGTTTTGGATCCTGTGTATATGTGGCCTGTTATCCCCTTACTTCCACTTTACCACAAGCTTTTAGAATCTTCCTCTATTCTCAAGATCTTGAAATTTCAAGGTGATGTGCCTAGGTGCACGTCTCATAGTTTGTACTATTAGTGGACCCTTTGAATTTTGAGACTTCCTTCCGTCTGTTAGTGTGAAAGTTAATATAAGTGTCAACTTGATTGGATTGAAGGATGTGAAGTATTGTTTCTGGGTGTGTCTTTGAGGGTGTTGCCCAAAGCAGATTAACATTTGAGTCAGTGGACTGGGAGAGGAAGACCCACCCTCAATGTGGGTGGGCACCATCCAAGCAGCTGCCAGCATGGCTAGAATAAGTTGGCAGAAGAAGTTGGAAGAAGCTGGCTTGCTGAGTATTCAGCTTTTATCTTTCTTCCATGCTGGATGCTTCCTGACCTTGAACATCGTCTTCAGCCTTTGGACTCTTGGACTTACACCAGTGGTTTGCCAGGGACTCTTGGGCCTCTAGCCACAGACTGAAGCCTGCAATGTTGGCTTCCCTACTTTAGAAACTCTGGGACTCAGACTGAGCCACTATTGGCTTCCTTGCTCCTCAGCTTGCAGACAGCCTATCATGGGATTTCACCCTGTGATCATGTGAATTCTCCTTAATAAACTCCCTTTCATATGTACATATATCCTGTTGGTTCTGTCCCTCTGGAGAACCCTAACACAGTTAGATATTTTCCCTTTCTTTTCAACTATTAGTTAGACCTTGTAGACTGATTCTCTCCTTTTAAAAAATAATTTCTGGCCAGGTGCAGTGGCTCTTGCCTGTAATCTTAGCACTTTGGGAGGCTGAGGCGAGTGGATCACCAGAGGTCGGGAGTTTGAGACCAGCCTGACCAACATGGAGAAACCTCGTCTCTACTAAAAATACAAAATTAGCCGGGTGTGGTGGCACATACCTGTAATCTCAGCTACTTGGGAGGCTGAGGCAGGAGAATTGCTCGAACCAGGGAGGCAGAGGCTGCGGTGAGCCGAGATCGCGCCATTGCACTCCAGCCTGGGCAACAAGAGCGAAACTCTGTCTCAAAAAATAAATAAGTAAATAAATAAATAATAGGCTGGGCGTGGTGGCTCATGCCTGTAATCCCAGCACTTTGGGAGGCCACGGTGGGTGGATCACGAGGTCAAGAGATCGAGACCATCCTGGCCAACATGGTGAAACACCGTCTCTACTAAAAATACAAAAATTAGCTGGGCATGGTGGCACACACCTGTAGTCCCAGCTACTCAGAAGGCTGAGGCAAGAGAATCGCTTGAACCAGGGAGGAGGAGGTTGTAGTCAGCCGAGATCATGCCACTGCGCTCCAGCCTGGTGACAGAGCAAGATTCCGTCTCAAAAAAAAAAAAATCATAATAATAATTTCCTTTTTTTAAAACTCTGTCTTTAATTGTTTTATTTTACTGAGGATATTTATAATATCCCAGATCTTGCTCTTGCTCTCTGTGTTTTTTTATTATTGTGGTAAAGCATACATCAAATTTATAAGCTTAACCATTTTATTTATTTTTTATGTTTTTCTGGGAGACAGAGTCTTGCTGTGTCACCCAGGCTGGAGTGCAGTGGCGTGATGTTGGCTCACTGCAACCTCCACTTCCCAGGTTTAAGTGATTCTCCTGCCTCAGCTTCCCAAGTAGCTGGGACTACAGGCATGCATCACCATGCCCGGCTAATTTTTGTATTTTTTAGTAGAGAAGGGGTTTCACCATGTTAGCCAGGCTGGTCTCGAACTCCTGACCTTAGGCAATCTGCCCACCTCGGCTTCCCAAAGTGCTGGGATTACAGGCATGAGCCACTGCACCTGGCCAATTTTAAGCATTTTTAAATGTACAACTCGGTGGCATTAAGTATATCTACCATTTTTTGCAATCACCACTACTATCCATTTCCAAAATATTTTCATCATCTCAAACAGAAACTCTGTACCCATTAAACAATATTCTCCATTCCCCACTTCCCCCAGGCCCTGGTAAACTCTATTCTATTTTCCATCCCCATGAATTTCTTAATCTAGGTACCTTATCAGAGTGGAGTAATTCACCATTTGTCCTTTTTTGTCTGGCCTATTTCACTCAGCACAATGTTTCCAAGGGTCATTCATGTTGTAGCATGTAGAAGAATTTCATTCCTTTTTATGGGTGAGTAATATTCCATTATATGTACATACCATATGTATTCATTCATCTGTTGATGGACACTTGGGTTGTTTCCACCTTTTGGCTATTGTGAATAATGTGCTACAAACACTATGTACAAAGTAAGTCTTTAAACCTCTGAATTCATTTTTTAATACATATATATATACACACACCTAGGAGTGGAATTACTGGATCATATGGTAATTCTGTGTTTAACTTTTTGTTAACTGCCAAGCTGCTGTCCATTTTTTTTCACTTCCTTGCCAATACTTATTTTACCTTTTCCTTTTTTAAATGACAGCTCTCTTAATAGGTGTGAAGTGGTATGTTATTGTGGTTTCCATTTGCATTTTCCTAATGAGCAATTAGGAAAGCCATGTACATGAAGTGACTTTTTATTTATTCATGTCTTAATTGTCTTATTTAATTTCAGCAATGTTTTGCAGTTTTCATTGTACAAGTCTTCGGCCTCCTTGGTTAAACCTGTAAGTACTGTATTCTTTTTCATGCCATTGTAAATAGCTTCTATTTTAGGTAGAATTTTTATCTTTTTTTCCCCATGGTTACAATATGAAAGAAATATACTTCCTTCAAATGTATCCACTTTATTCTATCCTGTCTATCCATACTTGAGCAGCATATTACCTATTACTACACCTATACTACTATTTAAAATGTTGACAAGAACTATAATGAGGGCCAGGTGCAGTGGCTCACGCCTGTAATCCCAGCATTTTGGGAGGATGAGGCGGGTGGATCCCCTGAGGTCTGGAGTTTGAGACCAGCCTGACCAACATGGAGAAACCCCATCTCTACTAAAAATACAAAATTAGCTGGGCTTGGTGGCTCATGCCTGTAATGTAATCCCAGCTACTTGGGAGGCTGAGGCAGGAGAATTGCTTGAACCCAGGAGGCGGAGGTTGCAATGAGCCAAGATCATGCCATTGCACTCCAGCCAGGGTGACAGAGAGAGATTCTGTCTAACAAAAAAAAAAAAACAAAAAAAAACAAAAAGAACTGCAATGAATGTAGAGTCCTGTGCTCACCAATAAGGATAAGGACTTCCATTCATATTGACTGGCAGCAAAATGTGGAAGGTGACTGAATTTATCATTGCAGAAGTTTAGGTATTCCACACATGTTGACGAGCCAGCATTGTTTGCAAGATATAAAAAGAAACATGTCATAAAATATTGTATATTTATTCCATTAAGCATTTTTGTCTTCATCTCTGCAATATCACAAAATGTTGCTAAAAATCAAGATTTTTACATAATTTTAGTTCTAGTGAAATTATAGCAAAATTAGGCAACTTTTCTATAGATAATTATAGTTCTTAGGTAGTTCATTTTTCCCACAACTTTCCATTTTGATTAACTTAATTGTGTTGTAACACTTAGAGTTGTCAAAAACATTGTTAAGGTATATTTAGTTTAAAAAAAAGAATGAAGATATTTACATACTGTGTTCACACTATAATGTGGTCCATATTTTAAGTTATTCTCTCTGAAAATATTATAAAATACCTTACTTTCATTAATCATTCTCATATTGAGATTTCCACAATTTCTAAAAACAATATTTAGATCCATGTAGTATTTCTTACATTCTTTCAAAATTTTCATTTTGTCTTGCTTTAAAACAACATAATATGTGGCACTGTCCTAATAATTGCCTGTGTACTTTATTGTGTGCAGATGATGTTTTGCAATAAATAATTGATTCTTCATTTAATAAAGAATATAAGATTGCAGTGTGCTGGGGTTTTAATATGTGTCCCAAACTTCATGTGTTGGAAACTTAATTTCCAATTCAACAATGTTGAGACGTGGGTGCTTTAAGAGGTAATTAGGTCATGAGAGTTCTGCCCTCATGAAGTGTGATGCTATTATATCAGGAGTGGGTTGGTTATTGAGGGAATGAGTTCCTGATAAAAGGATAAGTTTGATCTCTCTCTCTCACTCTCTCAATGTCTGCATGTGCGCTCTTGCCCTCTGCCATCTAGCATTGGATGATGTAGCCAGAATGCCCTCAACAGATGAGGACCCCTTGATCTTAGACATCCCCACCTTCAAAACTGTGAGAAATAAATCTCTGTTCTTTATAAATTCCTTAGTCTCAGGCATCCTGTTATTGCATCCCAAAATGGACTAAATGAGAAAATTGGTATTAGAAGTAGGATTGTTGTTATAATAAATACCCCAAAATAAGCAAGTGACTTTCAAACTGAGTAATGGGTAGAGGCTGTAAGAATTTGGAGAAGCAGGTTAGAAAGAGCTTAGATTTCCATGAATGGAGTTTTAAAGGCAATTCTAGTGAGGGCTCAGAAGAAGCTGAGCTTTTGAGAGATTCTAAATCATAGGGATTAGTTAGGTGGTTGTGATCAGAATACTGGTAAAAATATGGATGGTAAATGCCATTCTGACAATATCTTAGATGGAACTGAGGAAGAAGGTACTGGAACCTGGAGTAAATGTCATCCTTTTTGTATTAGTCTGTTCTCATGCTGCTATAAGAACTGTCCAAGAATGGGTAATTTATAAAGGAAAGAGGTTTAATTGACTCACTGTTCCACATGGCTGGGGAAGTCTCAGGAAACTTACAATCATGGTGGAAGGGGAAGCAAACATGTCCTACTTCACATGATGGCAGCAAGAAGTAGGAGCAAAGGGAGGCGGAAGTTTTTTTCAATAAAACCATCAGATCTTGTGAGAACTCACTATCATCAGAACAGCATGAGGGTAACCTCCTCCATGATTCAATTACCTCCCACCAGGTCCCTCCAACAACATGTGGGGATTATGGAAACCACAATTCAAGATGAGATTTGGGTGGGGACACAGTCAAACCATATCATTCTTCCCCTGGCCCCTCCCAAATCTCATGTCCTCACATTTCAAAATGCAATCATGCCCTTCCAACAGTCCCCCAAATACAAATTCTTAACTCATTCCATCAACTCAAAAGTCCAAGTCCAAAGCCTAATCTGAGACAAGGCAAACCCCTTCCACCTATGAATCTTTAAATTTACTTCCTAGATACAATGGGGGTACAGGCATTGGGTAAATATACCTGTTCCAAAGGGAAGAAATTGGCCAAAACAAAGGGGCTACAGTCCCATGCAAGTCCAAAATCCAATAGGGCAGTCATTAAACCTTAAAGTTCCAAAATGATCTCCTTTGACTCCATATCTCACATCCAGGTCATGCTGATGCAAGAGGTGGGCTCCCAAATGACCTTAGGAAGCTCTGTCCCTGTGGCTTTGCAGGGTATAGCCCCCCTCCCAGCTGCTTTCATAACTGGCATTGAGTTTCTGTGGCCTTTCCAGGCACACAGTGAAAGCTGTCAATAGATCTACCATTCTGGGGTCTGGAGGATGGTGACCCTCTTCTCACAGCTCCACTAGGCAGTGCCCCAGTGGGGACTGTGTGTGGTGGCTCCAACCCCACATTTCCCTTCTGCATTGCCCTAGCAGAGGGTCTCCATGAGGGCTCCACCCCTGCTGCAGACTTCTGCCTGGACATCCAGGCATTTCCACACATCCTCTGAAATCTAGGCGGAGGTTCCCAAACCTTAATTCTTTTTTTTGAGATGAAGTTTAGCTCTTGTTGCTCAGGCTGGAGTGCAATGGCGCGATCTCAGCTCACTGCAACCTCCGCCTCCTGGTTCAAGTGATTATCTTGCCTCAGCCTCCCAAGTGGCTGTGATTACAGGTGGTGCCACCATGCCCGGCTAATTTTTGTATAATCAGGAGAGACAGGGTTTCATCATGTCGGCCAGGCTGGTCTCAAACTCCCTATCTCAGGTGATTCACCTGCCCAAACCTCAATTCTTGACTTCTGTGCACCTGCAGGCCCAACACCACATATAAGCCACCAAGGCTTGGGGCTTGCACCCTCTGAAGCAATGGCCTGGGCTGTACCTTGGCCCCTTTTAGCCACAGCTGGAGCTGAAGCAGCTGGGGCTCTCGAAACCATGTCCTGAGGTTACATAGAGCAGTGTAGTCCTGGGCCTGGACCATGAAACCACTTTTCCCTCCTATGCCTCCAGGCCTGTGATGGGAGGGGCTGCCTCAAAAGTCTCTGACATGCCCTGGAGACATTTTCCCCATTGTCATAGTGATTAACATTCAGCTTCTCATTACTTATGCAAATTTCTGCAGCTGGCTTGAATTTCTCCCCAGAAAATGAGGTTTTCTTTTCTATCTCATCTTTAGGCTACAAATATTCCAAACTTTTGTGTGCTGCTTACTCCTTTTTATTTGTTTTTTGAGATGGAGTTTCACTCTTGCCCAGGCTGGAGTGCATAGTGCGATCTTGGTTCACTGCAACCTCTGCCTCCCAGGTTCAAGCAATTCTCCTGCCTCAGCCTCCCAAGTAGCTGGGATTACAGGTGCACACCAACATGCCCTGCAAATTTTTGTATTTTTAATAGAGGTTCAAAACGGGGTTTCACCATGTTGGCCAGGCTGGTCTCAAACTCCTGACCTCAGGTGATCCACCCGCCTTGGCCTCCCAAAGTGCTGGGATTACAGACATGAACCACTGTGCCCAGCCATTCTGCTTCCTCTTGAATACTTTGCCACTTAGAAATTTCTCCCACTAGATACCCTAAATCACCTCTCTCAAGCTCAAAGTTCCACATATCTCTAGGGCAGGGGCAAAATGCCACCAGTCCTTCTGCTAAAGCATATCAAGAATCACCTTTATTCTAGCTCCCAACAAGTTACTTGTCTCCATCTGAGACCACCTCAGCCTGGACTTCATTGTCCATATCACTATCGTCAAAGCCATTGAACAAGTCTCTAGTTAGTTCCAAACTTTCCCACATCTTCTTGTCTTCCTCTGAGCCCTCCAAACTGTTCCAACTTCTGCCTGTTACTCATTTCCAAAGTTACTTCCACATTTTCAGGTATCTTTACAGCAGCATCCCACTCTCTGCAGTAGCAATTTACTGTATTAGTCCATTTTCACACTGCTATAAAGAACTGCTCGAGACTGGGTAATTTATAAAAGAAAGAGGTTTAGTTGACTTACAGTTCCACATGCCTGGGGAGGCCACAGGAAACATGACTTTTAATGGCAAAAACCCCAATTATCTTTGCACCAGCATAATACAATCACAGTGGAACAGTAAGCAAACACGTCCTTCTTCACATGGCAGCAACAAGGAGAAGTATGAGTAAAGACGTGGAAAAGCCCCTTATAAAACCATCAGATCTCATGAGAACTCACTATCATGAGGGTAACCAACCCCATGATTCAATTACCTCCCACCGGTCCCTCCCATGACACACAGGGATCATCAGAACTACAATACAAGATGAGATTTGGGTGAGGACACAGCCAAATAATGTCTCTTGTTACACAGTTGTAAAAATCTTGGTGGAATTATGTCCATGTCCTAGGACTTTGTGGAAAGCAGAACTTAAGAGCAGTGAACTAGGGTATCTGGCAAAAGAAGTATCTAAGTAGCAAGGTATTTAAGGTGCTACATGGCTTATTTTGGCCACTTTAAATAAAATGAGCGAAGAGAGGAACGATTTGAAGACAAAATGTATAATTAAAAGAAAATCATAATGAAAAGATTTGGAAAACTCAACCTGTCCATGTATAGAACAAAGAAGCATGTTTAGGAGACAAGACTAAGAGCATGGCCAAGCAATTATTTGGTAAAGAGATTAATATGGATAGAAGAAAGCCAGATTCTATTCATCAAGACACTGGAAAAATGACCCCAAAGGCATTTCAGAGATCTTTGAGGGAAGATAAAACCTTGAATGCACCTCTCCCTCTCCCTCTCCCTCTCCCCCTCCCTCCCTCCCCCTCTCCCTCTCCCTCTCCCCACGGTCTCCCTCTGCCTCTCTTTCCACGGTCTCCCTCTGATGCCGAGCCGAAGCTGGACTGTACTGCCGCCATCTCTGCTCACTGCAACCTCCCTGCCTGATTCTCCTGCCTCAACCTGCCGAGTGCCTGCAATTGCAGGCACGCGCCGCCACGCCTGACTGGTTTTCGTATTTTTTTGGTGGAGACGGGGTTTCGCTGTGTTGGCCAGGCAGGTCTCTAGCTCCTAACCGGGAGTAATCTGCCAGCCTCAGCCTCCCGAGGTGCCGGGATTGCAGATGGAGTCTTGTTCACTCAGTGCTCAATGTTGCCCAGGCTGGAGTGCAGCGGCGTGATCTTGGCTCACTACAACCTCCACCTCCCAGCCGCCTGCCTTGGCCTCCCAAAGTGCCGAGATTGCAGCCTCTGCCTGGCCGCCACCCCATCTGGGAAGTGAGGAGCGTCTCTGCCTGGCCGCCCATCGTCTGGGATGTGAGGAGCCCCTCTGCCCGGCTGCCCAGTCTGGGAAGTGAGGAGCGCCTCTTCCCGGCCGCCATCCCGTCTAGGAAGTGAGGAGCGTCTCTGCCCGGCCGCCCATCGTCTGAGATGTGGGGAGCGCCTCTGCCCCGCCACCCCATCTGGGATGTGAGGAGCGCCTCTGCCCGGCCGCGACCCCGTCTGGGAGGTGAGGAGCATCTCTGCCCGGCCACCCCGTCTGAGAAGTGAGGAGCCCCTCTGCCCGGCAGCCGCCCCGTCTGACAAGTGAGGAGCCCCTCCGCCTGGCAGCCACCCCGTCCGGGAGGTGGGGGGGGCAACCCCTGCCCGGCCAGCCACCCCGTCAGGGAGGGAGGTGGGGGGCGCCTCCGCCTGGCTGCCGCCCCATCCGGGAGGTGGGGGGGCGCCTCTGCCCGGCCGCCCCTTCTGGGAAGTGAGGAGCCCCTCTGCCTGGCCGCCACCCCGTCTGGGAGGTGTACCCAAGAGCTCATTGAGAACGGGCCATGATGACGATGGCAGTTTTGTCAAATAGAAAAGGGGGAAATGTGGGGAAAAGATAGAGAAATCAGATTGTTGCTATGTCTGTGTAGAAAGAAGTAGACACAGGAGACCCCATTTTGTTCTGTACTAAGAAAAATTCTTCTGCCTTGGGATGCTGTTGATCTATGACCTTACCCCCAACCCGGTGCTCTCTGAAACATGTGCTGTGTCCACTCAGGGTTAAATGGATTAAGGGCGGTGCAAGATGTGCTTTGTTAAACAGATGCTTGAAGGCAACATGCTCGTTAAGAGTCATCACCACTCCCTAATCTCAAGTACCCAGGGACACAAACACTGCGGAAGGCCCCAGGGTCCTCTGCCTAGGAAAACCAGAGACCTTTGTTCACTTGTTTATCTGCTGACCTTCCCTCCACTATTGTCCTATGACCCTGCCAAATCCCCCTCTGCGAGAAACACCCAAGAATGATCAATAAAAAAAAACAAAAACAAAAAACAAAAAACCTTGAATGCAAGGTTTCCAGTGAGACACCTGAGGGACCTCAGCATTCATTGCCCTGTGCTACCTTGAGACTTTGTTTCTTGAACTCTAATGCAGTGCTCCTCACCTATCCCCGCTGTGAGTCAAGTGAGGTTAGCTGGCTGAAACCACTGCTCCAAAAGGTACAAGCCATAAACTTTGGTAGTATCCATGGAGTGCTAATTCTGCAGGAATACAGAATGCAAGAGCTATGGGGCCATAATGGCCTCCACCTAGACTTCAAAGAATGTTGTAGAAAGCCTGTTGTAGGGGCCCAGGCAATTACTTATCTTGGGCAGAGTAATTGTAACAGCCCCCACTAGAGTAATACTTTGTGGCACGGGAGTGGGACAGCCCTCAAAGTCACAGAACTGTAGAGCCACCAGCATGCAGCTCCCATCTTTCCCAGCCTAGGAAAGTTGCAGGCAGGAGTCTCCAACCTGTAAGAATTGATGGTTGGACTAAGCCCAGCAAAGCCATAGGGGTAGGGCTGCCTACATCCCTGGAGGCCCAGCCCCATGCCCTCAAGTGTGCCCAGGATATGGAGCATGGAGGCAAAGATTATTCTCCAGCTTTAAGACTTAATGTTGTTTTCCCTGTTAGATTTTGGACTTACCTGGGAGCTGTTACCCCTTTCTTTATGGCTATTTCTCCCTTTTTGAAGGGGAATGTCTATCTTACGCCTGTCCCACCATTGTATTTTAGAAGCATGTTACTTGTTAATTTCACAGGCTCACAGCTGGAAAGGAATTTGCCACAGAATGAATTGTGCCTTGAGTCTCACTCATAGATGAGTCAGATGAAACTCTGGACTTTGCTCTCACAAGTTTTTCTTTCCTTTCCTTCCTTTTCTTCTCTTCCCTCCCTCCCTCCTTTCTCTCTCTCTTCTTTTCTTTCTTTTTCTTTCTTTCCTTCCTTCCTCCCTCCCTCCCTTCCTTCCCTCCTTTCTTTTTTTTTCTCTCTTTCTTTCTTTCTTTAATTTGAGATGGAGTTTCGCTCTTGTTGCCCAGGCTGGAGTGCAATGGCGCAATCTTGGCTCACTGCAATTTCTGCCTCCCGGGTTCAAGCGATTCTCCTGCCTCAGCCTCCGGAGTAGCTGGGATTACAGGCATGCGCCACCACACCCGACAAATTTTGTATTTTAGCACAGATGGGGTTTCTCCATGTTGGGCAGGCTGGTCTCGAACTCCCAACCTCCGGTGATCCGCCCGCTTCGACCTCCCAAAGTGCTGGGATTACAGGGTTGAGCCACTGCACCCAGCCTTCGCAAGTTTCGTAAAAGAAACATTTTGCATCATTTACTTTTCACCAATCTGTTTGGCATGCCTCTAATGATATCAGAATCACCTGGATCAGTGTGCACATACTCTGCAGTATTTTCTGCACATTGTGTCCAATTCAATATTATTGCCACTGTAGTAATGAACACCACTTTTGGCCAACATGGCACAGTATCCTATTTTGGATTTCCTCAAAGTGGGGCAGTTGTTGGTGAGCATAATCAATTTCACTTTGCCTTGTCTGATCACCTTTGGAGTTTGCTTGTACCCCAGCACATACTTTACACTTTCTTTGTTTTTGTTTTTGTTTTTGACATGGAGTCTCGCTCTGTTGCCAGGCTGGAGTGCAGTGGCGCGATCTCGACTCACTACAATCTCCACCTCCCGGGTTCAAGCCATTCTCCTGCCTCAGCCTCCCAAGTAGCTGAGACTACAGTTGCGCACCACCCCGCCCAGCTTATTTTTGTATTTTTAGTGGAGATGGTGTTTCACCACATTGGCCAGGATGGTTTCGATCTCTTGACCTCATGATCCACCTGCCTCGGCCTCCCAAAGTGCTGGGATTACAGGCGTGAGCCACGGTGCCCAGCCTACTTTCTGCCTTTCATAATGAGTTGGAGCCTAGAGTTGATTGACACCAATGACTTTTTCATCTTCTTTAGAGCCATCATCTTTCTTTCTTAGGTGTGGGATGACCCCCAACCAAGAGCAGCTTCAGGGCTAGGTGTGGTGTCTCATACCTAAAAAATACAAAAAAAAAAAAAAAAAAAAAAAAATTAGGCATGGTGGTGCATATCTGTAATAACAGCTACTCAAGAGGCTGAGGCATAAGAGTCACTTGAACTCTTGAGGCAGAGGTTGCAGTGAGTTGAGATTGCGCCACTGTACTCCAGCCTGGGTGGCAGAGCAAGACTCTGTCTCAAAAAAACAAAAACAACACAAAAACAAAAACTGTAAAGAATAAAAGTGAGTAGACTTCTCTCAAGCATTAACCACATAAAATCTGTGAAAAGGATATTATACAATTTTTATTTAATGGAAAATTAATCACTAATCAAAGCAAGAACATGAGAAATGGTAATTCCCTCAAATCTTCAACCATACAAGTCAATTGAAATCCCTGTGCCTCAGTCCATTTTGTGCTGCTATAACAGGATACCTGGGAGGCAGTAATTTATAAAGAACAGATTTATTTCTTACAGATCTGGAGGCCGGGAAGTCTAAGGTTGAGGGGCCTACATTTGGCAAGGGCCTTCTTGCTGCGTCATTCCATGGTGGAAGGTGGAAGGGCAAGAGATCATATGCACATGTGCATATTGAGAGAGAGAGAGCTCCAACTTTTTTTTTTTCTTAGACAGAGTCTTACTCTGTCGCCCAGGTTGGAGTGCAGTGATGCAATCTCAGCTCACTGCAACCTCCGCCTCCTGGGTTCAAGTGATTCTTCTGCCTCAGCCTCCTGCGTAGCTGGGATTACAGGTATGCACCCCCACACCTGGCTAATTTTTGTATTTTTAGTAGACACAGGGTTTCACCATCTTGGCCAGGCTGTTCTTGAACTCCTGACCTCGTGATCCACCCACCTCAGCCTCCCAAAGTGCTGGGATTACAGGCGTGAGCCACCGTGTCTGGCCATCAGGAGCCTACTATTAAAAGAGCCAAACTACTCCCAAGATAACAGCATTAATTCATTTATAAGGGCAGAGATTTCATGACCTGATCCCCTCTTGAAGGTCTCACCTGTCAACATTGTTGCATTGGGGATTAAATTTCCAACACTGAATATGAAATTTGGGGGACATATTCAAACTATAACATTCTGTTCCTGGCTCCCCAAATTTATGTCCTCGCATGCAAAATACATCCATTCCATCCCAATAGCCTCAAAGTCTTAACTTGTTACAAAACTAACTCACAAGTCCAGAGTCTCAGGCATGGTGGCTCACGCCTATAATCCCAGCACTTTGGGAGGCTGAGGCAAGAGGATCACTTGAGCTCAGGAGTTCGAGACCAGCCTGGGCAACATGGTCAAAACCCACTTCCTAAAAAAAAAACAAAAAAGGGCCAGGTGCGATGGCTCATGCCTGTAATCCCAGCACTTTGGGAGGCTGAGATGGGTGGATCACGAGGTCAGGAGATCGAGACCATCCTGGCTAACGTGGTGAAACCCAATCTCTACTAAAAATACAAAAAATTAGCTGGGCATGGTGGCGGGCACCTGTAGTGCCAGCTACCCAGGAGGCTGAGGCAGGAGAATGGTGTGAACCCAGGAGGTGGAGCTTGCAGTGAGCCGAGATGGCGTCACTGCACTCCAACCTGGGTGACAGAGTGAGACTCCATCTCAAAAAAAAAAAAAAAAAAAAAGAAGAAGGCCCAGAGTCTCACCTGGCATCCCGGCTCTGCCCCGAAGAGCTTTGCATTGTGGAAACTCCTTTCTTTCTCACTCCCTGGCCATCTTAGACAGCTGCTCATTTAAAAATATCTTTTGTGGGGACCAGGACAGAGGTCCCTCTTACCTAGCTAAAACTGCAATACCAGTTCTATACTTTTCAGTGAGTCCTAGTTCAATATCTTCTAATAAGAACCATTTCACCTATTTAGGTAGCCTATCTATGTTGGAAGATGGTAATGATGCCCTTTCCCTTCTCTAATTACTTCCTGTATTAGTTTTTTATTGCTGGGTAATACATTACTACAAACTTAGTAACAAAACAATACACATTTATAATCTCACAGCTTTTGTGGGTCAGGAGTTTGGGCCATAGGTGTATCTTCTGCTCAGGGTCTCAGAGGCTGCAATCAAGGTGTTACCTGGGTTGTATTTTCATCTGGGGGCTTGGTTGGAGAAAAATCTAAATTCATTCAGTTTGTTGGTAGCTTTTATTTCCTCAGGACTATATGACTGAGGGACCGGGCTTTTTTTTTTTTTTTTTTTTTTTTTTGCTCCTGGTTGTCTGGAGCCTGCTCTCAGGTCCTAGAGGTTACCCAAAGAACCTACAGGCCACTTGTGGTAACCTTCCATATAGGCTTATTCAACATGGCTGCTTTCTTCATCAAGCAAGCAAGGAAAAGTTCTCTCCTCAGGGAGGATCCAGCTTCTTTTCAAAGGGCTTTTACCAGATTAAGTCAGGTCCACCCAAGATAATATCTCTTTTGGTTAACCCCAAATCAGTTTATTTGGTTCTTTATTACATCTGCAAAATTCTTGGCTAAAAGCAAGTTACAGGTTCTGCCCTCGCTCAAGAGAAGAGGATTATAGAGACTGTGATCACCAGAAGGTGAGGATCATGGAGGTCATTTTCCTATTCTCAAGAGTTGTTTCTTAAGTTTTTCCAAATTTGCCTATTTAACACCTCATTCAACTTCTCTGCAAGTTTGAGGACAATAATAAAAATGATCAGGTTGTTGTTGATTCATCTTCTCTCTTAATGGGAGGGTGGGGAGTACTGATAGAAACTGTTCAAGCTGAACTATGTATTAGTACTACTCCTACAAGTACTACTATTACTACTACTCTTAGATAATATTTATTGGGCCATCACTATATATCCAGTATTACTCCAAGTATTTTACCAGAATTTAGTCTTCATAATAACCTTAAGAGATCAGGGATATATATAATTTTTTTTTTTTTGAGACGAAGTCTCTCACTTTGTTACCCGGGCTGGAGTGCAGTGGTGCGATCTCGGCTCACTGCAACCTCCACCTCCCAGGTTCAAGTGATTCTCCTGCCTCAGCCTCCCGAGTAGCTGGGATTACAGGCGCCTGCCACTACGCCCAGCTATTTTTTTTGTATTTTTTGTAGAGACGGGGGTTTCACCATGTTGGCCAGGCTGGTCTTGAACTCCTGACCTTATGATTTGCTGGCCTCAGCCTCCCACAGTGCTGGGATTACAGGCGTGAGCCACTGCGCCTAGCCATATTTTTTTTATTTTTATTTTGGAGACTATCTCACTCCATTACCCAGGTTGGAGTGCAGTGGCCCAGTCTCCCCTCACTGCAACCTCCACGTCCCAGACTCAAGCGATCCTCCCACCTCAGCCTCTCAAGTAGCTGAGACCACGGGCATGCACCACCACACTGGGCTAATTTTTATATTAATTAATTAATTAATTAATTTTTGATTCCGAGTCTCACTCTGTTGCTCAGACTTGAGTGCAGTGGCACCATCTTGGCTCACTGAAACCTCTGCCTCCTAGGTTCAAGCGATTCTCCTGCCTCAGCCTCCCGAGTAGCTGGGATAACAGGCATGCACCACCACACCTGGCTAACTTTTGTATTTTTAGTAGAGACGGTGTTTCACCATGTTGGCCAGGCTGGTCTTGAACGCCTGACCTCAAGTGATCCGCCCACCTTGGCCTCCCAAAGTTCTGGGATCACAGGCATGAGCCACTGCACCCAGCCTAATTTTTGTATTTTTTGTAGAGACTGGTTTTGCCATGTTGTCCAGGCTGGTCTGGAATTTCTAGGCTCAAGTGATTCACCTGCCTCTGCCTCCCAAAGTGCTGGGATTACAGGCATGAGCTGTGCTTGCTCGGGAGGGCTATTTTTATCATCCCCATTTTATAGACTGGGAAACATTTGCGTAGAGAATTTCAGGACACTAAACAAGTAAGAAGTAGAGCCAAGGTTTCAATTCAGGTAGTAAGCCTTCAGAACCTGAAAGCACTAGATTAAGCTTCCTGTTTTATTATTTTGTACTCAGAAACTTCAGTTTTCCATTTCAATGGCTTTTCGGAGTTTATGCTGTTTTTCTTTTTTTTTCTTTGATATGGAGTTTTGCCCTTGTTGCCCAGACTGGAGTGCAATGGCATGATCACAGCTCACTGCAACCTCTGCCTCCTGGGTTCAAGCAAATCTCCTGCCTCAACCTCCCAAGTAGCTGGGATTACAGGCGTGGGACTAATTTTATATTTTTAGTAGATATGGGGTTTCAACATGTTGGTCAGGCTGGTCTCGAACTCCTGACCTCAGGTGGTTCACCTACCTCGGCCTCCCAAAGTGCTGGGATTACAGGTGTGAGCCACCGCGCCCGGCCTATGCTGTTTTTAAAAAGTTCTGTTTTCTTTGTTCAGTTGCTACAACTGAAATGTATTGGTTTATATTTATTATTTTAGTTTAGGTCTTTTTTTTTTTTCTTTTTTTGTGAGACAGGTTCTATGATCCTACTTTACTCTAGCACTTTTTCCTAGGAAAATTATATTTAGCCTGTATCATTTTAGCCTAAATATACCAATAAAAACATAATGGTAGATAAAATATGAAAATCCTTTTGTACTAACTGGTAAGTAGCTGCCCCATCCTACCACACCCTTCATACCACCAAGTCAGGCTCAGTCCCCAGCTGAAGAGCCTCTGGACCTCTTCAAGATCCTACAACTAAAGAATTAACACCTGACAAAATAGGGTGGGGGGAGGGAAGTCTTCAAGCCTGCTTCCATTCTGATTGGTCAGTGATATAGGGATTGATAAATATTTTAAATGTGGTCCTACCTAGAAGTCTTAAGTTCAGCTTTTTTCATTCTTCATTGTTTTTGTATTTTCTGTTATTTTCTAACTTGAATACTTTCTTTTGTACCTAGTCTGACAGCCTAGGTACAAAGTTCTACATCATAAGTCAGGTCAAGTATCACTTCCTCTGTGAAGTTTTCCCATATAGTATGAGGAAGATTTAGGTTCTCTCATTTTAGAATTTTTTTATGCTTAAGACATACCACCAAAATATTAATGATCTCATAATGTTTATCTGTATTTACAACTCTTTCCCCATGAGAAACAGTGTCATTTCCTTTGGGCATCCCCAGTGCCCAGAATAGTTTGTGAGACATTATAAATATTGTATTCATTGAACAAATCAATGAATAGTTGATTAGGTCAACCAGCGGGTTTGCATGGCTGAAGAGACTGTAACTGTGGTTGAGGATATCTGAGGAGATTCGAATCCAATAAAATTGTCTAGTTGGAGTCTTCAGGAGGCAAGTCTAGAATATGAGCATATCTAAGAAAACTGATAAATCTGTGGTTATGCTGAATTATTTTTCCATTTGCTATTAGCATGGATAATCAAGAATAGACTATCATAGGCCAAGCATGGTGGCTCATGCCTGTAATCCCAGCACTTTGGGAGGCTGACGTGGGCAGATTACCTGAGGCCAGGAGTTCGAGACCAGCCTGGCCAATATAGCAAAACCCCATCTCTACTGAAAATACAAAAAATTAGCCGGCCGTGGTAGAGTGTGCCTGTAGTCCCAGCTACTCAGGAAGCTGAGGCAGGAAAATCGCTGAACCTGGGAGGCAGAGGTTGCAGTGAGCTGAGATCGTGCTACTGCACTCCAGCCTGGGCAACAGGGCAAGACTGTCTTAAAAAAAAAAAAAAAAAAAGAAAGAAGGCCAGATGTGGTGGCTCACGCCTTTAATCCCAGCACTTTGGGAGGCCGAGGCGGGTGGATCATGAGGTCAGGAGTTTGAGACCAGCCTGGCCAAGATGGTGAAATCCTGTCTCTACTAAAAACACAAAAATTAGCTGGGCGCGGTGGTGGACGCCTGTAATTTCAGCTACTCAGGAGGCTGAGGCAGGAGAATTGCTTGAACCCGGGATGTGGTGGTTGCAGTGAGCTGAGATCACGCCACTGCATTGTAGCCTGGGCAACAGAGCAAGACTCTGTCTCAAAAAAAAAAAAAAGAATAGACTATTATAAAAATGATTCTTTTTTATATGCTTACAGAAGACATAAAAAGAGAAACATAATGGGCTCTAGTATTCCAATCCAATTTCTCTTATTATTATGGAGTGTAACATTTAATATCAATATTTCTAATTTTCTGAGCATCTACTTATAATTGAGCACTGATGTACTATGAAAATTATAATAAATAAATTATAATTGAGCATCTATAATTTATTGAGTATATGCTAAGGACTGTGCTAATGATGTTACAACATTTAGCGATTAAACAATGCAAATTTAATTGTGTTATATCCCGACTTAAAACCTTTTAAATGATTCCTCATTGCTGTCCCAATGAGGTCCAACTTTTAGGCAAAAAATTAATTAAATCATTTATCATGATAGAGATGACCTCTTCTAGGAAGGCTTTTCTAATTCTCTAGGTCTGGATTAGGTGATATTTCTTTTTTTTTTCTTCGAGATGGAGTCTCACTCTGTTGCCCAGGCTGGAGTGCAGTGGCGTGATCTTGGCTCACTGCAACCTCTGCCTCCCGGGTTCAAGTGATTCTCCTGCTTCAGCCTCCCGAGTAGCTAGGACTACAGGCGCGTGCCACCACGACTAGCTAATTTTTTTTTTTTTGTATTTTTAGTAGAGGCGGGGTTTCACCATGTTACCCAGGATGGTCTCGATCTCCTGACCTCATGGTCTGCCCGCCTCGGCCTCCCAAAGTGCTGGGATTACAGGCGTGAGCCACTGCACCCGGCCCTAGGTGATATTTCTAAAGGCCACCTTATATTTTAAGTAAATTGAATGGTTCCAGTTATAAAAATAAGTATTAACAACCCTATTCTAATTTCTTATTAGTTACAAAAATTTCTTGTTCAGTTTTCTGTCTTCTTCACTAGAGTACAGATTTCTTGAGGACAGGCACCTAACAGATCTACAACACAGTGATTGCTAAATAAATACTGAACCAATACATTCATATAATGAGAAGTTACATAAAAAAACAATAACCACACGGTACCATCTAATATTATTTTCAGGCTATTCTTGCCTTGCAAAACATATGTACTTTTATTCTTTTTTTTTTTTTTTTTTTTTGATAAGGGGTCTTGCTCTGTAGCCCAGGCTGGAGTGCAGTGGTGAGATCTTCGCTCACTGCAATCTCGGCCTCCCAGGTCCCAGTTCAAGCAACTCTCCTGCCTCAGCCTCCTGAGTAGTTGGGATTACAGGCACGCACCACCATGCCTAGCTAATTTTTGTAATTTTAGTAGAGACGGGGTTTCACTATGTTGGCCAGGCTGGTCTTGATCTCCTGACCTCAGGTGATCCACCCCCCCTCAGACTTCCAAAGTGCTGGGATTACAGGCCTGAGCCACGGCACCTGGCCAAAACATATGTACATTTATTCTATCATTTAGTGCTTCCAACCTAGTTCAACTATAGTCATGATTGCCATTATACAGGTGAGAAAACTGAGTAACACACTTATTCCGAGGAACCGGCAAGGAAGCTGCAGTAGTTGAACTTGAACCCAGATCTCTTAACCAGTAAGGCAGTGACTTGTCCACTACCTCCTGTGGAATTCATTAAAGGCCGACTCCCAGCATGAAATTGAATAAATGGGATGAATACAACTTCTGGTGAGAGAGTATGATAAAAAGTGCTTGCTCTGTTACCAAGCAACTGAAAGAAAGTATGTTTTTTTCATTCCTTCATTATTAATACAATTCAAAGTACATTCTGTGAATTTAAAACATAAATGATGAATAAATCAACATACTCCTGGCTTTTATGAAAATCTTTCCCTCTGCTCTTTAAACTCTCACCTACCTCCTTCCTTCTTTCTTTTCTAAGCCTCATAGAGGGCGCTCACAAAGTGCTACTTATTGATTGAGGAAGATCCACTCAAAAAACACACCTCACACTGCAACTGAGAGACGCAGCGCCACCACCTCGGGCTTCCTTCTCTTTTCCACGCAGGAGGCGGGGCCAATGTCCCTCATTCAAATAAAAAACCAGAATTTGCATGGGGAATGGCTAGTCCTTGAGCTTATTGGCTGATAGCACAGTGGGCGGGGTACATAGCACGACCCCCCGGAGCCCCGCCCATATTAATTTGCATAACGGCCCCGGCGCGTGCAAGGGAGAAGCGGGTTTGTTTTTGAATCTGCGGAGGCGGCGGCGGTGGCAGCGGCGGCGCGGCGACTGAAGCGCGCGAAAAGCTGAGGCGGCAACGTCGGGGACGGCTGCGCGGGACGGCTCTGTAGGAAGGAACTTGGTTCCCCCTCCCTCAGCTTCCGCCCCAAAAGGTATATGTGAATCCCAGGGGCTGTTAAAACCACATTTTCTTAAATTACTATTGTATTTCTGAAGAGTCAAGACCGCATTATGGCGGCTGCGGGAGTTGTGTCTGCGCCTGCGCGGTTGCGGAGCTGCGGGCGGCGCTGCATGGGAGCACGTGATCTTGCGGGGTCGGGCTCTAGCTGCAGTTGTGCAGCTGGCGGGGCGGTGGCTGCGCAAGCGCAATATTCATTTTCAAGATCTAATGTTCTTGTTGGACGCCATTTGGGTTCTAGATTTAATTTTCCTCGTTCTTGAGGGGTTTCTTTGTGTTAACCTTAAATTCTCACAATTTTCAAGAAAAACATTACTCTAATGTTGTACTCCTGGGCCGACCTCAAGCTCTTCTCTGTTTTTTCGATTTTTTGAAAAATTGTGGACTTAATTTTCTGTAAAAATGATTTTCATTTGTGGTTCTTGATTATAATTTCAGTTTTAAAGTATTACTGGATTCAGGTTTATATTTACGGTGGTAAAGATCAGCACCTAGTGGTGTTCTCACGGGAAGTGCATTTATTTGAACTGCATATTTGCAAATACATTTTTAACCCTATTTTTACCTGTTCTGTTATGGATGTGTGGAATGTTTACAAAACAGAAACAATTTTAGTTTTGGGAATATTGGGGGAACGGGAATAGTGGAAGAAATTACAGTATAATCGAAAATGAAATCTCAATCTGAGGATTATTTTGGTTTTAAATGTTTGATCCTAAGTAAATAAAGTTTTAATTTTAATCAGTTTGTATGTTTCTGGGCATTTGAATTTTACATGTTTTAAGTTTCTTAGGTGACTTGTTCATTACTGCTTCAGCTAGATTATTGTTACTTTTGAAATTAATCAACTCATTTTCTTAGCATTTTTGTTTGCTATGATATGTAAGCTATAACATTTATTTGGTAAATTTTTCTGATGAAGAATTCTAGAAAGAACATCCATTACCCTGAGGCCTCTTTGAAGAAAGTGGACCATTAATAAAAAAAATCTGTTTTTTTCTTTTAAACACTGTACTGTATGCATGTGTGTAAGATACAGTTGTGTTTGATTTTTTAATTGTAAGTGTGCTCCTGGTTTTATTAATAGTTTTTTAGGGAAGGTAATTATAAATATGCTACTGATTAGTTTAAAATGGTAGTGTCAACTATAGTTAAATCTTATGTAACACAATTGGGGGAAGTTATATAAGATTTGATATGATTCTCCCGTTGTGCAAATTCTTTCTTACTAAGCAAAGAAACTTGCAAATGTTTTCCATAGACTTCATTTGTGGTTCATATATACAACAACTGGTTTCTTGGTTGGTTATAACTCTTTAAGTTTGAATCAGTCTACTGTCAAATGAAGACGTGCCTCTTGCTTTATAATCTCGGTTAATTTAGGGAAATTTTTATTGCCTAAAACAAATACCATTAGTAAATATTACCTAGATGTAATTGAAAGTAATACTTTTGGTTGGTGGATTTTTAAATGACGTCACATATGAGATAGAATGGAGGTAGGAAAGATTCTTCTTTTTTTCTCAAGAGAATATTTGACCTGATGTAATTCTTGGATCTCTGAGGTCTTCTACACAGAAGTATATTTAGAGAGCAGTTGTGTAATTTTCTCCCTTTTATGTTTCTGGAGTGGTTACCTAGCAGCCCCTTTCTACCACATGCTATTTCAGGCATTTTCGAGTTGAACATACACATAAATATTTCGGTTAACAAAAGAACTTTGATCTTTGATCTTAGGGCATGGTACACTTTACATTTCCAGAAAAATGAAATAGTTTGGTGTATATAAGCGTATGTTTTCATTTGAATATACAGATGATTGCTTTTTAGGTTAATATTGAAGGTAGTAAGAGGTATTTGAAAATGCTCTTGAATATGAAGAACATATTTATTGATGGGACGATTTTGCTGTCATGTTTCTTACAAGGCAGATATAATCATGTAAACTTAATAAGATTAATTAATTGCCTGAACACCAACTATTTGTTTATTAGTACTTTGTCAATAACAAGTATATTTTAAAATTTTAGTTTGGTGGTTATGATGCCACAAAATTTTGACACATATCCAACATATATAAATATTAAGACTAGGTTACTCCAGGAATGAATACCAAGTTACTGAAGTTATTTAAAATCTTTGTAGTTTTGTAAATTTAAAAATTTATATGTAGTTTAGAAAAGACAGGTTTGAGTTATTAAACAATTAGAACTATTTTTTCTTTAAATTAGGTTTTGCATATGTGATAAATGTATTTAAATATTTTTAAACTTATTCATTATAGAACATTTGGAAAATATTGAAAATTAATTAACAATGCTTAGAAATAACCACTCTAAAGGTATTGGTGATTTGTGACTTCACTTTTCCATGATTGAGCAATCTATAAATGTTTATTAATTAGTTTTTCATTGGTACCATAATTTCATTTCTACTCTTTTAATGTTATGAGTATTTTCCCATTTCATTATTCTTCTAAAATATGTCTTTAAATGGTTGCATGATACTTTATTATAATATCCCACATGATCAAATGTTCTTTTTAAACACATTTTAAAATGGTTACATATTATTGTTATCTCTAAGAAGAATTTACTGTGATTTATTAAACCTTTCATTTTTTGTTTCCTGTTTTGCTTTTTGCTCATTTCTCTATTAAAAATAATGCTACAGTGAACGTTCTTGTACTATACCTCAGAATATTTCTTTGAAATTACTTTCAAAGGACTTTTAAAGTAATTTGCAAAATTGATAAAAACTTTTTTTTGAAAAGCATTTTTTATCATATTCAATACCACCATCAATTAGATGGGTGAAAAATAGTAGCTCATTAACTTTTTTTGATAACTAGTGAAGTTGAATTTGTTATTGTTTTATATATGCATTTTTTTCATTTTCTGTGAATTAGCTGTTTGACTTTTTGTGTATTTTTCTATGATGAGTGTTACTGTTTTTCTTATTTGTTGGTAACAGCTACTTACGGCTTTGGGGTCCTTAGCTTTTAATATTTGTCACAGTAATTTTAAAATTACCTTTTAAGTGGTTTATGATTGTATATGTTAAGAAGTTTTGCATTTTTATGTAGTAAAATGTACTGCCCCCCTTTTTTTTTTTGAGATAGGATCTTGCTCTGCTGCGCATGCTAAAGTGCAGTGGCAGTGATCTCTGCCCACTGCAGCCTCGACCTCCCAGGCTCAAGCAATTCTCCCACCACTGGAGTAACTGAGACTACTGGTGAAGGATATCACACCCCGCTAATTTTTTCTTTTTTTTTTTTTTTTAATAAACAAAGCCTCATTATGTTGCCCAGGCTGGTCTTGAACTCCAGGGGTCAAGAGAGTTTCCCACTTCAGCCTCCCAAAGTGCTGAGATTACAAGCATGAGCCACCATGTCCAGCCTGTACTGCCTTTCCTTTTTCCTTTATGATTTCTACAGCACTTGTCTGCCCAGAAAATATTACCTGTTGTAAGGTGAATTGTATGTTTATATTGTATTTTATTTTATTATTATTGTTTTTTGAGGTGGAGTCTAGCTCTGTCTCACAGGCTGGAGTGCAGTGGTGTGATTTTGGCTCACTGTAACCTCTTCTTGGGTTCCAGCGATTCTGCTACCTGAGCCTCCCAAGTAGCGGATTACAGGCGTGCACCACCATGCCCTGCTTTTAGTAGAGACGGGGTTTCCCCGTGTTGGCCAGGCTCGTCTTGAACTCCTGACCTGAGGTGATCTGCCTGCCTTGGCCCCCACAGTGCTAGAATTACAGGTGTGAACCACCGTGCACAGCCTTGTTCATGTGTTTTGTTAATTTTTTACTAGAACTTTTTCTGGAAGTTTTAATAAACTTAAAAAATACTTTTACATCTATGTGGACATATCTGTGTTTTGACATATTGTGTGTTAAGATAAGTTGCTAGTTTCCATTTTTTTCCAGATATCTAGTTTCCATAGACTTGATCCATTTCTTATTGCTTTGGTAGCAAACAATTCTGATTCATATACTAGGTATATTTAACCTGGGGTCCATTGTCCTCTAGGGGTTCCACCGATCCCTTGATATACACAATTTTATGTAAGTCTGCATATGTTCATTTTTTTTTTTTTTTGAGATGGAGTTTCGCCCTTGTTGCCCAGGCTGGAGTGCAATGGCACGATCTCAGCTCACCGCAACCTCCGCCTCCCAGGTTCAAATGATTCTCCTGCCTCAGCCTCCTGAGTAGCTGGGATTACAGGAATGTGCCACTATGCCCGGCTAATTTTGTATTTTTAGTAGAGACGAGGTTTCTCCATATTGGTCAGGCTGGCTCGAACTTCCTACCTCAGGTGATCCGTCTGCCTCGGCCTACCAAAGTGCTGGGAGTACAAGTGTGAGCCACTGCGCCTGGCCTCCTATGTGCATTTTTCTGGGGAAAAAGTGATAGCTTTCATTAGCTTCTCAAAAGAATATATGATATAAAGTTTAAACAGAGGTTGACAATGACTGTATCTGGGCCTTATTCTTAGAGCATTATTGCATTGTTTTATTTGCTGTAGGACGGTACACAATTTAAATATGTGTTTGTAGTGCTATATCCTATATAAAATCCAATACCCACTCACAATTCTATTTTACAATTTTCATAGCTGATTTTGACTGTTTTTGCAGATCAACTTTAGGTTCATTTGGTTAATTAAGAAAAAAAAGCCAGCTAATGGTTTTGGTTACAATTCCATTAAATTTACATTGGGTGAATTTATAACCTTATACTATTTTTTTTAATTCATCGGTATTACACACTTCCTGTAGACTACCAAAAAGCACTATTTCCTAGGAACTCTGGGAGAATTTGTGGTATCTGTGACTTTTCAGGAGGATGTTTTCTTGGTGCAGCTATAATTTTAGTAGGGATGAATTAGGAGACAATATAAGGTTATATTTCTGTTTTCAATCTGGTTTAGGACATGATGACATAAAAGTAGTATCAGTATGAAGTTAGACGTGGGAAAAATAAGTCGCAAAATAAAGTATTGTACAATATTCGAAATCAAAATCCTTTTTTGTTAAACACAGACAATTTTTTTTTTTTTTGATGGAGGAATTTGAAAAGGTACCTTACTCCTTTTCTGGCCAGGGTGAGGCTTAATCTCATAATAAAGATAAAAAATTTTTATTTTAGTTTCCTTGGTATCATTAAATTATTATATTTTCTGATAAGGATGTTTCCCTAATTATTAGAATAAATTTATTTTCCATTAAATCTCTTTTTTATGCTGATTGCATTGAAAAAGATTATCTTGATTAATAAGGATGTATTTCAGCTGTAATTCTACTTTATATCTTTTAAATAATTGATTCAGGAGTCAGTTTATTGCCAAAATAACATTTTTATTGAACTAAACTTGTAAATTAGTGGAGGAATGAAAAGAAGAAATCACGGAAATATAGAACTCAAATGATAAAATATTATTGGCTTTATGAAAATAAATCTAGAAAATGGATATAAAATATTAAGATATTATTGGCCTTTCTTAAGCAGTTTATCTTTTTTAATGAAAAATCCCTGCCTTTGGGTCTTTTTCAAGCAACACTGCTTATAACAGCTTAGATATTTTACTTTTTTGTGAAAGTTGAGAACTTTTTCTAGTTCTGGTTTATTATTATACTTGGTTTCTAGACTATAACAGATGAGGAGTAAAAAATTAGAAGTGCTACTTGAGAAATGCATTTTGGTAGGGAAAAGAAATGATGTCCAGCATCATGATAGTAAAGGAGGGTTATATTTCTACTGTTAGAAGCAATAATTTATAAACTTAGTTATGAGGCTATTTAGTTTGGGAATCAGTATTCCCAGAGCTGAATCAGTAGTTATAGAATGTTCATTATTAATTGATGATTTTATTAATGATTCTGAATCAGAGAATATTGTTATATTTAACCTATTTCAGAAGGGAAATGAGCGTGTGATTTAGTTTAGAAGGATTTCTATTATAATTTTTTCTTTTAGGTTTTGAGGCCTATGGAAAATTTATGCATTGGCTGCATACCTTGTTTTTCAAGGGAGTCACATGTATAAAGAAGCTTGAGAATAAAGTTCCTGCCTTTTGAGTTTCTAACAGTTGTGGGGCATATTATTGATTGAAAAATTAGGTGATGTTTTAACATTATTTAAACAGATTACCTTAATGTCATTAATTAGCTTCAGAGACCATAGTCCTTGTCACTTTCCTAGAGTACTTAGAAATTGCCTATCCTTTAGTGGAACTCTCTTTTAAACTTCTTGCTTGTTTGACCTTATATTTTATTAGAGAGGCCAAGAGTATTTAAACATTACTTTGCCATGTTCTTTCTCAGATTGTCCTGCCATCCACAGAGTAAATCAGGGGCTCCTCCAGGCATTTTAATTTGTTGAAAACAAAGAAAATTAAACTTTTTATAGATGATTCAGCTTGCATGGTGGAAACCATTTTGTATTGGAGACAGAGAGTGAGTGCTGGGGAGCACTTTCAGTTAAGAATAAGTAGATCAGGGCTACTAGTGCTTGTTTATATGGTGTGAATGTTTCAATTTTAAATTTCGATCATTTGGAGTTTAGAATCTTTAAGAGGATGACTCAGGTACCTCAGCCACTTTTCAAAAAAAAAAAAAAAATACCATAGGCCTAAGGGAACAGTTATACCTTCCTGAGAGTCTTTATAGTTGGACCTATATGAATATGAGAATCTGGGAAATGAAGATGACTTATTAACTTTGCCATCAGAAATATGCACTTATTCATGTCTGCAGTTTTCCATTGCTCAGAATATTATAAGAAACATTTTGTGTTCTTTTATATCCAATAACTGGTAGTAACTAGCTGTATTTGGGAGAGAGGACCCCTTTGTATGATGGTGATGTGAGGTAGTAATGCCATAATGTCTTACTATATATGATCCGTTCTCCCTTTCTTTGTTGTTTGTATAGCCCTATGCTACTTTGGGGAAGTATTATCTGGTTTGATACCTAGAAATTATGTGTCCATCACTCTTGGCATTCTAATAATTTAACATTCTAATAAGAAATTTGATTTGTATGTTAGAATAGTTGTCCTCAGAACTGTCAAAGCTGTAAAAGGAACTTTCTTTGGTTCAGTAATTCTCAGTGATAATGCCTACCATTTTGTAGAAGGATAAAGCTAAAAAGATGGAAAGGGAATCTGCTGTTTTGAGGACCAGGAGAAAGAGTTTGATGGAACAATAAAGGATGACTTGACTGCTGCAGCTTATTCCCAGCTAAGGCTTTGGAGCCTTAGATGTATATCTGCCCTGTTACTCTTATTAGATAGAATGTCATAGGAAAAAGCATGTAAGGGAAAAGAGAGACTGCTTTTGAACTCTTTTATTTCCTTTTAGGTGGTAAATGTCAGAAGTGAATTCCATTAGAGTAAAAACTAAGCTGCCACAGTATAGGAGACTCCATTCCTGTTGTTTAAAGATGACACATGTTTTTTTCTCATGTAACCATACAAAGTAAGACTGTTTAGAGTTTGTAAGTGGTTTTGCCTTAACATATGGCTTCCATCACTAGGTGAAACATGATTACTCTCTAGTTTTACTAGCTAGAGGCAAGGAAGAAAGAACAATGGGAGTGCATATTCTTTCTTTTGAGAGCATGATATGGAAGTGGCACATAGCACTTTGACTCATGGTTTATGTGTGATCATTTAGTCATTGGGACATATTTAGCTGGGAAAGGAAGTCTGGGAAATATATCTAGCTGGATAATCATATGCTTAGCTAAAACTAGAGAATTTTATAAAAGAGAAATGGATATTAATGAATAGCATTTTCTGCTATATAAGGAATTGGGAGAAGTGGTCTCAAAGTACTTCATAATTTGGTACTGAAAACTATTTCTCTTTTAAGATTTAGGTTCAGTTATAGTATAACTGTATATTTTCCATTGAAATGGTATTTTGGGGGTTTTGTGTTCATGATTTGTGGTTGGGGTCCCAGTTATTATAAATATTTATATTTGATAGAATTCTTCCCCTCTCTGCTTGCCGTTGAAAACATTATGATTAGTTTTGCAAGAATTAGAATTTCAAATTTTTAAAACTCAGTGTAGTATTTTTGAACTTTACAGGTTAACTTGCTTAATTCAAAAGGACTGTAGATGAATCGAGTGACAATTGTTTGAATAGTTTATGTTTGCATTATTTTATCCAGATTTTTTTTTCTCTGTTTATAACTGTATGTATAAAATATACATTTTCCATGATGGAAAATATGACTTTTTTTTTTTTTAATTGAGACTAGGGTCTCACTCTGTCACTCCAGCTGGAGTGCAGTGGTGTGATCATGGCTCACTGTAACCTTGACCTCCTGGGCTCAAGGGATCCTCCTGACTCAGCCTCCTAGGTAGCTTGGACTACAGGCACATGCCACCAAACCCAGCTAATTTTGTAATTTTTTTTTTTTTTTTTTTTTGTGGAGATGGGGGTCTTGCCTTGTTGCCCAGGCTGGTCTTGAACTCCTGGGCTCAAGCAATCCTCCCCTCTTGGCCTCCCAAAATGTTGGGATTACAGGTGTGAGCCACTGTGCCTGGCCGAAAATGTGACTTCCAAGGGCCTTGTAATATACACAGGTAAAAAGATTGTGGTTGTAAATTCTCTGCATATAGGCAAAACTTACCTGATTAATAAGTAAGTAGTTAAAAGTAGCTTTCTACAGAATATGACAAGTAAAACAATATATATTTTTGTAGGGTACAGAAAGTGGTGAGAGTGTTGGAAGGAGATCAAGGAGATTTTATGGGAGTTGTATTTTAAGGAATGAATTAGACAGATAATACTAGTAAAGAGAATAAATAGTATGTTCAAAATCTTAGAGCCAGAAAGGAAGGTAGTGTGTTAGGAGAACTCTTAATAGCTCTGTGATACAAATCCTTGGTTTTTGTGAATAAAAGTCATAGTTGCCATGGCACCCACATAGTATGCCTATTAAAGCATGTTGTTGCTCTCAACTGGAAATTCTCTAATTTTTCTTTGCTTTACTTCATATATTTTTTAAAGGCATTTATTCCTTTCCACTTTTATATTTATAGTTATTTGTTTTTTGTGTAGTACTTTATAAGTTTCCTGGGGTTAGGAATCATATCTTATTGATATATCTGACAATTTTTTAAGACAAATCCTTTCTAATAAGGTATGATAAGACCACTATTAAAAGTGTAAGATTGCTTTCCACCATGCCTTGCTTTCCACCATGCCTCCCTTAATATTCAATAAATACTTGCTTATTGAAAGAATAGAATTCCTTCGTTTTAGGTGGAGGTGAAAAAAAAAAGGGAATAAGATATTCTAATTATTTTCTTTTATTTAACTCATTATCCACAGATGTCAGAACTTTTTTTTTTTAATCAAACATGTAATTTACTCAGATGGCAAATACCCACATGATGAATTGTCATGGGAAGATTTGACAGGCACTTTACATATGAAAAATAATAAATAGTTGCTTTTAGGAAAAACAGTTTTCAATGTCATCCATTAAGAACCAGTTGCTTGTTAATAAAAAGTTTCTAAAATATGACTGTGAAGAACCTACGTATGTAAATTAATAAGGGTTTGAGGAAAAGATGGAATGATATAATTATTTTGTATTTTAGGTTTGTATAATCCTCTTCCCCCACCAAACTTACTTTAAATGATTTAAACATTGAAAGATAAAAATAAATAAAAAAATGAAGAAAGAAAAGAAGAACAAAAGAAAAAACAAAAAATTTTCCTAAAATCAGTTAGTTATACAGTGAAGTGGAAAGAACAGTAGTTTTGTATTGGGACCTGGGCAATTAGTGTCTCCTCTCAGTGTTCTTTATCTTTAAAATGTGGTGTTACCACCTACATGGTAGTGTTGTGAGGGTTAAATATGATTAGATATATAAAATGCTTAGCATCTGTGCCTCACACATATCTCTAGCTTTAATCAATTGGTGAATCAATTAGTCAGTCATGAATATTTATTAAGAAGCAACTATGTGCAGGGAGCCCTGCAGTACAGGGAGATTTATGAAAATAATATTCTTGATTTCTGGAGCTAGAATGTAAATGCATTTAAAAAGTAACTTGGAAAGGTCGGTTTCATATTACCACTCATTAGTAAGGTAAATAAGCATTTAAGAAAGTAGTTTACTTGTAAAGGTTTGTGATGGAGACCAGTTTTAGGACTGACTCATTAAAAAACAAACGGGTATTTAAAGGAAAAAACGCCACACGATTACTAAATTCACTAAATTTACAGTAAACATCTTCCTGGTGAAAAAGCAGCCATTTTCTCACATTGATTGTCATATCTGCAAGGTTTGGCAGCATTCATCATTGGCAAAGTTAGGGATGAAGGCATTTATTTTGGGCACTAATTCCACATAGGATTCCTCCTTGCCCTCCTTTAAAAACATCTGCTGGACATGCTTACTCAAAATTGAGACAAAGTATCATTTTTCATCCATAGCCCTTCCTTGAAATCAAGCTCCAGCCTCTTAAGGCACAGATTTGGCCATAAAGTTTGTTAAATGATTTTCCGATTTGGTATATTTTCATGTTTTCTTTAGCCATTTGATTCACATAGGTCTAATGAGGTGTTGATTTAAAATACAGAAATACATCCCTATTGTGTGCTTAACAAAACTATGTCCATTTGATAGGAAGGTAAGAGTTAACCTCTGTATGGATGTTTTGTGAACTGCTATAATTGACTTATTTATTTATTAGCTTGTCTCCACTACCAGAAACCGCATCATCTGACTTAATGAGCTTTCATCTGCAGTACCTATAATTGTAGGGTATCTTGGGGTTCTCTGAGATTCCCACATTTGTCAGTATTCCTGGTTTTTTGGGAAATACTATTCTTTATTCTCTTCAAAGCTTGGAATCTATAAGCTGTGGAAGAGATACTAAATTGATTTCTTGTGAAGATTTAGTAGGCATGATTTCTATATTTAAGATGCAATCCTTGGGAGGCTGAGGCAGGAGAATCGTTTGAATCCGGAAGGCAGAGGTTGCAGTGAGCCAAGATTGCGCCACTACACTCCAGCGTGGGTGACAGAACAAAACTCCATCTCAAAAAAAAGAAAAAAGATGCAATTTTTGTTCCCTGTCATACCTAATTAAAGGAAATTTGTGTTTATTTATTTGTTTGTTTGTTTTTTGAGACACTGTCTTGCTGTGTTGCCCAGGCTGGAATGCAGTGGCATGATCTTGGCTCACTGCAACCTCTACCTCCCAGACTCAGGCAATTCTTGTGCTTCAGCCTTCCGAGTAGCTGGGATTACAGAAATGCACCACCACGCCCTGCTAATTTGTGTATTTTTAGTAGAGACGGGGTTTCACCATGTTGGCCAGGCTAGTCTCGAACTCCTGAGCTCAAGTGATCTGCCTGCTTCGGCCTCCCAAAGTGCTGTGGTTATAGATGTGAGCCACTGAGCCCAGCCCGAAATTCATTTTTAAATTTCACATTTCCAGTGTGGTTACGGTTACAAATTTGATTTATCCAATTTTTTTTTTTTTTTTGAGACGTTGTCTTGCTGTGTCGCCCAGGCTGGAATGCAGTGGCAAGATCTCTGCTCATTGCAAGCTCCGCCTCCCAGGTTCACGCCATTCTCCTGCCTCAGCCTCCCGAGTAGCTGGGACTACAGGCACCAGCCACCATGCCCGGCTAATTGTTTGTATTTTTAGTAGAGACGGGGTTTCACTGTGTTAGCCAGGATGGTCTCGATCTCCTGACCTCGTGAGCCACCGCGCCCGGCCTTTCTTTCTTTCTTTTTTTTTTTGACAGAGTCTCGCTCTGTCACCCACGTTGGAGTGCAATGGCGTGATCTCGGCTCACTCCAGTCTCTGCCTTCTGAGTTCAAGTGATTCTCCTGCCTCAGCCTCCTGAGTAGCTGGGATTACAGGCACCCACCACCACACCAAGCTTATTTTTCTATTTTTAGTAGAGACAGGGTTTCACCATGTTGGTCAGGCTGGTCTCGAGCTCCTGACCTCAAGAGGATCACCTCAGGTGATCCACCTGCCTCAGCCTCCCAAAGTGCTGGGATTACAGGCATAAGCCACCGTGCCTGGTCTGACTTACCCAATTTTATCCTGGTAGGCAGGAGAACAGATTCTTATGGAAACTGTGTAAACTGAGTCATAAAAAGTAAAAAGATTGAGTTATGATACTTTATACAGTATTTAATCATTGGTCTAAGCAGTTTCTGGACAAGACTGAACAATATATTCAGTATTTTTCTTTTTCTTTTTTTTTTTTTTTGAAATGGAATCTTGCTCTGTCGCCCAGGCTGGAGTGCGGTGGCATGATCTTGGCTCACTGCAACCTCTGCCTTCAGGGTTCAAGCGATTCTCCTGCATCAGCCTTCCGAGTGGCTGGTATTACAGGCACATGCCACCACGCCCAGCTAATTTTTGTATTTTAAGTAGAGATGGAGTTTTGCCATGTTGGCCAGGCTGGTCTCCAACTCCCGACCTCAGGTGATCTGCCTGCCTCGGCCTCCCAAAGTGCTGGGATTACAGGCGTGAGTCACCATGCCCGGCCCTATATTCAGTATTTTTCTACAGAATCATTCATAAAATGTTTTTGGTGGCTTCTTTAGCTTATAACCTATATTAAAACCTTTCACAGGATATTTTTCTCCCTGATCTCTGAGGGGGAAAGATATTACTATTTCTATAAAGTATACCTTAAGTTGGGGGTTAGAGATAGATTGAGATGAAAGTATTGTTCTCTTATGACCATTTAAAATAAAATGTTAACCACAATTAAATCATTCATTTAGTCTTAGGTAATTCTTCTTTTTTTGATCTTGTGTTAAGCAGCCTACTTACACAGAATTGACTGGTTTGTACAACATAATCATGAAAATCATGACCCATTCCCTTGATACAGTTATGACAGTTGTTGACTCATGATGTCAACTTTATACCAGGATGCCTGCATCCATGAGTCTCTTCCATGTAAATAGCAATAGTTAAGACGATTTGGTACAGTTACTAATAATCTTTGATATTTATTTAAAAGACTTAATTTATAAGACACAATTCCTCAGGTATGGTGGCAGCAAAAATCTTGACTCACATTTAGTTCTTGAGTGTCATTGCTCCTGTGTGGCTTAGTTGCTCACTATATCTCGTACACAACTGTCATCCTTAGAATTTTGTACACCATTGATATAGTTTGGATTTGTATCCCCACCCAAATCTAATGTTAAATCATAATCCTCTATGTTGGAGGTGGGGCCTCGTGGGAGATAATTGGGTCATGGGCTGGATTTTTCATGAATTGTTTAGCACCATCCCCCTTGGTACTGTCCTCCACAATAGTGAGTGAGTTCTTGTGAGATCTGGTCATTTAAATAGTGTGTAGCACCTCTCACCTTTCTCTTGTTCTTGCCTCTGCCATGTGATGTGCATGCTCCCCCTTTGCCTTCCATCATGTTTGTAAATTTCCTGAGCCCCCACCCCAAGAACCCGAGCAGATACACTGTACTTCCTGTACAGCCAGCAGAATTGTGAGCCAATTAAACTTCTTAATAAATTACCCATTTTCAAATATTTCTTTATAGCAATGCAAGAATGAACTAATACAACCATCAGTGAAGATTTCCTTCACCTGTCTTCTAGGACCCTTGTTTTCCAAATGCTATGTCTTTTTATTGATTTATTCTGTCCTTGGCAGGAGAATTCTTAGAATTCTCCCTGCCTGTAGAAAGCTACACATTCTCTAGTAGCTTTTTGAGAAAGGGTGCATGGGAGATACAGGTTTTAAAGACAATGCATGTTTGAAAAAGGTCATTCTATGTTTTCATGCTTGATTGATAGTTTGGCTGGGTATAGAACTCTAGGTTGAAATTCTTTTCCTTCAGAATTTTAAAGACACTGCTCCATTATCTTCTTCCTACTATTATCACCACTGAGAAATCTGAAGCCATTCTGATTTCAGATTTCTCCTCTCAGTGGAAGCTTGTAGAATTGGTTATTAGTCTTTAGTCTTATGGAATTTCAATGGAACCTGCCCTTGTGTGGATCTGTTTATTATGGTCTGCTGGCATGCTTTGGGCTCTTTGGTCTGGAAATTCTTGCCCTTCAACTCTGGAAAGTTTTCTTAAATGATTTCATTGGTGATGTATTTGTGTGTGTGTGTGTGATTCCAATTTGAATATTTGGATGGATACTCCAATTGTATCTTTTCTTCTGATTTGTAATTTTGTCTTTTTGCTAAGGTTGGTTTCTTCAACTTTATCATCCAGTCCTATTGAGTTTTTCATTTTTTTCTATCATGTTCTTAATTTTCATTCCTTTTCTATAGCATTCTATTCTTGACTCAAGAATGTAACATTTTGTCTGCATATATTCATTTTTTTGAAGTTTTCTTATTCCTGCATAGTCTATTGCTTCATGTATTTTTTTTGTTTTTGTTTTCTTTTGGTCTCTGTCATGTTGGAAACTTTTCTCAATTGCCTTCCTTAGGTAACTGCATAATGTGATGTGGAAGATTCAAAAGTTGATTGCCTTATCTAAATTCGACAGTTTGAAACTTCCCTTTAGGCTGATCTGGGTCAGCCATTTTGGGAGAGTTCTCCAGAGACCTTAGGTCTTATGTCTTGTGCTGGTCAGACACCCTCAGGGAATAGTCTTCCATTTTTATCAATAGAGAAATAGGCTCTGATTGCCAGCACTCTGGGAGATTCATGAAGGGGACTAGGGATCTCTGCAGTCAGGACTTAGTCCTTCTCTTTTTGATATAGTACTTTCAGGTTTTGTTTTTATTTTATTTTTTTTAAGACAGAATCTTACTCTTGCTCAGGCCAGAGTGCACTGGCACAATCTTGGCTCACTGCAACCTCTGCCTCCCAGGCCAAGGGATTCTCCTGTCTCAGCCTCCCGAGTACCTGGGATGACAGGTGTGTGCCACCACGCCCAGCTAATTTTTGTATTTTTAGTAGAGACGGGGTTTTGCCATGTTGGCCAAGCTGGTCTCGAACTCCTGACTTCAGGTGATCCACCTCCCTTGGCCTCCCAAAGTGCTGGGATTACAGGCATGAGCCACCGTGCCCGGCCAGGTACTCTCATTTTTAACTGCAGATGTTGTCTTCAGACTTTTGTTAGGGTTGGGAGGAGCAGATAGTCACTGTTAAATGTGTTTGGTAAAGGCTTCTAAGGTATCTTTCTGCTTCTTAAACAGCTGTCACTATTTTGGCCATTTTATCGTTCTCTCTGCTCCCTTCACTCTGGTTTTCAAAGGTGCTTGGTTCTTTTACTTTCTATGATTTTCAGATTTCTGCCAGGTAAATCAGATTGGTTCTTAACTTGTCACCACTGCAGCTTGGAATATTGTATGTTAGGGATTGCTACATTAGTTACAACTGGTCGTGCTTATTTATTTTTTTTGAGACAGAGTCTCATTCGGTCGCCTAGGCTGGAGTGTAGTAGCTCGATCTAGGATCACTGCAGCCTCCACCTCCCAGGTTCAAGTGATTCTTGTGCCTGAGCCTCCCTGAGTAGCTGGGACTACAGGTGCGCCACCATGCCTGGCTGATTTATGTATTTTTAGTAGAGACTGGGTTTTGCCATGTTGGTCAGGCTGGTCTGGAACTCATGGCCTTGAGTGGTCTGCCCACTTTGGCCTCCCAGAGTGTAGGGATTACAGGCTTGAGCCATCGTGTCCGGCTGGTCCTGCTTATTTTTCAGCTTCCCAAATCTTAGTAGCTGTTACCTCTTATTTCTCTCTGTTTTTTTAGGATTTATGTAGTTTTAGTGGGATTAGGTGTTTTTGGTTCATCATCTTAATACCATTCTAACATGCCTTTTAGATTTAAATATGTGTAATGTTAATAATAACTTACAATTAGAGCATCTTAATTAAATAAATAAAACATATATTTACTCTCAACCAAATACAGTGAAAATTTTTCTTTAGATTCTATAGTTTTCAATAATTTGCATATGCAGAGTTTTCAAATAGTATAATATATATAAAATGTAATGGTTGACTAGAATTAATTCTAGTTTTTTTTTTTCTTTCTTTACTAATTGTGTGACTCCTGGCAAATGATTACATTCTCTGGTCATAAAAATTTGAGATTGTAGCGCTCTTATTTTACATGGTCATTGCAAGAGTGAAATAAAAAAAAAATTGAATGCAGCCTGGGCAACATAGTGAGACATTATCTCTACAGAAAATTTTAAAAATTAGCCAGTTGTGGTGGTGTACACCTGTGGTCCCAGTTACTCCAGAGGCTGAAGTGAGAGAGTCTCGTGAGCCCAGAAAGTTGAGGCTGCAGTAAGCTGAGCCATGATTGCACCACTGCACTGTAGCCTGTCTACAAACAAATAAACGAAAAAACAAAAAGACTTGTGAAAAGTGCTGATTTTTAATTAGGAAAAGATTAAACATTGGATAGTCATGGAATTGTTTACTGAACATTAGAAATTGGTTGCAAGTGTTTATGCTTCTGTAAATAAACGATTGGTCTCATTACAAATGACCCAATATAAAACAAATTTCTTAAAACCTGTGACATTATACAGTCAAGGTGAATCCTGCTTTTTTAGTAATATTAATAAAACTTAAATCACTTTTGTTTCCTGTAGATTTTCTCAGAGTCATCTATCATAATAAGCACATAGTAGTTCCCATGTAGTGCCTGAAAAGTGCCCTACAAAAGTTATTTTTTCCATCTTGGATTCTGAACTGCAGATGTTTTTAGGCCAAGACTAAAATCTTAGTTGACATATTAGTTGACTTCTTCCTAGAAAGTAGGAGTTGAGATCCTAAAAATGAAGGTTCTTTTGAGATTTTTGTGGTAGAAACAAAAACACTGAGAATTTCAGCTCACTATTTATTGAGCAAATAACTGTGTTCTATACTATGGAAGAGAATGGAAAATGAATCAAGATGCGATTTATATCCTTATATAAAGATTATTTGCATAAAGATACAAGTAATGAAATGGTGGTAAGTATAATGATGATATGCATAAAAGATATTGAGAGAGTAATGATACCTGGTTTGGGGATGTGCGTATTAAGGAGAGAGTAAGCAAAGAATTATCAGTGATAGGGTAATATAGGTTGAATCATGTAGAGGATATATCAAGTAAACTATAATAGGATAGTTTCTTTGGGATAAAGGTGTTGGCCTTGACACTATTTATCTGAATAACAGCCTAATTATTTTCCTTTTCTAAACTGTTTCATCAGACACAGAAACAGAACCAATGTGTGAAGGGATGGATAAAGCTCTGTCAGCTGGTACTAAGTGTTGTCTGGGTTGTATTTCTGCTTGTATCAGTTTTGTGAAATTATTTAATCTTATTGGAGAATTCTGGATTTTCGGATTAGGGATGTCCAACCTGTATTATTAGTAGCCAGCAGCTTTCTCTTGGTAGACTATGTTTAGACTAAGAAAAAAGTAGTCAGGATTTACATTGGAAAAGTATTTGGCAAGAGAAGGGAGGCTTGAAGAAGATATCATCCATTTGACAGTGTGTTCCATAATTTAAATCTTTGTGGATCAGACTTCCTAAAAACACTTTGCTTCCAGAATGTAAGAAAGTGTTCATTAGGCAGCTCTGAATATTTTGGCTATGTGTACCATCTTTCCCCACCCCCCAATTAAACATAGATTCCAGTGCTACAGTAATATCAATTCTGTTCCAGCCTTTCTCAATTTACCAAATCTTGCTTTTGTTTTTAATTATAATTTTTTTTGAGACAGGATCTGGCTCTGTTGACTAGGCTGGATGGAGTGCAGTGGTTCAAGTTCACTGTAGCCTTGAACTTCTGGGCTCAAGTGATCTTCCTGCATCAGCCTCTTGAGTAGCTGGAACTACAGGTTCATATTACCACACCTGCTAATGTTTTAAAAATTTTTTTTGTAGAGACAGACAGAGATCTCGCTTTGTTGGCCACGCAGGTCTCAAACTCCTGGCTTCAAGAGAGCCTTCCGCCTTGGCCTCCCAGAGTGTTGGGATTATAGGTGTGAAGCACTGTGCTTGGCCTAAATCTTGCTTTTAATGAATAGTCTTTGCTTGAGAATCACAGTTGTATTTTTAAAGAATTAATATGGCTTGGATCAAGTTTAACTTTTTTTTTCTGATATACTGAAGTTGTTACATACATTATTCATTTTGCCTCATGGAAAATACATAAGGACCTTTTAAAGATAAGTAATTTAAAAAACTTTTATTATGGAAAATTTCAAATATATACTGAAATAGAATGAGATAATAAATTCTGTGTGCCCATTGCTCAGCTTGAACCATTGTCAAGTCATAGGGCCAATCTCCTTTTAGCTATATCCCTATTACTCCCCTATACCCTTAAAACTTTTTAGTAAATACCTATATTTAGTGATAGATAGAACAAGATACACAGGTTAGCTAGATTTTAGGAAGGTAGACTGAGGAAGAGAGAAAGAAAATGTGGATTCTATTGCTGATGTGAACAGGTTCTCTCTGTGCTTTTGTCCTTCCCTTCTCTTTGATTGATATGTTTCTGCCAACCCACATTTGTTGGAGCTCTTTCAAATTTGTCTTGCTAATATATCTATTAGACTGAGTTTTACTCTTTTTTAAAATTCCCTTCTTTCCATCAGGGTGCCTATAATTCTTTGTTTTTATTTGCTTTTCACTCACATCAAAAAGTTGGGAGGTCTTTGTCAGGGCATGAAATGTAATTTGCCCTGGGACTAAACACTCACCTGGGGATGTTAATGTTTGTGACCATCTGTACTACTGAAGAGAAGAAATTATTTTTATATCTATGGTAAATTACTCAATAAGCTTTTTGCCATCTTCTAGAGATTCTGTTATCAAGGTTCAAAAATTTAATTGTAGGCTTTAACTGTTCTGCTAGATTTGAGCACTTTGGGGCTTTTAGATTCTGTGGAGAAAATCTTTAGCCTTCTATAAATTGAAATTAACTTAATCAATCAAGTCATTTTCAGGATTTAAACAATTTTCTAGAAATTATAAAATTGAAATTCTTTTCATGATAAAACTATAAAAGGTAAAAAAAAAAAAAAGGCCTTGAGCAAGGTTTAACTTTTTTTTTTTTTTTCTGGACTGAAATGGAGGCTTTCTTTCAAGCGAATTCCCTGATGTTTGCTCTGTGTGATTTGGCTCCATCTCTGTAACTGCTAATATGTGGCATGGATTTCAAGTTGTTTGGGATCTGGATGTGCCCAAAGTCTGTATTGCAAGACGGGATTCACAGGCATTATGTTACAAAACTGGCTTGCTGCCTTCTGTTTTCTTTTTCTGTGTCCTGTGTAGCTGCATTGTTTGTTGCAGTATATGCATTAGCTGTTGTCTATGTTCAGTTTCCTGCAGGCTGACAAAGTGGGAGGGGCTTTGTTTGTTACATAGCTGAGTTTTCACTGTGTGAGTTCTTGAGTGCACATTGCAGCCATCTTAATTACACTTTTGTGCAACTGAGACTGTGCAGCTGTCTCAAAATGGCTGCTAACCTAGTCTTTGTAGCTGCTTAGGCAGCAAGTATGTCAGTGAGGAGACTTGTCACATGCATCAGGACCAGAGGTAAGAACCAATTACTCTTTTATCTTAAACATTCTCATTTTTTTCTTTTTTAAAAAGGAATTTAACTGAGTTTACTTAGAGGGGTGAACTTAGAGCTTGGTTTTTAAAAAGTTGAAATGTTTGGTAGAACCTTTAAGCCTTTATTATGGAAACAGTACATAGCATGGTGGGGTCAAAGGTTAAATTCCTGTAATTTCTCACCATTTTATGTTCTGTCATTGCCAGAACATTTGATCACCATAGTAGTGCATTTCTGGCCCTAATTAATGTAATATTCCTTTTGTGTAGGCTATTTTAGTGTGTTTGGTATTTATTTGTAGAAATTAAAACAATATATTATCTGAATAGATTTTTTTTTTAAAGGATCCATAAGTAAGCCTTGTTTTGCACAAAGACTACAATTTTTCTACGGTTTTGTGAGGTATTGTGTGGAAGCTTTTTGGAAAGAAGGGTAATTATATAAATCATGAAAAAAAATTTTTAATACTGTCCAAAATCTTTTTTTTTGGCATTATGGGTTGCAGTTCTTTCTCATCATGCTGCCTCCTCCCAGTATCCAACTCTTTGACATTTTTAATGCTGCTTTGCTTCTTTGTTCAAATTACTTTTTGCTTAAGTTGGCATTCAGATTCAGATTTTGAATTTAGAAATAAATTCACATCTAGTCATGGATACCTCTTTTTAAAAAATATATCTAATGTATTCAAATACCATCAGAGCTGAAGTACTCAGTTAATTAAGTTATATTTTCATTTTAGTCTTAATTCAAACCTGTAGTATATTTAAAAGAAATATAGCTCAATGATTTTGTAAATTTAATTTCAAAAAGTTTAAAAAGCTTTCTTAACATCGTTCTGGAGTAGAAATGTTTATTGAGATACTGTAAGTCTGTGGTTACCCAGAAAGATGGGAGAATGAAATTCTTATTCACGTAGTATTTCAGATAGCAGAAAAGGCATACTTTAAGCAGCAATACTTAAATTGCAGTACCTGTTAAAATATTTTTTAGCTGGTATAATATACTCCTGGTTTTGTCCGTAGAGTATTAAGAATATATCCCTGACTTATATGACATAGAACAGTAAGTTCTAAACTTTCTGAGTAGAGCAGCTTTCTAAAAACAGAAACTTTTTGCATGTTAAACTCTTAGGGAGGATTCCAATATATAAAAGGGATACTTATGGTTTCTGCTTAATTCTGCAAGGCTTAAGAAACAAAAGGACACGTGATATTTTATTGTTATGTACTTATTTTATATTGTAAACTTATTCACATGTCATGTGTATTTAATAAAATGACAATAATTATGCTATTAAGATAAACAAAACTTGGAAACGAGATCGTACATGACAATTATAATCTTGTATTAGATCCAGATCTAGTTCACTTATTTGTAGAACCTTGGCCTCTTAAGGCACTGTGGAATTCAGTTTGAAAATTATTCTAGAATGTGTCTTCGTTATGTTGATTTTTGATGTTCATGAAGATGGAATATAAGATCTATATGTACATGACTTAACAGTTTAAAATTGTTGACTTGTCTCAGCCTTGTGTTTATATTTGTTATTTACATTTTTTTTAAACAAAATAATTGTTTTTCCTAATTAAATCAGTGTCCATTTATTTAGTGGCTTAAAATATATTCTGGGATCAGTATTTATCTCAGTTTCATCAACAGCTTTAGCATTTTTGTTTCACTTTAGTCACTACATTGTAAAATCTTTAGGACTGTCTTATATGACATAGTAGATTCTCATAATTTGAACACTAATTTATGTAAATCATTCAGTCATATGAACTGTACCTAAAAAAGAAAAAGAAAAACATTTCAATGTGTTTGAGGGATTCTATTCATCATTCCTTTCAGTAAGGTTATCCTTGGAGTGAGTATGACATAGAAAAGTGAATGTGCTGTGACCTTGATCACTCTTATTTTCATGCCTTTTAATAGTAATAACAGCTCATTTTCTTGGTGGCGAGAGTGGGAGGGGAGGAGACTCTAGTGTTTAAAAATATGTGTATTTCAAAACATTTTATATAATGTCGAAAAACTGTCCATGTTGAAATTATTGAGCAGTTTATGCTGGTCTTGAGTGGGATCTTAGGGAAATTTTAATAACCCAGTCTTTTTGCCTTCTATTGCTAACTGTAATATTTGCCGCTACCCTCTACAAGATTATTACCTGTACATGAGGAAATACTAATGCCCTATGGTTACTCAGGATATTATTGCTAATTCTTTCCCTGCTGTGTTGCATTTTTGCAACTGTAAGCATAAATTACCCCTTAATGAGATGATTGCTTTTGGGATTGGTGATAGTTCTCAAATTTTCTGTTCCAAGTTCCAGTTAGCTATTATGCTGGGTAATTGAGGGCATAATAAATCTGGGAGCTGAATAATTGAAGTTTTATGATGTTATTTTGTCACTTTTAAAAATTCTCCCCTTTTGTTTACCCTTTTTCATGAACAATTTCATCTGCATAAGCCTCTAAGAGAAATGTTAGGGTGGTGGCACTGGCCAAGGGTCCAAACCTGAATTTGAATACTGTTTTTGCTACCTTTTTCTGACATTGACGAGCTTATTCCATTTTCTTTCTTTCCTTTCATTCTTTCTTTTTTTTTTTTTTTTGAGACGGAGTTTCACTCTTATGGCACAGGCTGGAGTGCGATGATGCTTCCTCGGCTCACTGCACCCTCTGCCTCCTGGGTTCAAGCCATTCTCCTGTCTCAGCCTGCCTCCTGGGTTCAAGCCATTCTCCTGTCTCAGCCTCCCGAGTAGCTGGGATTACAGGCATGTGCCACCATGCCTGGCTAATTTTTATATTTTTAGTAGAGGTGAAGTTTCTTCCTGTTGGTTAGGCTGGTCTCGAACTCCTGACCTCAGGTGATCTGCCCGCCTTGGCCTCCCAAATTGCTGGGATTACAGGCGTGAGCCACTGTGCCCTGCTAATTTTTTTTTTTTCAAGACGGAGTCTCACTCTGTCGCTGAGGCTGGAGTGTAGTGGTGAAATCTCAGCTCACTGCAACCTCCGCCTCCCAGGTTCAAGTGATTCTCCTGCCTCAGCCTCCCGAGTAGCTGACATTACAGGCGCCCATCACCACGCCCGGCTAATTTTTGTAGTTTTAGTAGAGATGGGGTTTCATTATGTTGGCTAGGCTGGTCTTGAACTCCTGACCTAAAGTGATCCGCCTGCCTAGGCCTCCCAAAGTGTTGGGATTATAGGCATGAGCCACTGCGCCCAGCCTTCTTTCTTTCTTTACTGGAGACAGAGTCTCACTCTGTTTCTCAGGCTGGAGTGCAGTGGCAATCTGAGCTCACTACAACCTCCACTTCCTGGGTTCAAACAATTCTTGTGCCTCAGCCTCCTGAGTAGCTGGTATTACAGGCATGTGCCACCAAGCTAATTTTTGTGTTTTTAGTAGAGACGGGGTTTTATCATGTTGGCCAAGCTGGTCTCGAACTCCTGGCCTCAAGTGATCTGACCACCTCAGCTTCCTGACATGCTGGGATTACAGGCATGAGGCATCGTGCCCTGTGTTCATTCCATTTTTTGATTTTCGTTTCTTCGTCTATAAAATGGGGGAAATTTCCTATCTATTTGGTAAGCATATGCTCAGAATCAATTTACATAATGTTTCAGAATAGTATCTTGAAATACTCTGCAAAAATCTTGCATACTAATTTTCTCAGTAATATCCAAATGCATTTCAGTTTATTTGCCTCTCGAGTGTCATATACCTTTTCAAGTGTGATTGGATCAGTGTGTATTTAAAAACTATGGGAAATTTCTTATATAACTCATGCTCAGAAGCAAGAAGTGCTAAGTAACATCATATCCACTTAGTAATGTTATATATTCGTTTTTGTAGTACTGGGTCCTACTCTGTTAGCATAAATTAGCCATCCTTTGTTGTGTATGGATATGGCAGATGTATTTATTAAGTAAAGCCAATATAGAATGTTGACATTACAGAATTTAGAGGAGTAGGAGAAGTGTTTTGGGTATAGTCTGGCTGAGTTCTTCAAATACACTGTGAGAAAATAACTTATCTAAAAACATGACTTGAATTCACGGCCTAGAGTTTCCTGTGTTTCAGTACAAATAAGAATCATAAAAACAGTAAATTCTCTTTGAAAAAAATTCATTTTCAGAGCTATAAACTGGCAGCCAGCAAACTTACTTTTATTCTTTAGTCACCAGCCCATTTCTCTAATTGTTTGTTTTTTGTTTTTTTTGTTTTTGAGACGGAGTTTCGCTCTTGTTGCCTAGGCTGGAGTGCAATGGCGCGATCTCGGCTCACCGCAACCTCTGCCTCCCAGGTTCAAGCAATTCTCCTGCCTCAGCCTCCCGAGTAGCTGGGTTTACAGGCATGCACCACCACGCCCGGCTAATTTTGTATTTTTAGTAGAGACTGGGTTTCTCCATGTTGAGGCTGGTCTTGAACTCCTGACCTTAGGTGATCCGCCCGCCTCGGCCTCCCAAAGTGCTGGGATTACAGGCGTGAGCCACCGCCCCCAGCCCCATTTCTCTAATTGTTAACATTTAAAGTTGTCAGATTTTACCTAAAAATCTAGATGTCTTGCCTCTTGAAAAGCAAACAACATTTTTGCTTGAGGATAGCAATCTACAATTGAGTATAGATGCTGTCTCCTTCAGATAGGGCCTTCTCTTGCCCACCTCTGGTCCTCTTCACTGAATCACGTTACCTGCGTGGCCTTGGAAGACAGTTCCTTTTAAAGACCTATCCTACGTATTTGATAGTTTATTGGCAGCCTTAAATATCTAAAATATAACTTCTAACCCAAAAGAAAGTAAACATAAGTAAAATTTAGCCTACTTTACTTGGTAGGAGAGACTTAGAATATATAAAGTCAGTTTACTCTTTAGAAGATATGGCACCTTTTGTAACCTTTCACTTTGTCCTAATTTTATATAGAGTGCCATGGGAGCCAAATGAAGGAGATCCAATGGCATAACAACAAGTAACGATTGAAAGTGAAGAGATTAAAGAAATACTAATTAGAAACATCTAAGTACCTTGAGATCTTTTATGTGATAATCAGTTCTGTTTTCTTTAAATGTTACCGCTGTGTTAAAGGACATCACTATCAACTTGATGTTCTTAATGGTGATACTGAATAAGAAAAAGTTAAAGTGTATTCAAGCTATGCAGTTTACTGAACAGATAAATGAAATAACATTTTATAAAAGATTTTTGCTCAAATTAGTTGAGCTAAGAAGTTTATCACTGAAAATAATGAGTAAATTTCCTAATAGAATGTTTTCTTAACCGTACACTAGATTAGATAATGGCCGTTAGGCCATTACAAACTTTATTTTTGTTGAAAACTTACATCTATTTACATTTATTAATTTAACATTTACAGTGTCTATGTGAAGACTACCTTGATGATGCATGAAACATGATAATTTATAATCTTGATCTGACTTAAATTTGAATTCCACATTTCCCAGAGTGAAAGCCAGCTTGTTAACATTCAAATAATACCACGACATTGGTAACTCTAAGGAAGTGCTAAAAGAATGTTATGCCTTTTTGGAAAATGGTTTTCTAGTTAGAGTTCAACTTTAGAGAAAATTGAAAAAGTGATTAACTTGCACAGGAAACAGTGACTCCCCTGCTTTACTGCTCTTCACACTTTGAAAAGAGAAAGTGATTTGAGAGAAAGCCTAATGTCTATTCAAATAAGTGATTGTTTTTTAATTGCTCAGGTTAGAACTCTCACAAAGAGTTCTCTGTTGGTGATATGTAACAGTCTGTTATTAGTCATTAATATGTGAATATGGAAATTGTGAAAACAGCACAAATTGATTTAGCAAATCTTCATCAGTTTAGTGAAAGAGGGACCTTAACACTGGAGAGAGGTCTGAGGAGTTGCTTCTGCATCTGCCTGAGGGAATCTTGTCTTTCCTTCTGAAGTAAGGCAGATACAGCTAGCCAACTGCCAGTAGAACTATCTGACTCGTGTATCCCTTTGTTGGATATAGAAATACCTGTACCATGGCATACATAGTGGAAAACATTAGTATAGAAGTTAGGAAAAGATTACTTCTGCTCTCGTACTGTTATTAAGTAATTGTGTAGTTTTGGATAAATATTTAACCTCTTTGTGTTATCCCTGATCATTAAATGAGATGGGTCGTTGGAAGAACACCAACTTTGAGTCAAACAGAGTCAGGGTGAATCCATGTTCTTCCTCTCATTAGTTATAGGTTATATGAAAAATGGATATATAGTGCTCAAAGTACAGTACCTATTTATGATTATGTGTTCAGTAAGTCTTAGGTATTTTGTTTGTTTGTTTGTTTGTTTTGAGACAGAGTTTTGCTCTTGTTGCCCAAGCTGGAGTGCAATGGTGCTATCTCAGCTCACTTCAACCTCCGCCTCCCAGGTTCAAGCGGTCTTCCTGCCTCAGCCTCCTGAGTAGCTGGGATTATAGGCGTGCGCCACCATGCCTGGCTAATTTTGTATTTTTAGTAGACACGGGGTTTCACCATGTTGGCCAGGTTGGTCTCGAACTCCTGACCTCAAGTGATCTGCCTGCCTCGGCCTCCAAAAGTGCTGGGATTACAGGTGTGAGCCACCATGCCTGGCCAAGTCTTAGGTATTTTTATGGAATGAGGCAAGTTACTTATTTTCAGAACCTCAGTTTTTCTTGTTTTTAAAATGGGAATAATGTTTATCATAAAGAACTAATATTGGGGTTTAAATGAGGATAACAAATATAAAGTCAAGTGAAGTGTAGCACAAATTAAATATTGGTTGCATTTGTTTCACAAGACTCCCTTTAGCACAGATCTTTTTTTTTTCTTTTTTTTCTTTTAAAAATCATCATTTCAGGAAGAATGGAGTTGGGAGAAATCTGGTCTACTGGGTAGTTTAGAAAAGGATCTTTAGGGAGAGGGCGTATTTAGGGGCCTGGCTGATTTACAGTAAAAATGTCACAGAGCAGGGTCTTTAGAATCTCCAAGTGAAGACTTTGAAGAGTCTAAAGGGGACAAAATAAGAATTCTTACTTGTGCAAAGGCAGCATGGTAGAGTGAAAACTAAAACAGACTGTGAATTGATCAGTTACTCAACAAATGTAACAGTTATTTATTATGCACCTATTATTTGCCAGGTACTGTTTGATGCTTGGCATATAAGATCCTTGCTCTCTCTCAGGGAGTTTACACTTGTGGAGGGAGTGGGAAGACACAGACAATAAATATGAGAGAAGGTTGCAAATACTTAAGGATTGTGAATGCTGTGGGGTAGGGTAGAATAGGTATCTAAGAGCTAGATGAGCACTACACAAAATGTGGCCTGTGATCAGTCTGAGAACTGTTCGCTTCTGGTCCTCTGTGAGATAAGAACTGAAATTGAGAGTTTATAGAAATTTTTACATCAATCTGATAATGTAATTTTATGTCAGTTGAGTCAAAACAATTAAAACTCATATTTTATATGCCTTATTTTTAATTTCATTTTTCAGGTAATTCATTGCCACCATATTTTACAATAGCATTGATCTACAGTGGGTTGAAAATAAAACACCAGTCTTTACTGTATTCATTTTAGCAGTGAGCTAGATCAACAGTTGCCATTGTTAGTACTATTAGTAAGCATGTTGTGGAGATTTTCAGCTTCTTTTGATGAATAATTCACTGTCAAGTAATTAGCTTATTTGGCTTAGAAATACTTACATCCATGTTATTTACACTATATTTTATGTTGGACTAAGTTATTTTAGGTCTTTTGATTTTCAAGTACTTTTATTCATGGTTGGATGCATGATACAGGTAGGAAGAGAACAAAATTAAAACTGTAAGGTATATAATAAGTGATTTCTTTTTTTAATTTTTAACTTCTAGATTCTGTTCTCAATGCTTAGATTATTTCTAACATTTTTTCTCAACTCATATTTTATGATCAGTATATGGTACTTAGAAAGCTCTTTTGATATAAGATCTTTCCTCCAACCAAGAGTTAATTTATGCATGAAATTGTATCATTATATTTGTCCCTATCACTTCATCTGCTGCTGGTGGGTCATAGATCCTGAGAAGAGAATATAGTTGTTTGAGGAAATTTATCATTGATAACCTAGATAATATTTTTGATTGTCTATATAAGTCTACCATTTGCTATTGATAAATGATAACTTTATGCGTCCCCTCATTTATAGCCCCATTATCTTTTTTATGTGATAGGGGTAACTTAAGAAGTATGTTGAAGATAGCTGAAAATAAGATTTAAAAATATGGAAAATATTTTGGATAACCCCTAGTAAGCATTTTAAGTACTTCTTTTCATTTTGTTATTTCAGATGCGGGACTAAACTAGTTTCTGGATTGTTACTTTAAAATGAAATTTAATATATCTCTAGCCTTAATGAAAATGGTAGTGGAGTAGAATTATGTATTAGTAGATAATAAATTAACTAAAAAATAAGTAAAAATAAAGAAAAGGGCCTTGCAGATAATGACTCAACTCTTGCCTTGTCAGATCTGGCCAGTAAAAACAATACATGAATGATACAGGTTTGAAAAGAATGTGGCACAGACAGAATATTTTCTTGGGAAGACATTCGTAATTTAATGTGCCTAGGTTTTTATACTCAGCACATGCTTTGGTAATATTAACTAGTGGTAAATGTGTTGAATTATTTAACCATCATAATAGTGATACCTGAAGGTACACAATTCTTATTATTTGGTGAAATGTTAAACAATATACTTCTAAGAGCACATCTACTTAATAATGTTTACTATTTAATTGATTAGTTAAAATTTGAAAGGTAGTTGTAGAGTAGAATGAGGATAACATTAGGTAATGTGAATTATAATTTGTATTTTTAATGATTGCCAAACAGCAACCATTGAATTTACGTGGTCTGTGCCATAAGTAAGCTAAGGCTTTTGAATATCTCTGAGAGTTAAAAATATTTTTCTTGTGGTGGGGGGTGGAATTTCAGTTATATAAGAATTATAAATTGGTTTTCTTTTATTACCTGGATTTGAATTCTATTCAAATATGTATATCAAATATATGTAGATAACTAGATATATTCTAGAACCAGTCAGTACATGTTGGGGAACGAATGGGGAGGGTTTACTCAGCAGTACTCTCCTTTAGTTTGGTCATGAAATGAGGACTGCTTTATGTAAATTGTCCTTACTGGCGCCAGCTAGCTGTAACTGCAGTCTGGCTGTGCTAGGGTAGCAAATAAAATGTGTCATGGATTTTCTGTTTGGAATGTATAAGAATTCAGCCTTTTGGACTGAAAGAACAGAGTTGATACATTAGAATAGCAGTAGTGAGACCACAATTGACAGTGAATATGTGAAATAGTGAGAAGCTATAAGCCTTTTAAGCTTTTAGTTCTTTTATAGGTTTATACCTATTGATACTATTGGGTAATATGTGGGAGGTACTTAACTGCACACAGTTGCTGCAGACCTAATAGTTGGCAGCATAGAAAGCAGTACAAAGAATTCTGATTCTAGGCATTTTCACTTTGAAATAGTCATTTTGAAGATATACTCTGTGTGTTCTGTGAGCTTCATTGACATATTGTCTGACGTTTTTTGGCTTTTGTGGTAAATGGGATGTATGCTGCACAAACTACCCAACAGATGTGAACCACTATTTGAAAGGAATTTTAATATGTAGCCAACCTACTGTATTCTTGTTTTTTTTTTAATGAATATGAATCAAACAAGAAATTTAGACTCGAGAAGGCTGACCTAGAAGTCTGCATTAGCTTTTAATGTTTATACAAATGAACTAAGTAGCAGTGGTTTACAGAAGAGGAAGTCCTTTTCACAGTGTCAAGCTGCCCACAGGTAAGAGATTCAGGTCCTTTTTCTGTGACACCTACCCCCCAGGCTTTATGTTTTTCTCTCACCATTGGAAGTTTTTAAAAATTTGTTTGTTTTTAGTTCTAATGAAAACAGGATTGGTAGATCGTTTAATGTTAATATTCAGGAGATTTTGAATGCCACATTTGGATTTGGTATTTTTTAAAATGTAATTTTCATCTTCTCAAAATTCCTTCACATTTGAATTGAAATGAACTAACAGTGGACTTCATATATGAATATTACTCATGCATACAATATGTTCATATTACATAGAAATCAGTTTTAGATCTCTTTTCATTATAGTCTGTTACTATATTCTCACTTGTAGTGACACCAACTGGTACACGCAGAGAGATGACATTTTGTAACCTCACTTAAGTATAAAGTTTTAGTTTAAATTTACCACTTTGAATTCACCTTTACAAATCAGAGTGCTTATGTTTTCAAATATGGCTCATTGACATACATTAGATAATGTATATTTATACATATAACTTGGTCAATTTTCTACTTCCACCCTTATTCTTTCCATTTCTCTATATTTAAATTTATTATTATTTTAATAAAGTGATTTTTAAAAGTCTAAAATGAATGTATTAATTAGGAATTCCACTAAATTTCATATTTCTTAACCTGGGTTAAAGGAACACAGTCATTTGTTATTATTTTTTTCTATGCATGAAATATTGTATACAAAAATATAAAATTCCATTGCAATAAAAATAATCTACTACCATTGCTGTAAAGATAGGAAGGTGTATGTTTATAAAGAAATGCCAATGTATGTGTTCATTCGTATCAGTATGGCCAGAAATATATTACTGATTGTAATAATTTTTGGAGGGTGGGTGAAGAGTTGAATAGCAGAGTAAAGTGAAGAGTGGTAGTGAGGTAGCTTAGAGTAGTGTATCAAAGAAAGGAATTACGTCAGGCAGCTCTCTGCTCTTTCCCTCCCTCTTTAGAAGTCAAGCAGCAGGCTCTTTCTGTAACCAAAGTGTTACTTTTAGGTGGGACTTCCAGTTCTCTAGTTTCTGAAAGTTTGGTCACTTATTGCTACATAGTTGTATACTTTAAAACTGGGGGCCAGCTGTGATAGAAGCCATACTCATGTTTCAGGGGCAGGAACTGTTCCTTACTTGTTGCCTTTTGACAGTGTTGCTTGGATTTAAAAAAAAAAAGCATATATTTTATTAAAGTATAGAAACGTAACTTTTTTGTGTATGTTTCATCTCAGTAAACAATTTCCCTATGATTGACAAAATGATGATAGTAGAAAGAAATCAATTTTGATTGATGTGTTTGAGGTTGGATGAGGAGAAGGTCATGCTTCTTGGTGTGGAAGACATACACATCTGAAACAGTAGGAAAAAGTTTTTCAAACTTCTCTTGTGCTATTATATTGGTTAGGGGAATGCTGGGCTGGGAAGATAGTTGAGATGGGCTAGTTTTTACATATAGACAAAGAGAAAAAGAGTTGATAGACAAAAACAGGAATTTATTGAATGCTGTTAGAGTTGGAGGTCATAGCAAAGAAAGATGAGGGATAGTAGGACAGAGGTATATTTTGTACATAGACAATCAAAACAAAGATAAAAGTCATGAGTATGATTACAGGCGTGGTGGCTCACGCCTGTAATCCCAGCACTTTGGGAGGCCGAGGCAGGTGAATCACCTGAGGTCAGGAGTTCGAGACCAGCCTGACTAACATGGTGAAACCCCGTTTCTACTAAAAATACAAAAAATTAGCCAGATGTGGTGGCGCACGCCTGTCATTCCAGCTACTTGGGAGGCTGAGGCAGGAGAATTGCTTGAATCCGGGAGGCGGAGGTTGCAGTAAGCCAAGATCGCACCATTGCACTCCAGCTTGGGCAACAAGAGCGAAACTCCGTCTCTAAAAAAGAAAACCAAAAACAAACAAAAAAACAAAACACCAAAAAAACAATGAGGATAAAGGTATATAGTCTTTGAGGCTATTGAAGTTGAGTGTGAATGATCCAAAATTTGGAGTATAAAAATCTTTGAGTTCCTAAAAAGTGTTTGTGTTCCTTTTAAGAAAGAAAATGTATTTAGCAAGCAATGTAGAATCTCAAAATCTTCAAAATGAAATGAACCTAAGTGGTCAGGTAGTTTCTAATATTGCACTTTGCACAGGAACCTACTGTTTGATATTCCTGACAGATAATTATCTAGTTTATACTTCACTATTTCTAATGACAGAAGGGAGAGTCTCTATTTTCATAAATCAGTTTCTTCTTTTATTGGGCATCCAAACAAATTAACATTTGTTGATTTTGAGATGAAGTTGCCTTTCATTACTTTTATTTTTGCTTCTCATAGCCCCCCACTTTCTGTCTGTCTGTAGCTCTCTTTCTCTTGTATCTCTTTTACATGACAAATATGTACTATTTAAAGAAAGCTCATTAAAATTTTCTTATGTTTTCTAGGCTAAATATCAATATCTTTTATTTTTTCCTGACATTTCCTCATACAACTTACTGTTCCAGAGCATTCTTTAGCATGGTCATCCCACAGTTATTAATAAGTCCTTCTTTATCTGTGATGCTCAGAACCAAACATAATTACTCTAAAAATTTTCCCCTTCTCCTTGGCTATTTGTTCTACAGTTTAACTTTGCATTAGCATTTTTGGCAGCCACCTTGAGATGATTTTTTGAGTTTGCATTAAGTTAAAATACCTCAGTCTTTCCCTAATATTCATTGATAAACTTTAACATACTTTAATATTTGAAACAATTGTTACGTTATTATGTTTTCTTAATAATTTCTCATGTTGTTCGTTATATTTACTATGCTTTGTGTCTGTCTTCCTTGCAAGGTTTTTTTCTGTTTTAATAGTGTTTTTAAAGAACTGGCTTTTGGTTCCTTAATTGCTTGCTCATTTGTTTTCTTTCATAATTTTCTGCTTTTATTGTAATTCCATGCTTTGGGATTATACCTTTTTGCCTTTATTAATGTTTTTGAGTTTGTGTTTTTTGTTAATATATGCATTTAAGGCTATCAGTTTTAATCTGAATATCATTTTAGCTGATTTCCCTAGGTTGTATTCTTTTAATACTTCGTTGGTATTTTATCACTGATTTCCTCCTACATCTAAAAGTTTTTTTTTTTATTTATAAGGAGATAATTTTTCTGTCATCTTGTTGGTATATTTATTACATTATGACTACAGAATATAGCCTTGTGGTTTTTTTTTTTTGTCTTTGAGTTTGTTAAGATTTTCTTGTCGCCATACACATGGTCAATATTGATGTACATTGGCTGTATTTGTGAAAAAAATTATATTTTGGGTTTATTGGGTATACAGTTCTATTTATTTTTGTTATTCTGACATGCTAATGGGTTGTTCATTGCTTATTACTTTTGTGTTCTTCATCCATAGATTTATTTCTGATTGTGAATTTATTAGTTTTTTCCTGAATTATTTAAACTTGTTTTATCAATAGGACATATCTCTTTTTTTTGTTCTATTACTTGATTTTCAACTTGAATTCTTTTTTATATGTCATATATAGGTTTTATATGTATACCTACCCTTTTTTGTGGTACTATTTGCCTAGCGTATCATTTTCTATCCTTCTGTTTCAACCTTTCTATGCTGTTACTCTAAGGTATGTCTCGTTTATAGTGCATAGCTAATGATATTTTTGTTGTTTTACACGCTTGAAACCCATCAGGTTTTTCCCTGATTGATAATTTTCTTTATTTTTGCCCCATATTCTGCAACCTGTTAGTTAACTTACACATTGCAATTATCTGGATAAATAACATATTTATTTTAAAGATGATTGATCCTCAGTTATTTCAGCCTGCTCAAGAGTTTTACTTGTTTTTTGGAGCTTTGCTAATTTCCTTATCTGAATTTCTTCATAGGTTCTTCTGCTGTCTGGTCTTGTACTTATATTTATATATAATCATTTTAGCAAAGGTCTGCATTCTCTGTCTTTGCTCAGAAGTAATATATTTATTTCCTCACTCTTGCTGACTGCTAGCTTTGCTAGCTGTAGAATTCCACAGTGAAAATAACTTTTCCCATGAATTTTGAGGATATTGTTTTTTTTTTAGCTTTCAGTATTGCTGATGACAAGTCTGATGCCAGTTTAATTCTTTCTCTTCTGTAGTTAAATGATATTCTAAGTTATTAATATTTCCCTATAATGATTTTCTGAAATCTTATTGCAGTATGCCTAGGTGTCAAAAAATTTTATTTTGCTTATTTTAATTTAGTTTGTTTTGGGATTCAATAGACCTTTATTATTGGAAAACTTGTATATTTTTTCAGCTTTGCTGATTTTTTTTAATTTTCTTATTTTTTCCCTCCTTTTTTTCTTGTTTCTTTTTTTTTAGAAACTTGACTTAATTGAAAGTTGTTGCTTCTGGGTATATTTCTTATGTGTTTGTTTGTTCTTGTGAGTGTAATATCTTCTCATACACTTAGAGGATTTTTTAATATACTATTTTAAAATGTCTTCTGTTTATTCTCCTACTAATTAGCTAGTGTTTTTTGTGGGATTTGGCACCTGACCTTTTGTTTGAATTCTTGAATGTATTCATTTTTGTATTTGAGATTTCCTGTTTTACTTTGGCTGGATGCTGATGGTTCAGGTGATTGTGAGTGGTGGGGAAGTGGTACTTGCTACACATGGGATATGCTGATAATTTGTCTTTGGGATGGTAGCCTCCATGTCTCTCCGGGGACATAGTGTCTATATAAGTTACTACCCTAGCTGCATTCACAAATGTGACTGCTGCCCTGGTTTAGCACTAGCATGGAAGAGAGAATGTCTGATGAACTTAACTGTTCAAATACCAATTACATGAGTGAATTTTCATGTGATGATTCACACTGGCGTATCAGGTCTAAATTGAAAGTCTGTATTTGTATCGCCTTGTCTCTGTGTAAGTGAGGTACTTTTAACTAGTTTGACATTTATCCTTTTAGTCTTTAAAATATCACTTGCATGCCTGTATACATGTTTAGATTTTTGTGTGTTTTAAAATATAATGGCATAAAACAGGAAACATTTATTGACTGCTTACAGTATCTAAGTACTTTCTATTTATTATGTCATTTAATTCCCATAACATTTCCATGAAGACAGACTTTGTTATTTCAGTTTCATAGATGATTTTACTGAGGTAAGGAGAAGATATATATTTTAGATAGATAACCAGGAAATTAATAGGATTAATATTTAAAAAGGTATGTCTGGTCCTGGTATTTGCACTATTAATTGCAAGAGTTCTGCTTTTTTGGTGTGCTTGATAATATTTCTCAGAGATTTTTTTTTTAATTCCTGGGATATTAAGGGCTTTTGTTTTTGTATTTTCTATGACAGTGCAGCACTAGGCATCCTGATATATTCCTTTGTAAAACATGTTGATACATTGTTAGATAGATACCTTAAAGGTCCTTTGCTGTGTCAAAATGATGCACAATTCCTGCTTGTTTGTCCTTAAAAATGGATGTGACAGTTAACTCTTCTGCTCATGGTACATAAGACCACTCATTTCTGTATATTAATGCTAACCACAAGTAGTTGCCAATCTGATGTTTAAAAATGTATTTTCTCTTTCTGTTTTGTCTTTTTTTGATGATTAGGTTGAATGCCTTTTCTTGTATATGTTGTTTTATGAATTGCCTGCTCACGTTTCTGTATTTTTTTTCCAACTGTTTGTCCTTTTCATTCACTAATAGATTTTCTTTTTTATTCTGAATACTAATCCTATATCACTATGCCATTTTTTCAAGTATTTCTCCTAACTTGTGGTTACTTGTAGTACTTTCTGTGCCTTTGAATATTTATATTATTTTATGTCTAGTGTCTTTGCTATTATGCTTAACTGCTATTTTGATAGATTTTCCACTATTTATTTCAAAATCCATTTCTTCCTTATTTGTTACGTTTTGTTTTGTTTTTGTTTGAGACAGAGTCTTGCTCTTGTCACCCAGGTTGGAATATAGTCGTGTGATCTCGGCTCACTGCAACCTCCGCCTCCTGGGGTTCAAGTGATTCTCCTGCCTCAGCTTCCTGAGTAGCTGGGATTACAGGTGTCTGCCACCACGCCCGGCTAATTTTTGTAATTTTAATAGAGATGGGATTTCACCATGTTGGCCAGGCAGGTCTTAAACTCCTGAGCTCAGGTGATCCGCCTGCCTTGGCCTCCCAAACTGCTGGGATTAGTGGCGTGAGCCATCGTGCCTGGCCTTTCTTTCTTGTTTGTGATGCTTCTCTGTCATAGTTACCTTTTTTATTGTTTGTGTCTGTCTTTTGGATGATTATTCTGTTGTACTCTTTTTTTTTTTGTACTTAAGATAATAATGCTTTGTTATATGCTGTCACATCTGAGAGGGCAAACATTTTTCATTACTTTTGGTTTTCAATTTTTTCCCTGTTTTTAGCATTGTTTCACTTAGAGATTAAGCTTTTTTTTTTTTTTTTTTTTTGATATGGAATCTCGCTGTGTCGCTCAGGCTGGAGTGCGATGGCGCTGGGCTCACTGCAGTCTCCACCTCCTGGGTTCAAGCAGTTCTCCTGCCTCAGCCTCCCGAGTAGCTGGGGTTACAGGCATCCACCACCATGCCTGGCTAATTTTTGTATTTTTAGTAGAGACGGGGTTTTACCTTGTTGTCCAGGCTGGTCTCTAACTCCTGACCTCGTGATGCGCTTGCCTCGGCCTCCAAAAGTGCTGGGATTACAGGCGTGAGCCACCGCGCCTGGCCTCAGAGTAAGTTTTAAAAGCTAGTCATGCTACAAAATATCTAGGTGGAATTTTCTTTTTTTTTTCTTTCTTTCTGTCTGTCTTTCTCTCTCTCTTTTTCTTTTCTTTTCTTCTTTCTTTTTTTTTTTTTTTTTTGAGATAGGGTCTCGTTCTGTAGCCCGGACTGGAGTGCAGTGGCATGATTATAGTTCACTGCAGCCTTAACTTCTGGGGCTCAAGTGATTCTCCCACCACAGCCTCCCAGGGAGCTGGGGCCAGAGACACATGTCACTATACCTGGCTAATTTTTAAATTTGTTGTTGAGATGGGGTCTCGCTGTGTTGCCCAGACTGGTCTTGAATTCCTGGGCTCAAGCAATCCTCTTGTCCCAGCTTTCCAAAGTGTTGGGATTATAGGCATAAGCCACCATGCCTGGCTATAGTTACTTTTAAAAATTCCCCTTTTTTTTCTTTAGTCACCTCCCTGACAATACTTCTAATAAATTTTATCCAGGAAGAATTGATTTTTTTTTTACATTGAGTCTTAGCTCTAATATTTCATAAGACAGTTCTAATATGTCATGTAAGTGTTTCTAGATACATTTTTCTTGCCATTCTGATTTTTTTTTTTTTTTTTTGAGACAAAGTCTCCCTCTGTCACCCTGGCTGAAGTGAAGTGGTGCGGTGTTGGCTCACTACAACCTCTGCCTCCTGGGTTCAAGCGATTCTCCTGCCTCGCTTCCTGAGTAGCTGGGATTCTATCATGCCTGGCTAATGTTTTGTATTTTTAGTAGAGACGGAGTTTCTCCATGTTGTCCAGGCTGGTCTTGAACTTCTGAGCTTAGGTGATCCACCCACCTCACCCTTCCAAAGTACTAGGATTACAGTCATGAGCCACAGCTCCTGGCCTGAATGTTTTCTTTATTGTATGTTCTGACTCCTGTTTGAGCTTTTACTGCTTTGCTCAGGATTTTCACAACGTATTGGATATAGTATGCATACCCTTTGTTTTGTGTTTAAGAGAAATGTCTGTGGTGTTTTATTACTATGGTGTTTTTTTGTGTTTAAGAGAAATATCTGTGGTATATTATTATGGAATTTCTTGTTAGTTTGAAGTGATCTTTATCAGCTAAAGGAATGATTTTTATGTTCTTAATTTTTATTTTTATCAGTGCTTAATTTTAATTTTTATCAGTGAATGAGTGTTGAAACATTTAGTGTCTTTTCAATTTCTGTTAAGAAATGAGTTAATTTTTGTTTACCCCTTTTATATTGTCAATAAATTTCCTAATATGCTTTAAAAATTATTAGAGGTGTTTAAAATGGAAAAACAGTGCAGTTTAGGATAGAGATGTTAATCTCATCTTTTAGTAGTTAACCAGGAATATGAGGATAAAGGAATTAGAAGAAAATGTATAGTTTCTTGCCTCCTGGCCTTAATGATCTAACATAGTCACAGTCAGGCTCCACAAACTGCTCTTCTAGTCTCTCTAAGCACTGTTCTTTGCACAGTATATTTATTGAATTGATTGTTGTGCTGTTAACAGTGAGGTGGCTGATCGAATTTTTTTCTGTTTACCAGTCAAATGGCTTCAGACTCTTTATGTCAACAGTAGAAAAGATGATTAAAAATTTAGAAGAGAAATATGGTATTTGGAAATGCCAAAATAAGGTGCTAGATCTGCATTTGTGAACCCTCCAAAAGAGCTTAGTTATATGTACTTGGTGGCTTACTGCATTTATCACTGAATTTCCTTGGAATTTTTCTCCCCTGCTTCTCTCTCTCCACCTCCTCCTTTTTATTTTTTTTAATTCTGGAGGCTCTAGGCTCAGTTAAATATTTTCATGTGGCAGAGAGCCAGATTTCCAATAGCCCTGAACTCAGCATGCTGCTGTTGCTTAGCAACTACTTGTGAAGTCTTGTGGCTATAACTGAATTATAAATAGGGTTATGAGCAGAAGTGCAATTGAAATTGAGATTGGAAAGAAAGGCATACTCTTTTTTCCCCCGTCTCACTTGAATTTGAGTGATTTTTTTTTTTAAATGCAGAGTCAGTTTTCAGAAATCTGGCTCATAAACATTGGTAATACTAACCCTATCAGGAAGACAATATGGGCATCTTTGTAATTACACATTTGTAAGCTTTTTTTTTTTTTTCCAGTGCTAAACAGTCTATAATGGAGACAAGGCAGTTCATGGAAACTAGAGAACAGAACTTCTAATTTTCATGGTCATACATGTAGAAAAATATCCATATATTGTATTACTGCTGTATTTATCTTCCACATTTACATTAAAATCTACATACAGGAACACTTTATTAGATTATGTTCTTGTACTTTTCATCACATCATTTCTTTAGAGTGGCTTAAAAATTGTCCTATAATCATGACCACAGGCATTTGATGAATATTGAATACATGAGTAAATCAACCTATCTTTATTATTGCTTAAACAGTACATTTTTAAGTACACTTTATTAAAATGTTATCAGCAAAAAACCTGAAAGGTTCTTTAAGGTCTTCTGATTTAATTTCCTTATATTTCACATGGAAAGCTTTAGACCTAACGATGTTAAATGATTTGCCTAAGATCTGTCATACCCTGGTGTGTGTATGTATATTTGGTTTTTTTGCATTGGTCTCTCTTACTGTTACATATTTCACAACTCTCTTTTTTTTTGCACTCATATTTCATCAGTTTACACAAAATTTAAATTCTGTAATTTATTAAAAAATGTACAACTTAGTAACAAACACAACTTACATGAACAGGTTTAGTTGAGAGCAGAAGACCATGGGTATCAGTCAATAAATTTGTAGAATGGATGGAGACCACTGGCTTATTTGATATGATGATTAGGAGGTTAAGAGAGTTTCCAAAGTATAGAATTTTTGGTCAGAACTCTACAGATTTTTTTTCAGGTTCCAAAAGATGAAACTAAGTGGCAATTCTTGGTTTTGGGTAAAGAACTCTGTGCTTTCTTAAAATATATTAAACTTTTTTTAATCGCTTTTAACAGCCCATCCTATGAAACTAAGTCGATTGCAGACATTTGCCAGAAACAAGTAGATTGTATTCTTAGGCATTGTTGCTAGGAAAAATTTAGAGTGGAAATGTAATTTTTTCTTTTGCTGCCAGTGGAGGTGCTGGTTCATTCTTTGTTGTATGCCCAGTAGTAGAGATCTTGCTATCAAAAGTGTAAGTTTCTTTGAAAGGTTTAACTGAAGGAAGATGTAGAATTATAAATAGAATTGGCTGGAAAATTTGTGATAAAAAATAATTTTAATTAGATCTACAAAGAGGGATAACCAGCAATCTTGCTCTGCTATAGAAGATAAATAGTTGGTACAAAGAGGAATTTGAATTTCCTCCATAATATGGAAGAGGATTTAGGGTCTTTTTTCTTTCATCTTTTTTTTTTTTTTTTTTTTTTTTTTTTTGTGACAGGATCTCACTCTGTGGCCCAGGCTGAAGTGCAGTGGCACAATCATGGCTCACTATGACCTTGACCTCTCAGGCTCAAGTGATCCTCCCACCTCAGCCTCCGGAGTAGCTGGGACCACAGGTGTGCACCACCACACCCTGCAAATTTTTAAATTTTTTTTGTTGAGACAGGGTCTCACTATGTTGTCCAGGCTCATCTTGAACTTCTGGTGCCTCAAGCAGTCTTCCCACCTCAGCCTCCCAAAGTGTTGGGATTATAGGCGTGAGCCACTGCACCCAGACATCTCAGCTGCCACTTTAAACTCCTGTGGGTTTTTAGTAGGGCAGTTGGAAGAGAAGAGGAATAAGATAGAGATCCAGGGTGAAGTTCCTGGAACTCTCTAAACTATTCTAAGGCATTTTAGTTGCTATACTAATTGTTCTAAGGTGCCTTGGTTATTCAGTTTCCCTCAAATTTTGATTGGTATGTGATGTGTAACTGCTTTGAATAATGTTTTGCAAGCATCATGTCTTCTTGCTTTTCTTGAAACAAAACTGGCCAGTATGAGCAAAAATTATTTTAAAAGCATTAAAACTAATTTAATAAAGAAAATGTGAAATTCCAAGACATGTTTAAAGTGATATTTGATATATGGGATTATTAAATGTTCTCACTTGTATTGCTTTGTTTTTTTATTTTTTGAGATGGAGTCTCGCTTTATTGCCCAGGTGGAGTGCAGTGGCGTGATGTCAGCTCACTGCAACCTCAGCCTCCTGGGTTCAAGTGATTCTCCTGCCTCAGCCTTCTGAGTAGCTGGGGCTACAGATGTCTGCCACCACGCCTGGCTGATTGCTGTATTTTTAGTAGAGTTGGGGTTTCGCCATGTTGGCCAGGCTGGTGTCGAACTCCCAGCCTCATGTGATCCACCTGCCTTAGCCTCCCAAAGTGCTGGGATTACTGGCGAGAGCCACCGCGCCTGGCCTGTAGTGCTTTATTAACAAAATCTGATATGTTTGTGATATACTCTTTTCACTAGTTGTGACTCATAGGTTTATTAATATTGCTTTCCTTGCAATGAGGATAACAGTATAAGTTAAGAACTATTTTAAGATATTTTAGATATAAATATAATTGTGGTTAAATTTTGGATATCTGTTGCATATGAATGTAACATTTAAAAAAAAAAAAAGTAAAATAAGCTAAGCTACTTTTCATGTAGACCAGTGTTTAAAATAACAGTATTTATGGGTTTTTTTTTTTTTTTTTGAGATGGAGTCTCGCTCTTTTGCCCAGGCTGTAGTGCAATGGCATGATCTCAGCTCACTGCCACCACGCCTGGCTGACTTTTTGTATTTTTAGTAGAGACAGGGTTTTACCATCTTTCCCAGGCTGGTCTTGAACTCCTGACATTGTGATCCACCCACCTCAGCCTCCCAAAGTGCTAGGATTACAGGCGTGAGCCACCATGCCCGGACAGTGTTTTTAAAAGCTTGGTTAAATTTCATTTAAAAATCTAACCACTGTTAAATATTTGGTTAAAAAGAGCCTCAGTTGGTGGATTACTCGTATAATTTTTACCCTTCCTCCAATGGAGCTTTTGTTACTTAAAATGGTTCTGTGTTCCTATATGTTTTAAAGGCATTGTTTCTAATCTTTAGTTCATGATTAAAATAAGTCCTCTACATATAATTTTTATATTAAGTGTTTAGGCTTTCGTAGTGTCAAATATATGAATTCATTTTGCATTTTGGATAACAAGTAGTGACCAAAGAAACATTTTAAAATTAATTTGTCATTTCATCAAAACACACTACTGGATGGTTTCATATAAGAAATGCATAGAACAAGTACATTAATAAATAGCATTGGTTTTAACATGACTTGGCTGTCAAACCAGCCATTCATTTCAGCAACTGTAATTTAAATTCTTGAAATTAAAAGGTTTTTTTTTTCTTTTTGTTTTCTCTTTCTTATTTATTTATCTATTTATTTTTTGGTTTGGTTTGGTTTGGTTATTTCCTACTGATCTGTAATCCTCTTCATGATGTTATATTAGACTATACATTGTTTGACATCTTTAGGAATTAAAATCCACTCCATAATAAATTTGTACTATACAAAGAGACATGCCTATTAAGCATTATTAGGCTGGAAAGGTAGAATGATGAAATGCATTCTGTTATCTGGGTAAAGGAGTAAGAAATTTCAAGTATTGTCAACTTTAACATTACTCCACTTTAGGCAAAGTTGAAAAATCAAAAATAGCGGTGTTGTACAGATTATTTATGTGCATGGTTAACTTTTACTTGACACAATCTTAAGATAATTTGTTTTTCTAACTGATAGAAATTATTTTAACTTAATTGAGAAAATAATTATTGAATGCCTACTGTGTATAAGACACTACTTTTTGTGGAAAGAAGTTTGTGTTAAAAAAAGTATAAGGCATACTTCCTACCTTATTTTGAAGTCTGCTTTGGTAAGTTATTTAAGCTTTGTATTTTTAATACATATTAAGCAGTTTTTTAACCAACAAATCTGATTGACTCATAAACTTGCAGAAAAAAAGTGCTAGGAAAAATGTAGTACTGTTTAGAATTTGAGATTTTAGAGAAACTTTAATGTATTAGGACTGTGATTCAAGTGTTTTATGATTCTCCTGTAAATAGAAAAACACTTAAATATATAGATATTGATGTGCACACACACACACACACACACACACAAATATATATGGACAGTGGCATGTTTCTTGAAAGTGGCCCATTTATTTAGCTTAACATTCATTTCTTTAATTGGCACCTAATAAGTAAAGGTGTCAAGTTAATATTTTAGGTGATGAAATGCAAGGCACATATTTTTTTCCAAGAAAATAGAGTGTTTTTGCTGGAAGTTTTGCTTTTATATTCGCATCTATTCTAAGATTCCTGCTAGCATATTGTTTCTATTTTTAGGCTGTTGCCAGGCAGATTTAAAATTTCTTCTCTTATGGCTGTCTAATTTCTATCTTCCTGATTGGTTACATGATGCTGCTTTTATTAGCCAACCACAGTGACTATGTAAATTGTATTTCAGTTTCTGTTGCTGTGAAAGAACTGATAAGATGGCTGCAGGGGGCTCCCTTTGGGGTATGTTTTTTATTTTAAAGAGGGTTTTCATCAATATGTAGTAAGAAGCAAAGGTAGATTTCTTTTAAAGGGGCATTTTATTTTTGAAATGGGAAATCAAACTAAGCAAGCTTTATAAAAGGCTGAAAAATGACTCTCTTGTGTATTTGATTAATTTTAATGCTGCTCTGTTTTGCCTCTATTAGGCAACTTATAAATGGGTATATTTTATTACTTTTTGTATGTAAACATGCCAGCATGCTAGTTTACAAGTCTGTTAAAATGTTCTAGATTATTGTCTTTGCTTTCTAAAAGAATAGTTTTTTTCATGTAGGAATTATTTTAGATGTCAGTTACGTGTACATAGCGCATCATTCTTTTAGCCAATACTTAATTGTATTCTATGTGCTCAACACTACGTAGTTCACTAATATTATACTAGAATACTTCATATTCTTCTTCTTTTGTGAAATGACCTCAGAAGCACATCATCATGATATCAGCATATTTAAGATGTTTTCTAATATCAAAGCTTTGGACACTTAAAATGTATTAATTTTCCCTGAGATTTGACAGAGATTAAAATTTGAAAGAAGTAATAATTTTATACTAGATACTCGATAAAAATGTCAAAGTGTTCCATTAAACAATACATAAATGTAGTATTAGAGTCCATTTATAATAAAAATTTCTAAAAGGATACCTTCAGAGCATTGGCAAATACAGAGAATGGTGGCAGAACATGCCATGTGAATAAAAACAATATTGATAAAATGTGACAAAGCCATATGTAACATCAGAAAGTTCAAGAAGTATACCTCATTTAAAAACATTTATCATCATTAATTACATATAAGGCCTTTTGGTTATAGTACCATTTTATAATAAAAGAGAATGTTTCTGTTTCACTTAAGACTTTCTAGTCTTTCTGGTAAAAGATAGTTAATTGAATTTTCCATATGCGGAAGACTTTATTAATATTTGCTCCTGGAGGGGTCACCTGTGTCATGCTTAGTACTGCTTTGTCTTTTGTTTTTTGTTTTTAAATATCTTGCGTGAGTATTTTATGCCCATTACTGCAATCCTGCAAGATGAGCATACTGTAGAATTATGTACCATTTGGGACAGGGAAAAAGAGTAATGAGCTCATCCAAGATGAGGACATAAGAGAACAAGGCTGCTGCTATTTTACACATACTGCCTTTCACCACCAATATAATCACAGATACACTTGTTGGCCTAAAAATGTGAACGCTCTAAAGTATAAACCAACACTCGGTTCTCTTGGTATAGTTGTTCTGTCCATGTTGGAAGTGTGACCCAGTAAAGGGGTTTAGGTTAAAAATAAATGAAAAACACTCAACTGAAGTTCTGCTATTTTTTTTAAAATATCTAGTTTATTGAGATACAGTTCACATGTCATACAATTCATCTGTTTGAGTGTATAATTCAGTGGTTTTCAGCATATTCACAGTCGCATAATCACCACAATCAATGTTTGAACATTTATATTACCCTATAAAGAAATCCTGTACCCTTTAGCAGCCAACCGTTATTTCCTCCCAGGCCTCCAACCCTAGGCAATTGGTAAGCCACTTTCTGTCTGTATAGATATAGATTTGCCTATTCTGGACATTTCATATACATTAGTCCCCCCTTCTCCACAGTTTTCGTTTTCTGTGGTTTTAGCTGTCTGTAGTCAACCGTGGGTAATATTAAGTGGAAAAATTTCAGAAATAAATAATTCATAAGTTTTAAATTTGGCACTGTTCTAAGTAGTGTGATGAAATCTCATGCCATTCTCTTCTGTCCTACGTAGGATATGAACCATCCCTTTGTCCAGTATGTCCAGCATATCTACACTGTAGACGCTACCCACCCATTAGTCATTTAGGAGATGTCTGGGTTATTAGATCTGTGCTGGTATCACAATGTTTGTCTTAAAGTCACCCTTATTTTATTTAGTAACAGCTTCAACGTGCAAGAGTAGTGATGCTGGCAATTTGGATATGCCAAAGAGAAGCTGTAAAGTGCTTCCTTTAAGTGAAAAGATTAAAATTTTTGACTTAATAAAGGAAAGAAAGAATCATATGCTGAGGTTTCTAAGATCTATAGTAAGAACTATCTTATACTTCTGTGAAACGAACAGTATATTGTTATAATTGTTCTATTTTATTATTAGTTATTGTCAATCTCTTACTGTTCCTAATTTATAAGTTAAATGTATGTATGTATGTATGTATAGGAAAAAACATAGTATATATAAGGTTCAGTACTATCCAGTTTCAGGCATTCAGTGGGTGTTTGGGAATGTATCTTCTATGGATAAGGGGGAATACCGTAAATGGAATCATTCACTATGTGGCCTTTCGTGACTGGCTTCTTTCACTCAGCATGTTTTCAAAGTTAATGCATGTAGTAGCATGTACAGTACTTCATTCCGTTTATGGCTGAATGATACTCTATTGTATGGATATACCACATTTTATTTATCCATTCATTAGTCACAGGGCATTTAGGTTGTTTCCAGTTTTGGGCCATTATGCGTAGTGCTTCTATAAAGCATTTGTGTACAAGTTTTTGTGTGGACATATGTTTTCATTTCTCTTGGGTATATACCTAGGAATGGAATTGCTGGATCATATGGCAACTCTGTGTTTCACATATTGTGGAACTGCCTGTTTTCCAAAGCAGCTGCACCTTTTTGCAATCCCACCAGCATTGTTTGAAGGTTCCAATTTATCCATATCATTGCCAATACTCATTATTCTTGTTGATTATAGCTGTCCTGGTGTGTGTGAGATGTTATCTCATTGTGGTTTTGACTTGCATTTTGCTGATGACTAATGATGTTTACTGCCTATGAACTATTGGCTTATAAAAGCCATAGCATTAGGAGAAAAACCTAATGTAGGTGACGGGTTGACGGGTGCAGCAAACCACCATGGCACTTGTATACCTATGTAACAAAACTGCACATTCTGCACATGTACCCCAGAACTTAAAGTATAATAATAATTTTAAAAAAAACAGAAAAAGAAAAAAAAAAGCCTTTTTGTGGAAATGCCTGTTAAGTCCTTTGCTCATTTTAAAATGGAGTTATTTGGTGTTTTATTATTGAATTGTAACAGTTTTTATATATTCAAGATACAAGTCTCGTATTGGGTATATGGTTTGCAAGTATTTTCGTCCATTGTGTGAATTGTCTTTTCACTTTCTTAGTGGTTTCCTTTGCAGCACGAACAGTTTTAATTTTGATGAAGTTCAGTTAAACTTTTTTTTTTTCCTTCTTCTTTTATTGCTTCTTCTCTTTGGGTCATATCTAAGAAACCATTGCCTGTTCCAAATTTATGAAGATTTTATGTCTTTGTTTCCTTCTAAGATTTTAGTTTTAGCTCTTAAATTTAGGTCTTTCATTTATAGGAATTAATTTTTGTATAAGGCAAGAAATAGGACTCCAACTTCATTCTTTTGCATGTGGCTATCCAGTTTTTCCAACACTCTTTGTTCAAAATACTATTCTTTCCCCATTGAATGGTCTTGTAACCCTTGTCTAAGACAATTTACTGTAAAAGTGAGGGTTTATTTCTGTTCCAAAATATATCCTAAGGATATACCTGTCATTTTACTGGTAGTATCACACTGTCTAGGTTATTGTAGCTTTGTAATAACTTTTAAAAATGCAAAGTATGAGTTCTCCAAGTTTATTTTTCTTCTTCAAGATTGTTTTGGTTGTTCTGGGACCCTTGCATTTTCATATTAATTTTAGGATCAGCTTACCAGTGTCTGCAAAGAAAATAGCTAGGATTTTGATAGAGATTGTTTTGAACCTGTAGCTTAATTTGAAGAGTGTTGACATCTTAAGGATTTGAGTCTTTTGATTCATGAGTATGGAACGTCTTTTATTTATTTATGTCTTTAATTTATTCAATAGTATTTTATAGTTTTCAGAATATTAAGTTTTGTACTTCTTTGGCAAAATTAATTTTTGATATTACTCTAAATGAGATTGTTTTATTTTTGGATCATTTGTTTCAAGGGTATAGAAATGCAATAGATTTTTATATGTTAATCTTATTATAGTGAACTTTGTTAAACTCTTATTCTAATAAATTTTTAGTTGATTTCTTACTATTTTCTATATACAAGATTTTGTTATCTGTAAATAAAAATAGTTCTTTCTTTTTTTTTTAAGTTGTATGACTTGTGGCTGGGTGTGGTGGCTCATGCCTGTAATCCCAGCACTTTGGGTGGCCGAGGCAGGTGGATCACCTGAGCTTGGCAGTTTGAGACCAGCCTGGCCAACATGGTGAAACCCCGTCTCTACTAAAAATACAAAAATTAGCCAGGCTTGGTGGTTCACACCTGTAATTCTAGCTACTCAGGAGGCTGAGGCATGAGAATCACTTGAACCCAGGAGGCGGAGGCTACAGTGATCTGAGATTGTGCCAGTGCACTGCAGCCTGGGTGACAGAGAGGGACCATGTCTCAAAAAACAAACAAAAAGTTGTTTGACTTTTATTTCATTTTCTTGCCTAATTCTCCTGGCTAGAACTTCTAGTTCAATGCTGACTAGAAATGGTGAGGGCAGATATCTTTTGTTCTGATCTTAGGGTGAAAGATTTCAGTCTTTGACCATTAAGTATGATAGCTGTGGGTTTTTCCTTGGTGCCCTTTATCAGGTTGAGGAAATCCTCTTCTATTCTTAGTTGGTTGAGTGAATTCTGCTCTTAATTGCTATGTTAAATTAAGGATGAGATAATTTAATACTTAGAAAGCTGCTGGTAATACTCTTGTAGCTAATACATGAAGCAGTCAGCAGGCTGGTGAAATTGGGGAGGGAGTCTACTCTCAGGTCTCATTTACTGAGTAGATAGGTATTACCAGTGATCTTAAATGGCATCTCCATTTTCAAAGAGATAAAGAAGACAATTGCTGAACATTCTATTAAAATGGTACCAAAACTTAAATGATGAAATGCATAAGAAGGGTTCCTGTGCTGAAGAAAACAACTTGGTACTGAATTGGGTGTCTGCTTTACCTTACCAAGTTAAAATTACTATTTGTGTAATTATTGATAGTAATATAATTATTGATTTATTAATTCACATCATATGTAAAGTTGAAATTAATATAAATTATCACATAAACTAATGAGAAAAGGATATGTTTTGTTATAGTGACTCACATATATTATTCCTCGATAAGCATCAGTTTCTTTTTCTCCTTTCAAGGTGTGTAATAAAAGGGTTTTTTTTCAAGGTGTTAATAAAAGGCAGAATTTATAAGGCATGGTTGGGAATAATAAACATCAAATTCAAGATTATGCTTATCTTTGCATTTAGGAGTCAAGAATGGAGAAGAAGGAGTAAGCTGTTGTGTTGTACAGGGCACTTTATTTTTATTTCATAATAAAAAATTATATGTGTCAGTATAGCTAAAACTTGAGCTAGAATGGAACTTAGCAAGCATCTGCCCTAACTTCTTCAGTTTTACAGTTGAGGAAACTGAACTCCAGAGAGTTAAATTGATTTATTCTATGGTGGTTGTATACTAATGTTAGAACATGGAATAGAACCTAGTTTTGTTAGTTCAGAAGTCTTTTTGTTATGCCAAGCTTTTTAGAATATGTGTATTTTAAAGTGTGATAGTTTGCATGATATTTTATAATTATACTTCTTTACAGCAAGAGGATTATATGTCCCTACCTTTTGCCATGTGACATGAGGTGTTTCCCCTTGGGAGGTTTTTTACTTCCCATGCCCTTAGTGACTTAATTTGGTTTTAGCCAATGGAATGTGAATGAAAGTAATGTACACCATGTCTAAGCAAAAGCTTTAAAATAAGCTTGTCCTGCCGAGGGCCCACAGGCTGCATAGAGCCCAGGGCTGTTTTGAATGTAGCCAAACACAAATTTGTAAACTTTCTTAAAACATTATGAAATTTTGTTTTTCAGCTCATCTGCTATCGTTAACGTATTTTATGTGTGACCCAAGACAGTTCTTTCATTGTGGCCTAGAGAAGCCAAAAGTTTGGACACCCTAGCTAAAAGCTATTGTATACTGTATATCTCTGTCATATTGGTCTTTTACCTCTGCCACAAGGCCTAGATGGGGTGAGGGGGTGCTGTTCCTTCAGCCTGGTGTCCTAGAATAATGAAAAAGTATACAGTTATTAGCCAGTGAAATTTTATTGTTGTTGCTGCATTATCATCTAGTAAAAGGTGACTGACACAGAAAGTTAGCTGTCCAGCTTTTCTCTTTAGGTTGGGTTAATAAGAAAAGTAAGAGTTATTTCCAGGCATTTGAAGGATTTACATCTTTCAGCTCCTCATACCTCATTCTGGGTGTTTTACTTCACCCAAGCAAAATGTGAAAAGTACGTTTGGACAAATGATTTCTACTGCTGGTTATTTATTTATTTTTTTAATGAGACCTGGTCTTGCTGTGCTGCCCAGGTTGGTCTCTACCCTTTAGGCTCAAGCAGTCCACTGCCTCAGCCTCCCAAGTAGCTGAGATTACAAGTATGTGCCACTGCGCCCAGCTCTGGACAAATGATTTCTTAAATGCCTGTGGAGATAAATACAAGACCTTCTGTAACTTCACTCCTTATCTGCATAGGGATAGTAGAGTTTGGCAAGCTAGTGAGTAGGGCCTTGATGGAAAATTGGCCAATTTTCTAAGGGGGTGTAATTTGCTCTATGTATTCTAAAATGGCATTTGTTGGATCAGGTCATTTAATTTTATTTTGCCCATGTAACACAATGATCCCAAAAATTGACTTGGAGAAGTAATTTTAAGGTATCTTATGTTTTTATCATGTGGACCATTCCAAAATTTCTGAAAACATAGCACTGAATGCAACAAGAAGTTAGATTGTAGTGACAGTTCTGGCTTTGATGTAACCAAACTTTTAAGGACATGATTTACTCCTGCCTTGTCTGGGGAATTGTTGGTAACCTTGTCTAGGGAATTGTTGGTAAAGCAAACTCCCAGTTTCCTTTGTGGTTGGTTATTTTTTACAATTTAGTTTGGGGATATTGCATTCCACATTTTGGTCGGTGACAGGCAGAGGGGTTAATTTGTGAAAGTGTCAAATATTATGATCACTTGATAACTTACTCAACTGAGTTTATGAGTATTTGATAAACAGATTTCACCACTTACTGTTTTTTTTTTTTTTTAAGATGGCAGGATAGCTAGTGACAGTTATTTTATACCAGTTAAGAGAACCGTAGCTGACAATGCAACAGTGTAACATCTGTTTACATAGCCTTTATGTTATACTGGGTATTATAGGTAATTTAAAGATAATTTAAAGTATACAGCAATATGTGCATAGGTTATATGCAAATACTACACTACTTTATATAAGGGACTTGAACATTGTCAGATTTTGTTATCTGTAGGGAGTCCTGGGACCAGTCTCCCACAAATACTGATGGACATGGTATTTAAAATAAAAATTTCAAAATCTTTATACTAAATTTGAGCAGATAAGTATCAAAGTGAGTGAACAGATTCAGTAGTCTATTTAATGGGCAGTAAGCAGTAAAGCAGATTATTAGCATCTTTTGTGCAACCCACTATTCTTTATGATTTTATTTTTAGAGTATTGCAAATTCTCAAGCAAAATTTAGAAGTGTAAAATAAAATCATACAGTTTTCAACTGAGAATGGGATTCTTAAAGAATCTAATAGCAGAGTTGCATTTCTAAAGAGGTTAGAAATTATCAGCATAAAGTGATTATTTAATATTTAATTCAGCCATTTAATGAAAATAAACTCAAATTAAAATTATTTTCAGTAGAAAAATGAATGAAATTTTTATTCAGAAAAATGTTGTACTCTCAGGCAACAGCATGAATATAATTGGAATGCCTTTGTCAAAGATAGAAATGCCATGTCCACTTAAAAGGTTTTGCTTGATGTTTTCTAAGCTTTTGCTTTAGTTTTATTTTGAAGTATACTTCATCAGATATTCATTACTTTGAATTAATACAGCATTTGTTTTGTCTATGTGTTGTATATGCTTTTTGACCCAACAATCGTGGTACTTAGTTAAGTCTGTTCTTGGAAAGCAGTACAGACCCTAGTTTATTTAATCAAAGAAACCCTACCATGACCTGTTTTTCAAACAGAGCATCTAGAGTTATATTCCTAATGTTTCCATTTCATTGTTCACCTTGATTTTCACATCCTTTGCATTTTTAATAGAGCTCTTGCCCTCATCTTCTTCCCTTGTTGCTGGGCAAGGTTTGTGACACTGATGTCTGATTGGTTTTAGACTATTTCGGCTTTGAGCCAATCAGACAGTGAATTTCAGTTCTCTCACAGGACTGAAACATTGAAGCAGCTGTTGATATATTTTTCCTGTGGGGAGATTATATAAACTAAGAGTATGGCTGCAGCAAGCTCCCTCTTGGGTATGTTTGAAAAATTACAAGGTTCATCTGTAAGGAAGGGGGGAAATGAGGTTTATTTTTAAAACTTGGTTATTAAGAACACCTAATAAGTAGTGAATTTGAGAAAAAAATTCTGATAACAAATTTTCCATTTTTATTTTATAATCCTATATTTAAAGAACTATAGAATGGTGTAATATAATAAAAATGTCTTTAATTTTCATGAATATTTACTTTGTAATCCACACATTTGTTTTATAATAAAGCTTTGAAAGGATATCTCATATAACCTTTTGTAACTTGCTGCGAAAGGCAGTTAAGGAGAAAAGGATGTAGTAATTGTACTTATACCACTTAATATAGGTTGTCCAGAATCAGACATTTAGATTTCATTAGATGAATTAAACTAAGTCAGTTCAGTGCAGTAGACAGCACAACACTTCATAATACTATCCCTAGTAATCCTTTGGGTCCAGAATACTATTAATTTTTGGAATCGGAAATCTGTAACAATAGTGGTAGATGGGTATGAAGATTTTTTTTTTACTTGTCTGGATTTAAGGTTTTGCTAGATTTATATATTTTATATGTATGGTCTATGGAATTTTTAAAAAGAAATTTACATTTGAATTTTGCATTGTATAGAAAAATATGTTCTTACGTATATTGTCCATGTTTGACTTATTCCTCAGGTAGGAAATTAATTTATATTAATGTATATTTCTTGAAATGTTCATGGATATTTATTAAAGCAAATAGCATAAAAGATGTAAATCTTATCCATTTATGTGTGTGGTATATTTAATGCGTGTTACGTGGATTTAGGGTTTTATGTAAACTGTGTTCTAGATTACTTATTTCAAACAAAGAACCACACTTAAGTATTGCAGATACAGTTTTTGTTTAACTATGTTTTTCTGACCTTATTGTCTGTCTCCTGTTGCTGGGCAGGAATCAGAATGCTGGCTGCTGATTGGCTGAGTTTGTGAGCAGCTCTTGAACAGCCATTTAAATTCTTGAGCTTTTTGAGCAGGCAGATTGTAGGCTAAGACATAACAGCTTCCCTTTGTTGTTTCATTGCTATGATCTCTTGCTAGAAAGAAGTGGGTGGAGGGGGATGAAGCAGAGAAGAGAGTAATGTTTTCATTTAAAGAAGAAGCTCGTTGGGCTTTCCTTAAAAATATTTTAAAAATAATTTACCAAAAATTTGAAAAAAAAATTTCCAAGCCAGAGAGACTTATTTGCAGGTAACATACCCTTCTCTGGTTATTTAAATATAAATTTCTATAGAAAAAGGTTTTATTAGTGATATTATTTTCCCAGAGTTCTTGAATATACAGAGACTTAAAAAACATTATTTTGACTCTCATCCTCATGAAAAAAATACTTTCAGGAGAAACTAGTTCATCATGTTTTGCAGTTACTTTTAGACATGGCAGACATCTTCTGCCGTAAAATACCAATGCTTTTTTCTGTGAAAATGAATTACAGTCATGTGAAAGCTTTCTGATTTGAGTTGCCACCTAAAATACTAACATTTATTTTATAGAATAGTTTTATGAATGGCATCTTAGTTCTAGGCGACAGTACTAAAATGATCCTTGGAAGTGTTTTGCACTGGTATTACAGCCATGGAAACTTGTTTGCAGGTAACACACCCTTCTCTAATGTGTATCTTTCTCAAATATGCTTCGCTAATGCAAAATACATTTCTAAAAGCAGACTGCTGATTGGTTTGTACAGATATGGCTGAACTAGTTTGAACTAATTGTTCGTGTTACTTCCTTATTGCTTTGTCTGTTTTTTATTATATTTAGAACCCATAAGATCTGGTAAATGGCTGTAGTGTGCTCCCTTGTGGGTATGGATGGTAGTTATTCTATAATTCTTTTTAGAGTGCTTTATTATTACTGAAGTTAATGACAATTTTATTGATAAAATCAACTTTTCTTGAATTATATATTTTTATTAAATATTATTTGGTGGTGGCAATTTAATATTAACTGTGAGGTTTACATGTTGGATTTTCTAATTTATATAAAAAATACCAAAGAGGAATTTGTCTTAGACTCTTTAGTTTATTCCTAAAAACATTATCCTGAATATTTAGTTTATTCCTAAAAACGTTATCCTGAATATATAGATGGTGATGGTTATACCATTTATTGAGTTCTTACTACATTCCAAGTGCTTAATGTATAGAATCTCATTTAGTTCTCATGGCAACCTTTGTGACAGGTGTTGGTATTAGTCCCTTTTTAAGGTAACCAAAACTAAGAAATTGATGTTAGGTAATTTGCCCAGTCTCACACAGTAGGTTTCCTGGGAGAGTTGGAATTCAAATCTGTGAATCTGTCTACAGTCTACAGAGTTCATGTTCTTAATTGGGTTATTAAAAGTGATGAATTTTTTTAAAGGAATGCTTACTTTTAATGTAAGAGTTCATGTTCTTAATTGGGTTATTAAAAGTTATGAATTTTTTAAAAGGAATACTTTTAATGCAATTGGTAATAACTACCAGCTGTCCATCTAATATCTGAGAAATGCGGATATTATGAGGCTAAAGTTCAAAAGAATGGCCTTTCAGTATTTTGAAATACTTAAAGGGTAACTATACTACTTATATTATAAACTTAATTATTTTGTAGTTTTGGAATTAGTAAGGAAAAGTGACAGCAAAATACAATGCATTGTATCTGTATCTTTTGCAGAAAATTTTGCAGTTAGCAAAACTTTGTAATGATGGGAAGGGAAAAACCTTGAAGGTGTGAAATTTTAGTCTGTAATTAAAAACCCTTAACATAATGTTTTGTATTATATTATACAAATTTTGTATAATTTTGTATTAAGGTTTTGTATTATTATATATACATTTTGTATTAAGGTTTCTGTTTAAATGAAGAGTAATTTTTCTAAATAGTTGATTTAGTTATATAATTTAAATAAAATGGCTAGAATAAGAAATATGTTCTAAGTAATTGGCTTAAAGTGAGAGAATGAATACAGAATGTATCACAGTCTAGAAATTCTCTGACAAAGTGCTAGAATCTCAAGCTGAATTGGCTTCCAGCAAGTAGGCTAGGCTTATTATTTTATGCGCTTCAGCCAAAGACCAGCAGGAACACCTTTGTAATTGAAAAAGTTAGGTTTACTATTTGCTGCAGGGAGGAAATAATGTTCACTATGGGGAAACTGTAAGGCACATCAATCAGTAAGAGGATGTTAGAAAAAACCTAGTATAGGATTTGAGTATAGTATAGGTTGGGTTATTTTGGGGAGAGATTAAGGAAGTAGATCCTTATCGTGGATTGGGTGACATCAGAAAGTGGGGGCACTTCTATTCTTGGGTATCTCAATAAATTTTATCTATATAGGGAGGACAGACTATTACAAGATAAAGCTGTAATTGATAAAGAAGTTGGCCTGGTGTGGTGGCTCACACCTGTAATCCCAGCACTTTGGGAGGCCGAGGCAGGTGGATCACGAGGTCAGAAGATCAAGACCATCCTGGCTAACACGGTAAAACCTCATCTCTACTAAAAATACAAAAAATTAGCCGGGCGTGGTGGCGGGCGCCTGTGGTCCCAGCTACTCGGAAGGCTGAGGTAGGAGAATGGCATGCACCCAGGAGGTGGAGCTTGCGGTGAGCCGAGATCACGCCACTGCACTCCAGCCTGGGCGACAGAGCGAGACTCCGTCTCAAAAAGAAAAAAAAAATAAAGAAATAGCCATCACTCATTTAGTGAGGGGGGATGTTTGGAATTTTGTGGGTTGCACAGTGACCTTGTCTGACTTGAATGTTCTCTGAGTTGGTTTTATGTCCAACCAGAGAACAGCATGGCTTAACTGTAAGCATCAGATCCATTAACAACATTGAGCCCTAACTGTGAGTATCAGTTAAGTTTCCAGGCATCAGGGGCTGCTTTTCTTTCTTTCTCAGGCCAAAGCAAATGTATTCTACCATATCATTCCTACTGGTGATGGTAATGGTAAGTGACTATCCAATGTGAAAACAGTATTCCTGCCTCCTGTACATCTTAGTCCTTAAAGCAATTTTGTTTTATTCTACTATTGATTGATGACATTGTTTTTCTTCAGAACCACATCCTTGTGCTCTTTTGTTTGCCTTTATTGCACTGGCCAGATGTTAACAAGGAAATGGTTACAGGAAACATCCTTGTTTTCTTCTGATCCTATTTCAATATCAGACATGATATCTCTAGTTTTCTTGGTAGATAACCTTTATCAGATTTGAGTAAGTTTCCTTGTATTCTTAGTTTCTGGCAAGTTGTAATTATGCATCAGTCTTGAATTTTGTCAAATGAATATTCTGTATTTGTTGAGGTAATCCTTTGTTGATTTTGTCCCTCTGTTCTGTTTATGTGGTGAATTAAATAGCTTGATTTGTTTTGTGGTTTTCTTTTTTGCTTAACAGAAGTTTATCGTCTCAGAGTTCTGGAGGCAACACATTTGAAATCACGGTGTTGTCATTGCCATTCTCCCTCTGAGGGTGCTGAGGGAAGGATCTGTTCCAGGCCTCTCTCCTAGCTTCTGGTAGTTGCTTGGCTTGTGGTACCATAACTTCAATTGTCACATGGCATTCTCCCAGTGTGCATGTCTGTCTGTGTCCAGATTTTCCCCTTTTTATAAGGACACCAATTGTATTGGATTAGGGCTCACTTTAGTACCCTTATATTACCTTGATTACCACTGTAAAGGCCCTATCCGAATAAGGTCACATTCTGAGGTACTGGGGCTTAAGACTAATATCTTTCTGGGGATGTGGGGTGTGGGATGCTGCACAATTCAGTCAGTAACATCCTGGTACCAGACATTCAGTTTAGGCAAAACTCGTAATTGTACACTCTGCTGGGCATGAAATAAAGTCAGAATGCATCATGGCTTGTTCATGGTCAACACTGCTTGATTTTTGAATGTGAAATCAGCCTTGTATTTTTCTAAGCGAGCTTCACTTGGTCAGAATTCATTACCTTTTTAAGAAACCTACTTCTAAATAAGTCATAGATGAAAGAAGAAATCATGATGGAAATTAGAAAATATTTTAACAGAATAATGTAAATGACACATTAAAATGTGAGATGCAACTAAAGCAGCTCTTAGAGGGAAATTTATAGCTTTATATGCACACATTACAAAAGAAGAAAGATTGAAAATAACACTTAAGCTTGAATCTCAAGGAAAAGGATGACATGTTAAGCTCTTTCCAAGAAAAAGTAAGTGAAAAGAGATAATAAATATTAGAGTAAATAATTAAAACAAGAAAGCAGATATAAAACCAAGAAATATCAGCCAAGTAAAGGTTCATACTTTAATAAGTGAATAGAATTGATAAAACTGTAGCACAACTTACCAAAAAAAGAGAATACACACACACACACACACACACACACACACACACACACACACACAACCTTTGTATTTATTTTGAAATTTTTTTGTAGTGGCATTACTGAGATAAAACCACATATCTACTATTCACCCACTTAAAGTACAATTCAGTTATTTTTAGTATATTCACAGAGCTGTATAATCATCACCATAATCAATGTTAGAACATTTTCATAACCCTGTAAAGAAATCCTGTACCCTTTAGCAGCTACTCCTCATTTTCTCCAGAATCTTCCAACCCTAGGTAGTCACTGATTTACTTTCTGTCTCTAGATTTGCCTACTCTGGACATTTCATATAAATTGAATCATTCAGTATGTGGCCTTTTGTGACTGGCTTCTCTCACTCAGCATATTTTTAAGGTTTATGCATGTAGTAGCATGTTCAGTACTTCATTCCCCTTTGTGGTTGAATGATATTCTGTTGTAGGGGTATGGCACATTTTATTTATCCATTCATCAGTTATGGAACATTTAGGTTGTTTCCAGTTTTGGGCCATTATGAGTAGTGCCTCTATAGAGCATTTGTGTACAAGTTTTTGTGTGGACATATGTTTTCATTTCTCTTGGGAAATGAATGGAATGGAATCACTGGGTCATATGACAACTCTGTACTTCACATATTGTGGAACTGCCTGTTTTCCAAAGCAGCTGCACCTATTTGCAATCCCACTATCATTGTATGAAAGTTCCAGTTTTTTCACATCCTTGCCAACACTCATTATTCTCGTTGATTGTAGCCGTCCTGTCGTGTGTGCAGTGTTATTTCATTGTGGTTTTGACTTGCGTTTCCCTGATGTCTCATGATGTTTATTGCTTATGGACTTTTGGCTTAGGGGTCTCTTTCTGGAAATGTCTGTTCAAGTCCTTTGACCATTTTTAAATTGGGTGATTTATTATTGAATTATAGCAGTTCTTAGATATTCTAGATATAAAAGTCTGTATTCTATATAAATATATATTCTGTATTCTAGATATGAAATTCTAGATTCGAGATAAAAGTCTTATCAGGCATATGATTTGCAAATATTTTCTCCCATTGTTGTGAATTTTCTTTCTTGATGGTAATCTTTTGTTAATATGTTTATAGTTCTGCCAATCTAAGTATGCTTGGTTGCAAATGTAATCTTTCCTTACATGTTTCTTAATTCTTCCTCCTTTTTCCTTTATCTCTATACCTGTTATTTCCCTACTGTTGTTCTTACACTTTTATTTTTCTTTCTCATTTTCTTCAGGTACTTTTTTTTTTTTTTTTTTTTTTTTACTTTATCTACCTTTTTTTTGCTTAAACATCTCCATACTCTGTGAATTCCATATTGGAAAAAAAAACTTGTCCCTTTTCCCCCTAATACTTTCTAGTTGATTTTCTAGTAGACTATGGCCATTTTTGATTTTGTATTACACAGATGCAGTAAATATGATAATTAGTATACAACAAGCAGTAGGTTTTCTATGTCTTAAACATTACATGAAATGTGCTGCTTGCATCTCTTCTAAGATCAATTTGTATTAAGTCTACAATTAGGTGGCTTCTGTTTCAGTTATTAAACTCTCTTTCTCTTTTTTCTTAAAGATTCAGAATGGACAGTTTAGAAGAACCTCAGAAAAAAGTCTTTAAGGCTCGAAAAACGATGAGAGTGAGTGATCGTCAGCAACTTGAAGCAGTGTACAAGGTCAAAGAAGAACTGTTGAAAACTGATGTCAAGCTGTTAAATGGCAACCATGAAAATGGAGATTTGGACCCAACCTCACCTTTGGAAAACATGGATTACATTAAAGACAAGGAAGAGGTGAATGGCATTGAAGAGATTTGTTTTGATCCTGAAGGAAGTAAAGCAGAATGGAAGGAAACACCCTGTATCCTAAGTGTTAATGTAAAAAACAAGCAGGATGATGATTTAAATTGTGAACCTTTGTCTCCCCATAATATAACTCCAGAACCAGTCTCTAAACTGCCTGCTGAACCAGTTTCTGGTGATCCAGCCCCTGGTGATCTGGATGCCGGAGATCCAGCCTCCGGAGTACTGGCCTCTGGTGATTCCACCTCTGGTGATCCCACCTCTAGCGAGCCCTCCTCTAGTGATGCTGCCTCTGGTGATGCAACCTCTGGTGATGCCCCTTCTGGTGATGTGTCCCCTGGTGATGCCACCTCTGGTGATGCCACTGCTGATGATCTCTCCTCTGGTGATCCCACCTCTAGTGATCCCATCCCAGGTGAACCGGTCCCTGTTGAACCCATTTCTGGTGATTGTGCCGCTGATGATATAGCCTCTAGTGAAATAACTTCTGTTGATCTGGCTTCTGGAGCACCAGCTTCCACTGATCCAGCCTCTGATGATCTGGCCTCTGGTGATCTATCCTCTAGTGAACTGGCCTCTGATGATCTGGCCACTGGTGAACTGGCCTCTGATGAGCTGACTTCTGAATCAACCTTTGATCGTACCTTTGAACCAAAGTCTGTACCAGTTTGTGAACCAGTTCCTGAAATTGACAATATAGAACCAAGTAGCAATAAAGATGATGATTTTCTTGAAAAAAATGGAGCTGATGAAAAATTAGAGCAAATTCAGAGTAAAGACTCATTGGATGAGAAAAATAAAGCTGATAATAATATTGATGCTAATGAAGAAACTCTAGAAACAGATGATACAACTATTTGTTCAGATCGACCTCCTGAAAATGAAAAGAAGGTAGAGGAAGATATTATCACAGAGCTTGCTCTTGGAGAAGATGCTATATCTAGCAGTATGGAAATTGACCAAGGTGAAAAGAATGAAGATGAAACTTCTGCAGATCTTGTAGAAACGATTAATGAAAATGTTATTGAAGATAACAAAAGTGAGAATATCTTAGAAAATACAGACTCTATGGAGACAGATGAAATCATTCCTATTTTGGAAAAGCTTGCACCTTCTGAGGATGAACTTACTTGCTTTTCTAAAACATCTCTCCTTCCAATCGATGAGACAAATCCAGATTTGGAAGAGAAAATGGAAAGTTCTTTTGGTTCACCATCTAAACAAGAAAGTAGTGAGAGTTTGCCAAAAGAAGCCTTTCTGGTCCTCTCTGATGAAGAGGATATTTCGGGTGAAAAAGATGAGTCTGAAGTTATATCGCAAAATGAAACGTGCTCTCCAGGTTAGCATATAACTTAAATGTTAAAGATTTTTTATTGACTTTGATGAACTGTTTAATAAAACATTATCATAATGTTTTAAATTTATTTTAGCTGCAGAGAAAGTTGAGAATGGTGATGACTCTATAGAAAGATGTCTTAACTTCATAGAATTCAGAATTAGTGTGTGTACTCTGTGAGTAGCATTGTACTAAATACTAAGAAGGGAGATAAAATAAGTAGAAAATATGCCCTTATAGTCTGGAAATAGAGATGAAGTAGAGCACCATAACACTGAGATAACAGTTTAAGTTAGTACATAATTGACTAGAGTTGTAGCAGTTCTTTCTTGCTATCACTTAGCGAACAAATAACTTAGAACTAAAAGCCTAATAGTTTAATCTATTTGCTTCAAGTGTAACAAATTATATTTTCAATTAATATTCCCAATGAAATCCTGTTCTTTAATATTCTTTGTCCAGGAATGACAGCACCATTGTTGTAAGCCAGAAACCTTAAAGCTTGATTATCCATTTGATAAAGACTTTACCCATTTGCTCCCTCAGCCCTTTTGATTCTACCCAACCTATTCTCTTCCTCATTTTCTGAATGAGCTCCCTGTAACCCAATTCTCTTATTTGATATTGTCCGTCTATGTCTTAGATCTCTGTTACTTTTAGGTTGATTTCAAACTCCTTATGTAAAAGGTACATTAACTTTATGATTTGTTCAGTACCTATCTCTCCCATCTCTTTTATTTTATTTATTATTCCTAGAGAAAAAGAATGAGAAAAATTCTACCTTCTTTTATGGTCAAACTGAAAAACATTATTCCTCTATGAAACTTTCTAAGCCTGTGGAAGACTGAGAAAAGCATGAATACCTTTCTTTTCCCATTATATCACATTCTTTTAGATTTAGACATCTCTGAGAGAAGTGACCTTGCTAGCATAAAACACCATCTAATTTCTTCAAAGAAAAAAAAATGGAGGCAGGTCTAAGAGACAGAGACAACTTTTTTCCCCAATATATCATACCAGCTTTTGGAGGTAGAGATTTTTTTCTTATTAAAAAATGGCTTTTTTTTTTTTTTTGGCCAGGTAAGGTGGCTCACACCTATAATCCTAGGACTTTGGGAGGCTGAGGCAGGCAGATTGCTTGAGCTCAGGAGTTCGAGACCAGCCTGGGCAACATGGTGAGACCCCGTCTCTACAAAAGTACAAAAATTAGCCAGGCGTGGTGGCACTTGTCTGTAGTCCAGGGTACTTGAGGGCCTGAGGTAGGGGGATCACTTGAACCTGGGTGGTCGAGGCTGCAGTGAGCCGAGATCGCGCCACTACTCCAGCCTGGGTGACAAAGTAAGACCCTGCCTCAAAAAAAAAAAAAAAAAAAAAAAAAAAGGATGGCTTTTTATTTTCAAAGAGCATTCAACTAAACCTATATAAAGAGACAGGCCAGGCCCTTCTTGGTTCTAGAGATTTGAAGATAGTATTTGCCCTCAGGATACACACAAGAATTAAATCATAGGCCATTAAATACAAGACTGTGAGTACAGTGATAATGTTAAATTGGCATTCTGGGAGTGCAGATTAAGGTAACTTTATTAGAGCACCAGATGTATTAGGGATGTCTTGCCCCTTTTAATATCTGTATAACAGAGGTTTTTTTTGTTTGCTTGTTTTTGTTTTGTGAGACAGAGTCTTGCTCTGTTGCCCAGGCTGGAGTACAGTGGCACAATCATAGCTCACTGCAGCTTCCACTTTACTGGCTTAGGTGATCCTCCCACCTAAGCCCCCAGAGTACCTGGGAATACAGACATGTGCCACCACACTTGGCAAAATTTTAATTTTTTTGTAGAGACAGGGTCTTGCTATATTGGCTCTGCTGTAACATAGGGTTTTAATGAGTCTAATTCTTTTTTTTTTTTTCCGAGATGGAGTCTCGCTCTGTTGCCCCGGCTGGAGTGCAGTGGCACGATCTTGGCTCACTGCAACCTCCGCCTCCCGGGTTCAAGTGATTCTCCTCCCCACTCCGCCTCCTGCGTAGCTGGGATTATAGGTGCGCGACACCACGCCTGGCTAATTTTTGTATTTTTAGTAGAGTCGGGGTTTCATCATGTTGGTCAGGCTGGTCTCAAACTCCTGACCTCGTGATCCTCCTGCCTCAGCCTCCCAAAGTGCTGGGATTACAAGCGTGAGCCACCGCGTCTGGCCAAGTCTAATTCCTTTTAATGGCAGCTCCATCCTACTTGCTGAGGCCAGAAACTTTGGAACCATTTTTATTTTTTCTTTCACACCCCATAATTAGTCCATCAGGAAATTCTGTTGGTACTACTATCATAATAGATCTAGAGTCCAATTCACAACTGTTATTACTCCTGCTGCGAGTCACCATCATCAGGCCAAAACGGTGCCTGGCACACAGTAAGTGCCCAGTAAATATTTGTAAAGTGAATGAATAATCAATAATGTAAGAGAAGCATATCATGGAGGACCTTGGTTATAATGCTAAAGCTTTATGATGGCGCTGGAATGCCAATAAAGAACTTCAAGCAGAGAGGAGAATGAAATTTACATTTTGGAAAGGTAATAGGTGACAGTGTTGAGAATGAATTTCATCCATTTCCTATAAGTGTCTATACAGAGTGTGGCACTAGGCCAAGTCCATAAAAAAGCCTTATAAGTCCTTTAAAAAAAAAAAGTCTGTATAAGAAAGTTAAAAAAGCAAATTGCAGCTTATGATTTAATGAGTACCTTTATGTCAGAATCTTGATATTGGAGGGCATCCCACACAAGGCAGTTAAGTGCTGAGAGATGAATATTAAGCCATCCATGTTGCATACTTTGAAAATTCAAAGTTGGGAATATTTTTGGTTACTTGCCTTTAATCTGATGGTATGCTATTAGCAGGGTAAATTTAGTGATAGATTTAATTTCTTGGCTCATAACTAAACTTTTATTTTGTATCTTTTCCCCTTCCTCTGAAGGTAATTTTGTGTATTTTGAGTTTAAGAATAGTTTCTTAATTGGTTCTTAAACTGTACTCTGTTCTCTTTATATGGCGACAGAATCTGTTGCATGTCATTTATGTTGCTGTACTCCTGTTGAAATGTTACTTAAATAAATGCCTTTATTCTTGACTAATTTTTAATATACTCAGAACACAGAATTATTAGCTGAAGTACTAAAGTTGGCTTCAGTACTGGCTCTTCCTTCTAGCTACTAACATCTATGAGTGTAGTAAAAGGAAAATAGCATAACCTTCTGTCATTTCAGGCACTTGTTGAGCAAATATGTTTTAAATAAAGCAATTGTGATGTGTATCAGCAGCAACAAGAAATAATGAAAGATAAAGCAAATAGAAAAGCTATTTTAATTTTACAAAAGTAGAAGAAAGAACTAAAAAAGTGTTGCATATATACCTTAATAGGTCTAGAGACATTACTGAATTGTGACATAGTATTATGTTATAACTAATACTCACTAATTATTAAAATGATAATCTGTTTAAAGAGGATAGCAAAATAAAGATTTATCTCTCTGGGAAAGTTCAAACACTAGAGGAGCTTCATCGCCATACCATATACTTTCCTCTAACTACTATTTCATCTCTTTCCTTTCTTTTAGTGCCATTCTTCAAGTTATATTAACAAAGCTAGGACCATTTCTTCTTCTGTTAGGCCTTCCACTTAATTGGATTTTGATTTCTGCCTTGGTAGCTGCCGCCCTCCTAATTTTTCTCAGTGAAATGACATTGATGATCATGTTATTAAATCCGGGGACATCTTTTCTTTGTCTTATCTATTCTTCCATACTTGGATGACCTCTTAATAACAGTTCTTCCCTCTTGAGACTCCCCTTAGCTGTTGGGTTACTGCATTCTCCATCTTCCCTTCTTTTTTGGCCTTTCTCATTCTATTTCTTGTGGAAAAATAGGGATAGGCCTCCTCCACGTGCTTTTTTTTCTTAAACATAAGATTTTTGAAGAGAAAAATCTGTTTTAGAGTGAACTAGATTTTTTTTGCATTAAACACTGACATAGTTTCCTTGCAGATTTTATTTCAGATTAAAATAAAAATCTGTGGTTGATATTTTCCTCCCCTTGTTCATTGGATCTTTAAGGTAAATAAAATAAACATAAACTGATGCTAATGAGGATAATTACATTAGACTAGAATTTGAGACTTCCTTCTATTTTTGCTGTAGGTTAGTATTGATAGAATTGGCATGATTTAGTCAATTTACTGTTAATTTGTTGTCACTGTTTATTGTGTTCAGTTAAAATTCTTTATCATCTCAATCCATTTATATTTAGCTGTTACTTATGTACTTGGCTTCTCTTTGTGGAGCTTCTTAGTTCTATTCACTAGTGTGCAAGTTGCAGATTTTTCTTTTCAGAGTTGAGGAAGACCAAAGATGAAGTAGATTTTGGAAGGAGGTGTATAGGAGGAAGATCATTTTTCAAATGAGTACTGTTGTCCAAGTTAGATGTGTAAGTCTGGATTTCAGATCAGAGACTTGACTTGTATTAGAAAAATATAGTAGGTAGCATGTAGCTATTAGGTGACAAGATGAAATCACCTCAGAGTAAGTATACATGGAGAAAAGATCCAAGAATTGTGCTTTTGGCATTTCAGTGTTTAGGGTTGGGGAGATAAGGAAGAACCAACAAAGGAGCTGAGAAAGAGCAGCCCCTGAGGTAGGAAGAAAATGGAGAGATTTTGGTGTTTCAGAGATTTTGGTGTTTCAGAAGCCAAGTAAAAACACTGTTTTGAGGAGGGAATAAGGTAACCGTTTACTATATCAAATGCTGCTGTGTGTGCTCATAAGATGGAAGAGAAGTATTTAACAATCTGGAGATCATTGGTGACTTTTACCAAGGGGCAGTTTTGGTGAATGGTGGAGTGGAAAACCTGATTTGGGTTTCAGAGAGAATGGGAGGGGAAGAATTGGAGATAATACAATGGGACTTTCCCCGCTAGGTTTTGCTTTTAAAGAGAGCACAAAAATTCACATAGGAGATATTATTTGCCATTCTGTATTGGTTAAATAAAACTAATACAAAATGTCTGGAAAAGTCACATTACCAGTCATGCCTTATTTTTCTGATAGATCTTGTTAGGTTGAGAATCTTTATATGTTTATTGGCCTTTTATAGTTCCTTATCTGTGAATTGCCTGTTCATCTCCTTTGCCCATTTTTCTAATGGATATTGTCTTTAATTTGTCTGTAGGAATTTCTTGTTTTGTTACAAATATTTTCATGGAGCCAGTAATCTAAATCAGTGAATGGGGTAGACTGGCCTGTGAGCCCTGTTTTTGTAAATAAAGTTTTATTTACATAAACATAGCTATGGTAATTTGTTTACATGTCACATAGCACTTATTGCACTTATTTGTTTACATGTCACATAGCACTTATTGCTGATTCCTGCAACAAGGACAGAATTAAGAGGTTGTGTCAGACAGAGGTCATGTGGCCCACAAGATTGAAAATATCTATTTTTTGGCCGCTTACAAAAAAGATTTGCCAATCTCTTATCTAAGGCAATGGTTTTTGTCCTCCATTTTTCCTTAGAATAAAGTTCTATAAAGTATAATTCTGAAATGGGAAACTAAGTCCCCTAATGTAAATTCTATTTTGTAATCCTTTAAAAACACAGTTTTCTACCTTTACTTAATGGAACCTTATTAAAGATAGTAGTCATCTGATAGTATTAAACATGTAATTTGTCTCAGCTATTTCTCAAAGTGTTTGGGATTACCAAAATTATGAGATCTGGTATCTGCCCTTAATGAGCTTACTGTCTAGTCTGCTTGAAAGGAAAGAATATGGAACTATGAAAACTTGCCAAATTGTGATAAGGCTATAGCCTTATCCTCAAGAAAATCAAAGGAATTATAACAGAAACTTATCTGTAAGTAAGGACAGATTCTAAAAAAAACATTCTTTTTTTTTTTTTTGAGATGGCGTCTCGCTCTGTCACCCAGGCTGGAGTGCAGTGGTGCGATATCGGCTCACTGCAAGCTCCGCCTCCCGGGTTCAAGCGACTCTCCTGTCTCAGCCTCCCGAGTAGCTGGGACTACAGGCATGTACCACTACATACAGCTAATTTTTTATATTTTTAGTAGAGACAGGGTTTCACCATGTTAGCCAGGATGGTCTCGATCTCCTGACCTTGTGATCCGCCCGCCTCGGCCTCCCAAAGTGCTGGGATTATAGGTGTGAGCCACCACACCCGGCAGTAAAAAAGACATTGTTAACCTACTATTTGGATGAGTTTCAGGAGTCCCAGGAACTACCTGAAATTATGTCTAAAGTTGTCTGTGTACCAAGGGCCTTTGATTATTACTCTGGGTTGAAGGAGACCCATTCTTAGTTTTTCTTCAGGCTTTGTGGACAAAATAAAATTAAAGAAATATAAGGCCCTACCCGTCTCTGTAGAATTTGTTAATACCATTTTTTAAATCCCAAGTTCTTTCCGTTACAAAAAACTCTAGCAACTCTATTTTAATTCTGTGAATTCTGAGTGTTTTAAGTGTTGGGGATCCAGTAATATCTTCTAAGCATATCTGGAAACTGGGAGTTGGGTGATAGGAGGAGGTTTTTGAATAAAATGAAGAAATCTCAAGCTGAGCTTGACATATGGAGAGGAAACTAACATGCGTATAAAAGAGGCAAACCATAGCAGGCCAGTTTATTCTGCTGTGTTCTGGATGCTCTGGCTTGGAGTCACTCTAATTGGAGCCATGGCTAATTTTGTGCTTTGTGCGATGTGAGGATTTGCTAAATAAAGACTATGTAAACCTTTCATCTCAAGCATCCCAGTTACTCTGTCTCTCTGGAAACTCTGGGGACTAGGAAGCTCAGGAGTTACTAACAATGAGTATTAAAATCAGAAAGATATGGAAAAATATAGAAAGAAAAATGTATTTTAATGAGTTTGTGATCTGTTTACAAGAAAGCAAACAAATTTTTATTTCACTGAAACTGAGGTTGAGAGATGAGGTCTTAAAACACTTAAAATGAGCAAAGGGTAGTAAATGGAGAGTTAATTTTCAAATAATTTATTTTAAAGTTCAAAAATAGTTTTAGTAATTCTGTGTACTGTGTTAGCTTATTGTTTATCTTACAGTGAAAAAAATACTTCTAGCGCCTTAATAGGTATTCATCAATGATCCTTGTCCTTGCCTATTTTCACCTAAAATATCTTTTAAATTTTTTTAACCTTGACTTTTGCTATTAGGGCTGTTGTGATTAAAATCCTGATGATTGGAGAAGAAATGTCTTATCAGAATCTTTATATAGCATAATATACTTTATGATTGTTTATTTAATATTAGTTGCAGAACGTGATGAAACATAGCATGCTTTATTGAAGCCACTGAGAAGCAAGTTGCAATGACGTAAGGGGGAAAATAGAAGTCAAACATCTTAATGAATTTTTTTTTGTAGCTCCCTTATTCCTCATTTAATGAGTAGGTTAGTTGAAGAGACATTGATTGATTGACCAAAAGAACGTTTTGGTACCTCTTGGATTTTATTTAATATAATTGTATAGACATTTTTAGCAATATCTTTTGGCAGCACTCTTCAGTTGTTACATTTTATATGACTCATGCAAATTAACCCTTCTGGGCCAGTCGAGGTGGCTCACGCCTGTAATCCCAGCACTTTGGGAAGCTGAGGTGGGAGGATCACCTGAGGTCAGGAGTTTGAGACCAGTCTGCCCAACATGGTGAAATCCTGTCTCTACTAAAAATAAAAAAAATTTAGGCCCAGTGCAGTGGCTTATGCCTGTAATCTCAGCACTTTGGGAGGCTGAGGGGGGTGGATCACGAGGTCAAGAGATGAAGATCATCCTGGCCAACATGGTGAAACCCTGTCTCTACTAAAAATACAAAAATTAGCTGGGCCTGGTGGCAGGTGCCTGTAGTCCCAGCTACCTGGGAGGCTGAGGCAGGAGAATTGCTTGAACCTGGGAAGTGGAGGTTGCAGTGAGCCGAGATTGCGCTACTGTACACTAGCCTGGCGACAGAGTGAGACTCTATCTCAAAAACAAACAAACAAATTAGCCGGATGTAGTGGCGGGTGCCTGTAATCCCAGCTACTCAGGAGGCTAAGGCAGGAGAATCACTTGAACCCGGGAGGCGGAGGTTGCAGTGAGACGAGATCGCCCCACTGCACTCCAGCCTGGGCGACAAGAGCGAAACTCAGTCTCAAAAAAAAAAAAGAAAAGAAAATTAACCCTTCTGAATGTTTTCCTCATCTATATGATGACAAAAAATACAGTTTACAGTGTGAGATTATATTGTGGCCATGTGATAACTATATTAAGCACCTAGCTCAGTTGTTGGCACTGTTATCAAAGTAGGTATATATTTAAAGTTTTTATTATATTTGGGATAGCCTTTCCATTCCTTATTTATGAACTCTCTATACCATAAGCATTAAAGTAACTTAAGGATTCAACCTGTTTTGAATTTTCCAGTAGTTTGGAATTTTTTTGATAATTGTCACAGGCACTATTTTAGTTTTAATTATTGAATGTAAAGGAATCAAAATGCTCTACAGCAGTTGTTTTCACATTTTATTAATGTTACTGGTGACAGAAAATTATTAAGTAATTTTTTTAAATTACTTAAAATCTATATTAAGATTAAATCCTGTGTTGAGTTTGTTCTGAATTGCAGAACAGTTGAATGTGGACGTGGTCATTCATTCGATCAGTTCCTGCTCCCCTTTTCCCCTCCCCAAATTTTACATTTTGGGACTCTGATTTCATAAAAGGTTGGTTTTGTAACTGGATAGTGACTAAAAATGTAAATTAGTGAGCTGTTATGAATTCTAGTAGAAGTAAGATTTTCTTTTCTATATTTGTTAACAGCAGAAGTAGAAAGTAATGAAAAGGACAACAAACCTGAGGAAGAAGAGCAAGTAATACATGAAGATGATGAAAGACCTTCTGAGAAAAGTATGCATGTATAAACAAACTTGAACTGGATTGAAAAATAATAATTCACTGTTTCTATATTTACAACCGTGTAATATTCTTTTTTGCCCATGAAATAATTGTAAAATTTTGCAATTTCACAACTATACCATTTTGTTGATGGCTAACTGAAGGATTTCTGAAAGTATGTTTCATACACTTCAATATTTTATTTTGTTTATTTATACTTTTTATTGTTCCACAGAAAGATTTAGCTTAAAATTTACTAAGTTACTGAGTGTTTTGAGATAAATTGTTTTAGATTTATGTTTAGAGAATGAAACTACAAGAATTTTGTATGGGCTAACGTAAGTGAATGGAAGGATGTATTTTAGTTCACTTAAGGTTCTTCATCTTCATGGGGCCAGATGTAGTGGCTCACCCCTGTAATGCCAGCACTTTGGGAGGCCAAGATGGAAGGATTGCTTGAGGCCAGTAATGCAAGACCAGCCTGGGTGACATAGCAAGAACCTGTCTCTACAGAAAAAATATTTGAATTAGCCAGGCATGGTGGCACACACCTGTAGTCCCAGCTACTTTGGAGGCTGCAGTGGTAGTATTGCTTGAGTCCAAGAATTTGAGGTTCCAGTGAGCAATGATTGAGCCACTGTACTCCAGCCTGGGTGACAGAGTGACACCTTGAGAGAGAGAGAGAGAAGGAGGGAGGGAGGGAGACAGGAAGGAAGGAAGAGGGAAGGAAGGAAGGAAGGAAAAGGGAAGGAAAGATAAGGTTCTTTAGCTTTATGGGAAGGGAAGGAAATGATGGACTGAGTGTCCTTAGGTTTATGGAAAGATCATTGGACTAGAAGTCAGGAAAGCTGGGTTCAGTAACTTTCCTGTCATGCTGCTATCCATATATGACCATGGGTAAGTTAAGATTGTAAGAGAAATTGTAGAATAGAGTGGATTTACAAGTAGGCATATAGATACAGACACATACAGAGGGATAGGCATGGTCACATAAGAGCATTTGCGTTTAAAAAGTGTGAAGATATTAGTGTTTTAATTTTTTTAGATATTGAAGAAGCCAGATACAAATTTGCTTATGATCTCATGAATATTAACAGCACGTGAAACAGATTTTCTAAGTGAAGTCTTCTAGTCTATATTCTTTATAAATGTACTTTTAATGACATTAATTTTATTTTTATTTGAAATTCATTAGGATATGTTAAGAATAACTATTACTGTGCTAGTTTTGTAAGGCTGATGATTAAGAATTTTTTCCTATACTTACGGAGGAAAAAGAATAAATAATTAAAGCTGTGCATAGTTAAAAATCTGACATGAGAATGAATACTATATTTTGTCAGAGGATTCATGTGCACTGTGACATTTAGTTACAGGAATGAATATGAGATGATTTCATCTACCTTCTTCATGACACAATTGTGAGGCAGTTCTTAGTATGAAGATTTCAAGGAAATTCTGTGTTCACAGTGTGCATTGCTTGACCATTAGGGAGTTCTTATTTAGTATATTGAAAGTCATTTGAAGTTTAAAGCTAAAAGCTATATACCTTCTAAGATCTCCAAAACAGTTTACAAAATAGTTGGTTGAGAAGGCTATTATGATAGAAATAATATTTTGCTAAGGATGGATAATATGCATTAAGAGCTATAAGAAAAACACCTGAGTGTGATCATTGTGGTTTTCCTTCTCAGATGAATTTTCTAGACGAAAACGTTCTAAATCAGAAGACATGGACAATGTACAGTCTAAACGTCGTCGATATATGGAAGAAGAATATGAGGCAGAATTTCAAGTAAAGATTACAGCCAAAGGAGACATTAACCAGAAACTTCAAAAGGTATTGTGTCAATTATAAGTTATAAACCATATTGAATAAATAGCACCACTATCTTCTTCTAGGTTTCTGACATTATTCTGTATTTTATTGACATAATGTGGTTTATCATAGAAAGAAAGAACTTGAAGAAAGTGGTTGAGCTTTTAAAGTCTATTACTGGCCAGATGTGGTGGATCACCCCTGTAATCCCAATCCTTTGGGAGGCTGAGGTGGATGGATCACCTGAAGTCAGGAGTTCAAGACCAGCCTGACCAACATGGTGAAACTCTGACTCTACTAAAAATACAAAAATTAGCTGGATGTTGTGGTGGGTGCCTGTAATCCCAGCTACCTGGGAGGCTGAGGCAGGAGAATCACTTGAACCCGGGAGGTGGAGGTGGCAGTGAGCCGAGATCATGCCACTTCACTCCAGCCTGGGTGACAGAGCAAGACTCCATCTCAAAAAAATAATAAATAAATAAATAAATAAGTCTATTACTATCCTTGATAATTTAATTTTAAAATTCTTTCTGACTTCTTTTTGGCTACATCTTTTTTTTTTTTTAAAAAAGGTTATGATTATCAAAACAAGGGAGAGAAGGTAACATTTTTATTTATTTGCTTTGGTAACAAAACTGAATGTTGTTTTTCAGCTTTTCTTTTTCCTTCTCACATTGAACTTTATCTTATTGTGAAAAGGAAATGTTAGAGTTTTAAATATTAGCATTTTAATCTTTATAAAGCTGGTTTCATGGTTATAAGTCTACATTCTAAACTCTTTATTGTGTACTTGAGGGTTAGTATAAAAGTGGTAGAGACAGGGTGTTAAAAGGACTAGAGAAAGGAGTATTTAGAATACGGAGTTTGAAATTCCCCTTACATCTGTTTGACTAGAGATAGAAATAATGAAAATATTCAGTATTTTATGTTTTTCAACATGTGTTCACAAATGTTTTTACAAAGCTTTTCTTAGAGAGGAATATTAAACTTCGATGATAACTAGTTTTTCAAGGTCTTATATATTTAAGGATGACATTTTACAATCAATGTTTTAGGACAAAATTCTTTCATTAAAATATAGCATACATATTTGCACTTTGTAGAAAAAAGAATAGTGAGGCTGTAGAAACTCTCAGTGTTGTTTTTTTCCCCTAGTTTCTTTTTATTTGACATATGGAGATAATAATGCTTATTCAGTCTTTCTTACAGAGCTGTTAGAATTATGAAGGTAGCTATGTGAAAGAATTTTGAAAACTGAGGTTTCCTGAGAGTTTACTTCTTTAGAACAGTGTTACTCAAGTATGGTTCATGGGTATGTGCCAATGTCTTTGTTGTGGACCCATAATGAGAATATGGAACTTTTTAAAAGTTTACTCTCTGGAAATTTTCTATTTTTAGTATGTATTACCCTCTTGAAGTAGATTTTATATATATAAAAGTAGAGGATTTTAGCAGATAGTATTGTGTTACAGATTCTAGCATGTTTTATTCATTAAGTTAGTTTGTCATTACTGTCTTCTTGGTACTTAAGAATATTTACTGGCCGGGCGCGGTGGCTCACGCCTGTAATCCCAGCACTTTGGGAGGCCGAGGCGGGCGGATCACGAGGTCAGGAGATCGAGACCATCCCGGCTAAAACGGTGAAACCCCGTCTCTACTAAAAATACAAAAAATTAGCCGGGCGTAGTGGCGGGCGCCTGTAGTCCCAGCTACTTGGGAGGCTGAGGCAGGAGAATGGCGTGAACCCGGGAGGCGGAGCTTGCAGTGAGCCGAGATCCTGCCACTGCACTCCAGCCTGGGCGACAGAGCGAGACTCTGTCTCAAAAAAAAAGAATATTTACTGTTTATTGCTTGCTGGAATGCCTTCTTGGCATAATGAAGGAATATTTGTTTCTTTAGGTTATACAGTGGTTGCTGGAAGAAAAATTGTGTGCGCTGCAGTGTGCTGTATTTGATAAGACTTTGGCAGAATTGAAAACACGAGTGGAAAAGATTGAATGTAACAAGAGGCATAAAACAGTTCTCACTGAACTACAGGTTTGTACATTGACTTGAGTTGTATACTCCATGTGTCATTGTTTTTATAACTTATTTTCTGAGATATATATTTGAGATTAACTATAAAATACATTTAAATTCTAAATGTAAGAAGGAAAAGGAGTTTGTTTAGTTTGCCAGGGCTGCTGTAAAGAAAGTGCAATAAACTGAGTGGTTTAAACAGTAGAAATATTCTGTCTCACAGTTCTGGAGGCTAGAAGTTGAAGATCAAGGTGTCAGCAGTGTAGATTCTTTTTGAGGGCTGTGCTGTGAGGAAGAATCTGTTCTATGCCTTTACTGTAGCTTCTGTTGGTTTGCGGACAGTTCTTTGGCATTGTAGAAACATCACCCTGATCTCTGGCTTTATCTTTACATGGTGTTGTCCTTGTATGTGTGTCTGTAAATTTCCCCTTTTTACAAGGACACCAGTCATTGGAGTAGGGGCCCACTATACTCCAACATGACTTCATCTTAACTAATTACCTCTGCAATGACCTTCTTTACAAATAAGGTCACAGTCTGAAATACTGGAAGTTTAGACTTCAATATGTGAACTTTTAGGGGACACAGTTCAAACCATAACGGAGACTCAGAAATTCCTGGATCTAACTTAGTGCTTCATATTTTTTTTTCCAGTCACTAAAGGAAGGCTGTCATTTAGCATGCTATAATAAGTACTAAATAATATTTGTTAGGGATTCTTTTTATGTTAATCTACCTCCTTTCGTGGACCTTATGTTTTAAAGATGTTAGTTTAATAACACGTATTTATTAATTTCTACTTGTCATTTTTTATTAAGTACAACTATATCTTAACATACAATACCAGAGCTTCTGGTCAGCTGAAATGAGCACACAGTAGTGTGCTGTAGTAATCTACTTTATTCCAAAGCTAAGAAGCTGGTATTTGAATCAGTACATTCATTCTGTCATAAGTAAGTGTATGGTTCCTATTGGGTTATTTTATATATGAGCATATCCCAAAGATGCTGAGTGGTAAACCATGTATAGGGCCTTATTTTGCAAATGAAGGAAAAGTGGCCCATGGAAGTCAAATCACTTTTTCCGTTACGAATAAAATTTTAGCTAAATAGGATTAGAATTTAAGTGTGTCTCCCAGACTGACCTATCTAATTATTAAACTTCATTTTACTAGTACTGTTCAGACTTTTGAATTAAATTTGAAAATGCCTGAAGATTTGAAAGAATAATTTTATTCATTGTTTCTCATCACACCCACGGGTGCAACTATGAAATTGTGTTTTTAAAACCTAAGTTTTTGGCTGGGCATAGTGGCTCACGCCTGTGAGCTCAGCACTTTAGGAGGCTGAGGAAGGTGAATCTCTTGAGTCTAGCAGTTAGAGACCAGCCTGGCCAATATGGTGAAACCCTGTCTCTACTAAAAATACAAAAAAATTAGCCGAGTGTGGTAGTGCATGCCTGTAGTCCCAGCTACTTTGGAGGTTGAGGCATGAGAATTGCTTGAACCTGGGAGGTGGAGGTTGCAGTGAGCTGAGATCGGGCTACTGCATTCCAGCCTGGGCAACAGAGTGAGACTCTGTCTCCAAAATAAATCCATCCATCCATCCATCCATCCATCCATCCATCCATCCATCCATCCTAAAACAGTTTTCGACACCTATCATCTCACACATAAGGTGCAATCCAGATTTCTTAACATTTAAATTTGTACTTAAATGTTGCTTGTAGTCTCAGAATTTGAATCTTTCTAACACCAAGCCAATCATCTTCTCTGCAAATGTTCCTGTTACTGACAATTTCTGAATTCTTGGAAAACTCTTGAAGGAAAATCTTCCCGTTGTTCCTCTTATTGGCAGCTCTTGAATTCTTGGAAACCGATCCCTCTCAATCATTTCATATACACAGTGAGTTGCCAAGTTACAACTTGATTATTTCCTAGAAAAAATAAATCTCAATTCTTTTCACTTTTCATTAGGCCATCATTACCCAATTCCTTGATTATAGTAACACCTTTTATATGAGCACTCTGGTACTAGTTTTTAAGTTCTTTCTGGTCCTTCCAAAGCATTGTACTAATTTTTCTAAAATACTGATTACTTCAGTCTCTTTATAGTCCAAGTTCCTCAATTGTGTACCGGTAAAACCAGTATTCATTTTTAAAATTTTTAAATTTTAATCTCTTAATTTTCAATCCACTTTTTCTAATATCCACCAGTTGCTTCACTGTCCTACAGGGTACTATTAATGTTTATTGTATTTTGATACCAGGCTTTTGACTTCGTATTGTTTCCCCTGTTCACTCACCCATGATCATGTGCCCAATTTAATTCCATCTCTTTGTGTCTTGTTCCAGTATTTTGTTTTTTTATGGAAATAAAATTCAGATACCAAACTGTTTTAAAGTGTACAATTCATTGTTATTTAGTACATTCACAATTTTATACAACCACAATCTCTATCTAGTTTCAAAACATTTTTGTCAACTCAAAAAGAAACGTTTTGCCCATTAAGCATTTGCTCTTCTTTTCCTCTTACACTAGCCCTTGGCAACCACTAATCTGCTGTCTCTATCGATTTACCTGTTTTGCATATTTCACATGCCTCTTTCACTTAGCGTGTTTTCCAGCTTAATCTGTGTTTGTAGCATGTATCAGTACTTCATTCCTTCTTAGGGCTAAATAATATTCCATTATATGGCGGTATATGCCACATTTTGCTTATACGTTCATCCATTGAATGGCATTTGGGTTGTTCCTACTTTCAGCTATTGTGAATGATGCTGCTTTGAACTTGTATACAAGTGTTTGTTTGAATACTTGTTTTCAAATCTTTTAGGAATATACCTAGGTGTGGAATTGTGGGCCATATGGTAATTCTTTGTTTAACTTACTGAAGAATCACCCAGCTGTTGTCCACAGTGGCTATACCATTTTCTGTTCCCACCAGCAATGTATGAGGGTTCCATTTCTCCACATCCTCACCAATACTTGTTATTTTTACTTTCTTTTTTTATTATTATAGCATCTGAATGGTATGAAGTGGTATCTCATTAGGGTTTTGATTTGCATTTCCCTAATGATAAATGATGTTGATCAACTTTTCATGTACTTGTTGATCAATCATATGTGCTTGTTTATAGAAATGTCTATTAAAGTCCTTTGCCCATTTTTAATTTGGATTTTTTGCTTTTTTGTTGTTGAGTTGTAAGAATTATTTATATATTCTGGATACCAAAGTCTTTTTTTTTTTTTTTTTTTTGAGACGGAGTCTCCTGCCAATTCCCAGGCTGGAGTGCAATGGTGTGATCTTGGCTCACTGCAAGCTCTGCCTCCCGGGTTCACGCCATTCTCCTGCCTCAGCCTCCCGAGCAGCTGGGACTACAGGCGTCTGCCACCACGCCCGGCCAATTTTTTGTATTTTTAGTAGAGATGGGGTTTCACCATGTTAGCCAGGATGGTCTCCATTTCCTGACCTCATGATCTGCCCACCTCGGCCTCCCAAAGTGCTGGGATTACAGGCGTGAGCCACCGCGCCCTGCCCAGGATACCAAACTCACCGCACCCGGCCCAGGATACCAAACTCTTATTAGATACATGATTGCAAATATTTTCTCCCGTTCTGTAATTTGTCTACAACTTCTTGATAATGCCTTTTGATGCACAAAACTTTTAAATTTTGATGAAGTCTTACAGATGGTATATAGTTTGGTCATGATTTATTATCAGTTCCACCAATCTCTACCTTTTAATCAAGGAGTTTATTTACATTTAAAGTAGTTACTAATAAGGAAAAACTTCTGCAATTTTACTTTTCTTCTATATCTGATACCTTTTTTGTTTCTACTTTCTCCATTACTGCCTTGTTTTGCAATTGATTTTTTCCTGGTATATCATTTTGATTCCTTCTTGTTTCTCTTCCTATATATATTTTTAGTTTTTTCCTTAGTGGTTACCCTGGGGATTACACTTAACATCTTAACTTTATAACAGTTAGGTTTCAATTAATATCTACTTATTTTCAGTAGCATACAAAATCAAATATCATTATGATTGTGCTCTAGAGAGGGAAATATGTTTTTTTGGTGTAGATACTACCCATGTGGCAATTGTTGGCAACCGTTCTACCCACATTTTGCTGCCTGTTTTGCAATGTGTACATAGTTCAGCCTGATTCTGCCCTTCACTCTGGGTATAGTAACACTTAGCCAATCGAGTCCTGTTACAACAAATATAAAGCATAGTGCAAGATCATGAGAGGAGTTTGTTGAGATCAGTTGTGCTCATTTTGGCTAAATTTATGTGGTGCAGTTGGTTTGGAAATAAAACTTTGAATTCGTTCTTACTGCGTATTTCAGAACAATTTCCTGTTAGCTAATATGATATTTTGACTTTTGGCTTAATATGTTTTAGTATAATTATCCAGGGACAATTTGTTCAGTTGAATACATCTGAGACAAATTGTTCTATTGGTCTGATAAATCTTTGACCTAGAAATAAAATAAATACAAATAAACTGCACAAGGATTAGAAAAGGAGACAAGATCCAGAAGGGATTCTTTAAGAACGTTTTTATGTTAACAACCTTGTACCAATGAAATCTGTTGTATACAAAAAGGAAGCAGGAGGCCAGGTGTGATGGCTCATGCTTGTAATCCGAGCACTTTGGGAGGCTGAGACAGGTGGATCACTTGAGGTCAGGAGTTCGAGACCAGCCTGGCCAACATAGTGAAACCTCGTCTCTACTAAAAATACAAAAATTAGCTGGGCTTGATGGCACATCCCTGTAATCCCAGCTACTAGTGAGGCTGAGGCAGGAGAATCGCTTGAACCCAGGAGGCGGAGGTTGCAGTTAGCCAAGATTGTGCCCTTGCATTCCAGCCTGGGCAACAGAGCAAGACTCTGTCTCAAAAAAGGAAGCAGGAAAGCTAGGTTTTGAGGAACTGTATCAAAACTATAGTCAAAGATCTATTTCTGAAGAAGTCATGGAACCCAGAAAGCTTTGCCAGATAATTCTGACAAATCATTGAGGAACAGGTAATTCTTGTCTGATGTAAACTGTTCCAGGGTATGGAGAAAGATGAGACTTCCATTAGATGAAGTAAGCCCATCTGTGAAACCTCTAGCACAAGAAGAGAAAAAAACATAGTTTAGTTTTATTCCCCAGCATAGATTTCTCTTAAGAATGCAAACTTGGTTCAGTATTAACAATTATACGTTACTCTGCTAATGTAGGAAAGGTGAAAAATAGTGTGATCATCTCAGTACATGCCAAATCAGGATTTGTTAAAATTCACTGGTCATTCATGGAAAAAACAGGAGGTAAATACCTTGAATCTCTTAAAGGGTTTTCAGAAACCTGTTGTAAATATCATATTTAATAATGGATTATTGGAAATATTTCTACCAAAGTTGAGAATGAGAAAATGCCTATTAATAGATGTTGCTATTTAGAGCTTTGGTGTCAGTCTTGGGCAATACAGTGAGACAGGAAAAAGAAATGAGTAACAATTGGTAAGTGGGAACCCAATAGAATTAAGTTGGCAAACTGTTGAATGAAGAAGGAAATATAGCAACTACCTCATATAAGGACAATATATTCTAATAGTTTTCCTTATATCAACAATAACCAATTAGAAAATATAATGAGAAAAAGATTTCACATATGGTAGTTATTTAAAAATGAGTAAGCACTTAAGAATAAACCAAAAAATAAAATTTTAAGACCATTATGAAGAAAAAGGACAGAACCAGAAAACAGGAGTCAACAGTGATTAGTACTATGCTCTTAAATAGGAAGACTTGATTCCTCTCAAATCACAGTATAGTTCAAATTCATAATACTCGGAATTTCAACTAGATTTCTTACAGAAATGGAAAAGCTGTCAACACACTCTGGAATATAACATTCCGTTGGTTATGACTTAGAAAATGCCATTTTAAGTAGATTTAACTAAAAATGTCTATTTTACTTTTTCCTTTCAGCCTCGGCTCCTGTTCCCTATCAATGAAGTAAATTTATGACAGCCTAATACAGAGACAGTTTTAAATAATAGAAACTGTGGGTCTGTTTATTTACTTGCTTTTATGAGCAGTAATATTTGTTATAGGCCAACCTTGATGTTAAGGAAACCTCTTTTTTTTTGTAGACAGAGTTATTTCCTAAGAGGTTTCCTGGGTACATATGCAGTGAAATTCTTGGTTTGTCTAGTTTCCCAAATAAAACCCAATGTAATAGAATATCACTTTTCTGGAGTTACAAAAATGACTTGTTTATTCATTTTTTTAAAATGTCTCAGAATATCTACCAAAATAGCCATTCTTAGACACAGTATGGCAGATATTTTGAATTATAATTAAAAAAGAATTGTACAGCTTCCTATGTAAAAACAAAAAGGCTGCTCTTTGATTTCTCTGTTTTATAATATTAAATATCAGAAAACTATAAATCAGTGTCCACATTTTGAGTTTGTTTTTCTGCTACTGGATTCATTTTTAAAATGATAATTCTTTTAAAAAAGAGTTTGAATACCACAAATGTATGTGATGTGAAAATGAGGTCCTTAGTTCATTTTCTTTCCCACTTTCTGCCAATCATAGCTTCCAGCGGTGACTACTTTTAACCTTGGAATGTATAGATCTTTTTCTATACATGTGACATATACAAGATGATTTTGGGGGGGCTTAAGTAAAAATAGAATAATAATATTATGCATACTATGCAATTTTTAGTGTAACCACCTAGTTTTTTTTTTTTTTTTTTTGAGACAGAGTCTTGCTCTGTCATCCAGGCTGGAGTGCAGTGGTGCGATCTCGGCTCACTGCAGCCTCTGCCTCCTGATTCAAGCAATTCTCCTGCCTCAGCCTCCCGAAGAGCTGGGACTACAGGCGCGCGCCACCACGCCTGGCTAATTTTTGTATTTTTAGTAGAGATGGGGTTTCACCATGTTGACCAGGCTGGTCTTGAACTCCAGACCTTGTGATCCACCTGTCTCAGCCTCCCAAAGTATTGGGATTACAGGTGTGAGCCACTGCGCCTGGCCCACCTATATGATTTGACTAAAGAAAAAATGACATTCTCGCATGAGCTGGGGTACAGAAAATACCTTCCCTTTCCCATATACCTTTCTTTTCTTTTTCTTTCTTTCTTTTTTTTTTGAGAGAGAGTCTCGCTTTGTCACCCATCCGCCCACCTTGGCCTTCCAGAGTGTTGGGATTACAGGCATGAGCCACTGCACCTGGCTTTCCCATTTACCTTTTTAGAAAGTTATTTGAGATATTTTAGTCATCAGAAAGGTAAATCCATGTTAAGGATATGAAATTATGCTTTATGATCTTGAGCCTTAATAACATGCATAAATAACTAAGTCCTTAGGGAAAATCTTTACCTTTGAGAGTCATAGGTAACTGATTGCCTAGGCCATAATATTGGACTTAAGCACATTTTAAGATTTGGGTTCTCCTCTAGAAGTGACTGCTTTCTGCAAGAAACTTTAAAAGTAAATCATAACATTTTCTCATTTTTATGAAATGTATGCCCTTATTGGATAAAATAAATTCTCTGGCAGAGCTCTTCCTTAGGTAGGGCCTCATGAATACACTCAGAAGTTTAATTTTCTTGAAAATATGTTTAATTTAAAATGGCTTCAGCAGCAACAGCAACAGAAACAGTTGAATATTACGTCTATGCTTAGTAAAAGACTGAAAGGAGATACTACCAAATATTCATGTGGTGAAATGATAATTTTTATTTTTCTTTTTGTTCTGCTTTTTTTTCCCTCAGATTTCCTTTCAATATGTATTTGGGCAAAATATGTGATCAGGGAGTTTGTATAAGTACAACAAATGATTAATAATCTCACTGACCATGTTGACACAAACAAGGTAATGGGTTTTTTGTTTGTTTTTTGTTTTTTTTTTGAGACAGAGTCTAACTCTGTTGCCCAGGCTGGAGTGCAGTGGCGCGATCTTGGCTCACTGCAACCTCTGCCTCCCGGGTTCAAGCGATACTCCTGCTTCAGCCTCCTGAGTAACTGGGATTACAGGCACGTGCCACCACGCCTGGCTAATTTTTGTATTTTTAGTAGAGATGGGGTTTCACCATTTTGGCCAGGCTGGTCTCGAACTCTTGGCCTTAGGTGATCCACCTGCCTCGGCCTCCTAAAGTGCTGGAATTACAGGTGTGAGCCACCATGCCTAGCCAAGGTAATGTTTTTATCAGATTGTTAAAGACTAACAGAATATGTAATTTAATTTGTGAAAAAGTAATATATGAGCATTCATTTACACTTCTGTTGAAAGTGTCACAGTAAAGCCTATACATCCATCCATATGTAGTATTGGCAAGGGATCTTTTATGACTTACAGATATTTCCACTTTATAATTCTCAATGAGAAAATCAAGTGTGATTACAACTGTGTTAAAAAAATAACAAAACACAGGCTTACATATTCAGGAATGTACTGGTAAGTGAGCAACACTCAAAAGTTCGAGGAAGAAATAGGCTAACCTAATTAAGAGTGTTTACATCTGAGTACTGAATTTAGGGGTCACTTAGTTTTAGTCATAACTGTATTTTCCAAGTATATAGTTTATAATCAACTTAATTTATTTTCTTTACTCAGCTATCTTCTGAGGATCCTGTTTTCTATAGGTTTCTTTTTATATATTCATGGTTTTTTTTTTTAATGCTGTAATACTATTTGATTTCCATTCATTTTTGTCTTTTTTTTTTTTTTCAGGCCAAGATAGCCAGGTTAACCAAACGCTTTGAAGCAGCCAAAGAAGATCTTAAGAAAAGACATGAAGTAAAATTTTTCTATTCTTGCATAATTAATATTTAGCACTAAGTGGTAATCTTAGGAAATGCTGAATTAGGAGGAAACTGTATTACAAATCTGAAATTTGCTTTCATACTGTGTACTCCTCTATGTAATTTCTGGATCTTCAGCCCTAGAACTAATGAACCCCTTTCAAATCCTCATTTACTATTCTCATATATCAACATTTATATTCTATTTTAGGTTATGCAATTCTTTTTTTTTTTTTTTTTTTTGAGATGGAGTCTCTCTGTCGCCCAGGCTGGAGTGCAGTGGCACCATCTTGGTTCACTGCAACCTCTGCCTCATGGGTTCAAGTGATTCTCCTGCCTCAGCCTCCCAAGTAGCTGGGATTACAGGTGCCCACCACCATGCCTGACTGATTTTTGTATTTCTAGTAGAGACGGGGTTTCACCATGTTGGCCAGGCTGGTCTCGAACTCCCAACATCAGGAGTCCATCTACCTTGGCCTCCCAAAGTGCTGGAATTACAGACATGAGCCATTGTGACTGGCCCCTTAGGTTATGCAATTCTTGAAGCTGTATTTTCTGTCCATCTTTAAAATTAGGCTTCAGGGATTTGTCTTACCTTGTTTCTTTCATTTTGCATTCTTGTCAGATTCCCAGTATGGTCTCTTACTATTTTCCCCAAAGTATTTTAGTATTCTACTGCCTGTAGTATTCCTGTTCTCCCCTTCCTTTCTTCCCCATGTAGTCAGTCCTCTTTTATGCTTTAATTGTAATATACAGAGATTAGATTAAGTCACTTTATTGACTTAAACAGTTTGAATATTTTTTAAAGTATACAATTAAGTCCAAACATAGCATAAATTGACTTCCATAGTCTGGCTTTTGCTTGTTGGTGTTTCCTTCATTTTTCCTTTGTTTATCATTTTGCCACTCTTCTGTTATTTCCTTTATTATTCATATTTTAATATAGTACTTTGTATATTGCATTATAGTTTTTAGTTGGATTTATTTTCTTTTCCTCCTGAATTTTTTTTGTTTTTAATTTTTTTATTTGAACAAGGTCCATTTCTTCATCTTGATAGTTCCATTGTCTGGCACATAGTAAATTGCCAATATCAATAAATAGTAATCATTTTTCCTAGAGGTTTTCTGTATTGATACATGTTCATATATTCTTTCCTGTTTTTGCAGCAATAGTACATAGAGCCCTATGAACTCTTCCCCTAGCTTCCCCTGAGTGGTGAAATCTTATCGCTGTAGTACAGTATCAAAGTGAAGAAATTGACAATTTTGTTTACAAAGTAGTTTACAGACTTAACAGTTTCTACCAGTTTTTACATGTGTATTTAAAAATTCATTGTGCATTTATGTCTGTCTGTGTTTATGATTCCATGCACTTTGATCACATGTATAGATTTATGTAGCCCCCATCACAGTCAAGATATAAAATTGTTACATCACCATAAGTGGACTCCCTCATGCTACCCTTTTCTGGTTTTATTTTTATTATTGTTACATCTGTTGATGGACACTTGGTCCATTATTATCTTTGGGCTATTTTGAATAATGCTGCAATGTACATGGGAGTGCAGCTATCTCTTTGAGATCCTGTTTTTAATTCTTTTGCATATATACCCAGAAGAGGAATTACTAGGTTGTATGGTAATACTTTTAGATATTTGAGGAGCCCCCATTCTGTTCTTCATAGAGGCTGCACCATTTCACATTTATACCAGTAGTGCTCAAGAGTTCCAGATTTCCCATAACCTCGCTAACGTGTTATTTTCTGTTCTTTTGATAGTGACCATCCTCATGGATGTATGTGATACCTCATTGTAGTTTTGATTTGCATTTCTCTAATGACTAGTGATGTTGAGCATCTTTTCATATGCTTGTTGGCCATTTATGTATCTCCTTTGGAGAAAAGTCTCTTCGGGTTCATTGCCTATTTTTAAATCAAGTTCCTTATTTTTGTTGTTGTTACTAAGTTGTAGGCATTCCTTATATATGCTGAATATTGACTCTTATATAAATTATTTGCAACTTTTTTGCATCCTTTGTTTCCTTTTCTCTCGATTGTTTCCTTTCATATACAGAAGTTATTAAGTTTGATGCAGTTCTGTTTGTCTATTTTTGCTTTTCTTACCTGTGCTATTAGTGTCATATACAAAAGAATCATTGCCAAATCCAATGTCATGAAACTTTTTCCGTATGTTTTCTTGTAGGAATTTTATGGTTTTAGGTCTTATATTTAAATCTTTAGTCAATTTTGAGTTAATTTTTATATATTTTGTCAGAGTCCATCTTCTTTCTTTTGCGTGTATATATCCAGTTTTCCCAGCACCATTTATTAAAGAGGCTGTCCTTATCCCGTTGTGTGGTTTAGGCAGTTTTGTTGAAGATCATTTGACCGTATATGTGAGTTTATTTCTAAGCTCTCTATTCATTTCCTTTGGTCACTGTCTATTTTTGTGCCAGCACCTCACTTTTTTCGATTATTGTAGCTTTGTAATATATTTTGTGTGGTTCCCCCACCCCCCGCCCCCTTGGCTAACTTAGCCTAATATGTAATATGTTTTCAAATCAGGAAGTTTGAAAACCTCCAACTTTGTTCTTTTCAAAACTATTTTTGCAATTCAAGATCCTTTGAGATTCCATATGAATTTTAGGATTTTTTTCTGGAAAAAAAAAACAAACCCACTATTGCAATATTGATAGGGATTGCATTGAATCTGCAGGTTGCTTTGGGTAATACAGATATTTTAACAATAATAAGACTTCCCAATCCATAAACACAGGATGTCTTTTCACTTATTTGTGTCTTTAAACTTTTTCCAACATTGTTTTGTAGTTTTTATTGTGTAATTGTTTTCTCCCTTTAAGTGTATTCCTAAGTATTTTATTCTTTTCGATGCTATTATAAATTATATTGTTCATTTCTTTTTTATATTTTTTATAGTTTATAGATATGCAACTGATTTTTGCAGGTTGATTTTGTATCCTGCAACATTGCTGAGTTTACATATGTTTGAACAGTTGTCTTTAGGGTTTTTACATATGAGATCATATCATCTGTGAACAAAGATATTTATACTTCTTTTTCTGATTTGGATGTCATTTATTTCTTTTTCTTGCATAATTGTTTGGTTTAGAATTTCTCATACTATATTGAACAGAAGTGGCAAGAGTAGGCATGCTTGCTTAATTCCTGATCTTAGAAGGAAAGCTTTCGGTTTTTCACCATTGAGTATGATGTTAACCATGGAGTTTTCATGTATGGCCTTTGTTAAATTGAGATAATTTCCATTTCTGGTTTGATGAGTGTTTTATTTATTTTTTTCCATGAAAGGGTGTTGAATTTTGTCAAGTTCTTTTGCTGCATCAATTAAGATGATCATGTGGGTTTTGTCCTTTGTTCTGTTAATATGTTACATTGATTTTTATATCTTGACCTATCCTTGCATTCCTCAGATAAACCAACTTGGTCATGGTGTATAATCTTTTTACATGCTGTTGAATTTGGTTTGCTAATATTTTCTTGAGGATTTTTATATCAGTATTCATCAGGGATATTTGTCTGTAGTTTTAGTATCTTTGTTTGACTTTGGTATCAAGGTAATGATTGCCTAATAAATGGAATTTGAAAGTACTCCTACTTGGAAGTACTCCTCTTGGAATACTACCAATTGTTTGGTAGTATCCTCCAGTGAAGCCATCTGGTCTTAGGTTTTTGTTTGTTAATTTTATTTTTAAAATTTATTATTTATTAATGATTATTATTTTTGCAACAGAGTCTCACTCTGTCATCCAGGCTGGAGTGCAGTGATGTGATCTTGGTTCAAGTGATTTGTGTGCCTCAACCTCCTGAGTAGCTGGAATAATAGGCCTGCACCACCACGTCTGGCTAATTTTTGTATTTGTAGTAGAGACGGGCTTTCGTCATTTGGCCAGGGTGGTCTTGAACTCCTGACCTCAAGTGAGCCACCGCACCTGGCCTTAGGCTTTTTTTGTTAGGAGATTTCTATTACTGATTAAGTCTCCTTAATAATTATAGATTTATTTATTTATTTACTTTTAATAATTCAGTCTTGGTGGGTTGTGTGTTTTTAGGAATTTATTTCTTCTAGGTAATCAAGTTTGCAGGTGTGTAATTGTTCATTGTAGTCTCTTGTAATCCTTCCCATTTATGTAGCATCAGTTCTAATGTCTTCTCTTTCTTTCATTTCTTTTCATCTTTAAAGTCATCTGTTTTGTTAGTTAGCCTAGTTAAGGATTTATCAATTTTGCTGATTTTTTTTAAACCAACTTTTAAGTTTTGTTTTTGTTTTTCTATTCTCTATTTTTGTTTACTTCCACCCTAATTTTCATTATTTCTTTCCTCTTGCTAATTTTGGGTTTAGTTTTTCCCCTCTAGTTCTTTGAGTTGTAAAGCTAGATTGTTGATTTGAGATCTTTGTGTTTGTGTTTTACCACTATAAACTTCCTTCTTACCACTGTTTTCACTGCATACAATTTATTATATTTTGTTTTCATTTTCATTTGTCTGAAGATATCTTGTAATTTACCTTCTTCTTTGACTTGTTGGTTTTTTTTTTTAAACAGCATGTTTAATTTTCACATATTTGTGACTTTTCCTACTTTTCTTCTGCTGTTGACGTCAAGTTTCATTCCATTATTGTCAGAAAAGATACTTGGTATGATTTCATTCTTTCTAAATTTGTTAAGACCTGGGTTGTGACATGCGACCTATCCATGAGAATTTTCTATGTGCTCTTGAGAAGAATGTGTATTCTGCTGTTGTTTGATCCAAGCTTATCCTATGTGTCTGTTAGGTCCAATTAGCATATAGTGTTGTTAAAGTTCTCTGTTTCTGTGTTGATATTCTGTCTGATGGTTCTATCCATTATTGAAAGTGGGGTATTGAAGTTTCCTACTATCATTGTGTTACTGTCTGTTTCTCCCTTCCATTCTTTCAATGTTTGTTTCATATATTTGGAGCTCTGATGTAGGGGTGTGTGTGTGTGTGTTACAGCTGGTGAAAGTACCCTTTTATCATTATGTCCTTCATTGTCTGTTTTGACAGTTTTTGACCTAAAGTCTATTTTGTCATACATAAGTATGGCCCATCCTTACTCTCTTCTTGTTACCATTTGCATGGTAATATTTTTCCATCCTTTCACTTTCATTCTGTGTTGTATTTTGGATCCAAAGTGAGCCTCTTGTAGGCACCATATAGTTGGATCTTATTTTAAAAAACATTAAGTCAACCTGTCGTTTGATTGGAGAATTTTATCCATTTGCATTTAAATAAACTGCTCATTGGAAGGGACTTATTGTTGTCATTTTGTTTTTTTCTCTATGACTTGTAGCTTTTTTTTGTTTCTTGATTCCTTTGTGTTTCATTGCTTTTTGTTTTTCTTTTGGTATAGTAGTGTGCTTTCATTCCTTTTACAGTTCGTTTTGTGTATTTTCTTTAGATGTTTCCTCTGTGGTTACCGTGGGGATTACATAAAACATCCTAAAGTTACAACTGTCTATGTTAAACTGCAAATAACTTTAATCATATAAGAGCGCTAGTCTATATCTGCCTCACTATGACTTGATGTTACTGTTGTCGTATATCACATCTTTTTATGTTGTGTATCTGTTAACATATTTTTAGTTTTTTTAAGCTTTTAAGTTCTATACCAGAATTAAAAGTGGTTTATGCACCAATATAACAAGAATACAGGATTCTGTATTTTTCTCCTTATCAACATTTTCTTAGAGAAGTTTATATTTTTGTATGCTTCCATGATGCATACACTCTTTAGTTTCCACGTGAAGGGCTTTCTTCAGCACTTCTTTTAGGACAGGTATAGTGATGAAACTCCTTCAGCTTTTACTAATCTGGGAAAAATTTTAATTTCACCTTCATTTTTGAAGCATATTATTGCCAGGTATAGTATTCTTGATTGGCAGGTCTTTGATTCAGCCCTTTGATAATATATTATCTCACTCCTTCAGGCCTACAAGATTTCTGCTGAGATATCTGCGTGTTATCTTATGGGAGTTCCCTTGTGTGTTGTTATGAGTTGCTTTTCTCTTACTGCTTTCAAGATTATTTACTGTGATTCAGACAGCTTGGTTATAATGTATCTCAGTGTAGATGTTTTTGGGTTAACAATAGTTGGAGGTCTTTGAGCTTCTTGAATTTGCATCTCCATTTTCTTCTTCCAGTTTCAGACATTTTCAGCAATTATTTATCTTTCTCTCTGTCTTCCTTTACTTCCCTTATGTGTATATTGGTCTGCCTGTTGGTGTCCCAAAAGTCCTTTAGACTTTCTTAGCTTTTTTTCATTCTCTTTTTGCTCCTCTGGCTTGATAATTTCAAATGACCTGTCTTCAAACTTGTGGACTTATTTTTCGGTTTGATCCGGTCTGCTCTTGATTCTCTACAGTGAATTTTCATTTCAGTGTATTCTTCAGCTTTTTAATTTGTATTATGATACGTTTTTACAGTTTCTCTTTGTTGATATTTTCATTTTGTTCATGCACCCTTTTCCTGATTTTGCTGTTTTCTGTCGTCTCTTTCACTTTCACCTAATTGAGTATCTTTTTTTTTTTTGAGAAGGAGTTTCGCTCCTGTCGCCCAGGCTGGAGTGTAACGGCGCAATCTCCACTCACTGCAACCTCCGCCTCCTGGGTTCAAGCGATTCTCCAGCCTCAGCCTCCTGAGTGGCTGGGGTTACAGGTGCCCACCATCACGCTCGGCTAATTTTTGTATGTTTAGTAGATACAAGCTTTCACCATTTTGGCTAGGCTGCTCTTGAACTCCTGACCTCAGGTGATCTGCCCGCCTCGGCCTCCCAAAGTGCTGGGATTACAGGCACGAGCCACCAGGCCTGGCCAGAGTGTCTTAATGATAGTTATTTTGAATTCATTGGCAGATAATTCATAGCTCTCTGTTACTTTAGGGTTGGTTTTTGGAGATTTATTTTATTTATTTGATTGGACCATGTTTCTCTGTTTATTTGTATGCTTGTTGAAATTTTAGCATTTGAAAAAACAGCCACATCTCCCAGTCTTTGTGGACTCTTGTACACAGGAAGGGCTTCACCAGTCAGCCTTGTTAGAGAGTCTGTGGGCCTCTAACACCTTTTTTTGGCTATGTGTCTTCTCTGGGCTTTTGCTTGTACTCTTCCATCTGAAGAGGTTTGCCTCTCTACTCTGAAGCTCCCTCTGGTACCTGTCTTTGCTATAGCAGCCTCTGGTACTTTGGCAAGCTGTTGTATTAGTGCTTCCCCTGCTGTCTGTCTGTGTTACTGCAATTTCTCTGGTGCTCTATCAAGTTGAGGGTCCTGCCTTTGGTCTCTGAGGCTCACAGGCATCCGAAGTGCCATAGTCACAGTTCTTGCTCCAGATTAGTCCTCCATGTTGGGTAAGACAAAATCTAATGCGTTGGGCATCTTTCTTAAACAGTTGGATTCAAGCTCCAACTTTCTCTTTCCTTTCTGATGTAGAAGCTGTGTTGGGAGGTTGATGGGGTATAGTGAGTAAATGCAATGTATTTTCCTAACTGTTCCAGTGTGCCTCTTTTTGGCCTTGTGCTCACCTGGGATGGCATACCCTCTCAACTAATTTGTGGAAATCTCATGCAGGCAATATGATGCTTATCTTGTTAAGTCATCTCCATATGGGAAGCAGAGGGGACTTCCTGTTCTGACATGTTGCTGATCATACCACAGTTTTCAAAAATCCTCCATCAAATGACTCCTGTGTTCTAAACCATTTATTTATTCTCTATGCTTTTATTCTTCTTGTTTTTCTCCTGAAATATTCTTTTATCTTAACCATTTTGAGTGTAATAATTACTCAATGATGGCCAGGCACAGTAGCTCATGCCTGTAATCCCAGCACTTTGGGAGGCTGAGGCGGGCAGATCACTTGAGTTCAGGAGTTCGAGACCAGCCTGGTCAACATGGCAAAACCCCACGTCTACTAAAAATACAAAAATTAGCCGGGCCTGGTGGCAGGCACCTGTAATCCCAGCTACTCAGAGGCTGAGGCAGGAGAATCGCTTGAGCCTGGGAGGCGGAGGCTAGAGTGAGCCAAGATGGTGCCGCAGGATGGTGCACTCCAGCCTGGGCGACAGTGAGACTCTATCTCAAAAAAAAAAAAAAAAAAATTACTCAACAATGTGCTTAAAGATGCATTCCTTTCCCTAAAAGCTTTTCTTTTTTAAGCTTTTTGCATTCGCCTTACACAGTTATTTTAATGTGCTTTTCTCTTGTTTTACATTTGTTTATCTTGACAGCCAGATTTTAAGCACCTTTATAGCAGATTGTCTTAATTCTATTGTTTTTCCCTCTACACGTATCTAATGCAATGTCATACTAGAAGGTTGAAATTATTGTTGTGTCATATAAAAAGTAGCAAGATGTATTTGTTGTTAAGAAGAGTGATTAATGGCATCTGCTCAATGTAATTCTAAGCATTTACTACCTTTGGTTTAATATGTTATTCTTACACTTGACTTAGTCTTGAGTAGAGATATTTTATTCTTCCATTTTTTGTTTGTTTGTTTTTGAGGCATGTTCTGGCTCTGTCACCCAGGCTGGAGTGCAGTGACACAATCTCAGCTCACTGCAACCTCTGCCTCCTCGGCTCAAGCTATCCTCCCACCTCAGCCTCCCAAGAAGGTGGGACCACAGGCGTGTATTACCACGCCTGGCTAATTTTTGTATTTTTTTTTTAGAGATGGGGTTTTGCTACGTTGCCCAGGCTGGTCTGTAACTCCTGAGCTCAAGCAATCCTTGCCTGTCTCAGCCTCCCAACGTGCTAGTATTACGGGTGTGAGCCACTGTGCCCAGCCTCGTTTTAAGAGATAAATGATGATAGTGTTATTAATGATGGAGGCCTAAATAATGATAGTTAATATGTAGGCGTTATAATTCCATTTCTGTATTCCCTGGTTTTGGGGGGAAAGGCTGAAATAAGTTGTTACTGAAGCTTAGATTTGTGACATTTTATTAAATAATTTAAGTCACATAGTGGTAGGTAGTATTTTTTTAAAAAACAACTTAAAAATAATTTTGATTTGTGACATTGGATACCACTTATTTGTTGAATTGGTGGTGCTAATATGATGCCTGCTACATAGTAGGCATTCACTAGCTATTTGTTAAATGAGTGAGTCTGGTTATTCTTTAGATTTATATTGTTAATGTTTTTTAAACTCTTACAGCATGTGAGCCATTCTGGTGTTTTTAATTTATTCTTCATAAGAACACTGAGATGCAGGAATTATTATATTAATCTCTCAAATGATAAGCAGTTGTCTTCAGCAAAGTAAATGATTTGCTTAAGATACAATGAACAAGTGATAATGCCAAGATTCAAATTATTGTCTCAGCTGGCAATGTTTCCCATTATATTAGAACAGTGACAGATAATATATTGACAGGCATCTACAGGTCTAATTTTTTTTTAAAGATTCCCTGTGTGTTGAGTTTTATTTTTACCTTGATTTTTTTTTCTCCCCCAGCATCCACCCAACCCACCAGTATCACCAGGAAAAACTGTAAATGATGTCAACAGCAATAATAACATGTCTTACAGGTGAGAATTCATAGTCTGTCTAGTTTTTAAAAACAGAACAAAGTTCTACTTTCTTTATTTGGTCAAAGAATCTTGCAGTGTAATCATGGTATTTATGTAGAAATAAGTGTTTGGTGTACTTGGTTAGTATATTTTCTTTTTCTGCTTCATTATATTGTTCATCTGTGAATAATACTTTTGCTAACTTATTATAAGGCATTCTTTGGTCACTATATATTTCTTTAACCACTTGTCTTAAATAGTATTCTTTCAAGTAATTGAGAAATGCTTCTGTTAAGGGTGAGAAAGACTAATGTCTGTATATATTAGGACCTACTTTTGGTATTCAGGTTAAGTACTGATAACAGACATTAGAATACAAGAGTTAAGAGTTAAGAGTTAATGCCACAGACCCCAGCATTTAGAAGTCTTTGTGCCAGCTATGCCTCACTGTTTTTGCTTGCAGTTTAGGATTGTGAAACCCAAGTCTAGCCACCCTTTTTCCCCTGTGGGCCACTGCTTATTCTAGATATCAGTTGGTATTCCCTGAGTGGCATATCTATTGACTATTGGTGTGTATATGTATTTCATAGAAATGCAGGCACAGTGAGACAGATGCTGGAGTCCAAAAGAAATGTAAGCGAGAGTGCACCACCATCCTTTCAAACTCCTGTGAATACAGGTAACTTTTTTTTTAAATACCAAAATACATTTTCTTAGGAATTAAAGGCTTTGGTTCTCTTTTCTTACATTCTTTTGAGGTTGAAATGGATTAAGAAATTGGGCACATTGGTCTAAGTACAAAAATTTTGTTAAAAATTCAGGATCAAACTGGGTATGGTGGCACATGCTTATAGTCTCAGCTACTTAGGAGGCTGAGGAGGATTACCCAAACCCAGGAGTTCAAGTCAGCTTGGGCAACATAATGGAATCCAGTTGGTCTCTTAAAACAAAAAAATTTAGGGTCATAGATAAGTATATGTGAAAATACAGTATAGATATTCAAATCTCTATTGTAGTAGTTCACAAACTTTCTGGTCTCTAGATCCCTTTACAATCTTAAAAAATTATTAAGAACCCCAGAACTTTTGTTTATGTGGGTTACATCCATTGATATTTATTATCAGTCGAAATGAAGTAGAAATTAAACAGAAATTTAAAAATGTTTTTAAAATGTTTATTCATTTAAAATAATAGTAGGCTGGGCTTGGTCGCTCATGCCTGTAATCCCAGGACTTTGAGAGGCTGAGGCAGGCGGATCACTTGAGGTTAGGAGTTTGAGACCAGCCTGTCCAACATGGTGAAACCCCATCTCTACCAAAATACAAAAATTATCCAGGCATGATGGCTGGTGCCTGTAATCCCAGCTACTCAGGAGGCTGAGGCAGGAGAATTGAGCTTGAACCCGGGAAGTGGAGTTTGCGGTGAGCCGAGATCACGCCACTGCACCCCAGCCTGGGCAACAGAGTGGGACTTCCTCTCAAAAAAAAAAATAATAAATAATAAATATAAAAATAGATAAAGTAATAGTAAACTCATAATGTCTAACACAAAAAGCTTTTTAAAATGAAACTGTGTATTTTCCAAGCTTAAAAATAGCAGCACAAAGAGCATTATTCTCTTACATTTTTTACATATCTCTTTAATACTTTGAGACATTAAGACAGCTAAAGATAGCTTAAAGGTATGTATACTCATATCTATATCTGTTTTTAGTCTGTTTTAAAATGTTGATTTGGCTGAAGCATATGAAAGAAATCCAGTCTTTTACAAATATATAGATGGAAAAGGGCTAGCCCTTACAGATAATTGTGGATATTCTTCTTTAATACTATCCAGTAGTAGTTTCTTTAAGGTTGGTTGTGAAGTGTAATCTGAAACCACACCAAAGAACTTTTCTAACTCCTCCATTAAAATCCATTTATTGGACAAGCGTGGTGGCTTACGACTGTAATCCCAGCACTTTGGGAGGCCCGAGGCAGGTGGATTGCTTGAACTCAGGAGTTCCGGGCCTGCCGGGGCAACATAGTGAAACTCTCTCTCTACAAAAAATACAAAAAGTAGCCAGACATGGTGGTGCACAACTGTGGTCCCAGCTACTCAGGAGGCTGAAGTGGAAAGATGGCCTGAGCCCGGGAGGTGTAGGCTGCTGTGAGCCAAGATTGCGCCAGTGTACTCGATCCTGGGCGCTAGAGGCAAACCTTGTCTTAGAAAAAAAAAAAAATCCATTCCTCTATCTTGCACTTGGATGGAGTTTTACTAATATTATTCATTGATCATTTGAAAACTATTCACCAAGTTATGCAAATCTTCCAAATGACACATTTTATTAATAAATATTATTTTTAAAAATTACATTTACTGATTTTACTATCAGTTCTACTCAGAGAAGTATTTTAAGGATTTAGGGAGCTGTCATGCTTTCAATGACAGATACAAGTTTTTTCTAATGTTCTTAGTTTTGCTTTAAAACCCAAATGTTATTATTGCTGATAAATACAGTTGGGCTTTTTTCTTTGAAGTGACTGGCTTACCTAGTTTATTTTTAAGAAAAGATCTTCAAAATACCCAAACGTGAATTATCAGTGTGTCTGTAGGTCATTCATTCAAGTAAAAATAGTGTTTCATGGGAAAGACTGCTAGTTGAGTTTACAGCTCAATTGCACAAGCATTTTTCCTTAACTATCCTACTTTGGCACGCAGTAGTTGTCTTATATGTACTGCCTATTTCTTCACATGGAATATTAAGAAAAGAACCCCTATTCAAAGGTTGAGATATAATAAAGTTAATAGTTTTTACCGCTGTATCATGGGGATTCTTAAGTAAAACTGACTTTGTTTTTTACTGTAAGCATGTGATGAAGAATGCAGCGATGTTTGGTCCCATTATACTACCTTGATTTTTGTACTAAAGCATCAGAAGTTTTACTTAGCATTGCTTTTGCTCCATTGGTGCTAATGTCTGCTTATTTAAACAGTCAAATAATGTCTCATTGTTATGAAAATAGTTTTGACATTGCAAACTCCCTGAAAGGGTCTCAGAAAACCCCAGGCACCCCGCTGGACCACACTTTGAGAAACTGCTGCTCTAGTGAACCTGTTATTTTTGGAAAGACTATAAATCAATGAGAAAGAAGTTTGGTCATGTATTTTAAACCTGTTGCAATGAGAATAAACACAAGTAGTTGAAAATTATTATAAAACTAGTGACCAGCATTTGTATTTTCTCTGTTCTTCTGTATATGCTACCTCATTTCTTCTTAATTCATCTGTCATCTTCGCTCAGTGCTGTTTTCCATATCATACAATGTCAGTAGGGTGTCAGTAGAGGGAATCTCCCCTCAATAGTTCCTCTCCCAAGGAATTCAATCAAACTTGATCCAAAGATACAGACATGGTTCAAATAATAAAATACGATGAGTAAGCCTACCTGTTATTCATTAATGGTCATGACTCTTTTTAGATTTACTATTTGAGTTTATATATTACTTGTGTTGTAAGGCATTTATAATGTTTTTAATGTAGTTTCAAAAATATATATTTTTACTTAACTTTTTAGTATTTTTTATTTGTTTACTAGTTAGGTACTCTAAAGTGATTATAGTAATTTTCAGAGACCGTTTTGATCCTCAGTAGTCTTGCATATTAATCATCGATCATGTGCTGTTTTTGTAATTTACTAAAACTACATGCAAAATGCTTCTATGAATTTAATTCTAAATTAAATTTTGGAATTTAAATCTGGAAAAAAATTTCATGATAAAAGACTTTACAGTCTTTGCAATGTATTACGCAATGTATTTAATTTGTGTCTGTCATATTTTCTTAGTTGATAAATTAATATAACCATTTAAACTGAGGCTTCTGTTTTCTTTCTATAGTATCTTCAACCAATCTTGTCACTCCTCCAGCAGTTGTCAGTAGTCAACCTAAATTGCAGACTCCAGTGACTTCGGGTTCCCTCACAGCAACGTCAGTTCTTCCTGCACCCAATACAGCTACTGTAGTTGCTACTACTCAGGTGCCTAGTGGAAATCCCCAGCCTACAATCTCTTTACAGCCTTTGCCAGTGATTTTGCATGTACCTGTTGCAGTATCCTCCCAGCCTCAGCTTCTACAGAGCCATCCAGGGACTTTGGTGACTAATCAACCATCTGGCAATGTTGAATTCATTTCTGTGCAAAGCCCACCTACAGTGAGTGGTCTTACCAAAAATCCAGTATCCTTGCCATCCTTGCCAAATCCCACTAAACCAAACAACGTTCCTTCTGTGCCCAGTCCTAGTATTCAAAGGAACCCTACTGCCAGTGCTGCACCATTGGGAACAACACTTGCTGTGCAGGCTGTTCCAACAGCACACTCTATTGTACAAGCCACAAGGACTTCTTTACCCACAGTGGGCCCATCAGGACTCTATAGTCCATCAACTAATCGAGGTCCTATACAGATGAAAATTCCAATTTCTGCATTTAGTACTTCGTCTGCTGCAGAACAGAACAGCAATACCACCCCAAGAATTGGTAAGTCACCATGTAGGTTTAATACTAGAAATGCAAGCATCTTAATAGCCTTGTAATGATTGAACTTTTTTTTTCTAAGTGGCTAGCGTTATTGGAAGTACAAAATAAATAGAATTTTCTTGATTATTTTTAGTAATTTTTTAGATACCTGAGAGAAATGATGTTGCTAAAATGGGGCTTGAGAGGGGTTTTATTTTGAATTAGAAGTTAGTATCTGTGTTTTATCTTTTAGTAATTTTCCTAAGTTTGGTGAATTTTTAATTTATGGCTTTGTGGCAAGCATTATGAGTTACTTTTATGATACATTTGCCAGCAATATCGTTTAAAACATTTTAAAGTATCAAATTTACATAATATATGCTTTTAAGAAAAAAAGACACGTTTATGTTCCTTACCCATTTGGAAAATCCTTTGTGCACTCACTCATAGCTTCCAAATTTGAACAACTTAAAAATAAGTTTTTCTTTCACATTTGCTATAAAATGTTTGAGTCCTTCTTGTTTTATCTTTTCCGTGTTTTCCCATATGACATATTATATGATTGTTTGTATTTTACTTAGAAATATTGCAAAAAGGAGCACTTGATTATACCTGTTTAAAATCTGCCAAACTCTGTGTCTTCCTAGTTCCTAGAAAGAGTTTGTTTTGTATGCATTCTTGAACTTGCTTATTCTTCATTTCTGACTTCACATTTATGTGCACTACTTTTGGAAAGTCATGCAAGGGTAGGCATCATGTGTCTAGTAAAATTGCTACAGTATTTTTCTTATTGATGTTGTAAGTGACCATGTAATATAGGAAACAAATTCTAAAGTACAAAATTACTTTTATAAGTGAGATGTACAAGCCTTAGTTTTTATTTGTCATATAGCCATTACTAGTGTAGTTACTCCCTAAGTGTTTTCTCATATAAAACAATGACGGTATTTCACAGAGTTGTTAAGAAAGTAAATGAATGGCAGATCAAAATTAATGTTGGATTGAAGCTGGATATCACTCATCATTATCATATTTATAAGAATAAACTAATGTTTTATATGAAAGTGTAATTATTATTTATAGTATTTACAATTTAAATGTTTGCATAGTACAGGGCAAATGTTTGTTAGTGTTATCTGCTACCACATTATTTTTTGGATATTCTTTCATGTTTACAACACTAAAAGAGATGCTTACTTTTAACTGAGGTCAGTGGACATACAAGATTTTTGGGTGATAGTTTATTTTTCTGTAACTTCTTTTTCTTTTAGTTCTTAGTATTTTTTAATGTCAGATCATTTAGTGATGGACATTGTTTTATGTGATTTTGGGTTTTCCTCCTTATGAAATTTTGAGGCAAGGTTGACATTGTTTTAAATTCATGGTCATGAGATGAGATATATTCTTAAATAGAGAACTTTTCCTGAAAAACCATGGCTTGAAATATTTTAAGAGTATTTTGTTTAATGTCATGCTTGTACTCCAAACACTTCTAAAAGTGTCAGAATTATAATTTCATTATTCTGTTCTCTTACAATTTTTATAGAAAGGATATATTCCCCAAATTATCTGGTTGATGTACACTATTAGTAATTCATGTCAGTCTGTTTCATTTGACTATTCTTAACTTTTTTATATAAAAGTAAGTTTTCACAATCATTAATTGGTATAGCATTCTGAGATAATGCACAATTATTTCTAAACATAAAATTGTATATTTTAACATGTACATTTATATATTTTTAATATGTAATTATATCAAGATCTTCATTTCAAGTTCCATTTAGAATGCTTACCTACATTTGATAATGAATAAATGTGAATGACAAGCTTTGTATTTTTTTCATAATGCTAACTAAAATGAGATTTTATGAATTTGCTTATTCTTCATTTCTGACTTTATTAATAAATTATTACTTATAATATGTTATTTGATCAGGTATAATTTCAGCAGTGCCATAAATGACGTTAAAGTAGGCATTTGGCTTTTTAGGATTCCCAAAACCTAAACTGAAACCAAACTTTGGTACATCTCTACTACATTTAGTAGTTTGTGATTAATTAATTAGGTTATATAATTAAAATTTTCTAAGCTCTATACTTATGTGGGTATTATGTTTACTTAAAAGAACATATGCTATATGTTCATGCATTTGTATGTATTTTATTGTAGCTAAGTATATCCTTATGGATTTTAAATCACTATTTTCTGTTTATAGTGAGGTAAATGTCCTAAGGGCTTGGAAATTTAAAGCTCAAACTATAGCTAATTTCATTCATTCACAAAGTAATGAATGTCTGTATTATCTTAGGTTCTTTAGATACACAGAAATGTATAAAATAGTCACTATGATCTCACCAAGCTTACAATCAAATAGGGAATGTGGTAATTAAATAACTAATTAATTATAAATGTGATGAGTGTTAGAATTTGCAGGTTTTTGTGAGAGGACAAAAGAGAACATGGGAAATCTGGAAAGATATGAAGTAATGAACAGAAGAATGGGGGAAATACGGTTAAAGGGTTTTTGTAGGGGGTAATGTGACATCCATGAACCCTGGTTACAGTATGGAGAATGGTTTGGAAGGGGTAGGAATAGTGTTAGGAAGACCAATTAAGAGGCTGGAGGCTCTTGTACTGTACAAGATGAGAGATGGTGGTATGAAAAAGATTTAAAAGTTATTTAAGAGGTAGCATTGGCAGTACTTGGTAATTAATAAAAGTTCAGATGTGTGGAAGAGATGGAGAACTCAAAGATGACTCAGCTTTCTAAGACATTGTTAAATGCTGTTCCATTTACTAAACTAGATATTAAAAAAAGAACAGATTTGGGGGAAAGTTATATACAATCCATATACAATGTACTCTCTCAGATTTCATTAAACATCTTGTTCTAAGACTATATAAAACTAGAGTTGGCTAGGCATGGTGGCTTATGCCTGTAATACCAGCACTTTGGGAGGCTGAGGCAGGAGGATGGCTTGAGCTCAGGAGCTCGCCACCAGCCTTGCAATATAGTGAGACCCCCATCTGTACAAAAAATAAAAAATTAGCTTGGCATGGTGATACATGCCTGCAGTCCCAGCTACCCAGGAGGCCGAAGCAGGAGGCCGAAGCAGGAGGATTGCTTGAACCCAGGAGGTCAAGGCTGCAGTGAGCCATGGTCGTGCCACTGCACTCCAGCCTGGGCAACAGAGGAGGTCCCTGTCTCAGAAAGAAAAACAAACAAACGAGAGTTTAAACACAGCAATTATTTCTTCAACCATTTCTTCAAGGACATAATTAAATGAGCGAAGTGTTTGCCTTTTTTCTGTTCATACAATTATCCAGAGCTACTAAGAGATAACTGCCAGTTTAACTCCTGTAAAGTGCTTTTTAATTTTATTTACTTTTATTTGTATTTTTATGGAGACGTATTCCATATGATAGAAGGATTTTAAGCTATAATTTCTTATTTTACATCCTGACCAGTTTTGTTGCTTGATAGATGGAGTTATAATATTTATATCCAGAAGTCATCCAAGGTAGATCTTGTAGAAGAAAGGAAAAGCAATGCAATGGAACTATAAGATGTTACATTAAGAATCAAGGGAAAAAATCTGTAATAACGGGCAAGGAATGTTAGTTGAGAATCTAGAATAAGGAATATCATTACAGTTTTGTGAATAATTAACATAGCTCTGAGGCAATTAGGTCTAAGAGAGAATCATGCTGGGTAACAAAGAAATGTGTGTGTAACATTTTATTAAGCAGTCTAAATCTTTCTTGCATCTTTAGGAATTTTCTTATATGAAAATGTTATGACAAAAAATAAAAATGAGGCCAGGTATGTTGGCTCATGCCTATAATCCCAGCACTTTGGGAGGCTGAAGCAGGTGGATCACTTGAGGCCAGAAGATTGAGACCAGCCTGGCCAGCATGATGAAAGCAGGTCTTTACTAAGTAAACAAAAATTAGCCAGGCATGGTGGCACACACTGGTAGTCCCAGCTACTCAGGAGGCTGAGACGTGAGAATCTCGAACCTGGGAGATGGAGGTTGCAGTGAGCCAAGATTGTGCCACTGCACTCTCGCCTGGGTGACAGCAAGACTCTGTCTCAAAAAGAAAAAAAATAATAAATAAAATAAAGAATTAAAAAATAAAAATATAAAAGTGAAACTTCCTCATCTACTTTTTATGTAAAGTTATCTTTTATTTTGATTTGAAGATGGAAGTGTTTCAAATGCAAATGAATGTATTTTAACATTGTATATAAAAACCTTTGGTAGTAATCACTGATATTTTGGTAATATCACCTAGTGTATCTTAATACTCCACTGTGTAACATCAGTAGCCTAAAATTAGTTTTGTTAGTCTTTCAGGAACTTCATAGTCCAAAACAGATGCTCATTTGTAATAAATGAGGTAATTTGAATATATTTTTAAATAAATAGATAATATATTAATATTCTTCTTACAAAAAGAAGGTAATTCAGATAAGGTAGGAGAAATCAAAGGGCATTCTTTTTACTTCTGTACCCTGGAATACTTCTCTTTTAACAGGTGAATATTAACCCAACTTGATTTTTTAGACATACAGACTTATATATATACATATGGGAATACATAGGTAGTTTAACTTCCTGTATTTTTTTAAACATAAATTGTTTACTCTGTATGCATTCTGAAGATTTGCAAATGAAAGGAATGCCATAGTTTGACCAAGAGGGTTTTATCTCCAGAAAGAAAGGATGGGCTGTTTCAACATTTAAAAACTCCATGTTACCAAACAGGAAACCCTAAATAATCTCAATAGGTGCAAAAAACCTTTGATAAAATTTAATACATTCTCTCTTTTCCTCCCATTAGAAATTGGGACAAAATATACTTTGTTTATTTTCTGTGCTGTTCTGAAAGTAACATTTTTTAACTGCGAACTCATTACAAGTTAGTTGAAAAATGAACAAAGAAAGAAAAATCACCGATGATTGAACTACTGAGAAATACACATGTGTATTTTCTTGGATTTACTGCAACTGTTTCTACTGAATTTATTGGGAACATTTTTGACATACTAAATTTTTTTCTCCAAAAGAACATAGTGTGGAGGAATTATATTTTGTTTAACTATTTCCTCATGTTAGAACATTTAAGTTATGTGTATCTTAAATTATTTCCATGAGATACTGCTTAGAGTTAAAATTGCTGGGCCAGTGGAAAGTTTTTTTTAATCTGTATTGTGATCTGTATAGTAATCTGTATGGTATCTGAAAGATACTATAGCAGTGGTCTGTGAATTTGAGTTTTTATTTATGTATGTGACATGTTGACGGAAAAGTAGTTGGAGAAAACTACATGAATTGTTTCATATAAAGCAACTTAACTTTTTACATTTTGTAGATGTTTTTAAAAATGGCTTTTTTTACTTTTCAGAAAACCAGACAAACAAAACAATAGATGCTTCTGTCAGTAAGAAAGCAGCTGATAGCACATCACAGGTAAGATTTTTCCTTCTTCTTCAAAGTAAAATCCTAATTATGGTCCACAGGAAAATGAATTTTCATCATTCTTTGATTGAATGAAAATTGTTCTATGTGTGTTTTTTATAACTATCCAAACATTGTCTCACAGCTTCTCTGTAATGTTTGACAAGAATTGAGGTTTTTGTGTTTTGTCTTGTTTTGTTTTTGCATAACAGTTCTCTTAGAGGTAATAATTAGTTTATTCTATTAACTGACTGATTTGATTAATACAATTGACAATCCAGTCATTTGCCTTTACATACTGTAAAGATTGTCTGCAAAAAGAAAACACATGTAATTTCTTCCAGGTACATCTTTTTTAAGAGTGTCTCATTGGTTTACCTTCACTTGTACCACACTCTACCCCTACCACCTTTTTAATTTCCCCAAAGGTAATCAGAAATACCTTTTGAGGAAGAATTTTTTGTCTGTCTGCTTGTTTACTAGCACTTTGCCAGTCTTTGTACTTTTTCATATTAAATCTTAACCACCCGGTAATAGAATAACTACTTCTTTCCTGTATTAACAGTGTTCTTCCTTGTTCTTTATGGCTTTAGGTGTAGTGAATTTATAGTGATTAGATTGTTGATAGTTTTATTTTATTTTCTTCACTTCCTTTGAATCATTTCAAGGAGCTCATATATTCCCAGCAGAACAAAAATCTCGAGCATGTCAGGCATGAAAAAATGACAAGAATTTTAAAACAAGGGCATCATTTGATCTTTAAATATGACTATTTTCTTTAAAAACGATGGATTTTGACCAACCTAGATGTACACCATAGTTTATAGATCAAATAAAAGCTATTAAAAATATCTTAACTTCTTAGAAATGTTAGCAGTCTTTGTGTGCAGTATTAGAGATCAGAGTTGTGATTGTTTCTGAGCATGTCTTGTGGGTTATAACTATGTTTTCAATTAAAATTATAAGATTGAGATACTTTCTGGAAGATGTATAGAAAATGTTGATATATTCAGTGATACTTAAGTGACATTTATAGGAAGTCTAGTTAAACTTTAAACAAAGGATTTATGAACATCTCTACTTCCCTCAGTGAGTTTTTTTTTTTTTAACAAGTAATATTTTCAAGGAAAGGAAAATGGACATTATGATGGCTGTCTTTTGTCCTTTTGTAAATGGTGGTTCTTCTAGAGCTGTGCTATCTAATATGATAGCCACTAGTCACATGTAGCTATTTAAATTAAATTAAAAATTTAGTTCTTCAGTCAAAACCCCATTTCAAGGTTCAGTAGCTACAAATGGCTAGTGGCTAGCATATTGGACCACACAGATACAGACTGTTTTCATCATTGCAAAAAGTTGTATTAAACTCTATTGTATAGAATATTTTGCTGAAATATAGTATATGTGGCTGGGCATGGTGTCTCACACCTATAATCCTAGCACTTTGGGAGGCCGAGGCGGGCAGATCACCTGAGGTCAGGAGTTCAAGACCAGCCTGGCCAACATGGGGAAACCGCAACTCTACTAAAAAGACAAAAATTTGCCTGGTGTGGTGACGGGCACCTGTAATCCCAGCTACTTGGGAGGCTGAGGCAGGAGAATTGCTGGAACCCAGGAGGGCGGAGGTTGCAGTGAGCTGAGATCATACCACTTTACTCCAGCCTGGGTGAAAGAGCGAAACTCCATCCCATCTCAAAAAAAAAAAAAAAAAGAAATATAATATATGTAACATCATAAATACATAAGTGAAATTAAAATGGATATAATATAAGACACTTGAGGTGGGGTGTAGTGGCTCACGTCTATAATCCCGGCACTTTGGGAGGTGAAGACAGGAGGATCACTTGAGCCCAGGAGGTCGAAACCAACCTGGGCAGCAAAGTGAGACTCCGTCTCTATAAAAAAGAAGAAACTTAAAAAAAAAAAAAAAGACACTTGAAACAGGAATTGACTTCATCAGAAAGCAAAGCAATAGTACAAATTAATATTAAGCTCTCAATAGATATTTTATTTGGCTTCAAGGAAGAGGAATTTAATATCTGAGTATAAAAAATGCGTACAAGCAGTTTGAGCAGCTAGCCTGCTGAAGCAATGCCTTATCAAAAATAACAAAGTTTCAGTTTTGAATCAGTGTCAATTATGTATATGAATAATAAATATAATTACAGGAGTTTTATTGTGTAATAAGAAACCATAATGGAAGTATATATGTGCTTTCAGTTATGAAGTTATGCTTGTCAGCCAGAATTTTTTGAAACAAATATCATTTTTGTTATTGTGATGAATACCTTTATTAATGTTACACTATTGACTAAGAAGTTGTTATCTTTTTACCCTAATGTGCACCTTGCTAGCAGATAGAAACTAGTGTGAAACAGGTAGCCTGTGATTCTTTGAATTGTCACATTTTAAGTACAATTGGCTAACTTCATTTTTCTGTCCCAAGCCTACTTAGTTGTACTTGTTAACACTTTAAGGTTATTTAGATCAGAAGAAATCTGGATGTCTCAGGCCAGGTGCAGTGGCTTACACCTATAATCCCAGCACTTTGGGAGGCCAAGACGGGCAGATCACTTGAGGTCAGGAGTTCGAGACCAGGCTGGCCAACATGTCTCTACTAAAAATACAAAAATTAGCTGGTCGTGGTGGTGCACGCTTGTAATCCCAGCTACTTGGGAGGCTGAGGCAGGAGGATCACTTGAACCTGGGAAGAGGAGGTTGCAGGTTGCCAAGCCAAGATAATGCCACTGCATTCCAGCCTGGGTGACAGAATGAGACTGTCTCAAAAAAAAAAAAAAAAAAAAACTTGGACATCTAGTGTGGAAATGCTTGTGAGCTGTAGTTAATTAGCAAATGATGAAATATGTAAAATACTCTTTCTGTAGTTGTTAAATGAAGATTTATCTGATATCCCCAAATAAGTATTTATTAACATATTGCATATAATTTATTATTGTATATTTTATTACTATATATCATTTTATATAATGAATTGTTTTATATAGTGAAAAACAAATTTATTCAAATTATCAACATAAGCTATAAAATAGTGTTGCTATCTGTAATTGTTGTTTTGAAGGACTCAAGATTCACCTTTAAGTTTGCTGATTTGCTAGAAGGATTTCATAAGACCCAGTAGTAGGTTATACTCACCATTATGATTTGTCACAGCAAAAGGTATAGAGCAAGAGCAACAGGGAAAAAAATTTGCAGAGTTGAAGTTCAGAGAGATCAGGCAAAGACTTCCAAGTCGTCTGTCTGGGATCGCACAGAATTTGTTTTTTCTCTGGCTTATTAACCTTAGAGACATGTGCCAAGAGTCTTCCCAGAGAAGCCTGACTGAGTCTCAGGGTCTGAGGTTTTTTGGAGGTCTGGTCACATAGTGACATTTTTCTATATAAGTGGCCATGGCATTGGAAACTCAGGATCCCAACAATGAAACCCAAGTGTACATCATCAATCTTCATTCACTGTTCAGAGTGTATATAAGAGAATTAATTGTTAACATGACTTCCAAGGGCAACGTTCTTGATAACTAACCAAGTCTCAATTATGGGTCCAAGTTCCCTTGGAGAGATGTGCAAGGAATGAACAACCAGCTCTTCTGCGTGAACTCTTTCTTCACATTTGCTGAAGTGTGCCTTTCAAGTATATTCTTGTTTCATTACAAAAAAGCTACAAAGCCAATATGTTTGCTCTCTTGAAATTTTCTTAGTGTTTGCTTATTGAGACTGGTCGTTTTGGAAAACGACACATGATTAGCTAAGTTTTTAATAAAATTTCTACTGTTAAAAACTATTTGATATAATTTTTTAATGATTTCAAACTGAAGGTTTCAGTTTGTAAAAACATAAACGTGTTTCTGATTAGATTTCTCAGACAATGTTTTGTCAGGAAAAGATGTAAAGATACATGTATATGTATACATGTCTCTGTTTGTTCATTTCCACCTGGTGGCATAGAAATAATAAGGTCTACAGTCAGACAGCCTGGAGCCTGTCACTTAATAGTGGGTGCTTTGGCAAGTTATTGAACACCTTAGATTTTTCACTTATAAAGTAGAGCTAGAGCTAGTACTTACCACATAGAAATATTGGGAAGAGTAAATGTGTTAATGCATGTAAAGCATTTAGCACAGAGTCTAATTGGAGTAGTGCTAGCTATCATGACTATCTTATAAATGTAGTTAATAATTATGGAAATAATTACCAATTTTATTTGTCAAAAAAGAAAGTCTATTCAGGAAACTACTTGTAGTATATGATAATAAATTGTATCTGTCAGTTTATGATCAATAAAAATCATAATTTATCATTAGGTCATTGCTTGTAGATCTTCTTGATCTATATAAGCATTTAATGATACACATATTCCTCTGAGCACTGCTTTGCCTGCATTCCATAAATTTTCATGTGTTGCATTTTTATTTCATGTAGTTCCTTGTCATTTCCTTTTGGGTCCTGGGTTGTTTAGTTAGTAATTTGTTTAATTTCGTAATATTTGGGGATTTTGCAAATTTTTTATTATTGATTTTTCATTTAATGCTATTGGATTTAGAAAATATCCTCTGTATGACTTTGTTACTTTTACACAAATTAAATATGTGTTATAAAGCCCCATCTATGGTATATATCTTAGTGAATGTACCATTACACTTGAAAAGATTATGCTGCTATTGGGTGTAATGTTTTATAAATGTCAATATAGCATGGTTAGTAGTGTAATTTGGATTATTTGTATGTTTACTGATTATTGCCTTTTGCTGTAGTGGTTTTATCTATTACTAAGAGTGGTATGATTGTGAATCGATTTCTTCCTTTAATTTTGTCAGTTTTGCTTCATAGGTTTTGACACTGTATTACATGGTGTTTTTTATGTATAATTTGTAATCTTGCCATACTTTTATCATTATAAAGTTTCCCTCTTTGTCTCTCTGACATTAACATAGTTACAGCAGCATTTTTTTTTAACTCTTAAAGAAAAAAGTTTAATTGAGTCACAGTTCCACAGGGCTTGGGAGGCCTCAGGAAACTTATAGTCATGGCACAAGGGGAAGCAAACATGTCCTTCTTCACATAAGGGCAGGGAGGAAAGAATGAGAGCAGAGCAAAGCGGGAAGCCCCTTACAAAACCATCAGATCTTGTGAGAACTTACTATGAGAATAGCATGGGGGAAACTGCCCCCATGATTCAGTTACCTCCCACCCAGTCCCTCCCACCACACATGGAAATTATCAGAACTACAATTCAAGATGACATTTGGGTGGAGACATAGCCAAACCATATAAGGAGGTAGGACCCTGTATTCATTATCTTGCTACTTTTCTAAGTTACCTGTGTGTATAGAGTTTAAGAAATGATCATTGGAAAAAGGCAATGATGCTCTTGGAGGAATGCAGATCTAACAATTGAATGTTTAAAACCAATATTCCATGTATATTGTATTAAAAGCCTTTAGAATAAAAGTATCTATCCATATTTATTTTTTAAAGCCAAAGTGTATATTAGTGCCACATATATCGTATAGCCTTATAGTGTAGTATTTTAAGGACATCTTAACTGCCCTCTAATGCCTTGAAATCTGGCTACATATCTGACTTATTACCCTGCCCCTAATTAGTAGTGTTTTATGCTAAGTAAGCATCCTTATCTATTGAATAAATGCTAATAGTAAATGATGAGACAAAAGTTGCCATCAAGTTGCGTTTTTATGAAAAAAATGTGGTTATGAAAAGCATGAAAAAGCATGATTTTCATTTATAAATTAGTCACACATTTCTTTGTTATTTAGAAAATAAAAATTATACTAATTAGCAATCATTTATCAGCACCAAGTGAATATTCTGTCAACTGTTTGACCTTGTAGTTGCTATTGCCCAGCTTGAATGTGTGTAGGGATGTAGGTATATACGCATACCTATTTTCCCACCTGCACCCCACCAGTAACTTTTGTTGCCCTTTCTTTCCTGAAACCACCCTGGTCCAGATCTTTCCCATTTTTCTTCACCTTGACTTCTTAATAACATTCAGCACCACTCAGTCTCCTTCCTTTTTGAAACATTAGTTTCTCTTGGTTTCCATGCCATTCACATGCTTTTGATTTTCCTCTACATCTCTTCTTGGGAGATCTCATTCACTCCTGGGATTCAGTTACTGCATATATTCTTATGTCTGGCATATTTAAACCTCTAGTTCAAATCTCTGTTCATCTTCAGTCATCCATATATGTATATGAATGTATGCACACACACACACTATATTAATCTCTTCTCACATTGCTAAAATGAAATACCTGAGACTCAGTGATTTACAAAGACGAGGTTTAATTGGCTCATGGTTCTACAGCAGCATTTTTATGTTTACTGTTTGCATGTTACTTTTTTCAGCTTTTTACTTTCAATCTGTGTCTTTATATTTAAAGTGAATCCGCAAGAGAAAAAAAATCATATTTCTTGATTTGTTGCTGTGTTATCCCATCTGATAATCTCTACATTTTGGTCGGAGTTTTTAGACCATTTATAGTTAATATAAGTATTGATAGGATTGTGTTTAGGTCTGCTATTTTGCTATTTGTTTTCTATTCATTTCATCTGTTTTCTTTTTTTGTTGGTTTCTGTGTACCTTCTTTCCTGCTTTATTTTGTATCAGTTTTTTTTAAAGCATTCTGTCTTAATTCCTCTGTTAGCTTTTTAGCGCGCTCTCTCTCTCTCTCTGTGTGTGTGTGTGTGTGTGTGTGTGTGTGTGTGTGTGTTTTAGGGGTTGTTCTAGAGTTTACAGTATGTATCTAATCTTAATTATAGGAACCTTGCAATTTTATGTGTACATTTACCTCCTTAATGAAGTTGCTTTCCTTAAATATGACGTTCATGTTTTCACATATATTGTGGTCTTGTTTGCACATATATTACATTGTTTTTAATCTTCATGTTGTAGATCTCTAAATATATTGTTTTTAATTTTTGCCTTATAGAATTTTAAAGAAATTAAGAACAGAAAATAGATATAGTCTTTAATATTTATCCTTATGTTTACCTTTTCTGGTCCTCTTCTTCCTATGATCCAAGTTGGTATTTCCTTTCAAACTGAAGAATGTCCTTAAGCTCATCTTTACAGTGTAGATCTGCTAGTGATACATTCTCTTGGTTTTTTAGTATCTAAAAAATGTACTTTTGTATCTTTTGTCTCCTTTTTTCAAGGAGAGCATCATTGGATATAGAATTCTTAAAGGTTTTTTTTTTTTTAAATTATCGGCACTTTGAATATGTTGTTCCAGTGTCTTCTTGCTTCCATAGTTTCTGACCAATAGTCAGCAGTTACTCTTTGCTCCTGTATAACGTATAATTTGTTCTGTTTATTTTCAAAATTTTTCATTATTGGTTTTCAGTATTTGAACTATGATGTGTATAGTTATGATTTCTTAGTGTTTCTTCTGCTTGAGGTTCGTTGAACCTCTTGGATTTGTAAACTAATGTTTTCCACCAAATTTGGGAAGTTTTTGGTTATTATTCAATTTTTTCTTTAGATCTTTGTTTCTTCTCATTTAGGGTTTTGCTGAACTGTTTCTTATTGCACAAGTTTCAGGCGTTTTTCATATTTTCTTCTGTTTTTCTTTGTGTCCTATGGACTAGAAAATTTCTATTGATCTAGCATCAATTTCATTTGAGTTTTTCCTGCCCCCTCCAATCTGCTTTTATGCCTACATTAAGCTAATTTTTATTTTAGTAATTATTTTTTCAGCTTTATTATTTCTTTTTTTTTCAGTTTCTTTTTCTCTTTTGAAATTTCCTGTTTGTGCATTCGTTATTATTATATTTAATTCTTTGAATTTTTTTTTTTTTTTGAGATGGAGTCTTGCTCTGCCACCTAGGCTGGAGTGCAGTCGCGCAATCTCAGCTCACTGCAACGTCCGCCTCCCAGGTTCAAGCGATTCTCCTGCCTCAGCCTCCCGAGTAGCTGGGACTATAGACACCCACCACCATGCCTGGCTAATTTTTGTATTTTTAGTAGAGATGGGGTTTCACTATATTGGCCAGGCTGGTCTCAAACTCCTGACCTTGTGATTTGCCTGCCTCAGCCAACCAAAGTACTGGGATTACAGGCGCGAGCCACTGCTCCTGGCTTTAAACATATTTTTAATAGCTACTTTCGAGTCTTTATCTGCTGGATGTAATATCTGGCTCTGCTTAGAGTCAGTTTGTATTGACTTATTTTTTCGTCCTAAGTTAGTTCCACTTTTCAAAGCTGGACCTTAATGATAATATGTTGTAGTGAAAGATTATTTTACATTTGTTGATGATTTTTGGGATCTTTTAGTTTGGGATTTTATAGATTTTTGGTGTTTGTAAATAACCCATTTTCTGTGAAATCATTATTGTAGAAAGATTTATAAGAATGAGAATTGCATTATTGTCTTGGGATTGGGCCTGGATATTATAAAGTCAAGGCATTATTTTCTTTAATTTCTCAACTTGAGTATCGCAGATGAAAACCTTTATCATTTGGAATTGATCTCAGTATAATATATCAAAGTAAATTGTGATTATCAGTTATTAAGCAATTGCCATGTATCATATATGGTGTTAAGCACCTTATATACACATTTGGATTAATCCTCACAATAGCCTCAATATTCAAATATTGGAAATTGAGATAATTACCCATCTGAATCAGGTAGCTAATAAGTTAGAACTGTAAGACACACTGACTTCAGAGTCCTGGCTCTTTAGGTTTATGTCGTCTTACCTTCCTTTTTGGTTGCTGTCATGTGGTTTTAAAGGTTTTTCTTATAATCCTAATATTTCTCATGATTTTGGATGATGGGTTACTGGTCAGCTTGGATGTGCAGTTAATAGCATAGCATACCATATGATTTCATAGTATACCATACCATTTTTTTAGGGCAAAAATTTAGATTATTTTCTATAACCCAATTCTAGCTTTAATGATTGCCTTTGGTGTTGTGGTAGATTAATATTGATAATTTAGAGTAGTATTGATCAACATTTTAAATGTCACAAAATGAATAGTGTTTCTGTTTAATCTTATTTGCTCTATGCAACAGATAGCTTAGTTTTTTTAAGAAAACGTCTTGAATTTCTTTTGAAAATTATATTTCATATAGTAGATGTTTAACACATGAGTATCCTGGGACATTTGTCTGACAAACTCTCTTTATTCAGGTACAGCCATTTAAGGGTCCAGATTGAACCAGGTTACTCATTAGTCTCATTTTACCTCACTTATCATCTCATTTTTTAACACGTATATCTGCCAGAGTTTTCTTTGTAAAATGTAGAAGTTTTGTTTTTCAGTGTGGAAAAGCCACTGGCAGTGATTCAAGTGGTGTCATTGATCTCACAATGGATGATGAAGAGAGTGGAGCTTCACAAGGTACTTCAATAGTAATTGTACTAAGCAACGTTTTGATACCATTTTTTTTGTCTTAATACGGTACAGTATTCTACAAAGACAGATGTTTATGGCATTATGCTTGGTTTATTTGTGTTCTTTTTGGAATGGAAGTTTTTTAGATTAGAATTTTAAAATTTGGCCAGGTGCAGTGTCTCACACCTGTAATCCCAGTGCTTTGGGAGGCCAAGGCAGGAGGATCGAGGCAAGAGGTCAGGAGTTTGAGACCAGCCCGGGCAATGCGGTGAAACCCCGTCTCTATAAAAAATTTAAAAATTAGCTGGGTGTGATGGCATGTGTCTGTGGTCCCAGCTGCATGGGAGGCTGAGGCAGGAGGATAGCTTGAGCCTGGGAGGTTGAGGCTGCCGTGAGCTGTGTTTATGCCACTGCATTCCATCCTGGGTGACAGAATGAGGCCCTGTCTCAAAAAAAAAAAAAAAAAAAAAAAAGGATAGAATCAAATCTTAAATGAGTATGAACAATGTGTAGAGGAAAACAGCAATTAAGAGAATATTGTAATTTTTGGAGTACCTCTGTTTTTGTATCTGTTATTTCACTTGATCCTTGCAAAAAAATCCTGTAATACTCATTTTAGACTTGAGGAAACTTGTTAGCCTTAGAGAAAACAATTCAGACTCAGTAAGGGTCTTGGGAGTAAAATCCAGCTCTTCTGTCTCTACATTAAATGTTCTTTTTCTCTCTCTGTTTATGTTTCAGTGCAGATACTGTATATATATGTATTCATTTAATTTTGGTCATTTGAATTAATTTCTTTTATCTAGCATTATATAAATAAAAATAGAAGTAATTTCTAAAAACGTTCACATCCAAAATAATAATGTTCTGAGTTATAATATTTAGAAACTGTAAACCATATTCCTAGTTATTCTGCAGTGTTAATAGGTGTTTCATGAATATAAAGTTCCATGGTTAAGTATGTTTGGAAAATGCTGAGTTTAAAGTTAAATTGATTTTTTTCTTAATGCAGACTTCTCTGAGCCTTTACTATGCTAATTTATAATGTAAATCTCCAAGAATGATTTAAGATATAAAGTATTTCTCAAACTTACTTGGCTGTGCAAAATAACGTTCAGCTACATATCTATAAAACTGGTGATTATTGCACATGGAAAATATAATATCATGTGCTGAGTTACTTCTTATTATCTTAAAGACATTACTTTTTTCTAAAACACCCAAATATTTTAAAAATAATATTTTGGGGAATCAGTCTAGTTGAGCTTTGGAAAACAAAAGTTAAATAGCTGTACAACTGATTATATGACAGTAAAGTCGGTTTTGTTATTTAAAACTGAATTGAGAAATGTATGCCATCCTTCATCCGGGTTGAACTCAAGCCAGTATGATTATTCTTTAAAAGTTTCAAATTATCTCTATTGCTTTCACTTATCTCTATTGCTTTCACTAATTTTTAATAGACAGCCATGACTATTATAATGGATCCCTAAAGAAAAAAATAAATACAGGTTTTTGAGAGGACACAGGTAGGCTTAATTCTGGATTAAAAAGTAAAGTCCTAAAAGTTTGTTTTCAGTGCTCTCACCATTTCCCTAGCATCCATGCCTCATGGGGTCTTTTTGTTGCCCCACCTTTGGGTCTGTCTCAAATTCTCACATTCCTAAAGCACACTGTTTTCCAATGGCATTAAAGTATCCATTGTTAAAGCCTTGGGTTTTATTTACATTTAGTGTGGAATTCTATAGGACAGAAATTGATGGGGATTATTTTGGATAGAAGGACTTTTGGGTCACAATCTTCATAGTGGTTTCCTGTTTTTAAGAGTTTTTTCTGAGATGCAAATATTTATTTCATAGGCTATTGAAGACCTTTTTTGAGATTAGTCATTCTTTGACTATTTTAAAGACTATATAGTGATGATAAGCAACTATCTGTTATCAAAGAACCTAAATAATTGTAGTAATTGAAATTCAAGATCACAGTGAAAACTCATCAGTTTATAGATATTTGTCTAGAAGAGTGTTCTTCCTATAGGTAGGTAGATTATATATTTATGCAAGTAATGAGTTATTCTAGTTGACATATTGTACTGATTTACAAGTAAGATTATTTCTGAATTTCTGTAAACGTGAATTTGAATCTGTGATAGAACCACCAGCAAATTACATATGCTCTTAACTCAGTTTTCAAATCAGCAAAAATACACGTAAGTAAAATGGAAATAAATTATTCTCTTAGAGGTAAATGTGACACACAAGTGGCAAGCAAAAGTAAAATTTGTCCATAGAGGAAAGACTTGTATTTCCTGATTTTTTTCTTGTCAGTCATAATATTTCACTTTTAACTAACAGACCCCAAAAAACTAAATCACACTCCTGTATCAACCATGAGTTCTTCTCAGCCTGTGTCACGACCATTGCAACCCATACAACCAGCACCGCCTCTTCAACCATCTGGGGTGCCAACAAGTGGACCATCTCAGACCACCATACACTTACTACCTACAGGTAAATTTGTTGAATCATTGAGTAGAAGCTTTGGTTTTGCCTGTAGAGAACTATGACTATGGAGTTAAGTGGAAAGATAAGACAGAAAATTAATATTCATCTTGTTAATTTGAGGACTACAGTGCATGTCCTTTTGAAGGCAGTATAACTTAGTTTTTCTGACTGTCTTAAGCAGCGGCACTGGTAAAGAATGATTTTAAAGAAAAGTATATATTTATTTACTTAACATTATATAAATAAAAGTGGAGGTAATTTTAAAAAGCATTCACATCCAAAATAATAATATTCTGAGTTATAATATTTAGAAACTGTAAACCATATTCCTAGTTATTCTGCAGTGTTAACAGGTGTTTCATGAATACAAAGTTCCATGGTTAAATATGCTTGGGAAATGCTGAGTTTAAAGCTAAATTGATTTTTTTCTTGATGCAGACTTCTCTGAGCCTTTACTATGCTAATTTATAATGTAAATCTCCAAGAATGATTTAAGATATAAAGTGTTTCTCAAAGTTACTTGGCTGCGCAAAATAATGTTCACCTAATATCTATAAAACTCTGGTGATTACTAATGCATGTGGAAAATAATACTATTCTGAGTTATATTCTTGAGACCAGCCTGGGCAACACAGTGAAACCCCGTCTCTACAAAAAATTTAAAAATTAGCAGATTTGTCATCTGCCACAGCAAATGTTCTGTAAATGGCAGAAATGACTGTAGTTTCTCTGGAAGGGATGGATATGACTTATTCTGAGTGTAACCAAGAAGTTATAACTGACTGATCAAACAACAATTTTTAAATGTGTCTTATCTTGAAATAGCTTTAACTAGTCTAACACTACCACCAGGAATCATATGCTTGCTACCTTTCAAGAAGCTGTAAATTCAAAATTTTCAAGATTTAGCCTGTATCTCCTAAACTGTTCAGAAACCAATCAACATGGTTTGTCTTCTGTATAGCAGCAGTCCATTGCTTGAAGATTTATCTGCACAGTACTTATATAAGTACTCTTCTCATTAAGGAAAACATTGAATTTAAGTGGGGTTTTATCCAGTGAAATTTATACTTAAAACACCAGATATCTTGTAGGAATCAGGATGTTTTCCATAGTGATTTAGCAAACTATTTGTTAATTAACCTTTGAGTTATGAAATTATTGTTGATGCAGCAAATGTGTGGTTGTTTTGGTAGGGACTGTTTAGATTTGTTGAATTTCAGAATCTTAGATGCTTATGCAGACTTTCCTATCAGTTAAAATAAATTTTACCTTGTTGGCATTTCCAGGCAAAAGAATGTGCCTATGTGACTTTATTTCTGGTGTGTAGATTTTATATTGGTTCTCATATTTCAATACCATTGTTCTATCTAAATAGGCAGTTATAAGTAAGTTCAACCTTGGGAGCTGTATTATCTGTCTTTCTTTACATTTATACAAAGTTATAATGACAGTCATCAAAATTAGATATTTTGGAAGGAAATGTCATTATTCAAACCCATGGGCAGTGTAGATTATGGAATGGGGAGTAAAGAGATGAAAAAATAAATGTTCTTTCTTGTTAATACTTTCTTCTTTCTTCCCGTTTCTGAAGACTCACATCGAAAGTTAGTATCTGTAAAGACTGAAGAGTCTTTAGTAAAGAAACCGTTTTATCTTTGTTATAGCCAGTATTTTCCTCCAACTTTATTTTTTTATAGGACCCATTTTTTCCATAAGAAAGTAGATTGATTTGTTACTTTTTATTATATAGTTACTATGTGGTCATTTGTAAGATATGATTCTAATTCAGAGAGTTGTTAACAAGAAAGTGTCACTAAAAATCATTATTATAGATACATGCTGTCAGTGAATGTTTATGACTCATTTTTTGATAAATATTTATTAACATTACTCAAAGTATTAATGCTTTCTGGAACATACAATAGGAGGAATACCAGAGTAGAGAAGGGAGAAGTCTGTTGTTTAATGGATTTTATTTACTGTTTTAAAAAAAGATAGATTGGTTCAGCTAAACAAAATGTGAATTATAATGGTCAAAGAGATAGGTTGGCTCACTTGAAAAATAAATGTGAATTAACAATAGCTGGTCAGTTTCTTGATCTTTGGGAATACAAAAATACTCTTTTGGATTTACACCCCCTTGGTAGAAGGCCGAGAGGGCTTATGATTCTACTTTGCTAAGAACAATTAAAATTAGGAGGTTTTTCTCTTTTAAGTCACTCCTGTGGCATCATACTCTTAATTCTGCACCTTTTTAAAAAATCTTCACATTGCTTATTATCTGGTCAAACCAGAGTGGGAAGGGAATTGGATGTGGTGGAGATGTTCTTTTCCTCTGAAGCTTGGATTTTAATATTATTAATGTTTATTGGCCCTATCATTTTTATCTTAGAAGATCATAAAAGGAGACTGTTATTTCTGTTTCTGTCTTTATTAGTTAATTAGATTTTATGCAAAGATAACTGCCATTTAATACTGTTTGCTTAACGTAGAATTTACTGTATTCTTAATATCTTTTTCTGCCTTGCATTAGCTCCAACTACCGTGAATGTAACACATCGTCCAGTAACTCAGGTGACCACAAGACTCCCTGTACCAAGAGCTCCTGCAAACCACCAGGTGGTTTATACAACTCTTCCTGCACCACCAGCTCAGGCTCCCTTGCGAGGAACTGTTATGCAGGCTCCTGCTGTTCGGCAGGTCAATCCCCAAAATAGTAAGAGATTTTTCTTGTATATGGCCCCAAGATACATGTAGTTCTCTTCAGCATTTAGTTGGAATGGCATATAATAATGTTAAATTTTGCAAAAATTTCTTATAATGTCATATTAAAAGTATTGTTATAAGTTCAAGAGATCTGTACTACAACATAGAAACTATAGTATAGTTAAAATCAATGTAGTATATTCTTGAAAATAGCTGATAGAGCAGATTTTAAGTATTGTCACCACACACAAAAAAGGTAAGTATGTGAGATCATGCATATGTCAGCTAGATTTAGCCATTCTGCAGTGTATGCATATTTCAAACATGTTGTATACCATAAATATATATAATTTTTGTCAATTAAAAAATAGTTTTCAAAAAAGAAATGGCAGTATAACCAAAACTAATCTATTATTATTTTTCTTCCCTTAGGAGAGTTAAACAGAGAAAATTGTTGATGTATACTAGTTGATTTGTGCTCTGAGTGTTGTCTTTAATTTAACTTTATTTATGGCCTGTATTAGTATAGTACACAATTTGATATTGGTATATTCTCTACTCTATTAAGAAACACCTTACCTAGTTAGAGTGGGAATGGTCAATTGTGATTTACCCCAGATGATGGAAATCATGGTAAAGGATAGCCTTCAATGAGAGTCTTAAAGATATGGAAAGTGGCTGAGAAAAGAAGGGAAAATGTTAAAGAAAGCTTGTAGTTTCTTGTATATATCATATATTAGTTACATACATATGTTACATGCATGTTACATATGTAGATGACATTTTAAAATTATATATTAACCACATGTATATAAGCAGTAGTAGAATATATCACATAAACACAAGCTTATATAAAAGGTATATTTAAACTTTAAAGTAAAGAAAAATAATAAAATGAACTACGTATGAACTCTTCATCAGGTTAAGAAGTAGAAATTTTTCAGTATCCTGTAAGTGGTCTTGTATTCCTGTCTTGACTACATCCCTTTTCCTTTCCATCAAAGGTAACCACTGTTCCTACTTTTCTATTAGTCATTCTGCTTTTCTTTATGATTTTGCCACCAAAATTGATATCATTTAAACATACTAGGGTTCTCTAGAGGACAGAACTAACAGGATAAATAGATATATAAAGGGGAGTTTACTAAGTATTAACTTACATGATCACAAGGTCCCTCAATAGGCTGTCTGCAAGCTGAGCAAGGAAAGCCAGACTGAATCCCCAAACTGAAGAATTTGGAGTCCAGTGTCGAAGGGCAGGAAGCATCCAGCACAGGAGAAAGATGTAGGCTGGAAGGCTAGCCAGTCTCTCCATTTCATGTTTTTCTGCCTGCTTTGTATTCATTGACAGCTGATTAGATTGTGCCCACCAGATTAAAGGTGGATCTGCCTTCTCCAGCCCATTTTCTGCCTGCTTTGTATTCATTGATAGCTGATTAGATTGTGCACACCAGATTAAAGGTGGATCTGCCTTCCCCAGCCCACTGACTCAAATGTTAATCTCTTTTGGCAACACCCTAACAGACACACCCAGGATCACTATTTTGTATCCTTCAATCAAGTTGACATTCAGTGTTAACCATCACAAGTCCACCCCTTGTCAACTTGAATCCATACACATCTCCTCAGATCATACATATTCTTCAAATAAAGAGAGTAATAAGGCCATAATTAAACCTAACATAATACAACTATCCTTTGTACAACCGGAAACACACCAATCCCCAAGCCAAATACTATTACATAAAGTTAACAATACTTAAATGTTGGTAGGAAGTCAATAAATCTTATGTTACGTGATGAAGGAAAAGGAAATAAAGATATTTTCTTGTACAAGTGTATACATGCACAAACATGTTTTTAGCAAAAGAAGGAGGAAATACTCATGACAATTACAGTCTCTGAGTTGGCAACTGGTCACATGGTCCTGGCTGGTATTGATGACTACCTTCTTCTACTACCCATTCTGTGTTCTCTTTGCCTTCAGCAAGCACCTCAGCTGGTCGTGGTTTATTCCTGGTGGAATGACCCAAACCTTCATTCTTGAGTATTTTTATTGCTGCCTAAATTGAGCTATTATAGTTTCCTATTGGCCTTAATCACAGGGCATGGTAATACTAAGAGACACCCTAATGGATCTCCTGTATTCCATGCATACTCTTCCTTACCTCCGTTGTGGAGCAGTAGACTAACTTCTTCTTGGTAGTCCGGGACAGTCACCACAACCAACACTAACTCCTTCGCTAGCCTGTTGACTTAAAGGTAAGAGGAGCCCAAAGTGTCCAGGTGGCAATCTTAAGTTCCAGTTTAATGGAATCATTTTGTCTCCTGGTGGGAGCGTTCCTCCCTCTGGAACTAAGACCTCTAGGCCAGCAGAAAGTAATGTCGCAGGAACAGGAAGCAAAAATTTTGCTAGTGGATCCCTAGGGGTGAAGGTGAGTGGTGCTACTTCCACTTCCACCCCCTGATTCCTGGACCCATGAATCCTGGCTATGGGAGAAACAGCACCATATATAATGGATGCTGATTCAGAGCATACACGGCCTTCTGGAGAACTTTGCCCCAGCCCTGCAAAATACTGTCACCTGGTTGGGGTTGTAATTGTGACTTCAAAAGGCCATTCCTTTTGAATGCTTCAGGACAAAGGGGAACATGGTAAGACCAGTGGATTCCATGAGAACGAGCCCACTGCTGCACTCCTTTAGCCATAAAATGAGTGCTTTGGTCAGAGGCAGTGCTGTGTGGAATGCCATGACGGTGGATAAGGCATTCTGTGAGTCCATGGATAATAGTCTTGGCAGAAGCATTGTGTGCAGCATAGGCAAACCCATATCTGGAGTAAGTGTCTATTCCAGGGAGGACAAACCTCTTCCCTTTCCATGATGGAAGAGGTCCAGTATAATCAACCTGCCACCCGGTAGCTAGCTGATCACCCCGAGGAATGGCGTGCTGTATCGAGGGCTCAGTGTTGGTCTCTGCTGCTGGCAAATTGGGCACTCAGCAATGGCCATAGTCAGGTCAGCCTTGGTAAGTGGAAGTCCATGTTGCTGAGCCCAGGCATCACCTCCATCACTGCCACCATGGCTACCTTGTTCATGGGCCCTTTGGGTGATGACAGGGGTGGCTGGGGAAAGAGGCTGAGTGGTGTCCACAGAACAGGTCATCCTATCCACTGGATTATTAATATCCTCCTCTGCTGAGGTCACCCGTTGGTGAGCACTCACAAGGGATACAAATATCTTCATAGTTTTTGTTACAACCCATAAATATATATAATCATGCATCTGGCCATCTACCCTTCCAAGCAAAGTGCACAACTAGGTGTGCTGCTTGAAGTTCTGCCAACTGGGAATATTTCCCTTCACCGATGTCCTTCAGGGATGTCCTAGAAAGGGGCTGTAGTGCTGCAGCTGTGCACTTTACAGTGGTGCCTGCATATGGTGCAGAACCATCTGTGAACCAGGCCCTAGTCATCTGTTCCGCTGTCAAGTGATCATAGGGACCCCTGTGAGGCCATCAGTACAGGCTGGGGAAGAGAACGCAGCGTGACAGGAGTGGAGATATGGGCATTTGAGCCACTTCCTCATGTAAATTACTTGTGCCTTCGGAACCTGCTTGAGCCCAATCACGTATATACTGCTTCCATTTGATGATGGAATGCTGCTGTGCATGACCCGCTTTATGGCTAAATGGGTCAGAAAGCACCCAGTTCATGATAGTCATCTCAGGTCACATGGTGACTTGATGACCCATAGTCAAATGTTCAGTTTCCACCAAAGCCCAGTTAACAGGCCAAGAGCTGTCTCTCAAAAGGAGAGTAGTTACCTGCAAAAGATGGCAGGGCCTTGCTCCAAAATCCTGGAGGCCTCCACTGTGATTCATCTGTGGGGTCCTGCCAAAGGCTCTCACAGCATCCCTCTCTGCCCCTCACACCTCAAGCACCATTGAATCTGCTGGGTCCTATGGTCCAAGTGGCAGAACAGCTTGCTCAGTAGCATGGACCTGTTGCAGAGCCTTCTCCTGTTCTGGACCGCACTCAAAACTGGCAGCCTTTCAGGTCACTCGATAAATGGGCTGGAGTAACACACCCACATGAGGAATGTGTTGTCTCCAAAATCTAAATCGGCCCACTAGATGTTGTGCCTCTTTCTTGGTTGTAGGAAGGGCCAGATGCAGCAACTAGTCTTTCACCTTAGAAGGCCCCACACCACTGGACCCTAGAAATTTTACTGAGGTAGAAGGTCCCTGCATTTAGTAGGATTTATTTCCCATCCTATGGCACACAAATGTCTCATCAGTAAGTTCAGTGTTTTTGCTACTTCTTGCTCACTTGATCCAATCAGAATAGTGTCATCAGTGTAATGGACCAGTGTGATATCTTCCAGGAGCAAAAACCGATCAAGGTCTCTCTGAATAAGATTATGACACAAAGCTGGAGAGTTGATACACCCCTGAGGTAAGACAGTAAAGGTATATTGCTGTCTTTGCCCACTGAAGGCAAATTGCTTCTGGTGGGCCTTATGGACAGAAATGGAGAAAAAGGATTTGCCAAGTCAATGGCTGCACACCAGGTACTAGGAGATGTGTTAATTTTCTCAAGGAATGAAACCACATCTGGTACAGCAGCTGCAATTAGAGTCACCACTTGATTAAGCTTACAGTAATCCACTGCCATTCTCCATGATCCATCTGTCTTCTGCATAGGCCACATGGGAGAATTGAATGGGGATGTGGTGGCAAGCACCGCCCCTGCATCTTTCACGTCCTTGATGGTGGCACTAATCTCCTCAGTACCTCCAGGTATGGGATATAGTTTTTGATTTACTATTTTTTAGAGGCAGCTCTAATGGCTTCCATTTGACCTTTCCCACCATAGTAGCCCTCACCCTACCAGTCAAGGAGCCAATGTGGTGGTTCTGCCAGCTGCTAAGTATGTCAGTGCCAATTATGCATTTTGGCACTGGGGAAATGACCACAGGATGAATCCAGTAATCCACTGGACCCACTGTAAGTCAGACCTGAGATAAAATTCCATTAATTATCTGACCTCCATAAGCCCCTGCTTTAACTGGAGGACCACAATGATGCTTTGGGTCTCCTGGGATCAATGTAAGCTCAGAACCAGTGTCCAGTAGTCCCTGAAATGTCTGGTCATTTCCCTTTCCCCAGTGCACAGTTACCCTGGTAAAAGGCCAGAGATCTCCTTGGGGAAGGATGGGAGAAAGATTCACTGCGTAAATTGTCAGGAATGTAGTGGGGTCTTTCCTCAAGGGGACGAGGCCTCCCCTTCATTCAAGGGGTTCTTGGTCTGTAAACTGGCTCAAGTCTAGAGATTGATTGAGGGGTTATAATTCTCTTTTTATTATTCAATTTAGTCTTTTGTTCCATTGACCTAGAAGTTTTTTGGTTATATAAATTAAGTAGGAATGCAGTAGGCTTCCTATCAGTTTCATCTCTAGGAACACTGTGATTAATTATCCAATGCTAGAGCTCTATACAAGTCGGACTCTTCTAACTGCCACTTTGCCTCTGCTGTCCATTACGGTAGCTACGCCCACCTTGCCTTTGACAGTTGAGTGCCACCACTTGGCCCCTGCCAACTTAGGATCCAGTTATTTCCATTGTATTTAAATTTTGTAGTTCAGTGACTAAGGTTCCCACCGTTAGATCTGACATACAGAGACGAGCAATTAGAGGGCTCTTCAAAGATACAAGTGCTGCCCTCACAAATCTGTTTCGCAAGGCATTGGTCAAGGGTATATCTTCTGGACCCTCCCAGCTGGGATGACTAGCTCTAAAGTGACTGATTCACTCTACCATCCCAATCTCCTTAGTCTTTGGATCCCTTCCTCTACATTAACCAAGGGAGATAAATCATTTCCAGCTCACTCACAGTGTGCCATCTTTTAATCCTTATTTCAACTAACCAAGCAAATAATCTATTAGAACCTTTTTTTTTAACTCCCTGAGCTGCAACATTAAATGCAGAGTCCCTACTTAGTGGGCCCAAATCAAGAAATTCAGCCTGATCCAACTTTGTTCCTTCCATCATAATCTTATACCCTTAATATCCATCCCCATGCCTGTTCTCTAGGTTTCTGTTTATGTAAATTAGAGAACTCAAAACAGTTCTCTGAGTGTAGCATACCTCCTTATAGGTCACACCTTCAACCTCACCTCTAGGGGCCCACCAGTACTTTAGTGTAGTTATACATCTAGAAGCAAAGAGAGGTGTTTGGAGGGGCTCCTGAGAAGAGTCAACATTGTCTTACCTGGCAACTGCCTCAGAGGAGGCCATCACTGTTGCCTCACATATCACAGGCTTTATTTCCTCAGACAAAGTTGGAAAGACTGATGGCAGCATGGATCAGGGAGGGTACGTTGCCCTCACTGGGTGTAGGGAAGCTGTTCCAATCAATACCCTCACTTTAACTGTAGACACCTGGTGAGTCTGGTACATGCCTCTTTTGTTGTAGGTTAGCCAATTGTATGATAAGAGCTTGTGTCTGTTTTTCTACAATTTCAGCTCTTTCTCTATAGGAGATAACTGTCTCTCACTCAAGGCAGTCTTAGCAGATTTCAGGCTCAGTATTTGCTTCAGAAGCCAGGAGACAGAATCCCTGAGTTCATCATTTTCTTTTATCACTTTGTCCACTGAACTTAGGAGGAACCGACCAGTTTCATTATGTTCCTTGGTTCTCCACATATGGTCCAAGGTATCGTGTATAGAGTCCCTAAACTCCTTGCTTCTCACAAGTGGTGATTCAGGAGTGTCAAATGCATTTATTTTGCATAACTCTCTAAACAGTTCATGCCAGGTACTATCAGTGTTCTTTATACTACTAGAAGTAGAGTCCTTAGCATTTGTGGGTCTAATCATATTAAGCAGCCAACTCCAGAAACCCCAAAATCAATGAAAGAACTCCATCCTTAATATTCGGTTCTTCTAGACCCCCAATCCTGGTACCAAAATCTGAATTAGGGTTCTCTAAAGGGACAGAACTAATAAGATGGACACACACACATGCACACACACACGTATCCTATAAATTTGTAGATATAGTATATTTTTATATATATCTATAGTATAAAGAGTAGTTTATGAAATATTAACACGATCACAAGATCCCACAATAGTCTATCTGCAAGCTTAGGAGCAAGGAAAGCTAGTCTGACACCCAAAAACAGAGGAACTTGGAGGCCGATGTTTCAGGGTAGGAAGCATCCAGCACAGGAAAAAGATGTAGGCTGGGAGGCTAAGGCTAAGCCTGTCTCTCCTTTTCACGTTTTTCTGCCTGCTTTATATTTGTTGGCAGCTGATTAGATTGTGCCCAGCAGATGAAGGGTGGATCTGCCTTCCCCAGCCCACTGACTCAAATGTTAATCTCTTTTGGCAACACCCTCACAGACACACGCAGGATTAATACTTTGTGTCCTTCAATCCAATCAAGTGACATTTAGTATTAACCATCACAAGTCTACCGCTTGTCAACCTGAACCCATATACATCTCCTAATATCATACGCAGCCTTCAAATAAAGAGGGTAATAAGGCCATACTTATGCCTAACATAATACAATTATCCTTTGTACAACCAGAAGCGCACCAATCCCCAAGCCAAATACTATTACATAAAGTTAACAATACTTAAATGTTGATAGGAAGTCAATAAATCTTATGTCACATGATGAAGGAAAAGGAAATAAAGACATTTTGTTTGTACAAGTGCATACATGCACAAACATGTTTTTAGCAAAAGAAGGAGGAAATACTCATGACAATTACAGTCCCCATTTCTGCAACTGGTCACATGGTAGTAGCTGGTATTGATGACTACCTTTTTCTACTACCCATTCTGTATTCTCTTTGCCTTCAGCAAGCACCTCATCTGGTAGTGGTTTTACTCCTGGTGGAGTGACCCCATCCTTCATTCCTGAGGGGTCTGGGCCATTTTTAGTGCTGCCTAGATTGGGCTGTTATAGTTTCCTGTTGACCTCAATCACAGGGCATGGTAATACTAACAGACGCCTTAATGGATCTCCTGTATTCCATGTATACTCTTCCTTACCTCCATTGTGGAACAGTAGACTGATTTCTTCTTGGCAGTCCGGGACAGTCACCACAGCCAACACTAACTCCCTTGTTAGCCTGTTGACTTAAAGGTAGGAGGATCCCAAAGTATCCAGGTGGCAATCTTAAGTTCCAGTTTAATGGAATCATTTTGTCTCCTGGTGTGAGCGTTCCTCCCTCTGGAACTAAGACCTCTAGGCCAGCAGAACGTAATGTCGCAGGAACAGGAAGCAAAAATTTTGCAAGTGGATCCCTAGGGGTGAAGGTGAGTGGTACCACTTCCACTTCCACCCTCTGATTCGTGGACCCATGAATCCTGGCTATGGGAGAAACAGCACCATATATTGGACGCTGATTCAGAGCATACATGGCCTTCTGGAGAATTTTGCCCCAGACTTGCAAAGTATTGTCACCTAGTTGGCATTGTAATTGTGACTTCAAAAGGCCATTCCACCGTTCTGTAAATCCAGCTGCTTCAGGACAATGGGGAACATGGTAAGACCAGTGAATTCCATGAGCATGAGCCCACTGCTGCACTTACTCAGCCGTACAGTGAGTGCCTTGGTTAGAGTCAATGTTGTGTGGAATACCATGGCATTCTGTGAGTCCATGGATAGTAGTCTTGGCAGAAGCATTGTGTGCAGCATAGGCAAACCCATATCTTGAGTATATGTCTATTCCAGGGAGGAGAAACCTCTTCCCTTTCCATGATGGAAGAGGTCCAATATAATTAACCTGCCACCAGGTAGCTAGCTGATCACCCCGAGGAATGGCATGCCCGAGCGAGGGCTCAGTGTTGGTCTCTTCTGCTGGCAAATTGGGTACTCGGCATTAGCCATAGTCACGTCAGCCTTGGTAAGTGGAAGTCCATGTTGCTGAGCCCAGGCATCACCTCCATTACTGCCACCATGGCTACTATGTTCATGAGCCCATTGGGCGATGACACGGGTGGCTGCGGATAGAGGCCGAATGGTGTCCACAGAACGGGTCATCCTATGGACTTGATTATTAATATCCTCCTCTGCTGAGGTTACCCATTGGTGAGCATTCACAGGGGATACAAATGCCTTCACAGTTTTTGACCACTTAAAGAGGTCCATGCCCAGAGCTCTTCCCCAAATTTCTTTGTCACCAATTTTGTAATGATGCTTCTTCCAAGTCCCTGACCATCCAACCAAACCATTGGCTACAGCTCATGAATCTATATAATCACACATCTAGCCATTTCTCTTTCTAAGCAAAGCACACAGCCTGATGCACTGCTCCAAGTTCTGCCCACTGAGAAGATGTTCCTTCACTGCTGTTCTTCAGGGATGTCCTAGAAAGGGACTGTAGTGCTGCAGCTGTGTACTTGCCGGTGGTGCCTGCATATGGTGCAGAACCATCTGTGAACCAGGACCTAGTCTTAATCTTCCACTGTCAAGTGATCACAGGGACTCCCCATGAGGCCATTGGTGCAGGCTGGGGAAGACAAGGCAGGGTGTCAGAGGGGAGACACGGGCATTTGAGCCACTCCTCATGTAAATTACTTCTGCCGTCCGCACCTGCTCGAACCCAATCACATATATACCACTTCCATTTGATTATGGAATGCTGCTGTGCATGACCCACTTTATGGCTAAGTGGGTCAGAAAGCACCCAGTTCATGATGGTCATCTCAGGTGACTTGATGACCCATAGTCAAATGTTCAGTTTCCACCAAAGCCCCTTTAACAGGCCAAGAGCTGTCTCTCAAAAGGAGAGTAGTTACCTGCAAAAGATGACAGGGCTTTGCTCCAAAGTCCTGGAGGCCTCCACCGTGATTCACCTATGGGGTCCTGCCAAAGGCTCTGACAGCATCCCTCTCTGCCCCTCACACCTCAAGCACCATTGAATCTGCTGGGTCCTATGGTCCAAGTGGCAGAACAGCTTGCCCAGTAGCACGGACCTGCTGCAGAGCCTTCTCCTGTTCTGGACCACACTCAAAACTGGCAGCCTTTCAGGTCACTTGATAAATGGGCTGGAGTAACACACCCACATGAGGAATGTGTTGCCTCCAACATCCAAATAGGTCCACTAGACGTTGTGCTTATTTCTTGGTTATAGAAAGGGCCAAAGGCAGCAACTAGTCTTTCACCTTAACAGGAATGTGTTGACAGGCCCCACATCACTGGACCCCTAGAAATTTTACTGAGGTAGAAGATCCCTGAATTTGGTCAGATTTATTTCCCATCCTCTGGCACACAAATCTCTCACCAATAAGTCCAGTGTTTTTGCTACTTCTTGCTCACTTGATCAATCAGAATAATGTCATCAACGTAATGGAGCAGTGTGGTATCTTGCAGGAGCAAAAAGTGATCAAGGTCTCTCTGAATAAGATTATGACACAAAGCTGGAGAGTTGATACACCCCTGAGGTAAGACAGTAAAGGTATGTTGCTGTCTTTGCCCACTGAAGGCAAATTGCTTCTGGTGGGCCTTATGGACAGAAATGGAGAAAAAGGATTTGTCAAGTCAATGGCTGCACACCAGGTACTAGGAGATGTGTTAATTTTCTCAAGGAGTGAAACCACATCTGGTACAGCAGCTGCAGTTAGAGTCACCACTTGATTAAGCTTACAGTAATCCACTGCCATTCTCCATGATCCATCTGTCTTCTGCATAGGCCACATGGGAGAATTGAATGGGGATGTGGTGGCAAGCACCGCCCCTGCATCTTTCACGTCCTTGATGGTGGCACTAATCTCAGTACCTCCAGGTATGGGATATAGTTTTTGATTTACTACTTTTTAGAGGCAGCTCTAATGGCTTCCATTTGACCTTTCCCACCATAGTAGCCCTCACCTTACCAGTCAAGGAGCCAATGTGGTGGTTCTGCCAGCTGCTAAGTATGTCGATGCCAATTATGCATTTTGGCACTGGGGAAATGACCACAGGATGAATCCAGGAATCCACTGGATCCACTGTAAGTCAGACCTGAGACAAAATTCCATTAATTATCTGACCTCCATAAGCCTGTACTTTAACTGGAGGACCACAATGATGCTTTGGGTCTCCTGGGATCAGTGTAAGCTCAGAACCAGTGTCCAGTAGTCCCTGAAATGTCTGATCGTTTCCTTTTCCGCAATGCACAGTTACCCTGGTAAAAGGCCAGAGATCTCCTTGGGGAAGGATGGGAGAAAGATTCACTGCATAAATTGTCAGGAATGTAGTGGGGTCTTTCCTCAAGGGGACGAGGCCTCCCCTTCATTCAAGGGGTTCTTGGTCTGTAAACTGGCTCAAGTCTGGAAATTGATTGAGGGGTCATCATTCTGTTTTTATTATTCAATTTAGTCTTTTGTCCATTTGACCTAGAAGCTTTCTGGTTGTATAAGTAGGAATGCAGTAGGCTTCCTATCAGTTTCATCTTTAGGAATATTGTGATTAATTAGCCAATGCCAGAGATCTATACAAGTCAGACTCTTCTGATTGCCACTTTGCCTCTGCTGTCCATTATGGTAGCTATGCCCACATTGCCTTTGACAGTTGAGTGCCACCACTTGGCCCCTGCCAACTTAGGATCCAGTTATTTCCATTGTATTTAAATTTTGTAGTTGAGTGACTGCAGTTCCCGCTGTTAGATCTGACATATAGAGTCGAGCAATTAGAGGGCTCTTCAGAGATTCAGGTGCTGCCCTCACAAATCTGTTTCGCAAGGCATTGGTCAAGGGTATATCTTCTGGACCCTCGCAGCTGGGATGACTAGCTCTAAAGTGACTGATTCACTCTACCATCCCAATCTCCTTAGTCTTTGGATCCCTTCCTCTACATTAACCAAGGGAGATAAATCATTTCCAGCTCTCTCACAGTGTGCCATCTTTTAATCCTTATTTCAACTAACCAAGCAAATAACCTACTAGAACCTTTTTTAACTCCCTGAGCTGCAACATTAAATGCAGAGTCCCTACTTAGTGGGCCCAAATCAAGAAATTCAGCCTGATCCAACTTTGTTCCTTCCACCATAATCTCATACCCTTAATATCCATCCCCATGCCTGTTCTTCAGATTTCTGTATATTTGAATTAAAGAACTCAAAACAGTTCTCTGAGTGTAGCATACCTCCTTATAGGTCACACCTTCAACCTCACCTCTAGGGGCCCACCAGTACTTTAGTGTAGTTATACATCTAGAAGCAAAGAGAGGTGTTTGGAGTGGCTCCTGAGAAGAATCAACATTGTCTTGCATGGCAACTGCCTCAGGGGAAGCCATCACTCTTGCCTCACATATCACAGGCTTTATTTCTTCAGACAAAGTTGGAAAGGCTGATGGCAGCATGGGTCAGGGAGTGGATGTTGCCACTACTGGGGATGGGGAAGCTGTTCTTTCTGGCAAAAAAGCTTCATCAGAATTTACAAACTCAGTGTCCCCAGCTTCATCAGGGTGCTTCTACACACCCCCATTCCAAGTTTCAGGGTCCCATTCTTTTCCAGTCAGTGCCCTCCCTTTAACAGTAGACACCTGGCAAGGCTGTGCATGTATCTTTCATTGCAGGTCAGACACTCGCATGATAAGAGCTTGTGTCTGTTTTTCCACAACTTCAGCGCTCTCTCTACAGGAGATAAGACTCTCATTCAGGGCAATCTTAGCAGTTTTGAGCCTCAGTATCTTCTTCTGAGGCTGAGAGACAGAATCCTTGAGTTCATCATTTTCTTTCATCACTTTTTCCACTGCACTTAGGAGCAACTGACCAGCTTCATTATGTTCCTTGGTTCTCCACATATGGTCCAAGGTATTATGTATAGAGTCACTAAACTCCTTGCTTCCCACAAGCAGTGAATCAGGAGTGTCAAATGCATTTATTTTGCATAACCCTCTAAACAGTTCACACCAGGGACTATCAGTGTTCTCTATACTATTAGAATTAGAGTTTTTAACATTTTTGGGTCTAATCACATTAAGCAGCCAACTCCAGAAACCCCAAAACCAATGAAAGAACTCCATCCTTAATATTCTGTTCCTCTGGACCCCATTCCTGGTACCAAAATCTGAATTAGGGTTCTCTAGGGGGACAGAGCTAATAGAATATATATATATATATATATATATATATATATATATATATATATATATATGTGTGTGTGTATATGTATATATACACATATGTTTCCTATATATAGTATTCATATAATATATACTATATATAAACTAATAGGATATATATATTTTATATATTATATATGTATTAAACTAATAGGGTATATACATAAAATATATACTACATATAAACTAATTGTATATATACTTTATATCCTACTATATATATACAGTATATCTTAATTATATATAAATATTAAATATATGTAAAATACTTTATATATAGTGAATGTTTATATATATAAAGGGGAGTTTATTAAGTATTAATTTACATAATCAGAAGTTCCCACAATAGACTGGGCATGGTAGCTCACGCCTGTAATCCCAGCAGTATGGGAGGCCAAGGCAGGCAGATCACTTGAGGTCAGGAGTTCGAGATGAGCCTGGCCAACATCGTGAAACCTCATCCCTACCAAAAATACAAAAATTGGCTGGGTGTGGTGGCACAAGCCTGTAATCTCACCTACTTGGGAGGCTGAGGCAGGAGAATCTCTTGAGCCCAGGAGGCGGAGGTTGCAGTGAGCCGAGATCATGCCACTGCACTCCAGCCTGGGCAACAGAGCCAGACTCTGTCTCAAAAAAAAAAAAAAAAAAAAAAAGATCCCACAGTAGGCTGTCTGCAAGCTGAGGAGCAAGGAAGCCAGTCTGAGTCCCAAAACTGAAGAACTTGGAGGCCAATGTTCCAGGGCAGGAAGCATCCAGCACAGGAAAAAGATGTAGGCTGGGAGGCTAAGGCTAAGCCTGTCTCTCCTTTTCACGTTTTTCTGCCTGCTTTATATTTTCTGGCAGCTGATTAGATTGTGCCCACCAGATGAAGGGTGGATCTGCCTTCCCCAGTCCACTGACTCAAATGTTAATCTCTTTTGGCAACATCCTCACAGGCCCACCCAGGGTTAATACTTTGTGTCCTTCAATCTAATCAAGTTGACACTCAGTATTAACCATCACACATATGTTGTAGTTTTGCAAAATGTGACAGCAAGGGAAAATATAGCTATTTAAAGAAACACAGTAATGCTATCATTTAGAAAATAAACTGATTGGAGTCCCTGGATCATAGCTTGGCTTCAACTCTCTCAAGTTTACAAGAGCGTTGTCTGGGAAAATTAATCAACAAGGTTAGAAATGAGTTCTGGGAAACTTGGCTCACTATAGTCCAGGAACCAGGCCGAACTACAGCATGGGCCAGGTACTGAATAAATGGCAGGAATATAGTTAGGGCAGTAGGTGGCTCTAAATTTTCTCTTTTTGTTTCCCTGGTGTATGTCACAGCAGTTTTCTGTGGGGTGAAGTGAGTATCCTCAACCAAGGAGCTGGGCATGGAGAAAATGAGAGGAACCTCATTAATACATGGCAAGGATGACTTATTCTGGCTTTCTGTCCTGGTTGAAAAGATGAGACTGCAGAGATTTTTATGAAGATACTCCCAGTTTGTCTGTCTTTTGAGTCACACTGCTCCATTATGGCCATTTACCTTTTACATGTGGTACACAACCAGTGTTCTAGGATTTTTGTTCATAGTTCTCCTGGTAACGATCCATTTATTTCTCCCTGTGCTGGACCTCCTGTTGCTTGTGTCTCGTGTTTTTCTCTTTATTTTCTCACGTACTGGTGGCACATATTCTCCATTGACTATTTGAGAAAGGGTTTGTGGTAGTTAGAATTTTTTTTTAGTGCTTGCATGTAAGAAAGTTTTTTTATCCACAGGCTGATTGATAGCTTGGCTGAATACGAACAGGACCTCTAGGTTAGAAATATCTTTCCTTTCGAATCTTGAAAACATTGCTTCACTGCCTTCAAATATTTAATCAGTTTTCCACCAAATTTACAATAGAATTATCATTTTATCCTGTAATTTTTTTGTTTGTTTGTAGGTGTTACAGTTCGAGTGCCTCAAACAACCACATATGTTGTAAACAATGGACTAACCCTGGGATCAACAGGACCTCAGCTCACAGTGCATCACCGACCACCACAAGTGCATACTGTAAGTGTTGATGCTTGGTTTTGCAAAATTCTCAACTGTAGAGGTATAAAATATTATTGTATTTGGCATTTTTCTTTAAAATGGTTATATCCAAGGGAAGTGTTAGGTCTTCCTGCTTTTTCAGAAGTTTATTTCTAAAAATTGATCTTACCATTATGAACACATAGTTCCTAGGGATGATGATCATTTAGAATCATTGAGTTTGCTTGTGGTGTACAGTGTACAAAAACAGGTCCACAGTTGGGGTATATGAAGTGAAATATAGACCATTTCTAATTCATAGTTAAATTAAAAAGGACATTTTTCATTTCTCCATGTGTTAATTTTATTCTTTCGTTCTAAACTATGCCACATCTAACTGCTACATTGTCATCAATTAATTGTTCTAAAGAATCCAATGATATTGGGAATTCATTAGTTAAGAGGTAACAGAGATAACCAAAGATTTCTCCTTAGATTTAGCCTCCAAAACAATGTCACATTATCCTGTGACACAATTTTGTCAGTGTTTGACTGGTATGAAATATCATTATAATGATGATGATGTTCCAGTGTTAGAAAAGTCAATAGGACTTCCTAAAGTTAGAGTCATGTTTTTTCATCATCTGGCCTTAACCTACCTTTCCAGATTTTTCTTCATGTACCCTATGTCCAAGAAAAAGTTAATACTTGTTCTTGTCCATACGTCCCCTCACTTTACTGTCCACATGCCTTTGCTCATGCTTTATTTTTGGCTGAAAGGTACATGATTATTTCTGCATCTCTGGATCCTCCTTCACAGTTGAGTTTAAATATCACCTTTTTCTTGTAAATTGGCCAAGAATATAGTACACATTTAGTGTTAATGTGCTTATTTATAAATAACTTAAAAATGAAAGTATATTTGTATTCTCCAATTTTATATGATCTTGGTTGCCATACATGATATTTAAAAATGTTACATCATACTGAAATGATAATCTGTAACATAGATAATTCAATCATAAATTATTTTGTTAGAAATAGATCATTACTTCCGTGTTCCTCAAAATGATGTTCCGTCAGCAGGGGCTTTTTATTTCCTAAGAAAAACTCAAAATATTTTAGGTCTAGGAAGTATAGTAGGAATAACCTCAGCATCATTGTTTGTAGCATGATTCATTACAAAACCCCAAATAGAACTTGCCAAATTTGATATGGTATTTGGTATTTCCTAGAATTCTTGATATAAAATGATACTTCTACGTATGTTCTCTAAGGTGTTTTAATTCTAACATTCTAAAATAGTTCTTTTTGCAATCATCATTAATCAGTGTGACCTGTTTCTTCAGGAGCCCCCACGCCCCGTGCACCCAGCACCCTTACCAGAAGCTCCACAACCACAGCGTCTGCCCCCAGAAGCTGCCAGCACATCTCTGCCTCAGAAGCCACACTTGAAGTTAGCACGCGTTCAGAGTCAAAATGGCATAGTACTGTCATGGAGTGTCCTGGAGGTGGATCGAAGCTGTGCCACTGTTGATAGCTACCATCTCTATGCTTACCATGAGGAACCCAGTGCCACTGTGCCCTCACAATGGAAAAAGATTGGGGAAGTCAAGGCACTTCCCTTGCCCATGGCATGTACTCTCACCCAGTTTGTATCTGGTAGCAAATACTACTTTGCAGTACGAGCCAAGGATATTTATGGACGTTTTGGGCCTTTCTGTGATCCTCAGTCAACAGATGTGATCTCTTCTACCCAGAGCAGTTAAACCTTGGAGCCTTTATATTTTCCTCTTTTAAAATTTCCACCTTTTGGTCTTGTTTTTAATCTTGTGCATGATACCCCATGTAAAATCCACCTTGTGCAAGATTTCTTGGACAGATGTGTGTATACACTACATTTGTTTATAACCAGAAGCAAAATAAACTCAGCCCACAAAGCTAGAATCTTTTCCTGGACAGTTTAGGCTTTGGGGTTTGGAAATGTAAATGTGTACCTTGCTTTAGTTTTGAGGCTGGGGAATATGTGTGGGTGTTTATGTGTGTTTTTCCTTATGTAGGTGTTATTGCATTGGAGTCTCCCATTTTCATTCTCAAATTTACCTCTTAAAGTACGAAGTAAGTAGATCAAAGGATTTGAGATGTGTAACTGGCATGATTCTGCTTTTGAAGGATCTATAGTATCATTTTAGTTAAGTGGGTCAAACAGAATCAAAACAAAACCCAAAGAAATAAATAAAAAACAAAATGGCTAAATAGTTTAAAATAGGTTAATTCGAACACAGGAAAGGATCTATTTGTTGTTTCTTTTGTCTGGTCTCCTGAGTTGTTAATTAGGTGAAAAAAGATCTGCAATGGCCCCCTCCCTTTCCTAATCTGGCTTTTACATTTATTTTGTGCCTTAAAGATTAACTACAAAGATAAACATGGCCAAAAATAAATAAATAAATATGGCCATATGTCCGTTGTTGCTTAGTCTTCCCTTGCAGCCTTTTACCCTTGATTTCTCCTTCATCTCTACCAAATATAGCACAACTCCTCAAGTAATTTTTTTTTTTTAAGATGGAGTTTTGCTCTTGTTGCCCAGGCTAGAGTGCGGTGGCACAATCTTGGCTCACTGCAACCTCTGCCTCCTGGGTTCAAGCAATTCTTCTGTCTCAGCCCCAGAGTAGCTGGGATTACAGGCACCTGTCACCATGCCCGGCTAATTTTTGTATTTTTAGTAGAGATGGGGTTTCACCATGTTGGCCAGGCTGGTCTTGAACTCCTGACCTCAGGTGATCCACCCGCCTCGGCCTCCCAGAGTGCTGCGATTACAGTTGTGAGCCACTGTATCCAGCCTACTCAAGTGATTTTTAAACCAAGGTGTGTGTATGTACATGGATGTGTATGTACACACACACACAGGTGCATGCATAGTCTCATCTTAGCCGGGCATGGTGGCGACAATCACATTTAACTCCAAAAATTTGACGTGCTATTTTCTTCTAAAACTATAGATGCTTTTATTTTTGGTCACTATTTAACTTTGTGTAAAGTGGACCAAGAGAAAACCATATTGTGGAAGACAGTTTTTCACACATTTTAGTATCCGTGTTGCACACTGTGTTAGAGATTATGAAAACCATTCTAGTTCAGTTTATCACCCAAAGCTATCACCCAACACTAACTCCTTAGTATTCTTTCAAAGGAAGCAAATAGTAAGATTACAATATAGAATGAGCTAAAATATCAAGGGGAAAGCTTCATTTCCTCTTTATTCTCTTTATCGTCCTTCCCATTTTAACCTTTTAACTTTGTTTTGATGGTGCCAAGTTGAGTCTGATGTACCCATTGTTAGCTTTGGATAGAATTTAAAGTATATCCCAGAATTAGCTGGGCATGTTGGTGCATGCCTGTAATCCCAGCTACTCAGGAGGCAAGGCTGGAGAATCGCTTGAACCCGGGAGGCGGAGGTTGCAGTGAGCTGAGATTGCGCCATTGCACTCCATCCTGGGAGACAAGAGCGAAACTCTGCCTCAAAAAAAAAAGAATTTAAAGTATATCCTTTGAGGTCATTTTATGTAACAATTAGATATAACCTCCTGTGTATCTCTCTGTTCCTCTTCAAAGTTATTAAAATTCAGCTTAGGTCATGGATTTTTAATATGAGGGCCAGCTGTACTGGTGTCAGGTAGGTGTTTTGGGTGTAGATAATTTAGGACTGGAGGGCTGAGTTAAGTTTTAGGAGGAGAATGTGGTTGAGAATATTTTGAAAGGAATTTATGGAGTTTGTGAAATAACTTCGAAGTCCTCTTCCTTTACAATATTTGAATTCATATTTGTACCTTCTCAAAATAGTGATTCATTTTTCCTAGAATTACAGGAGGGAGCTCTTTTACTAATGTTGTTTTGTTTGCAACTTTGATGGCTTATAATAGGAAGTATTCTAGTTGTAAAGAAAACTCTTTAGAGACTTTTGACTGGTCAGTATACTGAGGTGTGAGATTTGATTCATGATGAAGAAAGCCTATAGATTGCCAAAAAATTAATTCTCCAAACCACCTTTCACTCTCAGAAAATGAGACCACAAAGGAGTATGCTATAAATCAAATTTGCCAACCAATTATGTAGATATTACTCATTCTAGGACTAATGATGATGGTAAAGAAGTTGCCAGTGTTATGGCAATGAAAATTTCAGAAAGGAGGAGTTGATGATCTTCTAGATGTATATGAACACCTGTCTATATCTGCATGTATATGTTTTGACCTGCAGTGGTTGCAATGTTGATATGTGTTCAAGATTATTCCTGTCTACAAAACTGAAGGCCCATGTTCAAATTGTTCTTTATTGGGTGTTTTTATGGTCACGTGGTAACAATTTTCTTACCTAACCTACAAAAGGTTCTCTTGATGAACATTTTTATTTATATTTACTAATCTTTTTTAAAAAAAGCTTTCATAGCATTATATAATCAGATGAAGAAAGCCCAGTAGAATAAAAAAAAAATTCATTAGCCTAGCCTATATTATGTTTTCTGTCAAAGGAAAACAAATTCTCAAATAGGAATTCTAAAAATATTTACTAAAGTAAAATAACTACTTAAAATGTTTTATTCCAGTTGGAAGGAAGGTACAGGGAGAAATCGCAATTATTTAGGGGAGAAGTATATTTATTATAAGATGGTGTCCTCAAATTAGCCTACCATGGCACGTAGGGGCAGCAGCTATATTAGATTTACTAGAGGTGCTAAGTTAGAACACTAGGCTTTTATTGAGGCAGGTTTTAATATTGATAGATGCTTTTTGTTTGGTTTGTTTCTTCTGGGAGAGAATGGAGGACTTAAGTAGAAGTAGCTACTGATAACAGACTTTCTAGTAGCAGTTTCCACTCCACGGTTACCTTTTTAGTTTCATAGTATCTTTTCACAAAGTATTACAAATAAGCTAGATTCTCCCAGTTTGGGAATGCAAGTTTGCTACATTTTTAGCCTGGCAATATTTGTGTAGGTATTGCCTTATTGGAAATTCTGGAAACCTGATACTGCAACCTGCAATGTAGGATGTTTGTATGGCATTTAAAGGTAATGGTGATGTTTATTATTCTATACTTTGCATTCTGTGAGAGTAATTTTCACTCTGTCTTAAGTGTGAGTAAGCCTCTTCTAAAAATCTTGTTCTTGCCAAGAAATTTATAAATCACATACGAAGACGTCTGTTGCTAACAGTTAACTTTATGAGGTAACTATATCCTTCTATTTCTCTGGACTCATTTTTAAAAAATATGCCGAATACTGCATACTGTTTAAGGTAGTATATAAGTTTATGAGAGAAGTGGAGAGCTTTCTTCCTTGAAAAGTCGGTATTTGTTGAGATACCATTTGCCTCACAGAGAGGTGTTCCCCACTCCCATCCCCATTGCCAGATAATAAATATTTTGAGAAAAGTGACCTAAAACAGCTGAAATCTTAGGTGCATCTGTCTGCAGACCTCCTTAAGCAGGCTGTATCTTACAATTCCCTTACTGCACTGGGTAAGTGTTAACTTAGTTTTTGTTGTTTGCTCTTTTGCTTTAAATATTCTCCAAATTACCATTTATGCAACATGGTTAGGGTTAATACTGCATGGTATTCATTTATCTTGTTTCATGAACTTTCCAGTACTGTACAAGGTCAACAAAGTAATGCCTGTGGTATCCTCATCTCTCACTTTTTTACTCTGTGATTTTAGCACAGTAAGGTACTGCAAAGACCTTCCTTCCAAATGTTCTCCTTGACTTTATTTCTTGGGCCAATTCAGTATCCTCAACATCCTAAGATTTTGTTGTTTTATCACTGACCTGTGGTTGGCCTGTTTTATTCTAATTTCCAGAAAAGTCAAGTCCCAGTATTTGCAATATCAAATAACTCTAAAACCGATGTGTGATTCTACCTTCCTTACTATTTTTACTGGGCAAATGCCCTATTTTTTTAATTATTATTATTTTTAACTTTTGGGACACACAAAAATCAGCAATTCTCATGAAGCGTTTGTTAGTGTGGCAGACTTGTCTAATTCCTGAAACTCATTCATCCCCTTGAGCCAGCCAATGGGGAGGAATAGGATAATGCAAACACATGTTTTGTTTTCTCATTTTCAAATAATTTACCATGTTAAAATAAACTTTTCTTTGTTTTTTATTTGTAGAGTCAGCTAAGTACCCATATTTAAATGCCGTCTTTATTATTTTTTTGAGGTCTTTGTTTTTGTCTGTTTTTGTTTTGTTTTGTTTTGTAAATAAGGTAACTGGGCAATCAAACACCTTTTGGGGATTCTGGCTTTAGTATTTTATCAGCCATTTTAAAATTAAATATAAAAATCCTTTGTAAGAAACTTGCATCCTAATTTTTCTTTATTGCAATTGAAAGTGTAAATAATAAGACAATGTAAGTAAGACCTTCCTAATGTCTAATACAAACTGGGCTCCAGCAAGTGGCCCTATTTTTATTAGGGTTTTGAAGGTTTGTGTGTGTGTGTGCGTGCGTGTGTGTGTTTTTCTTTTTTAAATGTATAGTAGAGTGGTGTCTGTATAAGTGTTACCTGTAGTGGGGTTTTGTCCAGCAAGCCTGAAATTTATACTTTGAAATAAAACTACTGGGTTTTTAACATTCTGAGTACTCTGATTAATTCTGGTTATTCACCCTTGTGGCTTTTTTTCTTTCTTTCTTTTTTAAGAATCTTCCACCTTGTTTAGAATCACCCATTACATACTGTATGGTATGGCTTATTTAATCTACTTGGCAATTCCATGGCACTCAGATCACATGTAACTCTCCAGTTTCGAAAGAAAGTTGCTATGCAGGGTTGCTGCCAGATTGTATAGGTGCTTTTAGCTTATAGGAGGCAACAGTAAGCTTTACTGTATTGTATGCCTAACCTACATCACAAAAAGACTCAACTTATGCCTGTTAATGACCAGAAAAATCACTAACTACAATCACCAACTACTACTAGAGGTTCCTTTGAAAACGAAGCTCCAGCATCCCCTAGGGTTTTGTCATTAGGCATATTCATCCAGGGAAAGGGGAAAGAGCATAGGAGGAGTACAGATTCTTATGGGCGAGGCCTGGAAGTGGCACTCGTCTCAGGTTCCAATGGCTAGAATTGTCATGTGGCACAACTATCTGAGGGACACTGGGAGATGTGGTCTGTGTGAGCAGGCGTGAAAGGAGAACATGAATTCTGGTGAATGAAGGAGCTGTTTCTTCCATACCCTCTTGTGTATTAGCATGTATGCCGAAGCTTAGTGTTATTTATATATATATGTAACATTTCTTCTACAGTGCTCTACCTTATAGTGAGTGCTTACTGTAAAAACAACAAAGTCAGTGGGAAATGAAAGTGACAAATTAATATATTTTATTGCATAATTCTGATGGGAAAAACATAGCTAAAATAGTGCCTTTGGTATCTTATTTACAGTCTTCTAGTCCGTCATCTCCCTCCTTCATTTTATATCAAGTTTCAAAATTGGTTTCATGGTAATAAAATCAAAGTTGTAGACCTCTGGCATGCCCTGATGTAGAGTTTTGTTGAAACGGTCCCAGCGAAAAACAGGGAGGCCACCTTGTACTGTGGGACCACTTATGGCATAGGATGTGTACTGAGATGCTAGGTAGATATCTGCCACCTGGAAAGAGGGAGGAGGAGGACATTTTAGAAAATCATCGTTCAGCAAAAAATTAAATCCATGGCCTTCCCCACTCTCCCACTACCAAAGTCACAATATTAGCTTTTTTTTTGAGTCGGAGTTTCGCTCTTGTTGCCCAGACTGGAGTACAGTGGCACAATCTCAGCTCATTGCAACCTCTGCCTCCCAGGTTCAAGCAATTCTCCTGCCTCAGCCTCCCAAGTAGCTAGGATTACGTGGATGGGCCACCACACCCAGGTAATTTTTATATTTTTAGTAGAGATGGGGTTTTGCCTTGTTGGCCAAACTGGTCTCGAACTCCTGATCTCAGGTGATCCGCCCGCCTCAGCCTCCCAAAGTGCTGGGATTACAGGCATGAGCCACCGCGCCAGGCCGCCTTCTTTAAAACAAAATTTTCTTGCCATTTTTCACATTGTCTTTATATGATACAGTCTTCTGTATACATTTGGCTTAAATGTCAGTTGACTAGAAGTGTGTGAAATGAACAATGTAGCCAAAAGTGAGATATGAAGTCAGATTACTCATATTCAGAATTCTAGCTCCAAAGCTTATTTAAAAATCACTTAACCCCTCTATGAATCAGTGTTCTCCTTTGTAAAATGGGCTGATAACCCTACTTCATAGAGTTGGCATGAGGATTAATGCAAGCAATGCTCAAAGTAATGCCTAGAATAGATGAAGTTCTTAGAAAAAGTTGTTATTAATCAGGGTGGTAACAAGAGTCTGAAAGTAGATAGAGCTCACTGTCAAAAATTGAGGGCCGTGGTTCTCAAAAACACCTAACAACTGGCTAGCAGTGGGTCTTAATCTTAGAGGGGAAAGAGAATCTCTTCTTCTTTTCCCCATATTCAAAATGACTCTAAAGAGATAAATTACATTTTTAAAGAATATCCTTCAACAGAAACTTTCTGATAAGAACAATTGCAGGCCTCTGTCTCCAGAAGTGAGATTTGGTAGAGGGAAGCTTGGCTTGAGTTCTCCCAGGCAAGGCAGCAGAGGTGATTTTCTTTGTGTATTCTGTGATAGATACAAACTTCACACATTGACTGAATGTTTGCAAATGCCATTTTAAAAAAGGAATACAAAAACATTCATTGGGGTTTCATCTGTGCCAGCTTCTCTACGTCTACCTTTTTTTTTTTTTTTTTTAATGTTAACATTGAGAGTCATTACGGCTAAAGCTTTGCCTTCATCACATAGCTAAAAAGAAGGTTGAGCTGGAACTTAGGATACTTTAAAGCATTTCCTGTTTAGGTATTAGGCTGATAGAGAATCATGTGCAACTGGGGTCAGCATTCCTATAATTTTTTGAGCCAAAGACAGAATACACACTTTACCCTGACAGGTTTCTTCCAGAATTTAGGACAGCTGATGAAATGAAAAGACACACACCCAAGCCAAGAGTGCAAAAGGATGTAGTAGCATGATTCCACCAACCAAATGCCTCATACCCTCAGACGTCCCAAATCCAGTGGTGAGCAGGTAAATTTTTAACAACAATCTTTCTTTGTGAGGAAAAAAGTTCCTGATTTCCATAATGTAAATACTTTCACTGACTGGTTTGAAGCCATCAACACGTCAACTAACAATTGGTTCCTGCATGTCTATAAGCTGGCTTTAGCACACCACTGCAAACCTACTTATTACTTATATTTTCAGATACATTACAGCACTTATCAATTCTAACATTGTGAAAAACTGCTGTGCTTTAGGCATCTTGTCCAAACTTGCTCCTTCAGCTAAATTTGACTCATGTTTAACATGGAATCGCACTGCTTGAATAATATGTTCTTTGGACTTTGGGCCAGTCTGGTAAAACATAAGACAACAATAACATCATTATGGTTGTATACATTTACAAATAACTCACTAAGTGCTGTTGTAAACATTTTACAGAGATTAAAGCCTTATTCTTCAGAACAACATATGAGGTAAGTACTGTTATATCCATTTTACAGATGAGGAAACAGAAACATGACGGAATTATGTGATTTACTACTAAATGGCAGAGCAGGGACTTGAAGTTAGATAATAGGACCTACCACCAGAATCTCTGAAAAAGCTGATTCCTGGGTTGAGTTTATGGTTAGCGACATCGCTTCCTGCCATAAAAACCTGTGCAACTTTGCCTTTGGAGAGGCCTGTGTGCTGGTGGGAATTAAATTCAAAAGCCAATAGCATGTTACCTTTGTGTCATAACAACCTCCAGGACTTGGGTTAGGTGAGTTCAGGTCCTCACGGCAGCAGATGGTATTACAGGGGTCACCTCTACTGTAAGGATCCTTCTTATAATCTAGGAAACAGAAATGGGGAAGAGAGTGATTATTGGCTATTTGGAGACACACTTCTCCACAGTAAGGTTTTGAGGCCTGTTAAAGCCTAGATAATCAGAGAGTGTACTCCCACAGGCCTCCTCAGCCCAGTCTGCTTCCAGATAGAGACATCTCCCTTGGCTTGTGAGGAAGGAGTAAGTCCTTGGCCCCAGGCCCAGCCTGCCCTCAAGAACCTTACACAGTGAAAAATGGATGGGAAAGAGAACCAGATAAACGTCCATCAGCTGTTTCCAACAAAATAAATACAAATTTGACTTTGATGCTGTTCATACAAAAAAAATGAGGTATTTATGAACAATGTTTTGTTTTATTAGCTGCTGTTATCCTTGGAAGGAAACTTGTGTTTGGAGAAAAATTTTAAAGGACCCTCTATGAGTTATTTCTTCTGTGTTTTACAGATGATTTTTTTTTTTTCAATTAAAAAATGTATAGACTCTTCTCTTTCATTTTATAAAGGAGGCCAAAGCTCTATTTATTGAGTATAAAATGTACAATATTAGTTAAATACTTAAATAACTTCTTATAATTCCTTCTAGTACAGAGATGATAAACTTACATGGATTCTGTATCCATAGGGAAGAAAAGGAGTTTTGAAGAATGATTCTTGAGAAATATGCTACGTACTGTTGTATCGCATGATATATTTCATGGATGCCGTATCAGTCACTTTCCCTTGGTCACGCCGGAAAATTTTGGCTCGTGGAGCTAAATCATAAGAGTAGTCCAAGCCCAGCTTCTGAACTAACAGTGGATAGCCACTCCAGTTGTAGATTTTTTCATGGAAAGGAACATTGTAGGAGGGCCAATATCCTGATTTGGAATGGAAGGGAAGTAAGGGAGGGATTGACAGGGAAGGAGACAGAAAAGGAGAGAGAGCAAAAGAAATGTTATCCATGTTCATTTATTTTGAAAATGGGCACAGGCATTTAATTACAAAATAATGTACAGAAAATAAAGCTTTGCATGTGAACCCTGGCAGCCAAACAGCCTTTTAAATTTCCTAAATCAGCACAGCTCTAGGTTATTTCATTAGGGGAAGAAGAGCATCAGAATTCTCTGGTTTTCACCCAAAATTCTTAATCTCTAAGCCAAAAAACAACCATATTCTCTATAGAGCAAAATAAAGTATAATGCAAGGTGGTCTGGGGAGCTCATCTAAGTGGATTTAGTTACTGAAATGCCAAGAAATGGTTGTTCACAGTGTGGCCCTATAAAGGAAGATGTCAAATGGTAATCATGAAGTAGTGGAAGAACATAGCACTGGGAATAGAAAGCCTGAATTCTAGGCTCAGGGCTTAAGAATCAGGTCTTAGGCAGGCAACTTCATTTGTTTTGTTTCTGTTTCTTTTTTTTTGAAAGACGTCAATGGGGAGGGAGAGGAGAAGTCCATAATGTAAGGGGATTGGGGATGATCTTTTAGGTTACATTAGGCTTTTAATTCCTTTGACTCTAAACATTTATAAAGGCTCAGCTTCATTCAAAGCTTCATAGTGTGTGAAGGCCACATAGCCTACTAGTCACTGAGCACCAAATATGTGACACAGCTCTCTCTTGTAAAAGCAGAATTTCAGAAACATCCTGGATGACACTGGCCTGGGTTACTGCCTACAGAACAGTCAAGGAATGTCTCCACCATGCAGGGTTCTCTCCCACCTCCACATTCTCTCCTGGCCCTTTTCTGCCTTTCTCCTTTGTATTGTTGTACAGGACCTCCTCTTTAGGGGTGAGGTTACTGAGACAAAAAGAAAATGATAAGACATTCAGCCTTGCTAATTCTGAGACAGAGCCAGCATCAGAAGAACTGAGATATGGATGACATTGAAATTAAAGAAGAAAAACAGATTTGTTGCTAAAACATATCTAGGTTATATAGGCTCAGGAATTAGATTGCCTGGATTTGAAGCCTGGTTCTGCCATTATTAGGTATGTGACCTTGAACAAATTGCTTATCCCCTTTGTGCCTCAGTTTCTTCATCTTCATTAACTATTCAGCATTAAGCATCTTCATAAGCATGAGCATGAAATGCATTCAGATGGAGTGCTTACAATAGTATCTAATACTTGGTAAACATTAGATTATTATATTTCTCTTTGTGAAAACAGCTCAAATGAATAACGAAAATGTCTACTTTATACTTCACATTTCATGAAGCTTCGTGATTTAAAACAGAGCAACTTGGCCTGGTGCAGTGGCTTGTGCCTGTAATCCCAGCACTTTGGGAGGCTGAGGCAGGTGGATTGCTTGAGCTCTGAAGTTCAAGACCAGGCTGGGCAATATGGCAAGACCCTGCCTCCACTAAAAATATAAAAAAATAGCCAGGCATTGGGGTGCACACCTGTGGTCCCAGCTACTCGGGAGGCTGAGGCCCGAGAACCGCTTGAACCCGAGAGGCAAAGGTTGTAGTGAGCCGAGATCACGCAGCTGCAATCTAGCCTGGGTGACAAAGCGAGACCCTGTCTCAAAATAAATAAAGAAAATAGAGCAGCTTGTTTAATCTCACAAAAACCTGATGATGTATAAGTATTACCATCCCTTTTTTAAACAGAAGAAACAGAGTTTCAGAGAGGTCAATTGTCTTCCTTGGCTCACAAAACTTGACAGAATACAGGCCTTCTAACTAAAACATCCAGGGCTTCTATCACCATACCACAGTTGCTTAAATACGTTAGGAGATGTGCCCACCCCCGACCCCGACGCCCCCGCCTTTTTAATGGCTATATGATATCATGTATTTGTTTGGGCAAAACATGTTTCTTTCTGAGCTTTTCTTTACTCACAGTAAAATGGCAACAATAACACTTATGGGGTAGTATGTTACAAACATCAAACAAGAGAACATAAGTAAAAGGCCCAGAAGAGTGTCTAGAATGCAGTAGGTACTCTGAATTTAACTCTCTGTTCTTCTCTCCTCTGGCAAAGAAAAAAAAATACAGACAGATCATCATCAACTCTTTTTAGTCTTAGGGAGTTTCAAGGGGTCTAGGAATGGGACTGCAGAGAACCAAGTCTACCATTCTGTTATCAGCAACTGTCCAAAGAAGAAAAGACTACTTTAGCAAGCATCTCTCTCTCTTGAGGCATGCTATTATTTTCAGGCTCTTAGGAGCTGGGTTCTCTGTTTTGAATTGCTCTATGCTAAACAGTAACCACCTAATGATTTGACTTCTTGGATGGATTTTCCTAACAAGCAAAGAAGAAGGTAGGTCCACTGCTTGGTAGCATATGAACTGCTTGGCAATGAAACTCCCACCTTTTGTTTTATGCATAAGTCTTAGTGCATTTAGTTGGTGTGACCCATTCTCCACTGACAAGGCTCACTCTAGGCATCATTACAAAGTCAATTTGGGGACCTGGAAAACTGAGGACCAGGTCCTGATCCCTAGGGTCCACACTTTATCTCCGTTCTGTCCCTATTCATCTGCCAGTTGATCTATTGCAATAGTCTCCTAACTAGTCTCTTTTCTTCCCACCCAGTCTATTCTCCCTTGTCAGGAACTCCCAATTTCTAAAACATAAAGTCTGAACTGTCCAGTAGGATTTTTAAAGCTAACATTTTCTCTCAATAAATCTATCTATTTATCTTAATTAATTTTCATGACCATCCTGTGAAATTGTAGAGTTCCACACTCCCACATCCAGAAATTCTTGGGAGCCAGATGAGTCTCAGAATTTAGGGTTTTTCAGACTTTAGAACAACCATGGAGTGCATGGATTATATGACATTACAGTCTCTTTGGGAAACACCTCATAATCAAAGATGTTGATATTTCTGTAGCCTAATGTATACATGGTGTCTCTAAGAGGAAATAAAGACAATTTAAAAAAACAGGCTGGGCACCACAATTTGGAAGGCCGACGCAGACAGATCACCTGAGGTCAGGAGTTCAACCTGGCCAACTGGTGAAACCCCGTCTCTACTAAAAACACACAAAAAATTAGCCAGGTGTGGTGGCACGTGCCTGTAGTCCCAGCTACTCAGGAGGCTGAGACAGGAGAATCGCTTGAACCCGAAAGGCAGAGGTTGCAGGGAGCCGAGATCGCACCACCGTACTCCAGCCTGGGTGACAGAGCGACACTCCATCTGAAGAAAAATAAAAATTAAAATTAAAAACCACTAAAAGTTTCTTTCTGGTAGTTTTTGCTGCCAAGTGAGTTCAGATCAGGTCATTTTCTTGCTACCAAGTGAGCTAGGCTACCAAATCAAAGCAAAACAAGAGAAACAAAATAATAATTTGTGGTTTTACAATTTTGGAATTTTAAAATTACAAATACGTGGTTGTGGACCTATATCACGATTCAGTTTTATAGATGAGGAAAATGAGGCTTGGAGAGATTCACTAATTTGCCTGAGATTTTAAGGAACTGAGATTTGAATCAAGGCAGTGAGCCTCCTGGCTTCAAATGTCTGGACTCCTTCTTGCCCACCAGAAGTGCCTTCTCTGACTCCACCCACTAACAGCCACGTTCTGTTTAGGTTCACCACTGGCCTAGGGACATGAGACCTGATGACAGCTCTTCCCATCCTGAGTTCCTGCAGCTGCTTTGAGTGCTTTGCTTCCCTACTAGACTCCTGAGTCCTTCCAGGTCAGGGATTCTGTATCCTTGCTTTTCTAGTCCCTGGGCCACAGTGGCACTCCAAAAATATTTGCTGAATTGAACTTAAAGCTTTAACCAGGAACACAGGAGAAAAGGTAACATTAGAACTATGAGAAATCATAGAGTCATGAATGCCTGATTTGCGTCCCAATCTGCACATTGTCCTATAAGAGTTTGAGATGTAGGTTTACATGTTGTGCTAAACCTGGTCATTCTGGTGTAATATAGCATCCCCATCCTGTCTTCCCCACCATACCCTCCCCCACCACACATTCACACAATGTGCATTCCCCTACCATATATGAACACACACATACTCATCAGGTTTTAAGACTTACGACATGAAGAAAGTACCTTTCCGTAGAACATCAGTTTGTTCAGAATATTCTACATATGTAGGAATTTGCTCCACAATGTACAGAGTGCCTTTGTCAAGACTGTGGTTCAGCTTTACTTTCTTCAGGTCCAGAACCATGTATTGATTGTTATAGGTGCCTGAAATATCAGGAAACATGAAGACGGGGCATGGGTATGACTTTACTGGTTAACAAGCCTAAATCAAAATATATGTCTGTGCCTAACAGTTATTCTGCAGGGTCACTTACCAGAGTTGTATTTTGAAAAGATGTCTGCCCACCTCTTGCCACTATCTGCCATCATATTGGCCACACGGACTCTTTGCCAGGACAGGAGAGTCTCGGGTATTACCTGCTTTAGCAGGGTTTTATTAAACACACTGTTTGTGGTCTGCAGCAATATCAATCCACTGCTAAGAATGTAAAAATCATCCAGAGACTCCAAAAACCCTACAGGAAAGACAAATATACACATCAGCATATGTATACATGGAACAGTGAACCATCATTATTGACAAAGAGCTTTACATACACAATGCATTTTGCAAAGTGTATCAGTTATTACTATCCTTGATCTGCAGTAGCCTCCCCCAGCTTTGGCTCACCTCTGTGGTAGTCACCCAACTGCCCCTTATAGAGGTGCCAAAAGAACTCCACCCCTGGATTCTCCATTGAAAATTTATTTTGTGATTTGAAATAACAAAAATATGTTAAATCCAGAACATTGCAAGCTTCCAGAATGATAAACAGATGTAGATCCCGACTTGCTAGGATTTTGCAGGAGAATTTTTAATTAGGGAGGGGATTAGCAGGGTTCATTAGTAAGAATATAAATGCCTTTTTTTCTTCTTTTCTACTTTCCTGTATTTTTCAAATTTTGTATAAGTCTACTTTTTTTTTTTTTTTGACACACAGTCTGACTCTGTCACCCAGGCTGCAGTGTGGTGGCATGATCTCAGCTCACTGCAACCTTGCCTCCTGGGTTCAAGCAATTCTTGTGCCTCAGCCTCCTGAGTAGCTGGGGTTACAGGTGTGCACCACCACACCTGGCTAATTTTTGTATTTTTAGTAGAGACCGGGTTTCACCGTGTTGGCCAGGCTGGTCTCAAACTCCTGACCTCAAGTGATTCACCCACCTTAGCCTCTAAAGTGCTGGGATTACAGGTGTGGGCCACCACACCCGGCTAAGTCTACATAATTTTTATAAATGGAAAAACATCTACATTTAGAAAAGTAAAGATGGTTTTGAAACTAGGGCATTGACACTCTTGGTCAATGCTTTTTTATAAATGTTGGAGGCAACACAGGAAAATCAGTGAAGCCACAGTCTTTTCTGAAGACCTATTTTGTGGTTTATACTGGGATGAGTATGGAAAGGATAGAATATCAGGCACAGCTGTAATAAAAAGAGAGGATATACTGTCATCAGTAACAGTAATGGAACAACTGTCAGTGTTAAACAGAAAAGGACCTCAGTGGTAGGGTTAGAAGGGGCCAGAGTGGTAAGTTCCTTCGGTGCATCCTGCTGAAGGGTTTTAAGGCCCTTACAAAACAGTCCCGAGGGAGCTAGCTAGCCCCTTCCACTATGTGAGGTCACAGAGAGAAGGCACTGTCTACGAGAAACAGACCCTCATTAGACACTGAGTCTTCCAGTCCCTTCATCTTGGGCTTCCCAGCCTCCAGAACTGTGAGCAATAACATTTCTATAGCTTATAAATTACCTAGTCTGAGGTGTTTTGTCATAGTAGTCAGAATGGACTGAGATGGTCTCAAATTTCTACCATGATTTTTTACCACTTTTATCATTTTTGCCATATCTGAGTACTATCTGAACTATCATTTAGTTAATATTTTTGTTATTTTTTAACTGACAAGTAAAAATTATATATATTTATGTTATACAAAAGAAAGGATATTTTGATATCTGACAAGGAAACATTGTATATATTTTGGCATACAAAATGATATTCTGATATATGTATACATTGTCAATGGCTAAATCAAGCTATTAACATATGCACTACTTAATATCTTTCTTCAAATTAACTCACTTTTCAAACTTAACTTACCCTTGTCATATATCATAATGTCTCAGAAACTATGGACTTAATGTTTTTGTTTTTTCCCAAAGAAATACATTAAAACAAATACATTTCTACTAATGTGCAAAAAATGTTTGTCCACATACTGCCTCAAATCACCCCACCAGCCCTATGCATGCTATTACACATCTATTCTAGCCTAGTATGGAATAAGTAAGGTGGGGTCAAAGAAACGGGTCACCTGAAACCGGAGGTAAGAGCATGGACTGGGAGTCAGAAGACCTGCATTTTAGTTTCCTGCTTGCCTCTAATGAATTTGACAGTTCTTATTTTGCCTCTCTCTTCCTTATTTCCTTCTTCTGATAACCTGGGACTAATGTCATTCAGCTATTCAGCTCTAACAATCTGATTTTAATTTCTTGAAATTTCTTGAGTAGGAAAGTTACACGATGAGAGGACTGTCCAACTAACTCTTAGTTTTTTTTTTTTTTTTTGAGACGGAGTCTCGCTCTGTCGCCCAGGCTGGAGTGCAGTGGCGTGATCTTGGCACACTGCAAATTCCACCTCCTGGGTTCACGCCATTCTCCTGCCTCAGCCTCCCAAGTAGCTGGGACTACAGGCGCCCGCCACCACGCCCTGCTAATTTTTTGCATTTTTAGTAGAGACGGGGTTTCGCCATGTTAGCCAGGATGGTCTCGATCTCCTGACCTCATGATCTGCCCGCCTCGGCCTCCCAAAGTGCTGGGATTACAGGCGTGAGCCACCGTGCCCGGCCCCAACTAACTCTTAATGAGCCTCTACACGGCTGCCATTAAGCTATAGAGAGCTTTGTGTAAATTAGAGAAAGTTGCACATTCCAAGTGGTACAAGGTTTAACAGTACTCTTGAATGAAATTTTAATGGGTCACCTCTCTAGAAAGACATGACCTGGGCAAGGATATATGGCTTGACAGAGTGTAAAATGGATTGCATTCGTGTCTTGGGCTGGGATCATTTTTCAAACTGTACAACCATACTTGGCAGCCTTGAGAAAGCTCCCTGGTAGATAATCCCTGTAGGGTAGAATGCTGTATTTCCGGAATGACAAGTTTGCTAATTCAATACTTGCTGTAGCAGTCTCCCTGGACACAAGAGGGCAGGCGTTCTTTAATATGTGTAGGTGATTGAATATTACAAGTACTAATGTTTAAGGAGTAGTCTTTCATTTAAAGGCAAGATTCTTTATGAAAGAGACAGGATGATGGAAATATATAGGCTATCCAGAGTTCTAGAGCAAGGAGAGTGAACTGGCCTGCAAAAACTATAGTTGAGGAGGCTAATTCTATAGTTTAGAGTTTAAGATAATAAAGAAAAGGCCCAGAGATGGGACAAAGTTCTGACACATTGCCTTTGAAAAGAAACACATTTCTTTGACTACATACAATTATAATCTTTTTAAATTTTTTTTTTTTTTGAGACAGGGTCTCCCTGTGTTGCCCAGGCTGGTGTCGAGCTTTAGAGTTCAAGGGATCCTCCAGCCTTGGCCTCCCAAAGTGCTGGGATTACAGGTATGAGCCACCACACCCTAACTAAAATTATAATCTTGCTCTCATCTGTCATTAGCAGCTTTGGAAGGCAGATTGAGATCAGGAGAAAATGAAACACTCCAGTGTTTTATGAATGCCAGCCTAAGAATAACATTTCATGATAAGCTTCTCACTGAATTTAATTAAGAAATAAAAAGAAACACTTCCGGTTAATAAATCCTATTTCAAGACTTAAAAAAAACACCAAACTGCAGAAATAAACAGTAACCACTATGTAGTCATGCAAATGGCAACAACAGTTACTCAACACACACCATGGAACAAACACATTAGAAACAATTATGAAGATTGACTCATGGGGAGTTGCATGTTGAGACAGGGTGGAGTTGAGGGAAATCATCTTATGACCAGTTAATCAAGAAAAGTATGAAAACTAAGGTGGGATTTCTGGAAAGGTAGAAGGGAGGACACATCCTGATTTAGGTGGGGAAGATGATCAAGACAGGTCTGATCTGGCAGAAGACATCAGTGTTCTGGGATGGTACCAATGAGGAGACAAAGAATCAAAGAAAGGTACTTAAAAAAAAAACAGAAATTAAGTGCTGCAAAATCCATTTATAATTCTTTAGAATACGTGCCCGTATTCTGCTATTGCTTTTTTTTTCTTGGTTCTACCTTTTAAAAGCAAAGGACATGAATTTTGGTCTGTACTAAATATAGATTGTTTTTATATACTTCAGCTTTATGACCAAAGTACCTAGATCAAAGAGGTAACATGACATTAATAACAGTAATTACAGAACATTAAAAATGTTTACAACATATATTTATTAAATAGGCAATTTTATAGATTATGAAGACTTGACTTAAATTTTCCTGGAGCCTATTCTTTTATCTTCATGTGTACCTACTTTCAAGTACATGCACTTAATATTTAAAAAGGCCAAGCTGGCTCATGCCTGTAATCCCAGCACTTTGGGAGACCGAGGTGGGTGGTGAATCATTTGAGGTCAGGAGTTTGAGACCAGCCTGACCAACATGGTGAAACCCCATCTCTACTAAAAATACAAAAAAAAAAAAATTAGCCGGGCGTGGTGTAGTCCCAGCTACTTGGGAGGCTGAGGCACAAGAATTGCCTGAACCCAGGAGGCAGAGGTTGAATTGGCCACTGCACTCCAGCCTGGGCAACAGAGCGAGACTCCATCTCAAAAAAAAACAAGGCCGGGCACGGTGGCTCACGCCTGTAATCCCAGCACTTTGGGAGGCTGAGGCAGGTGGATCACAAGGTCAGGAGTTTGAGACCAGCCTGACCAACATGGTGAAACCCCGTCTCTACTAAAAATACAAAAATTAGCTGGGCACGGTGGCGCGCGCCTGTAATCCCAGTTACTCAGGAGGCTGAGGTAGGGGATTCGCTTGAACCCAGGAGGCGGAGGCTGCAGTGAGCCGAGATCGCGCCATTGCACTCTAGCCTCGGTGACAGAGCGACACTCCATCTCAAACAAAAACAAAAACAAACAAACAACAACAACAAAAAAGGCTAAGCAAAGATTTTGCTGCTTAGACCACAAGGGCTGCCATAGTCTCACAAACAGGATGGACTATGGATTCAGTATGCTAGGATGGTCTAGGGTGCTTGTTACAAATGTCCCAGCCCAGATCAATGAAATATGAATTTCTATGGATGACACTGCATTTTTAGCAAGCTCCATAGGAAAAATTGGGGAACATCTAAGTTTAAGAGGTATGTATACATGTATGGGGGAGGTGATAGCATACCTGTATATAATGAGAAGTAGGAACACACACACGCTTGGGGAAACACACTAAATGCATCCCAGAAAGCCTCACTTATAGATCATTAAGCTTGAAGCCTCAGCCTTATGGGGATCATCATTACTGGGATCCTCAATTAAAAGTCCTTTGAGGCCAGGCAAGGTGGCTTATGCCTGTAATCCCAGTACTTTGGCAGGCAGAGGAGGGCGGATCACCTGAGTTCAGGAGTTCGAGATTAGCCTGGCCAGCATGGAGAAACCCTGTCTCTACTAAAAATACAAAAATTAGCAGGGCATGGTGGCATACGCCTGTGGTCCCAGCTACTTGGGAGGCTGAGACACAAGAATCGCTTGAACCTGGGAGGCAGAGGTTGCAGTGAGCTGAGATCACGCCATTCCACTCCAGCATGGGCGACAGAGTGAGACGCCATCTCAAACAAAAAAAAAGTCCTTTAAATAGGTTCCATCTTTTATTCCCACATAGAAGCTCCACCCACCTGGCATGGCAGGAAATCCTTTGAGTTCACTGCTCTTTTAGTTTTTTGTTTGTGTTTGTGTTTTGAGACAGGCCATGCTCTGTCGCCCAGGCTGGAGTGCCGTGGCGTGATCAAGGCTCAAGGCAGCTTCAAACCCCCAGGATCAAAGGATCCTCCCACCAGGCCTCCTGAGTAGCTGGGGCTACAGGCATGCACCACCACACCTGGCTAAATTTTTTAATTTTTTGTAGAGACGGGGGTCTTGCTATGTTGCACAGCCTGGTCTCAAACTTCTGGGCTCAAGCGCTCCTCCTGCCTTGGCCTCTTAAAGTGCTGGGATTACAGGTGTGAGCCACCACACCCAGCCGGCTCTTTCAGTTTTAGCCATTTAATTTAAATCCAAACTGCATCATTTCTAAAAAAAAAAAGAAATGGATATTTATAGTTAGATATATTGCCTTTGCACCCAGTCCTCAACCACTGAATTGTGTGACCTTGACCTGTTTGACTATTTAACTTCTCTGAACTGTTTATTTTAAAAATGCAGACAAAATACCCTCCTTGAGGCTTTTTATGGAAGGCAGAATTTGTAAAAGTCAGTATGCTTTGCCTCTCGACTGCATTAACATGCCACAGGCTCAGACTGTTTTGTGTAAAGGATGTCAAAGAACTGCACTTTGTCTAAAGAGAAGTTTGATGTTTTGTATGCTTGTTAAGAAAATACAATACTAGAAGTTAATGGTAGACAACTGATTTTAAAAATACCCTTCTTGTTAGGTTTTTATGAACATTAAATGACATAATAAAAACAAAATGTTGGCCTGGCACAGTGGCTCACGCCTGTAATTCCAGCACTTTGGGAGGCTGAGGCAGGCGGATCACTTGAGGCCAGGAGTTCGAGACCAGCCTGGCCAACATGGTGAAACCGCGTCTCTACTAAAAATACAAAAATTAGCCGGGCGTGGTCACACACACCTGTAATCCCAGCTACTTGGAAGGCTGAGGCACGAGAATCACTTGAACCTGGGAGGCGGAGGTTGCAGTGAGCTGAGATCACACCACTGCACTCCATCCTGGGTAACAGAGTGAGATTCTGTCTCAGAAAACAAAACCCCCAAAACAGACAAAAACAAAATGTGCACAGTGTCAGGGACAGAGCCAGGTACATGGTAGGGGCTAAACACATATTCAGGTTTTTTGTTTTCCTTTCTATTTAATAACTAGTTGAACACAAACAAGCTTATAGTAATTTATTTAAAACTTAAATTCTGCCTAATTCCCATAAAACTAGTCAGGTCCCATTCATGTTATTTATCACAAAGGATTTGCTTCAAGTAACAAGTCCTGTGCTGAACACATAGGTTTTGCATCTGAAGTCCCTTGCTTACAATTCCTGAACATCTTAGACTCCTGTTCTCAAATCTAGGGTATGAAAGGGAGGGCAGGATGAATAGAAAGCAAGTTACAATAAGAACTGTGATCTCTTAGGCAGCCCCCACCTCCTCCTTGTTTTATTGCCCGTCTTTCTTTCCTACAGTTCCTACCATGTCCACATCAAAGTGGACATAATCTATCTCCTTACTGTTTTCCCTCTAATCCTTCTTTCTTCCTTCCTTCTTTTCTCCTTCCTTCCATAAATATTTATTCAATGATTATAATATGCAAGGCTCTGTGCTCATCCTGGGACACAGACATGAATACAGAATATGGGCTTTGAAGAAATTATGCACAGGGTACCTAGGAAGCTCAAAGGAGAGATAACTTACTTGGCCTGAAGGTTAGTAAAACCTTCTAAAAGGAGCTCTTGTGCTACTCTTTGTTAATATGAAAAGCACTAGGGTATTATGTATTACCCAGCCAAAAAAAAAATGCTCGTATCAAGGGTGAGTATTCCAATAATAGCAGCATGATAAAATTGAGTGATTTTCCCACAAATAATAATTATAAAACTGTATAAAATTATTTAAAGCAATGATCTGAAGATACTAGGAATGACCAAAGGCAGAGAGAAACAGAACATTAGTACAGCATTGGTTAAGATGGAGTATGAGGCTTCCTTGCCTGTGTGTATTCCTAAACCCGTGATATGGACTGAATTCTGTTTCCTCAAAATTCATATGTTGAAGTCTTAACCCCTAGTACCTGAAAATATGACTATATTTGGATACAGAGCATTAAAAAGGTAATTAAGGTCAACTGAGGTCATATGGGCAAACTCTAATTCAACATGACCGGTGTCCTTATAAGAAGAGGAAGTGAGCCGGGCGTGGTGGCTCATGCCTGTAATCCCAGCACTTTGGGAGGCCGAGGCAGGTGGATCATGAGGTAAGGAGATCGAGACCACCTGGCTAACAGGGCGAAACCCTGTCTCCACTAAAAATACAAAAAATTAGCCGGGTGTGGTGGCATGCACCTGTAGTCCCAGCTACTTGGGAGGCTGAGGCAGGAGAATCACATGAACCTGGGAGGCAGAGGTTGTGGTGAGCTGAGATCGCACCACTGCACTCCAGCCTGGATGACAGAGTGAGACATCATCTTAAAAAAAAAAAAAAAAAAAGGAGGAAGTGATGCCAGGTATAGCCCACACAGAGAAAAGGCCATGTGAGGACACAGTGAGAGGGTGGCCATCTGTAGGCCAAAGAGATAAACCAAACCTGTCAATATCTTGATCTTGGACTCTCAGCTTCTAGAACTGTGAGAATAATTAATTTCTGTTGTTTAAGCCACCCAGTCTTTGTCATGGCAGCCTTAGCAAACTAATATATAGCCCATACCCAACTCTAGTTATGGAAAACTAGAGCCATTCTGGCTTGAGATGGTGAGATCAAAGTCTAGTATTGCAGAACAGCTGAGAATTTAAGAGGAAAATTTTGGGAGCAAGAGAACCACAAGAAGAGCAGAGATCCAAAATCTGAATATGAACTGTGTCCTGTTCCCTGACTGACCACTAACTGTGCATGAATGTGGGAAATGCCAGGGAGCCCAGGGTAAAAACAGAAAGAAATGAGAAGGGTTTTCCCTTGTAAGACAGAAATGTTCTAGAACTGAGATAGGTGAGTTTGCTGCAACTTACACTGCCAGGGTTCCCAACTCATATGCAGCTCAAATTCCTCAGGCTCTCAGAGGACAAAGGTAAGAGCTGGAAAAGCAAATGGGAATATAGGGGAAACCTTAGGATCAAGGAAATCACAAAGAGAGTTAGCTCTATAATATGAATTTGAGCTGCCAACATCTTTCACTGACTGCTAAATTACACAGATGCAGGAGCAACCTCCAGAAGACCAGGTTGAAGCAGCAGTGTTGAGGAAGGACATTGGTTGCTGCACACTGTGCAGGTGACATATGTTGAAGTTTGAGTGCAAGCAAGGTAATTGCCTGTTAAAAACAACAACAAAAAAAGTAAAACAAGTGACTTCAGCAAGATGTCTGACTAGAGGTGCCTAACATTCATTTCCCTACAAAAAAAAAGGAACCAAAATGATGAATAAACAACTACATTTTGACTAGAGTATCCAAAGGAGAACACTAAAGTGTTCCGAAGGAGTACAATAAGGGAGGGGCAGAGACCCAGTGGAGCATGGAGACTTGGGATGGCTGCATAAAAAAGAGAATGAAACATTCTGCCTTTGCCACTTCGTCTTCCCAGTCAAGGTCGGTATGAAACCAGGAGGCAGTCTCCCTACGGAGAAAACGTGAGCAGGAGAACTCCCAGCAATCTCCATTAAAGATGCAAACACCTACAGTCTTTGCTGCTTGAGAATTCTGCAGTTTTCACAAGTCATGAACCCATTCTAGGGAGCTGCCTGGCATTCACATGGCTGTATTACTCCAAAGAATGAGCCCACATTGTGCCTCCTTCTCCTCTGTGATCTAAGCTGCTGATGTACAGCACTATCTTGAGACCGGTGCCACTACTATAGTACACTGTGCTCTGGAGGGCCAGTAACCACTGTTTGTTTCTCCCCATCCTGAGGCTCTGCTGCAAGTACACTGTGCTTGTAAACAGTAGCACACCACTCACCAGTTGAGCAGCTACTGTTTCCTATCCACCAGGAATAAGCTGCCTACGATGCACTCCATCTTCCCCATCCCTGTGGCACAGCACCTCAACCTCAATTACTCAGAGCATAGGCCCAGTGAAACAGCCATAACCTTGGTGCCTGAGCCCATGTGGTGTCCTGACGCCCAAGGAACAGATGATCCTACCCAGCAGGAAGGCCACACCTTACCCTGAAGGAGCAGTCCCTATGCACTTGCGGTGTGTGTAACAGCCTGGCACTCCTGCCCCCAGAGGACAGACTGTGTCTAATCCTATTGGAGTAGGCCTTGTGCACCCGTGGCGCATGAAACAAACTGGCACCCTTGCCACAAGCAGAAAAGCCATGCATATGATTTGACAGAGCTGCCATACAAACTCCTCCAGGCTAGGATGCCACTGAGGCATCCATAGAAATTGCTAACATTGACTACAGCTGAAAAAACTGCATGGTGACTACACTACTGCATCCACCTGGAACCACAGCCAATGCATCCTCCACAACCGACACCTTAGGACACATCTGCAGGCAAAAATCTTTTCCTATGATAACAACTCTATACAACTGGAAGAGGCATCCATTCTATCAGATGCCCAGACATCAGTGCAGGGACACAAGAAATATGAAAAAGCAAGAAAACATGATACCACCAAAAAAACACAATAACTCTCCCATAACTGACCTTAAAGAAATGGCAATTTACTAATTGCATAAAAAATTTAAAAATATGATCTTAAGGAAAATCAATGAGATTCAAGATAATATAGATAGGCAATTCAATAAAATCAGAAAAGCAAATCATGATATGAATAAAGAATTCAACAGAGATATCATTAAAAAAAAACTCTTGGAGCTGAAGACTTTAATGAATGAAATAAAAAATATAATGGAAAGTTCCAACAGCAGACTACACCAAGCAGAATAAAGAATTTCTGAACTGAAGACAGCTCTTTGCTTGAAGAGTGAAGAAAGCCTACAAGACCTATGAGACACCATTAAGTGAACACATTTTCACACTATAGAAACTTGAGAGGGAGAAGAGATGGAGAAGGGCACAGAAAGCTTCACAAAATAATAGCAGAAACTTCTTAAGTTTTGAGAGAGATATAGAGAACTCTATGCCAACAAATATGAAAACTTAGAAGAAATGGATAAATTCCTGGGCACATAAAACTTAACGAAAATTGAATCATGAAGAAATAGAAAATTTGAACAGACCAATAACAAGTAATGAGATTGAATTAGTAATAAAAAGTCTTCCAGAAAAGAAAAGCCGAAGACCCAATGGCCTCACTGATGAGTTCTACCAAACATTAAAGAAAAACTAATACAAATCCTTTGAAAACTATTCAAAAGACATGAAGAGGAGGGAATACTTCCAACATCTTTCTATGAGACCAGCATCACCCCGATTCCAAAACCTGATAAGGACACAACAAATAAATAAATCTATTGGCCAATATCCCTAATAAACCTAGATACAAAACTCCTCAAAAAAATATTTAAAAACTGAATTCAACAGCACATTAAGAAAAATCACTCACCATAATAAATGGGATTCATTCCAGGGATGCAAGGATGGTTCAATATATGCAAATCAATAAACATAATACATCATATTAACAGAATCAAGGACAAACCCATGAAGGGATGTTGAATCTATTGATCTAGAAAAGATATTTAATAAAATTCAACATCCCCTCATGATAAACACTCTCAACAAAACAGATATACAAGAAATGTAACTCAACACAATAAAGCCCATATATGACAAATTCACAGCTAGCATCATACTGAATGGGGAAAAGTTGAAAGCTTTTCCTCTAAGATCTGGAACAAGACACAAATGCACCACTTTTATTTAACATAATACTGGAGGTTCTAGCCAAAGCAATCAGGCAAGAGAAAGACAAAAAGAGCATCCAAATTGAAAAGGCAGAAATCAAACTGTCCCTGCTTCCAAATGACATAATCTTATACAGGGAAAACCCTGAAAACTTCACCAAAATACTGTTAGAACTAATAAGTAAATTGAGTACAGTTGCAGGATATAAAATCAATATACAAAAATCTATAGCATTTCTATATGACAATAGCAGACAATCAGAAAAAAATAAGAAGGCAATTCCATTTACTACAGCTACAAAAACAAACACTTAACTAAGCGGGTGAAAGATCTCTATGATGAAACCTATAAAATATTGACATAAGAAATGAAGAGGATACAAATGGAAAGATATTCCATGTTTACGGATTTGAGGAATTTTTAAAAAAATGTCCATACTAATCAAAGCAATTGACAGATTCAGTGCAATCTCTATCAAAATACCAATGACATTCTTCATAGAAAGAGAAAAAAATCTTTAAATGTGTATGGAACCTCAAAAGACCCCAAATAGTCAAAGCAATCTTGAGCAAAAAGAACAAAGCTGGAAACATCACACTACCTGGCTTCAAAATATACTACAAAGTTATAATAACCAAAACAGCATAGTACTGGCATAAAAATAGACATATATACTAATAAGACAGAATAAAAAATACAGAAATAAATTCACACACTTACAGCTAATTGATTTTTGACAAAGACACTAAGAACACACATTGGAAAAAATTCTCTTTGATAAATGGTGCTTGGAAAACTGGGTATCTACATGGAGAGGAATGAAACTAGACCCCTTGCTGGGTATTTATCCAAAGGAAATGAAATAAGTATGTTAAAGAGATATCCACACTCTCATGCTTATTGCAGCACTATTCACAATAGTCAAGATATGGAATCAACCTAAATGGCTATCAACAGATGAATGGATAAAGAAAATATGATACATATACATATAATGGAATACTATTCAGCCATAAAAAGGATCAAATTATGTCATGTGTAGCAATGTGGATGAGCCCTGAGGGCATTATGTTAAATGAAATAAGCCAGGCACAGAAAGACAAATACTCCACAATCTCACTCAGATGTGGAATCTATAAAAGCCGATCTCATACAAGTATAGAGAAGAACAATGCTTACCAGCAGCTGGGGAGGGTAGGCAAGGTGGAAAGGGCTTAATCAACAGGTACAAAATTACAGTTAGATAGAAGGAGAAAGTTGCGGTATTCTATTGCACAGTAGGCTTACTATAGTTAACAATACTATATTATATATTTTAAATAACTAGAAGAGAGATTTTTGAATGTCCTTACCATTAGAAAGTGATAAATGTTTGAAGTGATGAATATTCTAAATACCATGATTTGTTCACTACACAATGTATACATGCATCAAAACATCACACTGTCCCCTATAAATATGTACAATTATATGTCATTTAAAAATAAAATAAAACATAATTCTCAAAAATACACATTTCAGAGACACTATGGTGTGCTATTTTTCAAGTCCACATTTCAACCAAAAATTACCAGGCACTACAGTTAACAATATTGTGTTACATATTTCAAAATAACTATAAAAGAGGATTTTGAACGTTCTTGCCATAAGGAACTGATAAATGTTTGCGGTGAAGAATATACTAAATATGTATATACATTGTGTAATGATCAAGTCATGGTATTTGCTATATTTGTCACCTCAAAAGAAAAAGGAAGGTACGACCCCACACTTAAGTCACTGGAAACTGTTTCCAAGTAGGTCTTGATATTGGGTTTAGCGGACAAAGACAAAACAGGAAAATATGGTTTTAAGAGTTACCAGAGAGGGAATCTCAACATAAAATTAGAAATTAAAGAAAGAACAAAATTGAAATTCTAGATCTGAAAAGTACAGTAAATGAAATGAAAAACTCACTGTATACTTCAACAGTAAATTTGAGATGGCAGAAGAAGGAATTAGAAAACCTGAAGATTGTGGCTGGGCATGGTGGCTCACGCCTGTAATCCCAGCACTTTGGGAGGCCAAGGCGGGTGGATCACCTGAGGTCAGGAGTTGGAAACCAGCCTGGCCAACATGGTGAAACTTCATCTCTACTAAAAATACAAGATTAGCCCAGTGTAGTGGTGCATGCCTATAATCCCAGCTACTTGGGAGGCTGAGGCAGGAGAATCGCTTGAACCTGGGAGGTGGAGGTTGCAGTGAACTGAGATCGCATCACTGAACTCCATCCTGGGCAACAATAGTGAAACTTCATCTCAAAATAAATAAATAAATAAAATAAAATAAACAAAAAATAAAACAAAGAAAACCTGAAGATAGAAGATTAATGGGAATCATCCAATCTGAAGAACAGAGAGAAAAAGAAAACTAAATAAAATTTACAAAGCCCCAAAGACTTGTGCAAAAATGTTTAGCATCTGATGGATAAATGACTGGAGTCCCAGAGGGAGAAGAGAGAGAAAAGAGGATGGAAAAAATATGTGAAGCTATAACTGGTGAAAAACCCTTACATTTAATGAAAAACATTAATTTGCAGTTCCTACCAGCACAACAAACTTAAAATACAATAATCACAAAGAAGACCAGAGCTAGCCCACGACAAAGCTGAAGTCACCAAAAATCTAAATGCAGAAAAAAATTAGAGAGGAAAATAATATACTTAACAGCTTACTTCTCAACACACACACACACACACACACACACACACACGCACACACACACTTGTTTTAATTTTTTAAAAGACAGTAAGTTTTTAAGTAAAAAATCATAACACCATATTGGTGTATTTATAACATATATAGATGGAGCATATATATGACAACAATAGCACAAAGGATGGAAGGCACTAAATGGGATAATTACCATTTTAAGTTCCTATATATTTTTTAGCAGACATAATTGCTTATTAACTTTATGCAAATTGTGATGAGTTAAAGATGCATATCACAAGCCCCAGGGACAACAATTTTAAAAATGCAAATAAATATAGCTAGAAAGCCAACTTATTAAAATATAGAATATTTTGTTATAAAACCTTTGTTAAAATGTTTAACACAAAAAAAGACAGGAAAGGAGGAACAGAGAAACAAAATAGAGATGAAATGAACTAAATAGTGAAATGGCAGACTTAAATCTAAATATATAAATATTTACAGTAAATGTAAATGACCCAAACACTTCCATCAAAAGTAAGAGACTGTCAAACTTGATTGAAAAGAAAGCAAAATGTACTAATTATCTGTCTACAAAAGACATACAACAAACACAAAACCACAAATAGTTTGAAAGTAAACAGACATTCCGTTTGTGCTAACAAATTAAAATATGCTTTGATTCATACTTAAACCCGAAAGCAGGAATGCCTACATTAATTGCTACATTAAAAACAGCCATCTACCCTTGATTATCTAGAAAGACTTGGTAATGATGGCCAGTTCCTTTTAGGTTTTAGAAAATCAAATGATGACCTAAATTTCCCTTAATTTGCAAATACAGTAGTAATTAAGGTACATCTCTAAAGTGGAGCACTTACACTAGGCTCTAAGATTCACTCTGAGGTGGAACTTAAAACCAGTATACTGTATGTATGCATTGGTAATAGCGACTTTTGCTTCATAGCTTCATACCAACAAAATATATTAGAATAATATGAAAGTACTGGAGGAGCTGAAAGAAAAACATCCAAGGCCGGGCATGGTGGGTCACGTCTGTAATCCCAGCACTTTGGGAGGCCGAGGCAGGCAGATCACCTGAGGTCACGAGTTGGAGACCAGCTTGACCAACATGAAGAAACCCCATCTCTACTAAAAATACAAAATTGGCCGGGCGTGGTGGCGCATGCCTGTAATCCCAGCTACTCGGGAGGATGAGGCAGGAGAATCACTTGAACCCGGGAGGTGGAAGTTGCAGTGAGCTAAGATTGCACCATTGCACTCCAGCCTTGGCAACAAGAGCGAAACTCCATCTCAAAATAAAAGAAAAAAGAAAAACACCCAACATACACATACGCCTTCAGACTTACAGACTTAAGCTGCATTTATGGGGAAGTGATGAGGTTTAGAACATATATATATTTTGTTAAAATTCCCCAGATGATTCTTGGTATGAACTACTACCGTATAAATTTTAAGATATACTTAGAAATCCTTAAGACATCTAGCCCCATCTCTAATAGACAACACATTTATATTGCAGATATTAATTTTTTTTCAGTTTATGACCAGTTATTTGTGAAGGACTTTTGGCAGGGAAAATATGAATATGCTAACTTTAGCTTATGGCACCAATTTACTAAAGAACAACAGGGTCACCAACTGATCTCAAACATAAAAAAACCCACATCAGTCTGATATGATATTGTGCTACTTTGAATCTGTTACTAGTACCATCTTGACAGAGGATACATGCTCCCAAAACGTTTGTTACCACACTTAAAAATCACTGCCATCATTAAGCATCAGCTTCAAAATTATATCTATCCATGATTTACTTTTTCCAGATGACTACCGTTATTCTAGTCTTTTGAATTTGTAAGGTGAAAAAAAACAAAAACAAAAACTTACGATGCACTTTCCTCCAGCACATAAGATTTCAAATTGAAAATTAAAGACATGCTATGGTAATGCAGTTGCTAGTACTACACACTTTGTACAACAAAAAACAAAGGCAAGAAACTTAATGGAAAGAAAAGAACCTTCCTTTATTGGCCCTTAAACTGAATCAAGATCTGAAATGTAGAGATGATCTCTGACATTTATAACAGATACCTGTATGTTATTTCTGTGTAAATAAAATTGCTGGTATGAAATGACAAAAAAAAAAGAAAGTAAACAGACAGGAAAAGTACAAGATGAAAACAGTAAGCATAAGAAAGCTGGAGTGGTTATATTAATATAAGACAATGTAGACATTAAGGCAAGGAGTTGTACTAGAGACAAAAAAAAAAGACGTTTCATAATGATAAAAGGGTCAATATAGTAGGAATATACCATACTTATGAATGTATGTGCTAAATGATAGAGTATCAAAATGCATAAAGCAAAACTACCAGAAATGAAATGAGAAATATAATCTGCCATGGGATTAGAGAAAAAAGATAAGAAAATGAGAAACAGACAAATTAATAATTATAGTGGAGGTATAAATATTTCTTTTGTAGTAAATGATTAACAAATAGAAAATCAGTTAAGAGTATAGATGACTTGAATTACACTATCAATTAACTTGCACTGACTGACATTTACAGAACACTACACTCAGAAGTACTAGAATTTACATTATTTTCTACTGCATATGAAACATTCATTGAGATAGACTCATGCTGAGCCATAACACAGGTCTCAATAAAGTTAAAAAAATTTGAAATCATACAGAATATGCTCTCTGATCTCAGAATAAATTAGAAAATGCAATTAAATTGGAAAACAGTGACAAAGATCTGAAAAATCTGTAAATTTTTGGAAATTAAACAATACACTTCCAAATAAGCTATGGATTAAATAAATCGTGATAAATTAGAAAATATTCTAAATGGAATAAAAATGAACACAAAATATACCAAAATTTGTCAGATGCACCAAAAGTAGTGCTTATTGGAAAATTTATCATTTTATTTGCTTATGATAGAAAGATCAAAATCAGTTATCTAGTCTTCTACATTAAGAAGCTAGAAAAAATTACAAATTAAATGCAAAGTAAGTAGAAGAAAGAAAATAAATATAAAAATGGAAATTTTATCTTAATAAAGAAGAAAAATGGACAATATCATGAATGATAATGGGGACTTTACAGATCCTACAGACATTAAGAGGTTAAGAAAAACATTATAAATAGCTTCATATCAATAAAAACAATAACTTAGAAAGAAGGGATAAATTCCTTGAAAGATACATTTTTAAAACTAACTCAAGAAGAGTTAGAAAACTGAAATAGTTCTGTAGCAGTGAAAGAAATTAAATTTACAATTAATAACTTTTCAACAAATAAAAACCTTCATATCTAGCTTCACGCGTGAATTCTATTAAACACTTAAAGAAGAAAATGGGCTGGGCACAGTGGCTCACACCTGTAATCTCAGCATTTTGGGAAACCAAGGCAGGAGGATCACTTGAGCCTAGGTGTTTGAGGCTGCAGTGAGCTATGTTCACACCACTGTACTCCAGCCTGGGGGACAGAGTGAGACCCTGTCTTTAAAAATAAATAAATAAATAAATAAATAGAATAAAATAACACTAATCATATACATGCTCTTAAAACACTTAGGAGAAAGAAATAATTCCACATTTAGGATATGAGGATAAGCTTATCCTAAAACAAAAACCATCATAAGAAAAGCAGACTACAAACAAATATGTCTCATGAATGTAAATGAAAAAAATCATTAACACGTTAGTAAACTGAACTAAAAATAAATACAGAGAATAACACATCATGACTGAGGATTAACCCAGGAATTTCAAGTGGTTTAACATCTGAAAATCAATCAATGTAACTTATCATATTAATAAAGGAAAAAATTCATATGATCTTTTCAACAATTGCTGAGAAAGAATTCAGAAAAATGCAACACTCATTTATTGATAAAAATATTAAAGAAAGTAGGAAGAGCAGGGACCTTCCTTAACATTATAAAGGGCATCTACAAAAAATCTGCAGTTAACATCATACTTAATGGTGAAAGACAATACTTTTCACCCTAGGTCAGGAATTGGGCAAGGATTTGCATGCTCACCACTTATGGTCTCCATTATTCTGGAGGTCTTCTCCAGCACAATCATACAAAAAAACAATCAAAGACATACAAGGGATGGAAGAAGTCAAACTGTCTTTATTTAGAGATGTCATGATTGTATATATAGAAAATCCCAAGGAATCTACAAAAAAGCTATTAGAAAGATCTCAGGATAATAATGTACAAAAAAATCGTAATACATTGTGGTAGTTTTCAAATTTCCACAAATTCTTTGGCACCCTTCTCTTTAAAAGGTGGATTCTAATCGCCTTTCCTTGAATGTGGGCTGGTCATAACACCTTGCTTCTAATTAATAGAACCTGGTGGAAGTGAGCGTGTGTGACGTCTGAGGTGAGGTCACAATAGGCATTACTATTTCTGCCTTGTTCTTTTGGATGGCTTCGTCTGGAGCCAGGGGTCTTGCCATGAAGGACATTCAAGCAGTTCTGAGGAGAGGCCCAAGTGAAGAGGAACCAGTTGCCAGCACCACCCTGTCAGCTATGTTAGTAAGTCGTTTTGGAAGTGCATGTTCCAGTCTCAGTTAAGCTATCAGAGATTTTAGCCCCTCAGTCATTGAGTCTTCCAGCTGAGGCCCCAGTCACAGTAGAGACAAATTATCCCCACTGTGCCCTATCTAAATTCCTGATCCACAGAAACCATGAGTAACTAAATCATTATTGTTTTTAGCCACTAATGTTTGGAGCAATTTGTTATGTGGCAATGGGTAACCAATAAATACATATGAGCAACAAACAACTGAAAAAAGAATAAAAAACATTTTGATTACAGTAGCATCAAACATTACTTAGGATTTAACTTACTTAAAGGTATGTAAGACCTAAATACTGAAAACTACATGATATGACTCAAATTAAAGACTGAAATAAACAAATAGATTATATTAGTAGATTGGAAGACTCAATGTTGTTGACAAGTAAATTTTCTCTGGATTGGTTAAAACTATCAGATCTTTGTGCTGAGGTCTTCACACAATTGTATTGGCTGCCATTTCAGTGCCGTCATTTTCTAGTGATTTATCTCTTTGTCTTACCTCCTTGATTATTAATTTGCATTGCCAAAATAAGTAAATGTGTGGGGAGGGCTAGTGCAAGGCTTCTCCATTCCTTACTCAGCCTTAGCTGTTACTAGGCAAACAGACCATGTATTCAAAACCCTTCTTGTTAGGGACAGAAACTCCTAGAACAAGGCCATTCAAAGCCACTTTCCTTTGGGTATCCAGTGCCTCAGGCAAGTGTTTTTTGTTGTTGTTGTTGTTTTGTTGTTGTTTGTTTGTCTTTTTTAACAGGGCCCCTGCCTATATAAACAATTTGATTAAAAACATATATTTAAAAATTCATCAGTACATGTGAGATATGATGATTTATCATTGAAGATTTAGGATGATGGGCAGAGAAAGGCAATCTGTTTTGTCTATTGTCCAATCAGTGCACGTGAAGATTTGTTACAGTATCCAGGTACCATCTCTTTGTATTCTTTATTATTAAATGCATTGTTCTTGGCTAATTTCCTATTTTTTGTTATGAGAAAAAGGTAGCAATACTGTTATTACAAAACCATGACTTTTTGGAACCTGTTTGTTTTGAAACAACACAGATCTCCTTGCCTCTGCAGTTCCCTAACACCATTTTCTTAATGACTTTGCGACATCTACCACTCTACCTGTGAATCCTGGCTTCTAATGACTCAAAAATCCTTATTATGCTTTGTTAATGATGACCACAAATGCAAGCCTTACCCAGAGTGTTAAAAAAATTGTGAATGATAATTTGTTTTATGGTTACTAAAGCTACACTGGGAATTTTACAGTGTAAACATAGATCGACATGTTTTCTGTTGGACTCTTCAGGCTAATTGCTGCCTCCCTAGAATGTAATCTCTTTGTTGTTGTTCTTGAGACGAGGCCTCACTCTGTCCCCCAAGCTGAAGTGCAGTGGTGCTATCTCGGCTCCCTGCAACCTCTGCTTCCAGGGCTCAAGCTGTTCTTCAGCCTCAGCCTCCCAAATAGCTGGGATTACAGGCATGAGCTACCAACACTCGGCTGATTTTTTTGTATTTTTGCAGAGACGGGCTCTTGCCATGTTGCCCAGGTCTCAAACTCCTGAGCTCAAGATAATCCGCCCACCCTGGCCTCCTAAATTGCTGGGATTACAGGCATGAGCCTGCTTAGCCTGTTTAAATGTTAAGTGCATGTATTTGAAAGTAGGTACATAAAAAGATAAAAGAACAGGCTAAAAGCCCCAGGAAAATTTAAGTAAAGTTTTCATAATTTAAGGCTTCACAATTTAAGTCAAGTCTTCATGAGTCAAATCTCTTTTCATGCTGAACCCTCCCCCACCTTCACTCCTCACCCACGGGCACCAGTGGGTAGGATAGGTGAGAAGCCTATAAGTCGAGCTGGAAGAGCTGTCCCAATCACACCAGAAAAATCCATCTGGCTTAAGACTGACCCAAGACAGTAGGAAGTCACATCACCAACTGCAGCAAAAGATTTGCTGCAAAGGCCCGTTTGTGTTGTGGAGCAAGGTTCTCAAAAGGCCTCAGAGGGGCCAGGCCTAGCCCGCCCCAAGGACTGACCGACACATGGTACAGAGCTGCAGGGGTGAGGAGGCCACGACAGGGGCCAGATGTGGAGCTCATAGGTCGAAGTTCGCTTTACCGTCCTCCCCTGCTGCATGCTGAAACCCGAGGGTAAGAGGTGGTTTTCAGTAGCATAGAGCCCTGAACATATGCTCTGACATGAGAGTCACCCCAGGTCATCGTGTGACCACCGTTCTGACAGCTCAGTTATGCACCATCTTGCAAAAAATATATACTGTGAGGGCCAACTAGAGGAATCTGCTTACCAGGACCAGGCCATAGGCTTGAGTCCCAGAGCTCCTTAGGGCATCTTGTTGAACCCATGCGTGGGCAGGAATGGAGGAGAAGAGCCCCCAGATAGGGAGTCCACATGCGTTGCTTTCTGGACTCAGAGAAGCTGACCTGGATGGCTCTGCCACCTTGGTCAGTCTTGGGCACTAGAAGGGGATTTTGAAATTTTCTGGAAAGGAGCTTTCTAAACTAGATGCACAGAGACACAGGTCAAGATACTGCCAGCCTGGCCAGTCTCAGGATGCTGGAGGGGGATTTAGGTAATTTTCATGAAGGTAATTCCAAGCTGGGAGGGTGGGGTTCCTGTGCCCAGACCTAAGGGTGGTACTGAGGTTATCAGCACCTGGTATACTTTGGTATACTTTTGACCTTCCCTGGGTATTGCATGTTAGCCTCTTTAGGTGAAATAATTTCCTCAATCTCCACTTTGTATTTTAGAAAAGACTAAAAAAGACCAAGCCTGTTAAACAACTCCATCAAAGAAAAACAAGGAAGCCATCCAGCTTTGTTCTGGACTCAGCAGCTAAGATGGCATGAGCTTCATCGTAAAGCATAGTTCTATGTCATGTCTACTGGATGAATCCAATGTGGCTGGTCCCTTAATAAAATAAGTTGTAACATAAATGAGACTGCACATGTTTTCCTGTTTGGTGCTGAGAACAAAGCTGCCCAGTTAGAGAAAATATGAATCCCACTGTTCCATTGGCTCCTGTAAAAATGTTTTGGGGTATATATAAAACTGTCTGTTGCTCTCTTGGAGATTCAATTGCTCCAAAAAGCTCTACATATTATCTATGAAATCTACTTGTGTATCTCATCTGGAAGGATACATATGCAAATGTTAACAGGATTATACGTTTCATAAGAAAATCTTCCATGACCTTCTCCATCACTACCTCTGGGATCCAGGACTGTTAACACTACTGGAGAGCATTGTATTCCACAGAGATTTCAAAGCAGTGCACATAACATCTGAATATTGCATTTTATCACAAAGATGAGGAAGAGGAAGAATACTGGACTGCTCTGTCTCTTGCTGTCCTTAAATGTCAGTGTAATAGAATGTGAAAGAATCAAAGCACAGTCTAACTCAGAGAGAGGAGTCCCCAGTCCCCCTCAATGCTAAAACAACTAAGCAAACTAAGACAAAGATGAAATCAAATTGGTTTCAAAGAAAGGATCAGGTCACAAGGACAGAGAAATACTGGGTTATGCCCTTGGTCAGAATTCCTGATAGGGGCCGGACATGATTGCTCACACCTTAATCCCAGCACTTTGGGAGGCTGAGGCTGGAGGACCACTTGAACCCAGGAGCTTAAGACCAGCCTGGGGAATGTAGCAAGATCCCATCTCCATAAAACATTTTTTAAAAAATTAGTCAGGCATGGTGATGTGTGCCTGTAGTGTCAACTACTTGGGAGGCTGAGGCAAGAGGATCATTTGAGCCCTGAAGGTCAAAGCTGCAGTGGGCTAACATTGTACCGCTACACTCCAGCCTGGGGCGATAGGGTGAGACCCTGACTTTAAAAATAAAAAGGAATTTCTGATAGGAAGAGCAAAATACTCCGACAAAGGTAGATAGATATGACAGGTGGTTGGTATAACCACCCCATAAGTTACGGATGCGTAATTAAAGGTCAAACTGGTTACAGTGTATCCAGTTGAACCCTTAGATGTTTGGTGTTTTCCCCTTGACTTTGCTCATAATGTTTCCTGAGGAGGTTGGGGCTAACACATGCTAACACACATGCTTTGTTGGATTCACAGAGTGAGTTTTGTTGTTTTAAATACATAGTTTTATCTTAAGTTGGAGGGTCTGGAAATTCTTGGATGGAGAACAGACAGTGAGAGCTCATCCTTGCCTCCTTTCTGTGGGTCATATGTTTGCTACCATTGTTTCCACTTTCTCTTTTCTTTTCTTTTTTTTTTTTTTTTTTGAGACGGAGTCTCGCTCTGTCGCCCAGGCTGGAGTGCAGTGGAGTGATCTCCGCTCACTGCAAGCTCCGCCTCCCGGGTTCACGCCATTCTCTCGCCTCAGCCTCCAGAGTAGCTGCGACTACAGGCGCCCGCCACCACGCCTGGCTAATTTTTTGTATTTTTAGTAGAGACAGGGTTCACTGTGTTAGCCAGGATGGTCTCAATCTCCTGACCTCGTGATCCGCCCACCTTGGCCTCCCAAAGTGTTGGGATTATAGGCGTGAGCACCTGGCCTCCACTGTTTTCTTAAACCAGTCCTGCTTTATTCATTTACCTCACCTGCCTATTGCATTTAGGCCCAGGAATTTGCAGCCTCTCCTCTACTGGGACTGTCCTCCCGTCCATCTCTACTTTTTCAAATTCTAGCCATCCTTTCAAATTCTAGCCACTTTGAGATAGCCATGTTCATGGTCTATCTCAAAGGTTGTCCTCTCTTTCCCCAACAATCAGATGTGAGTCTCACCTCCTTGGAATGGACAACACTGGTTACACTTCTTTTGTAGCACATACAGTATCCAGTAATATTATTACTCTTATTCATATTACACTTTATATTGTCCTCTTGAGTATAGTGTAAGGTTTATAAACTTACACATTCATTCATCCATTCATTTGGCAATTTATTAAGTACTCAATGCCACACACTGAGGTTAAGTGCTGTGGATAGTGCAGTAAATAAAAGAAACACTACACGCCCTCAAGGTGGTACCTGAGTGCAGGATCAGCCATGTCTTCATTGCTTCTGCCGCAGAGCCTAGCAAAGAGTCTTGTACTTGATACATACTCAGTTGGCATTTGTTGAAATAAATTTAGATGTAGCCATTTACATTTACAAAGTGTCTTCTATTTGGCAATTCTAGTAACCTTGTTTATGTCATTCTATTAAATAAAAGTATTTGAGCTATATTTCTTCAAAAGCCCTCTGAAAATCAGATTGTTTGTTAATATATACTAACCATTAAACATTTCTTCTCCCATTGCAGTTAACACTGAATCACTAAGGTTTTATCCAGGAATAGTACTCAAAGTGCTCAGATGTTCCTTTAAATTCATTTACCTGGGTAACTGCTGAAAGAGAGGCGACTACTGCTGGTATCTTTATCTATGACGTTGAAGTCCCAGTGTTTATATATCCTGAGCATGGCTGCATACGTGTACCAGCTTGAGTGAGCAAAAAGGATGTTCTCAAATCCAGGAAGAACCTACAGCCAGAATCATAGTGGATTACACAGATGTACATAGCTAACTGACTGCAATTGTCTTAAGTGTAAGAGGCATACAGGGATTGTGCCATTTCAGGTAAGTGTTTATTGCTATACTGATTATTGGAAAATATGGCCAAGGAGTCAAGATTAACCTTTAATGTGGCCCCAAACAGACTCTTCCTTCTAACATTCAAAATGGAAGACTCCAGCTGGGCATGGTGGCTTACGCTCGAAATCCTAGCACTTTGGGAGGCCAAGGCAGGCGGATCACTTGAGGTCAGGAGTTTGAGACAAGCCTGGCCAAAATGGTGAAACCCTGTCTAAACCAAAAATACAAGAAAAATTAACCAGGCATGGTGGCACACCCATGTAGTCCCAGCTACTCGGGAAGCTGAGGCAGGAGAATCGCTTGAACCTGGGAGGCAGAGGTTGCAGTGAGGCAAGCTCACACCACTGCACTCCAGCCTGGGCAACAAAGTGAGACTCCGGCTCAAAAACAAAACAAAACAAAATGGAAGATTCTAGAAGGTGGGAGTGGCAGGTGCATACAGCATGGGAGGAATGGTGGAAGAACAGATGTAACATCGTGTACTTACAATTCTCTCCATCAAAGTTACTTCCAGTTCTTAACTTCTACCATTGAAGAACTCATGAGCTGATATACAGTTATAGCCAGGGGTGATGAGATGTTGCTATACTTGGGCGCTATATAGAAAAAGTCTGTATGAACCAGAACAAGGCAAAAGGAGCTGCTATGTCTTACCTTGATAAGAGCGGAGCAATGTCCCATGTCCCATCTCTTAAAAACCTTTAGGCTGCCGTTTTTTGTGGGAGAGAGTGAGGGAATCAGATCCAATAGATCTCCAACACTATTCAGGAACTGAATCTGGAACAGGGTCATTGGCTAGGAAAGGACAAAGACTGCACTTAACATCGTTTTGTGACAGACATCATTTCCTGTTTTCCTCTTGTTAGGGACCCATTAAATTATTCCCTTGCAGGCTGTGCATGGTGGCTCACGCCTGTAATCCCAGCACTTTGGGAGGCCAACGCGGGTGGATCTCCCGAGGTGAGGGGTTTGAGACCAGCCTGGCCAACACAGCAAAACCCTGTCTCTACTGAAAATACAAAAATTAGTTGGGCGTGGTGGCGGGCGCCTGTAGTCCCAGCTACTCAGGAGGCTGAGGCAGGAGAATCGCTTGAACCCAGGAGGCGGAGGTTGCAGTGAGCCAAGATCGCACCACAGCACTCCAGCCTGGGCAACAGAGCGAGACCGCATCTCAAAAAAAAAAAAAAAAAAAAAGTTATTTATTTTCGAAGAGTCTCTAATTTAACAGGTACGCTAGATTTTTATTGTAGCTTATAAAATAATTGTTATGGCTTTATAGTTTAAAAGAGCTGTTTTGGCATGTTTTGATAGCCCCAGAATTTGGGAGTGGCTCCTTGGAGAGTAAAACAGAGCTTTCTGTTTGCACTCTACAGCAGTGCTTCTCAACCTTGGCACTATTGACATTTTGAGCTGGCCGATACTTTCTTTTCAGTTGTTGTGCGTTGTGAGATGTTTAGCGTCATCCCTGGCCTCTACCCACTAGGTACCAGCAGCAACTTCACAGTTGTGGCAACCAAAAATATCTCCAAGACTTTGCCAAGTGTCCTCTGGAGAGAAAACCACTCTTAGACAAGAACCACTGCTATACAGCAAAAACATTCAACTAAGATGCTTTTGGTTTTGATTGTGTGTTTACTATAAGACTAACTGACCAGCCAGCATTGACTTTGAAGCAATTATCAGATTGTACTTGAACATGAACTTTGTGCAAACTGGAGAGCACGGCTCCAGGAAGATTCAATCTGCTGGAGCAGGTCCGGGTTAGGCATCAGCAAATTGGTTTTGGGGTAGAGGTGGTGGGAAGACAAACACAAATGACATTTTAACCAAAAAACTAAAACCAAAGCAAAAATTCAATCCAATTTTTATTTATATAAATATCATCTCTGTTTTGTTTGTTTGAATAAATTATTCATTTATTAGTCAAGATTTAAAAAAAATTATAACAAAGTTTATATCAGAAAGTCTCCTCCTTTACCTGTTCTCCATTTTCTCAGGTACTACCATTTCTAGTTAATCATTTTTACTAGTTTTTTTGCATATACTGCCAGAGTTTTTTGATTTTTTTATTTTTCCCTACTGGCACTGTGATCTTGGATCCAGAGTTTTAAAAATGTCTTGTAAATAAAATTTTTAAAAACATACATGGTAGTGTGTCATATGTGCTGTTGTTCACCTTGATTTTTTTTGTCTTAGTATCTTTCATTTAATGTTTTGGGGATATTTTTATATTGGATGTAAAAATTGTCCTCACTCTTCTTTTTTTAATTATTATTTATTTATTTATTTATTTTTGAGACAGAGTTTCACTCTAGTTGCCCAGGCTGGAGTGCAATGGCGCGATCTCAGCTCACTGCAACCTCCGCATCCTGAGTTCAAGCAAATCTCCTGCCTTGGCTTCCCAAATAGCTGGGATTACAGGTGCCCGCCCCATGTCCAGCTAATTTTTGTAGTTTTTTGTAGAGATGGGGTTTCACCATGTTGGCTAGGCTGGTCTAGAACTCCTGACCTCAGGTGATCCACCCACCTTGGCCTCCCAAAGTGCTGGGATTGCAGGTGTCAGCCACTGCACCCAGCCTGTCTTCACTCTCCTAAGCAGCATTCCAACGTACGGATGTATTATAATATTTTTAACTACTCTTTTTTGATGAATTTTCAAGTGGTTTCTAGTCTTTTGATATTGTAAACAATGCCACAATAATTAATCTTGGACGCTTCATTTTGCTTGTGTTTGAGTCTATGTGTAGGATAAATTCCTAGAAGTGATTTAGATTTTAATAGATATTGCCAAATTGTCCTCATACGAATTGTTTAAATTATACTCTTCTGGCCGGGCACAGTGGCTTATGCCTGTAATCCCGGCATTTTGGGAGGCCGAGTCCAGTGAATCACCTGAGGTCAGGAGTTCGAGACCAGCCTGGCTAACACGGTGAAACCCCATCTCTATTAAAAATACAAAAATTAGCCGGGCATGGTGGCGCATGCTTGTAATCCCAGCTACTCAAGAGGCTGAGGCACGAGAATTGCTTGAGTCCAGGAGGCGGAGGTTGCAGCTGAGATCAACCACTGCCCTCCAGCCTGGGTGATATCGCGAGGCTCTGTCTCTAAATAAATAAATAAATAAATAAAACTCTTCCATCCTCAACAACATATTAAACATTTAGTTTATTTCCAATCTCATAGGTGCAAAACAGTATCCCATTGTAATTGATATTTGCATTTCTTTTGTTATACTGTATAATACATCCATACATTGGAACACTGCTTAGAAGAGTGAGGACAGATGATATTATACATCTGAAAGAATAAAGATGTATACATACCATTTAAGGAAAAATAAATAAACACTGATGTAGTCAACTCACAGTTTACGAAATGGAACATTAGCAGTGCCTTGGAAGTCTCCAATCTCATCTCTCTCCTTTCCCGCCAGCGGTCACCACTATGCTAAATTTTGTATAGCTCATTACCTGCCTCTCTATTATTTATCATCTATATATAATATATTTATCATCTATATATATTTTTAAGATATATTTTTTAAAATCTACCTTTTTTGAATTTGCACAAATACAGTCATATTGTGTGGGCTGGGTGCAATGGCTCATACCTGTAATCCCAGCACTTTGGGAGGTTGAGGCGGATGGATCTTTTGAGGTCAGGAGTTCGAGACTAGCCTGGCCAACATGGTAAAACCTCATCTCTACTAAAAATACAAAAATTAGTTGGGTGTGGTGGCTCAAGTTTGTAGTCCCAGCTACTCGGGAGGATGAGGCAGGAGAATCACCTGAACCCAGGAGGCAGAGGTTGCAGTGAGCCAAGATCATGCCACTGCACTCCAGCCTGGGTGAAAAAGCAAGACTCTGACTAAAAAAAAAAAAGTTAGAGTCTTACTGTATGCATTTTTCTGTAACTCATTCCTTTCACTGGGTATTATTGTTTTGACATTTATCAATATATATGTGTATATACACATATATATACACACATATATACACAGACATGTACATGTATATATGTGTGTATATATGTATACATATACATATATATACAAATACTGGACAAAATAGACAAAAAGTTCAAAGAAAAGCTATGCACATATATATATATATATATATATATATATATATATATATATACACACACACACTGGTCAAAATAGGCAAAAAGAGAGTTATATAATATAAATATTATTTATATATATATATATATATATACTGGCAAAATAGACAAAACATAATAAATGTAACATGTTATATAATATACAGATTATATACATATATACTGGCAAAATAGACCAAAAGACAGTTATATAATATACATTTTTCATTTAGACATATATTATCACGGGAAATAAAATATCCATAATTTTGGAAGTACATCAAATGGTACATTGGAAGCCTTAGTGATTCAGTAAAGCTTTCCCCCAGAATTAGAATGTATATGTGTTTGTGTGGATATGTGTTTATGTGAATGTTGTGGAGTGTGGGAAACATAGAACTTGTATACTTAAACATCTTGTCTTAATGAGCATGCAGTCTAAAACACTAGTTTTATCAGATTAGCTAAAAACCCAGTACATTCATACTATGCTTTTTAACCTAATCCTGAGCCCAGTATTATGGAAGATTGAAAATACACAGAAACAAGTTGGCTTATTTGTGTTTTGGGCTTGTAATTTTGTAAGTTAGGTGCTGCAATATGAGAGCTATGACAGTTCTTTTCCGTAAGGAATTTATACTGTAGTTCTACTTTGACCTGCTTCTAAATTGGAATGTTATTTTAAAGATAACATTCAATATTCTTACCATACTCTATAAATTCTGAGAAGCTTGTTTAAAGTCCTACCTTTGTCCCTTCTAATATAGCCCTCTTCTTTGCTCCTACATAGAGGCCATCTATTTGTGCCATCACATAGCCTGTATGTCTCCAAAATGAATCAGTCTTGTATTCTTTGATATTTTTCCGGGTCCACTTATCTTGCTTCCTGGAAGAGAAATTAGATTTGCACCACAGTCTCAATAGTTGCTCATTCAAAGCTAAATCAAAGCAGGCATTGAGAGATTATATACTCAGACACTTATGCTAATGTGATTTAAATTCTAGATCTTGTAACACTCCAGTCACTCAAAGGACTTCAGGGCAAATTCTAACTGATTTTTAATTTCTCCCTAGGGTTATGATTCTTCTTTCACAGCTTCTTCTGTGCTGTATCTAGAACAAAAGCATAAGTGTGATAGTGACCTAACTGTGATACAAGACCTAAACATGTCAAGGAGAGACTATCCAAATGCATTTTGTGTAAAACCACAATGTTTCACAAAGTCAATAAAGGTAGGTTGATTCACCTTACTTTTAGTTGTAGAAGTAGTAAAGTTAAACAACGGGACAAAAATCTAAGGACAAGGTGGTTTATATCTGTTTGTATTTCTCTCAGATCATTTGCATAGCTTATGATTCATTCCGTTTCAGTTGTTATTAGTAACCGCTTCAATGCCTCTGTCCTAGCATGGTAGCAAAAATGTCATTTTTTAATGGTCCTTTCACTCTTCTTCCAGTTCTCTGAACTTTTATGGGATGATTTGATATAACTTTGCGTACTGAAAACTATTTCTGACTTGTCCAGGCTATCACTAGCTCAATCTTAGAATAATGTCATTGCTTCATGGGATCTAGCCCAGTGGTTTTTAACTGAAGCTCTATAGGACTTTAAGCATTTCATGAAGAGGTTGCTTAGAGTGCAGTTTGGAGGGCCAACCCAAGAGCCTTTCTGTCCCCAAATTAATCTCCTGTCATCCCACAAATGTAAACACATTTAAAACTTTAGTCTTAGAAAACTTTATTAAAATGGAAATATTCTCAGAGGGTGTTAAGAGTTATAACTTTAGATATTATTGAAGACCTCAGCTAGGATTAGTAAGCAGGCTCATGAAAAGGAAACATCTTAAAGAGCGAGGAGAGGGGATCCCTGAAAAAAGGAGAAGGGCCTCCATGAGGAACAGACCCAGGGACTTAACACTGGTACTTTACACTGGTGATGTTCCTCTAACCGTGTTAGCAATTGAGTATGCGATATTCAACTCAACCTTTGAAAGAGCTGAAATTAGAGAGCATGTTGTCTGCAACCACTTTTCATGCCATTAGCAAAAAGTGCTATACCCTACTACAAGAATAACTCTAGAGTCCTGCTAAAGAGATTAAAAAGAAATTGGCAAAAAATTGCTGCTTGAAATTACAGATTCAGTGCCTCCAACATTTAAAACAATGAAAAGAGAAAAGCTATTATACGTACTCCATAAAATCCTGCACTTTATCCATGATGGAAGGTTTCGTGATCAGCTGTGGGTAGAGGTTTGTGTAGTGGTCATTCATGTGTCTGAAATGATACATGAAAATTATTACATTTATATTTTTCTTCTTGGATTTCTCCATCACAGTAAATTATTCAATCATTTGGCTAACTAGGATGTCCCTTATTACAAACTCTGCCTACTATCTTTTTTTTCCTTAATAAATGCACAGTTTCAAATTGGGAAATATTTACAACATATAGAAAAGGATAGAATATTGAAAACACCCCAAGTATTCACCGCTCAACTTTATTAAGTTATTATATTTTGCCATATTTGCCACATATATTTTAAAAATCAAACAAAAAATTTGAGTCGAAGCCTCTGTGTGCACTTCCTGATGCTAATTGTTTTCCCTTCTCCCAAGAGGTAATAACTTCAGTCTTGAATCTGATTATTCCCATGCATGTTTTTATGCAATTACTACATATACATTTAACCATAAATAATGTATAGAATTATTTATCATGTTCGCAACACACTATAAAAAAGATCATACTGGCTGGGCACGGTGGCTCATGCCTGTAATCCCAGCACTTTGGGAGGCTGAGGCAGGCGGATCACAAGGTCAGGAGATCGAGACCATCCTGGCTAACACGGTGAAACCCCGTCTGTACTAAAAATGGAAAAAATTAGCCAGGCGTGGTGGCGGGCGCCTGTAGTCCCAGCTACTCGGGAGGCTGAGGCAGGAGAATGGCATGAACCTGGGAGGCAGAGCTTGCAGCGATTCTTTATTTTAAAACTTAAAAAAATTAAAAATGTCTCATATGGTGTACAGTTAATATTTTTAATTGATTAAAATAATCCACTTATATTACTGGGATTTTAACATTCTTGGATTTATCTCTATAATCTTTTCTGTTTTCCATTTACTATCCCTTTATTTGTCCCCTCTTTCATGTTTTCTTTGTTTAGATAATACTTTTGTTATTTTCTTTTCAGTTTTGCTGATTTAAAACCTATAGAATGTATTTTTATTCTTAATATTAAAAAGATATAACTAATATTTTCTTATAAAGTCTAAATGAGTTTTATATTTCTCTCTTCCTCCAAACATAAAGCATATTTTAGCAAATTTTAACTACCCATTGACATCCTCCATCATGTTATTGTTCAAAGATTTAGTTTTACCTTTTTAATTAAAAATTTTGATTTAAAAATTATTTTCTTAGGCCGAGCACGATGGTTCACACTTGTAATCCCAGCATTTTGGGAGGCTGAGGTGGGCAGATCACGAGGTCAGGAGTTTGAGAACAGCCTGGCCAACATGGTGAAACCCCGTCTCTACTAAAAATACACACACAAAAAAATTAGCTGGCCCTGGAGGCGTGCACCTGTAATCCCAGCTACTTGGGAGGCTGAGGCAGGAGAATCGCTTAAACCTGGGAGGTGGAGGTTGCAGTGAGCCAAGATCATGCCATTGCATTCCAGCCTGGGCAACAGAGCAAGACTCCATCTCAGGAAAAAAAATAAAAATTATTTTCTTTTTAACCTTTACAATTAAATTGTATTAATTTTTTGTTTCTTGTATTAACGATTGTTCCTTATATACCACACCTTCCCTACTATTATACTTGCTAAAGTATATCCTCTAACAGTTTAATAGACGTCTTTGGGTGGTAAACTTTTAATTTATGTATCTGAACATATTCTTATTTTGCCCCTACTCTTGGATAATTTAAATGGTTATAACATTCTAGTAAGATATTTCTCCTCAATACTTTTAAGATAATATCTTGGTATCTTCTGACACTATTGCTGATGATCAGCAATATGCTTCCTGCTGAAATTCCTTTGTAGTTAATGTCTTTCCTTTCTAATAGCTTTTAAGATTGTTCCCTTTATCTTCAATTGTCTGCAGTCTCATCTGCTGCATTATAGCAATTTAAAAGGCTGTGTCTTCCAACTAAGGACTTGTGTTTTTTTGAAACGGAGTCTTGCTCTGTCACCCAGGCTGGAGGGCTGCGGTGCGATCTTGGTTCACTGCAACCGCCGCCTCCCAAGTTCAAGGAATTCTCCTGCCTCAGCCTCCCGAGTAGCTGGGACTACTGGCGTTTGCCACCATGCCTGGCTAATTTTTGTATTTTTAGTAGAGATGGGGTTTTGCCATATTGGCCAGGCTGATCTTGAACTCCTGACCTCAGGTGATCCACCCACCTCAGCCTCCCAAAGTACTGGGATTATAGGAGTGAGCCACTGCACTGGGCCCGTTTTTTCCATTTTGATAAATTCTCAGCAATTACCTTGTCAATTATTGCTTATCTGCAGTTGCCTCTAGTCTCTTTTTCTGAAACTCCTAATAGGTCTATATCAGAGTTTCTCAATCTAATTGCTATGTCTAATAACAGTTTTTTCATAATTTTTACCCCTTTATCTCTTTGGGCTGTTTATGGTATAAATCCCTCAATACTAATATCTGATTCAGAATTTTTTCTCTGATTGTATCTAGTCTAGGGTTTGTCTATGTATTGAGATTTTTAAAAATTAACTTCTATAATTTTCTTTTATATTTTAACAAGTTCTTTAAAAAATCATCTTCTTACTTCTTATTCCTTGTTTAATAAATTCTCCAAGTTTTCTTTCATTTATAACTTAAAGCACCCTATGCAAATTTAAAGTCTTTGTTAAACCATTCTAAAAATTAATCTGGAGTATATTCATATTGTTGATTTTGTTGACTGTCTTTCAATTTCTTTGTGGATTTTGGAACTTTGGTGTGTAGGCATTTTTCTTTCCCCCCTCTCTGTCTCTCTCCCTCTCTCCCTCCCTCTTTCTCTGTCCAAATGCCTCCATCTGAGTCCTAGGAACCAGGTCTTACAGTGCCTTTTTGGGACTTCCATCCTATGGAATATTGCAGTGATATTTGTAAATAACTAAACCAGCTGTGAATGCTTTGGCTTTTGGTTGCCACTGCCTCCCCACCCCACACCCCCAAGCTTACCGTTTCTTATAAATCTGTAGGCTAGGACTTACATCACCAACACTATTTTGTGGCCTCCTTTCTACAAGCAGTTAAAAGCATCTGGCTCCCAGCCTTGACTCAGCTCACTCAGAGCCTTGAGGCCCTCACCCATCAGCAGGTGGCTGCCTCTGCTGGCTTCAGGCCAAGGGCCAGCAGATCCATATTTTATCACTTTGTTTTCTGTTCAATTTCTGGTAGAAGAGACATTTAATCTTGTTCTGGAGCCCAGGTGTGTTACTATGAGGTTTTCTTTCTACATATTTTCCCTATAATTTGCTCTAAGTTTAGAGCAAAGAGGAAGTCCCTGCACCCTCTGGACTGAATATTTACCTACAGTCCTCGTTCTGGTTTTTATCTGATGCTTTTCACTGATGTAGGGAGTTCAGAATTGGAGGCCATTCTGGATTCCAAGAATGGGAATTTGGCTCCTACACTTTGAAACTTCAGATATTCTTTATCTAGTTGTTTCCAGAACTGAAACTAATAAACTGAGAATAGTTTTATTGCTGGTGAAGTACACGACATTATGATCCTTTGAAATTTTTTATTTTATGGTCCTGGAATTTAATAAACTTTACCTCATGAGATTTTTTTTTCAAATTACCTGTGTATATATATTAAATTGAATCATCACATTTAACTATTATTTACATATAGTTTATGCTGTCACATACCTCTGCTTTGATCCATTCGGTTACTTTCTACCACCTCTTAATACAAGAGCAAGAACAGCAATAAAGCTAGACAAGTGTGTGGGTGACAAGAAAGGGATCCTCTGTCCTGGCCTCATGCTCTTAAAATGAGTTACATGAAGGCCAGCACGGTGGCTCACACCCGTAATTCCAGCAGTTTGGGAAGCCGAGGTTGGTGGATTGCTTGAGATCAGGAGTTCAAGACCAGCCTTGGCAACATGGCAAAACCCTGTCTCTACTAAAAATACAAAAAGCCAGGCATGGTGGCACATGCCTGTAACCCCAGCACTTGGGTGGTTGAGGCACAAGAATTGCTTGAACCCAGGAGGCTGAGGTTGTAGTGAGCAGAGATCATGACACCGCACTCCAGCCTGAGCAACAGAGCAAGATTCTGTCTCAAAAAAAAAAAAAAATGAAAAACAAAAAACAGTTATATGAAAATAGTTTTATTTATTGGAAACCAATAACTTGTGGGCTCTTCACTTACAATGCTCACTCAGGTAAAGAAACAAAAAATTCATACTTTTTATCCAAAGTCTTCCATCACTGCACCCTGCCTAGCTCCACCCAGAGTTCCAGATCCCCCACATTTTTCAGTCTATTTCAAGATAAGGCAGTAGTTCTCAACTGGCATGATTTCTCCCTGTAAGGAGCATTTCTAGAGACATTTTTGGTTGTCACACTGAGTGAGGGAGAAGGTGCAACTGCTAGCTAGTGGGTAGAGGCCACAGATGCTGCTAAAGATCCCACAAGGTACAGAACAGCTTACCACAGCAAAGAACAATCCAACCCAAAATGTCAATATTGCCTAGATGGGAAAATCCTTAAACAGAGGAACATTAATCCTGACTTGAGTGTCATTGCTGAGGATGTCTACTATATAACCATATACAAGACAGATAGAAATACAGGAAGGTAACTGGGCCAGAATTATTAAAATTTTTCTTCTGGTTTCTTTTTTTTCTTTTTTCTTTTTTTTCAGATGGAGTCTAGCTCTGTCACCCAGGCTGGAGTGCAGTGGTGTGATCTCAGCTCACTGCAACTTTTGCCACCGAGGTTCAAGCAATTCTACCGCCTTAGCCTCCCAAGTAGCTAGGATTACAGGCGTGTGCCACCACACCTGGCTAATTTTGTATTTTTAGTAGACATAGGGTTTCACCATGTTGGTCAGGCTGGTTTTGAACTCCCGACCTCAGGTGATCCGCCTGCCTTGGCCTCCCAAAGTGCTGGGATTACAGGTGTGAGCCACTGCACCTGGCTTTGTGTGTGTGTGTGTGTGTGTGTGTGTGTGTGTGTGTGTGTGTAGACTAGCTTTTTTGATTCTGACATTCAGTACAAGGGGAGAGAAACCTCCACCTTGAGATGAGAAGTGGGGGCCTCAGCCAGTCCTGCCACACACAGGGGCTCCAAGGAATACAATCTTCTTGCAGTTTCTTCAGGTTGAGGCCCTTCCCTCATCCCTCGTCCTGGGACCCTACACTTCTGTGTGGCAGAGCAATGTAGTGTAACATTAAAGAATCCAGGCTTTGAGCTCTGAGTTTAAAGCTTGACTCCACTACTTCTAAGCTATATCTTACTAAAAGCAGGATTCCCAACTTTTCCATGCTTCTGAATTCTCATCAGAGGCAACACTAGCGTCAACCTCATGGATGAGTTAGGTTTTGTTTCAGCTCCTGCAGTGTGTAAAGTCAGTAAGTTTCCTGCTAATTTGGCTGAGATTTTGCTCACATTTACCTCTTCAACACCTCTTCTACATGTTGAGAATCAAAAAGACATGTGCACACCCATCTTTCCCAGAATCTTTTTGCATGATGGCAATAACACATCATTTAGCACCTGTCATGTACTACCTCCTACGCTCTCCTGTTTGGATTCCCTGAGTCAGAGACCATATTGGGCTCCTTTAGTATTTCCCACAGTGATGAATCCATTTGTCTGTGGTAGCGGGGCATGTGCATGCAAACTCTGGGGCTAGATAGCCTCCTTTCCAATCCTGGCTCCTACTCACAAGCGTCGTGACTTTCAGCTAGTTACCTAACTTCCCAAGTTTTCATATAAATAATATGAAGATTATAATGATACATACCTCATGGTACTGTGGATTAAATAACTCAACATATGTCAAATGCTTTGAACAGTCTGACACATTGTAAATGGTATATAAGTGATGATTATCATCGTCATTGGTATTTTATGGTCAATTTTAAGTTACAAATAATTACAATTTGATACATCATTAGAAATTTTTGAGGGTGGGCCAGGCACGGTGGCTCACGCCTGTAATCCCAGCATTTTGGGAGGCTGAGGCAGACGGATCGCCTGAGGTCAGGAGTTCGAGACCAGCCTGGCCAGCATGGTGAAACCCTGTCTCTACTAAAAATACAAAAATTAGCTGGGAGTGGTGGTGCATGCCTGTAATCCCAGCTACTCAGGAGGCTGAGCCTAGAGAATCGCTTGAACCTGGGAGGCAGAGGTTGCAGTAAGCCGAGATTGTGCCACTGCATTCCAGCCTGGGTAACACAGGGAGACTCCATCTCCAAAAAAAAAAAAAAAAAAAAAAAAAGAAGAAGAAGAAGAAATTTTTGAGGGTGAGGCTGTGTCTGAGTTTGCTTTGCCCACAGTCTGGACCTAGAAGCATATTCAGTTTCTAACACCAAATGGAGCAAAAGAGGTAACACCAAGCACAAAGGAGGTCCCACCACTGACTACTTTCTCTAATTGTGCCGTGACCTTAGTAGAACCTCTTTTCATCACTGTTTTAGCAATGTTGTCTCAACATATTAATGTAAGTAAAAGGAGTTGCCTTTGAAGAATGTAGTCAGGAACCAACTCCCTACGTTTCTTCCTATCCTCAGTGCCACGCACAAAGTAGCAAAACAAGTGTTTGTTGTGCTGAGTTGACTCATTCAAACTGTGTAATACCAGAGGAGGGAGTTTCAGCAGCCGCGTGAACAACATAAGAGATCAGCTGCTTTATTAAAAACTAGAGCAGACCAGGTCCCCATACCCTTATCACCATGCTTTCCAGATAGGTTTCATGTCTCATTTTATTAAAAATCGATCCATGATTATTTAACAGTCTTTATATCATTCATGAGACATCAAAGGCTGAATCTGTAACTCTTAGGGAACTGTCCTATAGAGTGAAAAATCAGAGGAAGAATCTTCAGTTTGGTCAAGGCTGCTACCATCACACTCCATTACATGGAAATATACCTCATACTTAGAATTTGTTTCTAATAGAACTGGAACAATAGAATTCCATTAAACCTGATTAGCATGTAATTAAGTAACGGCTGGGAGCAAAGCACTATGCCAGACATCTGGGGTCTATAAAAATTAACAAAATACGGTGGCCGTCAAGGCACTAACAGGTGGTAGAGGAGAGAGATGGAGCTCTAATCCAGTGGGAATGAAATCTTAAAAAGGTTCATCAAGAAGACAGCATTTGAGATGGCCTTTGAGCTGCATCAAAGACTGCAAAGCAGAGGTCCTCTCAGGCTCTTGGTACCACATATATGGGAAGCCCCTCTTTGAGAAGGTGGGAAAATGACCACAGTCACACACTAGACAGAGATGACAGAGAGGTCATCTTTTATATTTAAGAAACCTCGGGCACTCTGTGCTCCAAGTAGAGAAGGACTGTTGGGAGCACTTCCATCCAAGGCCTTCCACACATGGCCCCCATTTGCCTTTTGAAACCCACCGTCCTTCGATTGTTCAACTGGAGCTTCCACTCCTCGGTCCTTGTTTTTGGTTTTTTTTTGAGATGGAGTTTCACTCTTGTTGCCCAGGCTGGAGTGCAATGGCGCAATCTCAATTCACTGCAACCTCCGCCTCCTGGTTGGAGTGATTCTCCTTCCTCAGCCTCCCAAGTAGCTGGGATTACAGATGCATACCACCATGCCAGTCTAATTTTTGTATTTTTAGTAGAGACGGGTTTTCGCCATGTTGGCCAGGCTGTTCTCGAACTCCCGACCTCAGGTGATCCTCCCACCTCGGCCTCCCAAAGTGTTGGGTTTACAGGCGTGAGACACCGTGCCCAGCCACTCCTCACTCCTTGTAAATGCAACTTACTCATTTCAGACTCAGTGCCTTTTTTCAGTACTCTGTTCCATTACATTCTGCTCAGAATGACTTTATCCCTCTTCCCAGCCAAACGCAGTAGTTCTCTTCTATCAAGCACCAAGCCTACAACTCACTTCTTCCACAAAGCCTTCTTTGACTATTCTGGCCACTGGAGTGCTTTTCTCTCTTGTACTCTGTACTTATGGCTAACAAGCTCTTTTGAGGTTGTTCTCCGCAGTAGAGTTGCTAGCAAGAGTGAACCAGCTTTTCCTTAAGGACATAGTTTTAGAGATTCTAGAGCTATCTCTGCCCCACTCCTGATCATTTGCCCTTGGGCTGCTGCTACTGGTCTGAAGGGAAGGCAGACTCAGATGCTCAAAGCCTGCATCACAATTTGCAAGAAGTCTTTTTGTTTGTTTGTTTGTTTGTTTTTAAAATTTTCAAAGGCTGACTTATACGTGTCAACTTTTTTTTGAAAGGACATGGCAAAAAGGCAAATTAAACAAGAAAACAGTTCCTGAATAGTATAGCGAGTGTCTTTTTTTAAGAAACAAAATTACCAGCCTGGGAAACATAGTGAGACCTCATCTCTACTAAAAATAAAAAATTAGGCTGGGTGCGGTGGCTCACGCCTGTAACCCCAGCACTTGGGAGGCCAAGGCAGGTGGATCATCTGAGGTCAGGAGTTCGAGACCAGCCTGACCAACATGGGGAAACCCCGTCTCTACTAAAAATACAAAATTAGCCAGGCGTGGTGGCTCATGCCTGTAATCCCATCTACTTGGGAGGCTGAGGCAGAAAAATCTCCTGAACCCGGGAGGCGGAGGTTGCAGTGAACCGAGATCACGCCATCGCACTCTAGCCTGGGCAGCAAGAGTGAAACTCCGTCTCAAAAAAAAAAAAAAATTATTTGAATGTGGTGGCTCACACCTGTAGGCTCAACTACTGTGGAGGCTAAGGTGGGAAGATCTCTTGAGCTCAGGAGGTCAAGGCTGCAGTGAGCCATGATTGTGCCACTGCACTCCAGCCTGGTAACAGAGCAAGACCCTGTCTTAAAATAAATAAATAAATAAATAAAATTTCTGCTTTAATACAGGCCTGGCGTGGTGGTTCATGCCTGTAATCCCAGCACTTTGGGAGGACAAGGTGGGAGGATCACGAGGTCAGGAGTTCGAGACCAGCCTGGCCAATGTGGTGAAACCCCATCCCTACTAAAAATACAAAAATTAGCTGGGTATGGTGGCGCGTACCTGTAGTCCCAGCTACTAGGGAGGCTGAAGCTCAAGAATTGCTTGAATCCGAGAGGCAGAGGTTGCAGTGAGCCGAGATTGCGCCACTGCACTCCAGCCTGGGCAACAGAGAGACTCTAACTCAAAACAAACAAACAATTTTTACTCTAATACAGAAGTATTTTTAAAAAGTTATTATTAGAATGGCTTTTTCTATAGATTTTTTTTGGCTAGTGGATAAAGTTACTCAAGAATAGGTCAATGCTTTATCTAAAAAATGAAGGCAAAATGATAAAGCCACCTTCAAAAGTGGCTGCTATGAGATGTTAAAGCTTATTTTTTTCTGAGACATAAGAATATCAGAGGTGCCACCTTTGTCAAAGCCCACTAAATCTCTGTGAGCTCTAACAATAACACCAACAGAAATATCCAAGGGAAACGTGCATTCTTAGAACATTCTCAGAGATTAGAGCTGCTTTCTGCAAATCACAGTTTCCATTAATAACCCACTGTATATGTCACTCATGAGTTAATCTAACCTATTTATATTCACACAACTTTGGTTCAAATTGTTTCTTCAAACTCACGACTCAATTTAAATAACACAATCAGAATTCAGTGCGAACAGAAGTGGATAAAGATTTGGAGAAGTTCAGATTTTTACCTGTATAATATGGTTTTAAACATGTTTAAAAAATCTAATTCAGTTTATGAAGTTTTATAAATCTATGAATAGTACACCGTTAAGGAGATTTGTATGGTAGGGTAAAAAAATTGGGTATAAAAATAAAAACAAAAATTTGTAGTTTGTATTAAAAAAGAGCAATCAGAGCTCAATAACTAGTCATTCAACATCTGATACAATCTCCAGTACTCAAAATAGATTAAGACTGACATTTCACTTACTATGACTAAGGCAGTAACAGCCCAAGTAAAGTTTGGTTAAACTGCACTCAACAATCTAGGTCACAGAGAATAAAAGAGGCAAGCAAAGTCATCAAGATACTTTTTATATCAAAGGAGGGATGAGAGTCGATTAAATAAATTGCAACTTTATTTTCCTTAAAGACCTCTTCTCTAAAAGGCATGTATCCTGATTGCATTATTATTAATTACGTCCTTGTTACTTTTATAAGGCAAGGCAAGGACACTAGAATCAAGTAATGGTAGAACTAGAAGAAACATTTATTTTAGACTCATTATACTTTCAATTTAAAAATCTCTGCCCACATGGAGCTATTGTTTCAAGATGGCTGGAAATAAATGCACCAACCGTTTATTTTTAATTACTCTTCCCTGCTCTGTTGTTCTCAAGGAGTGACCCCACCTCTCATTTGCTTTCTACCAGACAACAAGTGACTAGTAGGATGAAATGACTTTGCTGTCTTTAAAATCATTTCATGGCTGGGTATGGTGGCTCACACCTGTAATTCCAACACGTTGGGAGGCAAAGATGGGAGGATGGCTTGAGGTCAGGAGTTTAGGACCAGCCTGGGCAACATGGGGAGACCCTGTCTTTGCAAAAATATATAAAATAAAACAAAATGGTTTCATGGGATGGGAAGATTTTTAAGAAGTAAGTGCCATGAGAATTAAAGAGTGCCACACTTGGAGGTTTTGTTCCTTTTAGGCAGGTACTGATTATGGGAGCAAATGCAATTCTGAGCTGGGCACAGTGGCTCATGCTTGTGGTCCCAACTACTCAGGAGGCTGAGGTGGAAGGATTGCTTGAGCCCAGGAGATCAAGGCTGTGGTGAGCTATGATCGCCACTGCACTCCAGCCTGGCAACAAAGCGAGACTGTGTCCCATGCCTCACCCCCGCAAAAATGCAATTCTGATAATGTCTCTATCACACATGTGAACTCCAGCTACTCTTCAGTTCTAATGTGCAATGCCAGGAAGATGAGAGTCACTGTGGAACATGGGAAGGACAGGGGTTGCCTGGCAGTGGCTCTACCATGACTGGGATACTTACGGGGCAGTGAGGTAACCCTCCAAAAAGCCAGCCACAAACATGATGATCTCATTGCTCAGGGTTTGAGAGCCATAGCCAGCTCTGATCTCCAGGATGCCCCAGCCTGTGGTTTTCACAGAGTTATTGTAAAAGCCATAGGCGTCCCCATTCTTGTCCATTACATTTTTGACTTGTACTGTCTTTTCAGCAGGCATCCAGTATGCAGTTGCATAGTAGACTCCTAGAAGAAAAGGGAATAATGACAAAAACGCCATTCAAATGAGTTGTGATGCATTTTTTTCCTATGTATCCAACAATTTCAAGACGTTTGCTTTTAAAGATTTCCATTCTATTAGAATTGGGAAATCTGCCGTTACAGTTTGCCCTTAATTCCAAGTGGGGAAAAACTGGAATCCCAATCAAGGGGGATAAGCCCAAAACACAAAGAGCAAGGTCAAAGGTGGGGGTGTAGCTACAGCATCATAGAGGTGAGCCTGAGTGTTTCATCCTTAGAGGGTGGGAATCTGGGCAGGGCTGGAGCTGGACCTTACGCCTACTTATTGAGAGCTTGTTTGGAGGTTCTCGCAGGATGGCTCAGCTAGTTGTATACCCTTGACTGAAGACCGATCCTCCTCTATCAGGGATGATCGTCCTCTTTGACTGAGCGCTCAGCTTCAGGAGGGACGCACATGGAGCAGTGAGGGAGGAAGGGGACACCCGCCTAGCCAGCCAGATCAGCCAAATCAACCCTGGTGGTCAATGGGGTGACAGATGTCGCAGCCAGATTGCCCTCACTTCCAACGCCTACTTCTTAATTCAGACAAGAATAGGGCTCTTGTCCCTAGTCAGCAACTTCTTCCATTCCCCTTAACAGGTGGAACAAAACATCACCTTTCTCAGGCTCCTTATCCCTTGTCTCCTGCTTAATTCATCTAATGTCATATGACATTAGATTCTTTGCAGAAAAACTAGAAGCTATCACCTGTGACTCCGTATGGTGTTGATAATTTTGTGGGTCCGTCCCTACACAATCCCTGCACTCATCACGCCCATCTCTCCATTCTGGTTCACCTCCATTCTTTGACCCATGCTCTGGATCTCACTCTACCACCTTTAGGAACTCTGTTCTATCTTGTATCCTCTCGCTTCTGTGCCCTAAAGCTCCCTCTCTCGGCAGTAGCTTCTCCCCCTTTGGCATAGTTAACATGCTCCATTGTCTCATAGCTAAAAATAAACCAACTACAGAAGCCATCTGGATCCTGTGACCCAACAGAGCTATTGCTAGAATCTCTCACTCCCTTCATGAAATCATTACAAAGTTTAAAGTGTCCACACTGAATCAGGGACTGTTTTGAGTGCTGGTGACAGAGCTGTGAACATGACTGGCACAGTTCCAGGCCTCGCCTTCTGGAAAGAGGAATGCACTCACACCCTGCACTTCCTCCTCCTGTCCCTTGCTCCAGCCGGCTGCAGTCTGCTCTCCACCTCCAGGATACCAATGCGTCTTCTGCCTGGGTCACTAACAAAATCCTTGAGTCCTAATGTCATATGAACTTCTGAATGCATTGGACTCATGACCACTTACTCTTAAAACTTTTTCCTTCCACGGCCTTTGGGACACTACACCCTCCCCAGTCTCCTCCTGTGCCTGCCTTTTTCCTCATTCTCCCCACAGGTTCCTCTTTATCTTCAATACCCCACAGCACACTTAATAACACAATCTGGATGATTCCATCGCACTAGAGATTCGAAATATCCTCCATCGTGGTGTTTTCTCTCTCAGTGATCTCCCAGCCTGAAATTTGAATCCATCCTGGCTTCCTTTCTCTGTCTCATAACTTATGTTTAATCAAAGCCTTCTAAATATCTCTCCCACCAATCTCTACCTCTTTATCCCTATATTTTTATGCTACTTTAGGTAACACAACTAGCCGTTTAAGTATAGAAGAGGACTTTTTCAAGGTTTCTCTGACCTTTAATCCATTCTTCGTTCTCTACCAGAGTAGCACTTCTAAAATGTGAACTGATTTTGTTAGCTTGCCGGCTAAGAATGTTCAATAGTTTCTATTTCTTAAAAGTTCTGCTGCTGGGAGCAGTGGCTCACACCTGTAATCCCAGCACTTTGGGAGACCAAGGAGGACGGATCACCTGAGGTCAGGGGTTCGCGACCAGCCTGGCCAACATGGAGAAACCTCGTCTCTACTAAAAGTACAAAATGAGCCAGGCATGGTGGTGTGCGCCTGTAATCCCAGCTACACGGGAGGCTGAGGCAGGAGAATTGCTTGAACCCGGGAGGCAGAGGTTGCTGTGAACCTAGATTGTGCCATTGCACTCCAGCCTGGGCAAAAAAGTGCGAAACTCTGTCTCAAAAACAAAAAAACAAAACAAAACAAAAAGTTTTGCTTCCCACTTGGCCTTCGTGACCTGGTTTCCATCTACCTATCCAGCTTCCTCATCACCCACACGCACATTCGATGATCCAGAGACCATCACATACAGCTCTCCAACCTGCCAGTAACTAGGTCAACACCTTTGACTTTGCAGATGCTATTTTTTCTGCCTGATGTTTTCCCTCTGGTTAGCCACCTAGCAATCTCAAAATTGCTATTTAGGACCCAGGAAGCAGCACCTCTGTTGCAGGGAATGACTTCCTCTACAAACTCAATGCTTGTAAGCACACCATCTTTATGCCTTGTCACACTGTACTGTAACTTACATGCTTGCCCCTGCTCCTAGACTAGAAGCTCCCTGAGGCCAGAGACTGTGTCCTCAGCACTTGCAGTGCCTGGCCCATAATGGGTACTCAATAAATATTTGTGAAAGGAAGGAAGACTTAGGAAGAAAGAGAAAGAAACAAGGAAATAAGACATGGAGAAAGGAAATGGTAAAATATGACGTGTTCTTTTCTCTGTCTGAGAAGCCATTACACATGTGCTCTGGTTGAAGAATCTATACATTCAGGTCAGTCATCAGAGAGGTGGGAGGACGCCAGAATGACTATCAGGTTTTAGGCTGAGACTCAGTGGATGGATGTTGTATCATTTACCAAGAAAGGAAGCACATGGACAATATGTCTGGGAGGGATCAGGAGTTTAGTTTTAGACATATTGAGTTTTTAGTGATTAAGAGGCTAGAAAGTTTTCAGATTAAATATTTACACAGGGTTATTTGTTGGCAAACGTTCCAAACTGGACCAACATTTTACCTTTTTTTTTTGAGATGGAGTTTCCCTCTGTCATCCAGGGTGGAGTGCAATGGCAAGATCTCAGCTCACCGCAAACTCCACCTCCCAGTTTCAAACGATTCTCCTGCCTCAGCCTCCCGAGTAGCTGAGACTACAGGCATGCACCATCACATCCGGCTAATTTTGTATTTTTAGTAGAGACATTGTTTCTCCAGGTTGGTCAGGCTGGTCTCGAACTCCCAACCTCAGGTGATCCGCCTGCCTCGGCCTCCCAAAGTGCTTGGATTACAGGCATGAGCCACCGTGCCTGGCCAACATTTTACTTTTTGATGTTAAGATTGTCTATCAGCCAGGTGCAGTGGTTCACCGCTGTAATTCCAGCATTTTGGGAGGCCGAGGCAGGAGGATCACCTGAGGTCAGGAGTTTGAGACCAGGCTGACCAACATGGAGCAACTCCGTCTCTACTAAAAATACAAAATTAGCTGGGCATGGTGACGTAAGCCTGTAATTCCAACTACTTGGGAGGCTAGGGCAGGAGAATCGCTTGAACCTGGGAGGCGGAGGTTGCAGTGAGCCGAGATCGTGCTATTTGCACTTCAGCCTGGGCAACAAACAAGAGCGGAATTCCCTCTCAAAAAAAAAAAAAAAAAAAAGACTGTCTGTCACGCTTTTCAAAATAATACATACATGTGGCCAACAAGCATGTGAAAAAAAGCTCAACATCACTGATAATTAGCAAAATGCAAATCAAAACCACAATGAAATACCACTCCACATGAGTCAAAATGGCTATTATTTAAAATGTCAAAAAAATAACAGGTGCTGGTGAAGTTTCAGAGAAAAAGGAATGCTTATACACTGTCGGTGACAGTGTAAATCAGTTCAACCATTGTGGTGATTCCTCAAAGACCTAAAAACAGAAATACCATTCAACCCAGTAATCCCATTACTGGGCATATACTCAAAGGAATATAAATTGTTCTGTCATAAAGACACATGCACACATATGTTCATTGCAGCACTACTCACAATAGCAAAGACATGGAATTAACCTAAAGGCCCATCAGTGGTAGACTGGATAAAGAAATTGTGGTACATATACAGCATGAAATACTATGCAGCCATAAAAAAGGATAAAATAATGTGCTTTGCAGGAACATGGATGGAGCTGGAGGCCATTATCCTGAGCAAACTAACGTAGGAACAGAAAACCAAATACTGCATGCTCTCACTTATAAGTAGGAGCTAAACGATGAGACACATCCTTTAGTCCATTATGTTTCTAATGGACACATAGAAGGGAACAACAGACACTGGGACCTACTTCAGGGTGGAGGGAAGAAGGAGAGAATCAGGAAAAATAACTAATGGGTACTAAGCTTAATACCTGGGTGATGAAATAATTCATACAATGACTCCTGTGACACACATTTACCTATACAGTAAACCCGCACATGTATCCCTGAACTTAAAATAAAAGTTAAAAACAGAAATACCATTCAACCCAGTAATCCCATTACTGGGCATATACCCAAAGGAATATAAATTGTTCTATCATAAAGACACTTGCATACGTATGTTCATTGCAGCATTATTCACAATAGCAAAGACACAGAATCAACCTAAATGCCCATCAGTGGTAAACTGGATAAAGAAATTGTGGTACATATACACAATGAAATACTACGTAGCCAAAAAAAAAAAAAAAAAAGACTGTCTATCAAATATGCACTAAAAGTAGAGTCTTAATACTAGAGCATCATGGCACCGTGCTCCCGGGGCTCGGTGATAGGCTGGGGCTTAGTCAGGCTTAGAAACTAATCCTGATTAAACGCTTAAGGAATGATCTGAGTAGGCCTAAGTCAATTGACTTCTGAGTACAATGACCATCATGGCAGGCCTTCACAATCGTTAATCGGAAGTAATGGCATTAAGAAATAGGGAGGTGTCAAATAATTTGCCAATAAACTGCGGGTGACAAATAATTGTCTGATTGTTAATGGAGCCATTTGGCCACAATTTGACAATTGTAGGCAGCACCCACAGAAACTTCCCTTCTCCACCCAAAGGCAATAAATGTGTTTTCCAAATCCATTTTTGACCATATATCCCCAGCTTTTCTCACACATTCCCTTCCACCCTCGACTCCAGGGAGCGTTGTAGGGAAATGAGGAAGTGTGGCTGCTGGAATAAAAAGCAGAGTCATAAACAGGAACCATAAAAGAAAAAAGGAAGGTGTGTCTCTTCTCTTTTCTTTCTACCCACAAAGCATGATTTTAGCTTTTTCTTCTTCTCCAAAACCTTGGCATTTCTCATCGTAAGCACCCCAGGCCTGCCTTCCCCTTCCCTTTCCAATCAACTCCTTTTTGCTGTAATTTGGGGCTTGCTCAAGGCAACCTGAGTACTAAACCAAGAGCTATGTTTTCACTGTTGCTGGTCCTACCTAATTTCCTGACCACAAAAAGAAACTTCTGCAAATATGTGCTTTTTTGACACTCGTGTACCTCCATGAATGAAAAAACCTTTACTCAATCCCCAAGAGATTTTGGTGAGAAAAATGTCCTGCCAACAGCTTAGCATGTGCTTTGAGAATAAAGCCAAAATCAGAGTTTTCACTCCACTCCAACCGAGGTCCTCCATTCCTCAATGTTTTCTCTAAGTTTCAACTCTTCCTGGTTTTCCCAGTATTCATGCTATTTTCTGATTTTCTTAAATCCTGTAATAGTTTAAGCCATTATACTTTTCCATTTTTTAAAAACATCTTCATGATGGGAGGTGGCTGGTATGAAAAATGTAATAGTGAAAAGGTAGAAAAATAGTACATAATTCTAATGCAAACCTAGTTTTATACAAGCTCTGTGAAAGCGCGGACTGTTTCTGCTTAACACTCTATAAACCTGACAAAATAATGTTTCTTTGATGAATCTAGTTTGTGTGTGTTCTCTAAATGAAAAGAAAGCCATTTATTTATTTATTTATTATTTATTTTTGAGCTGGGGTCTCGCTCTGTTGCTCAGGCTGGAGTGCAGTGGCACAATCACAGCTCACTACAGAGTGGAATTCCTGGGTTCAAGCAATCCTCCTACCTGAGCCTCCCAGAAAAGGAAGCTCATCAGAGCACTCATTCACAGAAGTTAGTATGAAATAACTCAAGTAATTATGTTTTCAAGCCTGGGTGAGAAACTTACTAAATGGCTCGGAATCTTGGATTAAGTCTACCCAGCCCCAAGAGCAAGAGCTATTTGTTGGTATTTTCTTTAGAGTTGTGAAAAGGAAAAGTCAGAATTCAAACATTTTAACAGCAATATCCTCAAAATCAATGCACTTGATTAAATATCTGTTGAATGAATGGGAATCTTATTTATAAAAAGTATTTTTTTCTATAAATAAAGATGGAAAATGTGCCATCATTTTTATATTTCTCTCTGTAAAAGCCCAAACACCAAAATTAAATTTATTTTATTAATATTTACTTGTATACTCTGATTAATATTTTATTTATTTAATTTTTTTTTTTTTTGAGACAGAGTTTTCGCTCTTATTGCCCAGGCTGGAGTGCAATGGTGCGATCTTGGCTCACCACAGCCTCCGCCTCCCGGGTTCAAGCGATTCTCCTGCCTCAGCCTCCCAAGTTGCTGGGATTACAGGCATGCGCCGCCACGCCTGGCTAATTTTGTATTTTTAGTACAGACAGGGTTTCTCCATGTTGATCAGGCTGGTCTCGAACTCTTGACCTCAGGTGATTTGCCTGCCTTGGCCTCCCAAAGTGCTGGGATTACAGGCATGAGCCACTGCGCCCAGCCCAATTAATATTTTCTATGAGTTCATTGTTTTCAGTTGAAAAAATTCCTACCCTGTCTTAGGAAAAAAAATGTATAAAATACTCATAAGTAGCTTAAACTATTCTCTCCCATATTTGGATTCTATAATAATTTTTCTAGCACCTCATTTATGAAAGAGCAGGTAGTTTTCAACCCCAAGCAATGCAATGTTTACTTAATATATTCAGAAGTCAGAGGGGAAAAAAAGAGAAAGAAATGAGAAAGAGATCAAGCAAAAGATGTTGGAGAAAATAGAAAAAAATTAAAATGAAAACAATCTATTCATATTGGGTTTAGCTAAAAATTCACTGGTTTTGGTCCTTGAATTGCTTTTCTCTTTTATGTCTGCTCGGCTAGTCTCTCAGTATACCTCTGTGTACCTTGGCATTGCACTTGCCTTCTTTGAAAGGTCTCTCAGTAAATTGATACCTGGTTTTTGGATTTGTTTTGACTCTTCATCGGAGTCACTAACGAAATAACTGATTTGTAAATTAAACAATCTCCAGTAAACAAAATTGCAAGTAGGTGTTTAAGCCTTGGCTCTCTCCAGATATCAGAGACTAAGATGCCTGCTGGAAGGAGGATTATTTTGGCAAGTACTTCCAGAGAACAGGAGTGGTGGGCTGGGAGAGTGAAAGGGAGGAACACCGATTGAAGGGTGCATTCTGAGCTGGTTTCCACTGTGGACACAGGGGTTGATCCCACTGGGACTAGCCTCGGAAATCTTCATCCCAGGGATGGAGGACCCAGCTACCTGCTCCCATACTACAAAGGTCAAACGTTGCCCTAGGAAGGGTTAACTCCCTCACTCCATGTCTGCATGTGCTCCAGGACTAAGTGGCTGTGATTTCAGAGACGCCCTGAGGTGGAAATTAAGAGATTTCTACAGTGAGGTTGAGATGAGGCACCTCAGATCACCTGCAGGAAGTGGAAATAAAAGGCAAGTGAGAGGATGTGAGGTGGGCCTCAGGGTCAGGAAGTGCAGGACACACTAGATAAGTAGAAAGGGATACAGCTTTAAAAACTAGCTTCAAAACAACAATCCACAAATGCAGAAAAATGCCGGAGATTTGCTTAGATCTGGAATGATCCCTTTCCTTCATCCCGTTGAAACATACCGATTTGTCACTGGCAGCTGAAATCAGAGTTCTTGCCAAAAGCCCTATCAGCTGAAAGTCAACTTTGCCCCATTCTGGTTCCATGCTGTTAGGTCAGTCCTCATCTAGATTACTCATTAATTATGCATTTGTGTCTGCTTGGTCCTAAAAATTTGATTACAAGCTCCTTGCAGATGAGAGGTGGAGTCTCACATTTCATTGTATCCACTCCCTTGGGCCTAGCACAATGCTTTATGGATTACGTGGCCACCTGGATCCCCAACTTTCTTTTGTTTTGAGACAGAGTTTCGCTCTTGTTGCCAAGGCTGGAATGCAATGGCACGGTCTCGGCTCACCGCAACCTCCGCATCCCGGGTTCAAGCAATTCTCCTGCCTCAGCCTCCTGAGTAGCTGGGATCACAAGCGTGCGCCACGCCACACCTGGCTAATTTTGTATTTTTAGCAGAGACGGGGTTTGTCCATGTTGGTCAGGCTGGTCTCGAACTCTCAACCTAAGGTGATCTGCCTGCCTTGACCTCCCAAAGTCTTGGGATTACAGGCGTGAGCCACTGCACCTGGCCTGGATCCCAAACTTTCACACTGGCTGGGAAGGTCACACCTGGTGACAGACTTTATCAAGTTATATAAACTTGATAGTACAGTCATTCTCGATTTCTAATTATGAATTAGAACTTTGGTGTCCTAGGTTTGCAAATGACCTGAAAGAGAATAACACCGGTGTGAATAACTTGACACTCCCTTATGCTGAAATTATTACTGCATATGCAAGGCAGATGGACAAATTTCAGAGCCAGCCTGTCTCTTTCGTTGAAGTGCTCATTCTGTTTTCATCTCTCTCAATCAAGAGACTTCCACAGTTTTCTCTAGGAAGACTGTATCATGGCCAGGTGTGGTAGCTCATGCCTGTAATCCCAGCACTTTGGAGGCCAAGGCAGTCTGATCACCTGAGGTCAGGAGTTTGAGACCCACCTGCCCAATATGGTGAAACTCCCGTCTCTACTTAAAAATACAAAAATTAGCCAGGTGCGGTGGCACATGCTTGTAATCCCAGCTACCTGGGAGGCTGAGGTAGGAGGATCGCTGGAACCCAGGAGGTGGAGGTCACAGTGAGTTGAGATTGCAGCACTGCGGTCCAGCCTGAGTGACAGAGTGAGACTCCCTCTCAAAAAAAAAAAAAAAAAAAAGACTGTAACTGAACATGATTATGTTATCTGTGTAGACAGTGTTTCAAGTCTTAAGCTAAAATTTCCCCATAATTTCACTACCTCTATTTCATTTTTTACCACATTAATTCCTGTTTTGCAGTAGTAAAAAGAAGCTCCGTAATAACATTATTAACACATTTTCTAGTCACATTTTCAAGCTGGATGTTCGAAAGATTGTAACATATAAGTTGTATAAACTAGACTCCATTCCATTTTTTTGAAAGGCAAAACCTAAATGCATAAAAATTACTTAAAATGCTGAAGAAAATAAATCCCTTTGGTTTTATTCCATGAAGGGTACCACTACCTCTTTTATTTTGCTGTCTCCATAGTTAATGCCTTATAATGTGAAATCTAACAAAAGCAAAGGATAACAAGTGACAATGTAAAATTCATGTCTAAAGAAGTATGAAAACAAAAATTTCTTTTCTGCATGTCAACACTCAAGACAAAGTTCATATGTTTCTTAGCATATATATTATAAAAATAAGCCACCATGAATTTTTTTTAAAAAAATTGTTTTACTTCAATGTAAACACTGAAGGAGGATCCTTTTAAATATTCTTCTAAAGATTTTTATCTTTGCTACCAAATTTATGTTTTCAGAAGGACCAGGAAACAAAGTTTAATAATGAAGATAAGTGGGCACTTCCTTCAGACTTTGTTCTGGAATTTATCTTGTGTACATTATGCAAACAAGTTGATAAAGGGAGAGCACAAGAAAATGTTCAAGTTGGGACTGGGCACGATGGCTCACACCTGTAATCTCAGCACTTCGGGAGGCCAGGGCAGGCGATGCACTTGAGGCCAGGAGTTTGAGACCAACCTGGGCAAAATGGTGAACCTCATCTCTACAAAAAATACAAAAATCAACCAGGCATGGTGGTGCATGCCTGTATCCCAGTTACTCGGGAGGCTGAGGCATGAGAATCACTTGAACCTGGGAGGCGGAGGTTGCACGGAGCCAAGATCGCGCCTTTGCACTCCAGCTTGGGCAACAGAGCAAGACTCTGTCTCAAAAAAACAACAAAAAAAAAATTACTTCAAAGCACATGGATTATCATCTTCAATCCTGCCTGCCTTATCAAGACATGATAACTTTTTAGAGAAAAACAACTTCAGTGGCCACTCAATTATACAGCACTTACTGCATGTCAGGCACAGTGTTTCTCACAACAGCCCCATGAGATAGAGACACTTATAATACCCATCTTCCAGTTGAGGAAACCAAAGTACATATAGAGAAAATAACTGACTAAAGGTCACATGGCAAGTGTTGGAGTCAGGCTTCAAACACAGGCATTAGGGTTCCAAAGGATTTCCTCTTGCTGGAATTCTGTGTTACCTCTCTAATACTATACTTCCAAGAATGAAGGACTTCCGTGTAAAGAATGAACATACTGAGCAACTGTGAGGCCTTATGTCGAATGAATTTGGAAATAAGAATGTCCTCAGAGACCAGGTGCAGTGGCGGTCGCCTGAACCCCAGGGCTTTGGGAAATGAACCTGTGGGAGGATCACTTGCGAGCAAGAGTTTGAGATCAATCTGGGTAACATAGTGAGACTCTATCTCTACAAATAATTTTTTTTTTTAATTAGCCAAGTGTGGTGGTGTGCACCTGTAGTCCCATCTACTCTGAGGCTGCAATGAGCTATGATCGTACCATTGTACTCCAGCCTGGGTGACAGAGCAAGGCCCTATCTCCAAATAAATGAATAAATAAGAATGTCTGCAGAGTTAAAGGAGCAACTGAAATTGACCCCAGTCATAGGTCTGCCAAATCAGCTTATGGAGACTGAATGTTCCAGGATATTAAACTTTTTGACAACCAGATAAAGGTATTAACTGTTATTCTCAAGTGGACACTGGTAAGCCATGGCAATGTGGAAAAGGCAGTGTCCCAAAATCAGGGACCAGCAATGCTAGGCAAGCACCATGCAGTGGAGGGGCACTCTCTCGGCTGACTCAAGTGTATGATGCCTACCAGGAGACAGACAAATCAGGCCTCCAGCCTGACAATCTGTGATGTTATCTACCCCCATGTGGTTTGATTACAGTGAGAAAGTGCCTAGAGCAGACCTCACAAATATCCAGTCTGCCTGACAGTTATATTTCTAACTAAAAATTATGCTAAGTCTGATGAATAGACTTGGGTGTATATCAGGGTGAATCAGCTTTCTTAGCTGTGATCAGATATGGAGCAGTAGAAAGACTGAATTTCTGGAGTCTAGCCCTGCAAGGCCGAGGGCCAGATTCTGAACCAGTTTTACCAATATACATACCATATTATGAGTCTCTCAGCAGCCAACCCTAAAAGAATGTCTGCAGAGTTAAAGGATCAACTGAAACTGACTCCAATCATAGGTCTGCCAAATCACCTTATGGAGACTGAATGACTTCCAAGATGTTAAACTTTTTCAGAACCAGATAAAGGTATGATTTATTTCTCTAGTGACCACCTGACTTCTCTATACATACCACTTAGAAAAAATTATATAAGGACCTTCTAAAATCAATTATGGGGCTTTTGGTCTGGAAAGATAAACGCAACACCATATGTCTGAAATCATAGCTTGAAAGATTTGGCTAGAATGACTGTGCAATTATTTGTCAACTTCTGGAATAATAAAACTATAGAGTAACCTTTACAAATTGAAGAATATGCAAGAATTAACTAAAAGTGTCCGGGCATGGTAGCTCACACCTGTAATCCCTGCACTTTGGGAGGCTGAGGCGGGCAGATCACCTGAGGCCAGGAGTTCGAGACTAGTCTGTCCAACCTGTTGAAATCCCATCTCTACAAAAAATATAAAAATTAGCTGGGCGTGGTGGTGTGTGCCTGTAATCCCAGCTACTCGGGAGGCTGAGTCAGGAGAATTGCTTGAACCAAAGAGGTGGAGGTTGCAGTGAGCCGAGATCACGCCACTGTACCCAGCCTGGGGGGAAAATAAAAATAATAGGAAATAATAGTAAAAAAAAAAAAAAGTAAAATTAAAAATTGAAGAAGTTGTTTTTGGATAGATAGATGCATATGAGTGGATATAAAATCCATTCCAAGGGGATGGACATGCAATCCCTTTAGTGTTTACTGAATTCCTACTAAGTTCAGGGTACTGAGCTGGGTACTTCAGAGAACACATGACAAGTGAGAGGTAGCAAGTCCCAGTTCTTTACTCTTTGGTTGTTCGCAGGCTAGTAGAAGGGTAAAGACAAAGACCCAAAAAGCCTCAAGGGAAAACAGATTAATGTGGGTAGGACAAAGGAAACAGAGATCTCATCTGCTGAAATAGTGTGGCATCACCAGATGTCCTTAACACCTAGGTAAGTAAGAATCCTTTCCAGATTGCTGGGCATGGTGCTGTCAGGATCACTTCATCTCAGAAATGTCCTTACTTTCTGCCTTGGCTCCAGAACCTCCAAGCATGGAGTCAGCTTCCTGTTGGAGGAACTGTTTAAGATGCAGTTTCTTACAAGGTGGTACCTTCTTGAATAAATAGTGCTCCATCTTCAGAAAAACAACGCCTGTCTCACTCCTCAGGCTGCCCCCTCCACCTACAAAAACACTTAATCTCACTCGTCCAAAAAAACAGAAAAGGAATAAAGATTTTAGCCAGCATTCCAAACACAAAAGCTACCTCCACTTTTGGGACCCTCCCCAGCCTCCCCCAGGTACCTCTGAATGAGCTGTCTCCCTAGACTAGAAGTAGACACCAAGGCCACCTCCATAGTTTAGGCAAAGAACACAGAAAATCACGAGTCAGGAGCCTGTGGGTACATCTGATCCCACAGACTGGAAAGATTTAAGATTGAAGAGTGATAACTAAGCAAGTCTCAAAAACGAAGGCTCTTGATGATGGAAGGTAGTGTAATAAGAATCAGTACACATATTTAGGAAGGGGCATCCTCCCCCAAGCCCCACCCTACTCTTGTACAAGGTCAGCACAGAAAAGGGGATTATGAAATAAGACAAAATTAATTCTCTTATTATTACTTTAGAATTCTTTCAAGTCCCTTAGTTACAGTTCATAATCTTCACCTCCTTAGGAACGGAAATCATAAATCCAAGGCTTTTTAATTTAATTTAATTTAATTTTGGCAAAGGATGTAGATTTGCATGAATACCTGTAGAGATAAAACCTGTTTTTCCAAGAGGGAAGTAGTTAAGAAAATGCCCTCTGGCATCCCCTAACTCTGTCTTATTTGCTGTGTTATCTTTATGCGAATTACTTCTGATCAATCTCACTTTTCTCATCTGCAGAATGGGGAATATAATCCTATTTAGGATTATATATTAAAAAAAAAAAAAAAAAACTGCCGGGCGCGGTGGCTCATGCCTGTAATCCCAGCACTTTGGGAGGCCGAGGCAGGCGGATCGCCCGAGTCAGGCGTTCGAGACCAGCCTGTCCAACATGGTGAAACCTCGTCTCTACTAATAATGCACAAATTAGCTGGGCATGGTGGCTGACGCCTGTAATCCCAGCTACTTGGGAAGCTGAGGGAGGAGAATCGCTTGAACCCGGGAGGCGGAAGTTGCAGTGAGCCGAGATCACACCATTGCACTCCAGCGTCGCCCACAGAGAGCGACTCTGTCTCAACAACAACAACAAAACCAAAAGGCCCTTAAGCCCACTGCCAGGCACGTATCAAACTGACAATCGTGCAATCGTGATTTTAAGCCAAAGTCAATGTAAATTTTTAAAACACAAAACAAATGGCAAGCCGGAACCATACCTCCCTACAATCTGGATAAATATATTTAGATGCCCATTGGCTGGAGTTTTTAAGACCAGCCCAGGCTCTGTGGGCCAAGAATCGGCGCAGGAGCGAACCGATTTGTTGGCCAAGAATTCGGGCCAAAACTTGTAAAGTTGGCAGACGCACTCGCCATGCCCTTCTCAAGTGCCCTCGCTGCGCAGCCGCAGGGCTGGAGCGAGACCGCCGGCCGGAGGCGCGTTTCTCTGAGTTCACCCAGGAACCAGACGCCCGCTGGACGTCAACTCGGCCGGACGCGGGGCACGGGCGCTAACAGGCTCCTAGGAGCCTCCCCGGGCGCCCCCCGCCCAGGGCGCGCTCTGCTCACCTGCAGGTTTCGGCGGCTCCGCGGTGACTAACAACAGCGGCAGCAGCAGCAGCAGCAGCAGAAGCGGTGGCGGCTGTGGCAGCCCCGGGCGCCCGCCCGGACCGCCGCGGGTCATCGCTCCACGGCCGCGACCTTCCTCTGCGGGATCAGGCGGCCGCGGTGGCCCGCGGTGGCAGAAGTTGCAAGAGAGGCTCCTGGCCTACTCAGGGGCGCCGCCTCTCCGAGGTGGGGCGTCCTCAACTTTCCTCTTTCTTGAGCCCGGCCTGCTCCGGGCTCTGAGGGGCGAGGACGCTTCACGTGGTGGCCTGGGGCCCACCCCGCCTAGGAAAGGCGGATCCTTTACGTCTGACCCTCTAGCAACCCCTGGGCCGGTCTGGGAAAGTTCCCCAGCTGCACTTCTGGGAAATGCAGAGGCTGCCTGCCGCTTTCTTTCGCAGTTTTGCGGCCCAAGGCTTGGGCGAATCAGTTCACATCAACACCCCTACTAGCCTCTCCCTCCGGGGTCGACCATTTATCTCCAGCAGCGGACCAGGCGCCCGGGCCAGGGTGACATGCGCGCCCTGCCTACACGCAGCTCGGATCCTCTGCTGTTTCTGGAGAGGCCTCCACAGGTGCGTTTTCCTCAGCGATTAGCGTACCCCTCATTCCCAGGCTGTTTAACCTAAATCCATGCGCTGTAGCTCAGATTTTTTATCCTTTTTGCTTCCTCTTCGTTGGCTGGAGCCACCACAGGAGAGTGATTCAGACGGGGCTGACACTAGACACACTCCTACGTTTCTGTGGAGTCCCCATTTCTGTGTGGGGTCAGTTAAAAGTGACATTGTGAAGTAGTCAAAAGTTATGCCTTGGGTGATATTGTGAAGTTGGCACCGGGTGCCCTAGGTGACATTGTGAAGTAGGCAAAAGGCATTTCATTCATTCACTCAGCATTGGCTGGGCCCATCTTATACTCCAGATACCAGTGATATAAAGACAGCTAAGAGCATGCCTCACCACAGACAAAAAGAACTAAGCCAGCCGGGCGCCGTGGCTCACGCCTGTAATCCCAGCACTTTGGGAGGCCGAGGCGGGCAGATCACGAGGTCAGGATATCGAGGCCATCCTGGCTAACACGGTGAAACCCCGTCTCTACTAAAAATACAAAAAATTAGTCGGACACGGTGGCGGGCGCCTGTAGTCCAGCTACTTGGGAGGCTGACGCAGGAGAATGGCGTAAACCCGGGAGGCGGAGCTTGCAGTGAGCCGAGATCGCGCCACTCTACTCCAGCCTGGGCGACAGAGCGAGATTCGTCTCAAAAAAAAATAATAATAATAACAATAATAATTTTTTTAAAAAAGAACTAAGCCATATAGATAAACAAGTACACAGAACTTGCCATTCTACTGTGTTAGAGCTATGTTTAAGGTGCAGTGGGAGAGGGGGAAGGAGGGAACAAGCCACCTCTCAGATGGGAACCTCAGCACCCCACTCTTCCTCTTGGCCTTTCTTCTAAGCTTAACCTAGGTGTCAAGGAGAGATGAGAAGAGAGAATAAGCAGTACCTTTCATAACGGGGAAAATGTAATTGTTAGAAAAGATAAAGAACCTAAAAGTTCATCAAATCTCTGTGCAAATTGTGAAACACAAGTCACAATTTTGTGGTCCAGGCACCATGGCTCATGCCTGTAATCCCAACACTTTGGGAGGCCAAGGTGGGAGGATCACCGGAGCCCAAAAGTTCAAGACAAGCCTGTGCCACACAGGGAGACTCCAACTCATTTTTATTTAATTAAAATTAAAGTCACAATTATGTTTAATGGCATTTAATGAATGAAGACATCGAGGACATTGTAAAAGTTGCACATTTTCCTTCAAGTTAGAAAATTAAAATGAAGAAAAATTAAAACGAAGACATCGAGGACATTGTAAAAGTTGCACATTTTCCTTCGTTAGAAAATTTAAATGAAGAAAAATTAAAATGAAGACATCGAGGACATTGTAAAAGTTGCACATTTTCCTTCAAGTTAGAAAATTAAAATGAACCAAAAATGAAAATTTTGGTTGTGTTATGATGGGAAGAGAACCACATTAGGATGTTCAAGGAAGTGGTGCCACCCCAAATATTTGAGTCATATTGCCCTATACCACCCTCCTTCACCTTACTAACCCTTCTGATCCAAGGAGCCAAGTGTTCTGATGAAGTAAGATGCATATAAATGCCTAATGTGAACCTTGAGGCATTCATTCATCTATTATTTGTCATCAAATATTCGTTGACTCCCATGTTCCAAGCACAGAGCAGTAGACAAAACAAAGTCCCTGCCCTTGCAGAGCTTGCATTCCAGTAGTGGGGAGCAAATTATACATATAAACAAATTAATTGGATCAGGACTTCTCCACATCAGCACTATTGAAATTTTGGAGCAGACAACTCTTTGTTGTGGGGGGGTTGTCCTGGACACCCCTTGGCCTTTACCTACTGGATGCTAGTGGCACCCCCATTGAAAATGTCTCCAGACATTGTCAAATGCTCCCGTAGGGGGGCAAAATTGCCCCCTAGTTGAGAATCACTGAATTAGATGATAAATCTTGCTTTCTTTAAATTATGCCAGTTTTACATATCTGGGAGGAAAATGAGCTGCAAAACTCACACATAGTTAGGAAAATAAATCTTGGGACCCCAAAATCACTAAGCCAAGGGAAAAGTCAAGCTGGAAACTATGTCAGGCAAACCTGCCTCTCATTTTATTCTGAAATAAGATAGCTACAAAGATAAGAAGCTACATACCTCCCTCACAGTTTGCCCACAAGGAAATTCCCTGTGGACAAAGGGAAGACAGAACTTAAAAGTCATCCCTCTGAGGCTCACCTGAGACAAATGCACATCTGATTGCTTCCTCTGCAGTATTGTTTATGTAAAAATGCAGACTCCCTGGGCCAGACTAAGTTGTGTATTCTGTGGAAGGCTGATCAAGGATTCAAAAGAATGTAACATTTTGTCTCTTTTCTACTTCTAACATGGAATACCCCACTTTGAGTTGTCTCGCCTTACCATACTGAACCAATGTACATCTTACACGTATTGACTGATGTCTCATATCTCCCTAAAATGTATAAAAGTAAGCTGTACCCCGACCACGTTAGGCACATGTTGTCAGGACCTCCTGAGGCTGTGGCCCTGGTGTGTCCTTAACTTTGGCAAAATAAACTTTCTAAATTGACTGAGACCTGTCTCAGATTTTTTGGATTCACATACTAAAGCTGCAATGAGGAGAACCAAAGATGCCAGCTGCGAAATGTTCTCATCACTTCTATAATGGACTTGTGTGGTTTGGGGCTACTCAGCGTCCATTATTCTCTTCCTGTACCAACTTTTGGTGCAGGAATGCCAACTTTTGGTGAGCCAAGGGTGGAGGTGTTTCTACCAGGAGACACAATAAGGAAGTATTATTGAATTGGAATTTGAAAGTGCATTACTGAATTGCAATTGGTCTTTTTTGAGCTCCTCTTAAAACATAAAAATATGTTTGAATGGTTAAGAATAGGATTGTAGTATTGGTAATTTTGCCTTACTATCAAAAGGAGTAGGAGCATTGGATGCGGTGGCTCACTCCTGTAATCCCAGCACTTCAGGAGGCCGAGTTGGGTGGATCACTTGAGATCAGGAATTCGAGACTAGCCTGGCCAACATGGTGAAACCTCGTCTCTACTAAAAATACCAAAAATTAGCTGGGCATAGTGGCTCATGACTGTAATCCCAGCTACTTGAGAGGCTGATGCAGGAGAATCAGTTGAACCCAGGAGGCAGAGGTTGCAGTGAGCTGAGATCGCACCACTGCACTCCAGCCTGGATGACAGAGAGAGATTCCATCTCAAAAAACCAAAACCAAAACAAAATGAAAGGACTGGGAGCATAATCTCACCTGGGAAGCACCACTGGGGACTCAGACTCCTCATCCCAATGGGCAAAGAATCCCAGCAGCTGAGTTGCTGGCCCAAAGCAAGGGGAACATGGAAAAAAGGTGGAGAAGAGAAGTCACATATAATTATCTATAGCCAGGTGACCAGTTGCAGAAACAAAGATAGTGGTCTCTATTGGCCTCTATATTTCTTTCCTTGCTGTAACATGTATGTGGTGGATTGAAAATTTTACAGTTACAGTTCCAGAATGAAATATCCAAAATGTAAATTTGTTTCTTTTCCAAAAAAGTGTAATTAACTTAGCATTCAAACACATCCACTGATGGTAATTTTTTTTTTTTTTTAATTTTTTGTAAGACAGGATCTCACTATGTTGCTCAGGCTGGTCTCAAATTCCTGGGCTCAAGTGATCCTCCCACCTTGGCCTTCAAAAATGCTGGGATTACAGGTGTGAGTCCAACCAGTAAAAATTTTTAAATACCAGATTTAAGGTTGCGCAATTTCATTTGGACCAAATCCTTAGTGTCCTTTGCCTTCTTTATGTCCTTACCATTTTTCCTTAAGGATGACCTTAGCTTCGGGGGCTTATGTATTGACTTGGTACTAAATAAGGGACATTTACTCTGTGAGTCATACTCTTGGCTTAGTGGCCTCCACTAAGATATAGCTTTTTTTCTCATTCGGTCTGCAGGAATTGTAGTGCATAGGCATCTGCTGTTGGTATCTGCAGCTTTACCTTGACCTCGGATTTAGATTTCCAGATACTCTGTGTATTAGTTAATGTAATGCTAGCTATGATGACAGATAAACTCCAAAAGTTCATTGGATTAATGCAACAAAAGTTTATTGGTGTCTTGTATGCCAGTCCAGTGTGGGAGTTCTTAATCAGTAAGTGGCTTTCCTCCATGTAGAAATTTAAGAACCCACCTATCTTTCATCTTGTGGCTCTGTCATTCTCTAAGGCAGAAGTTCCCATGCTTTCTTGGTTTATAGTGCCCGTAGAGTGTCAGTAATATATTTTTAGGGCTGCAGACCAAAAGAAATACCTAACAGTTCTTTTTACTAAGTAGTTAGAGCCACACAATGCAATAGTAGTCATTTGCTCAGTATCCTACAGATGGTGCTACATGTCCCTCAAACATTTAAAGTATCCCAGAGAGCTCCGTTGATTGATTATAGTGTATTGTGCTACTACTGTTTCCCATGAGTATTTACTATATTCTCAGGTACACTCTGTGCATTCACTGTGGTTGCCAAACTGTGTGCGGGAACCATAATGCTATGGAGTCTTGTCTTCTGGCGATGGGAAGAGAAAAGCACCCCTCACCCCTGCTTCTTCTTTTTTTGTTTTTATTTATATATATATATATATTTTGAGATGGAGTCTCACTCTGTCGCCCAGGCTGGAATGCAGTGGTCCTATCTCGGCTCACTGCAATCTCCGATTCCCGGGTTCAAGCGATTCTCCTGCCTCAGCCTCCCTAGTAGCTGGGTAGCTGGGACTACAGGTATGCACCACGATGCCTGGCTAATTTTTGTTTTTAGTAGAGATCAGGTTTTCTCATGTTGGCCAGGCTGGTCTAGAACTCCTGACCTCAGGTGATCCACCCACCTCGGCCTCTCAAAGTGCTGGGATTACAGGCATGAGCCATCATGCTTGGCTGCACCCCTGCTTCTTAATAACTTCTGCTTACCTTCCATTGGCAGAGCTAGACATATTGCCCTATCTTTATGCTAACAAGACTGGGAAATGCAGCCTCTACCTGGGATGTCATTGCTCGGTATGGAAGTAAGAGCGCGCATTTCTGGTAGGCAGCCAGCTGTTTCTGACACACTTGGCAACCTCTTCATCCTGACTTGGATACTCTTGGGTCGTTTGGCTCATTCTCAAACCCCTCTGAGCCCTGCGGGAGTGGCAATAGGGCCTGAAAGCTAGTCTGATCTAGTGTGCATCAATTAATGAGCCAGCCATTGGGTTCATCTCCCCAAACATCTCCCTCAGTTATTGCTACTTTACAACTCAGGTGCCATGTGGGATTATATGGGTCCTATTCAAGGCTTGCAATTTTATGGGTATGTTCTGGAAAGTTTAAACATGTCTGCTCTGGTAATTAGAGACCTACTTTGAGTTTCTATTAGCAAACATTTCCACACTCTGCCTCACCCATCAAACAGATGACTCCCCCGCTAACGAGGAGGACAGTCCTAGACCCTTCACATCGACCCATTATGTATTTATCTCATCAGCTCTTCAAACTTTTTACTTCTGTGGGCAGGAACGAATTCAACATTAACATATATTGTTATTCTAATTTATTGTTCTTTAGTATATCATATGCTCTTCTGTTTCAGTCTGTTTTTCCATTTTCCAAGTTTTGATATTTCAAAACATTTTTCTCTTTCAGATTCATAGATCTTATGTTTTCATGGCTTTGAAGACTATTGTCTCTGTACACACAAGGTCTCAGAAAGCCACAGAGTTTACCCTTTGGTCTTCTGATATTTTTGTTTTTTCCTCCCTTAAGCAATAAGCCTTTGCCTTTTGGAATAAATATAGCTGTGAAAGATTTACTAGGTTAAATAAGAATTTCTCAAAAGAAAAATATGTAGAGTAAACCGGGTGTGGTGGCTCACGCCTATAATCTCAGCACTTTGGGAGACCAAGGTGGGTGGATCACTCAGTCAGGAGATTGAGACCAGCCTGGCCAATATGATGAAACCCTGTCTCTACTAAAAATACAAAAATTAGCCGGGCGTGGTGGTGAGCACCTGTAGTCCCAGCTACTTGGGAGGCTGAGGTAGGAGAATTGCTTGAACCCAGGAGGCGGGGGTTGCAGTGAGCCGAGATTGCATCACTGCACTCTAGCCTGGGTGACAGAGTGAGACTCCATCTTAAAAAAAAAAGAAAAGAAAAGAAAAGAAAAATATGTAGAATAATATTTTAGACTACCATCTAACTACAATTATGAACATTTACTTATGTAATTGATTTTTCTTTTCTATTTTTTCCTCCATTATTGCGTGTAGGTTGTGTTGGTGGTTAAATTTACTCTTTGGGATTTAGGGCCAGGCAGCATGGCTCATGCCTGTAATCCCAGAACTTTGGGAGGCCAAGGTGGGAGGATGATTTTTGCTCAGGAGTTCGAGACCAGCCTGGGCCCTGTAGTGAGACCCTGTCTCTATTAAAAAAAAATGTATATTTATATGTATATGGAAAAATAAGCTTACCATTTGGTCCATCAGTATCAGAATACTGAGTCTACGTTGCTGCAGAATCAAAGAAAAAACGAACATTTTTCATAAATCCCAGGTTTGGGCTCAATGCCTATGGAGCTTGTCTTGACCACTTATAACCGTCTGTCCTGTCTGTCTGTCCTCTCATCTATGCACTTGCCTGTCCTTTATACATGCTGCTGGCCTGTGAGTGTCTTGTAAATTGGGTACAACAGGAGGGGCTGCCATTGGTCAGTGATTATAAGGCTGTTATAGCATGTCTTGGCTTTAGGACCATGGTTTTAGGGGTGAGATTTGAATCAGGAATGGATTGACTACAGCAGGAGAGGTAGAGGTTAAGAAAGAAATTGCTGTACAAGCTGAATACTGATTAAGCAGTTTATTGTTACTATTATTTTTCTAGAGACAACAAAGTTATGAACTTTTTATCCTACTGGTAGGCTTTTCTTTCCCATCCTTACCTTCAAAGAGGCTGAAAAAGGCACTTCTGAATACTTTTAGGGCCAAGAGCATTTTCTGCATTGCTTGAGGGATGCAATTTTTACTTAATTGTTCCTTTTTCATTATTTCCCTAAACCTTTTCCTCTAGCTCTTTCCTAAATTGTGTGGCTGCATTCTTGAGTAGCTGCCACCAACTTCCTCTATTTACATTTCTTCTCCCAGGTTTACGATCTTAGTATCTTCTCTTCATTCTACAGAAAAAAAGTACAAATGCCAAATACAAACAGTTAACTAGACATAATCCTTTCTTAGTGGTATTGAGCCTTGACTGTAGATGTGAAACACTCCTATATTAAATATCCACAGCTCTTCTTTCAGGTTGTAGGAAAGGATTTAAGCCTTAATGGTACTGGCATAACAATGACTAAATGAAAAGTGCCTGATAAATATTTGATGAGTCTGGCTGCTACTGATTAATGAAGACAGTAAGAAGAACAATTGTAGGCAGTCAATTCTTGAAAAGTGGCTAGAAATTAACATTTAAATATAACCCAGGGTTGGCTGGGCTTAGTGGTTCATGCCTGTAATGCCAGTACTTTGGGAGGCTCAGGCAGAAGGATCACTTGAGGCCAGGAGTTCAAGATGAGACTGGGCAACATAGCAAGATCCATCTCTACGCACACACACACACACACACAAAAAAAAAAAAAAAAAAAAAGATTGGCTAGGTGAGGTGACACATGACCTAGTTCCATCTACTCAAAAGGCTGAGGTGAGGTGAGAGGATCCCTTGAGCTCAGGAGTTTTAGGCTGCAGTGAGCTATGAGTGTGCCATTGCACTCCAGCCTGGGCAACAGAACCAGACCCTGTCTCTAAATAAATAAATAAAACCCAGGCTCAAAACTCCAGAATTTGTTTCTAGGAAAAGATCACATTTCAGCCTGGACAGACACCTCCTGGATACAGGAAATTGAGTTAGAAACTGTGCATATCAATCTTCTCTACAACTGTCCTCTGAGGAGTTCTGAGGAGCAGTGCCAAAAGACATTTGAATACTCTCTCTGTTGAGAAACACACTGTCTACCAACTCTTTTAATTTTAAGATGAATGATCAGAAACAAGAATGAACATGACATGGAATCGTTGAAAGATATCGCAGAATGAGAAAAAGGGGGCATGTCTTGAAATCTTGGATTTGTAATCTTGGTAGATTTCTAAAACTACCAATTTAAGGAAATGAAATAATATTTTAGAAAATGTTTTGACATCTTCCACAGAGTATGAACAAACATGGCCTGCAAGAGCAAAACATCTGTAAAGAAAAACAGGATATAAGGAAAATGCATGAGATGAAAAGGGAAGATGAGTAGAATAAGAAAGTGTTGATAGAAAATTGAAAATTTAATAGTGGAAATTAACGTTTCCATTGGAGACAATAGTAAAATGGAGAAACTGACAGTGTTAAAAAATTGAAATTGCTAACTCAATTTCAAGGACAAATTGATAAAGCTCTCCAAGAAGAAGGAGGAAAGATAAAAAGATTAAAATGAAAAGGAAGATAAAGGTAAGAGACACAAAAGACTGCAGAATTCAAGCAAAAACTGAGATGTTTCTGACCATGCAATCAAACTAATTAGAATAGAATCACGGATGAAAACACTATCAAGAAAACTTTTCTGAGGTGAAAAAGAGATCTAAGTGTTTCTCCTGATATGATGTGATGGAAGAGGCACAAATCATGAGGATAAAATCTGACTGGGCTGACTCAAGGGTACATGACATGCATAGTCAAACAGGGCCCCAGCTTTAAAGGGGCCCACATTTGATTTAATGCTCTGCTGTCACTGTCTTTAAATTCTTACCCAGGATGGAGTGCAATGGCACAGTCACGGCTCACCACAGCCTCGACCTCCCAGGTGATCCTCCCATCTCAGCCTGTCAGCTCGCTGGGATTACAAGTGTGTGCCATCACGCCTGACTAATTTAAAAATTAGCCAGGCATGATGGCACACACCTGGGTGCGTGGGCGACAGAGCAAGACTCCGTCTCAAGAAAAAAAAAGAAAAGAAAGGATTACTTTGATATACTTCAATTGATTGACAAGTCAAAATTAAGACCCGAAGAATAGAGAAGTCATAATGTAAAATTTTGAAGAGGAATCTCATGCAGTTTAGTAAATTCAGGAATCAAATTTGTTGGGTATTCTAAGGTGGATCCTGCAACCTTGGGGGCAGCTTGCCCCTCAGAGCTCTCATTAGCAGAACTGTATTTTTCTTCTGCTTCCTTTTTGCCCAGTGATACATTTTGTGTTTCTCAAGCTACATTCTTCATAGCACAGCTCAGATGAAATCTTTGCTGTGGTTGATGACCACATAAACCACTTACAGATCCTTTTCTGTACAACACTTGCTACCAAGTACCTTGGTTGAAACACCGTGTCAGCAAGAATTATGTAACAGAAGCAAAGTTACATAAAAACCATAATGGCCATTTCCATTGTCAAACAAATTAAGCAATGATTTTGTACATTGCTGACATCCTGACAACTCCCATTGAATAATGGGTCTTTTTTTTTTTTTTTTTCCTGAGACAGAGTCTTGCTCTGTTGCAGTGGTGCGATCCTGGCTCACTGCAACCTCCACGTCCTGGGTTCAAGCAATTCTCCTGCCTCGGCCCCCTGAGTAGCTGGGATTATAGGCACGAGCCACCATGCCAGGTATATATATATATATATATAGTATTTTTTTGTATTTTTAGTAGAGATGGGGTTTCACCATGTTGGCCAGGCTGGTCTCAAACTCCTGATCTCGTGATCCACCCACCTCGGCCTCCCAAAGTGCTGGGATTACAGGTGTGAGCCACCACGCCTGGCCAATGTGTCATGTTTTTAAAAATTAGCTGTGAAAAACAAATGACTAAGGGGCGATATATGAAACAGCCAGGAAGCCCATCCTCTTATTGTTCATCTTGCAGGGAATGCTCCCACGTGCTTGCAAATTGTAGGATCTTGGCTAAGCTAAACTAGGATTCATGTTTGGATATGTCCGATGAATGCATGTATCCATCTGCCGGAGTTGATTTGTGCTGAGAAAAGAAACTGGGGAAGTAGACTTGTATGAAGGCACTTGGTGGAAGGCAGAATGGGTGAAGAGAAGGAGGAAGGGATGGCAAGAAATACATGATGTCTCCCCTATAATTTGCTTGCCTTTTTAACTCAGTTTGAGCTCTTTAAAGAGAAAAGGATGGCTGGGCGCTGTGGCTCATGCCTGTAATCCCAGTACTTTGGGAGGCCAAGGTGGGTAGATCATCTGTGGTCAGGAGCTCGAGACCAGCCTGGCCAACAACTCTGTCTCTACTAAAAATGCAAACATTAGCCGGGTGTGATGGCAGACACCTGTATTCCCAGCTACTCGGGAGGCTGAGGTGGGAGAATTGCTTGAACCTGGGAGGCAGAGGCTGCAGTGAGCCAAGATCGCGCCACTGCACTCCAGCCTGGATGACAGAGTGAGACCCCATCTCAAATAAGAATAATTATTAAAATAAATAAATAAAGAGAAAGGGACTTCAGGCGGAGGCAAAAGAGGGAGATTTCAAGAAGGAATTTGCGAGGCGTGGGGCCATCAGAGCATTGTTCTGATGCCAGATCATAGCACGGGCCACAGAACAGGGAAGAGAAACTTACTTTTCATGTCAGCATAATTTCCACCAAGTAAAACTGTGGTTGGCAGGGCACGGGGGTGCGCACCTGAAGTTCCAGATACTAGGCCCAGGAGTTCGAGGCTACAGTGAGGTATGACCGCACAGCTGCATTCCAGCCTGGGCAACAGAGCAAGATCTCATCTCTAAAAAAACAAAAACAAAAACAAAAACACTGCAGGGAAGGCCAAATTGCATTGACACCATTAAGATAAAATGTGTACATACAGCAAAACTCCACCACAATGCTATGAGCAGAGTCTCAAAATTAAAATAGTTAAATATGAAGGACACATTTTTGCAAGTTTAATGAAATGAAAATGGTGGCTGGAGGTGGGGGGGTGGGAATGAATTGCCAATTGTATCATATCAAATTTGTTTTACTAGAGCAAAGGGAATAATAATGAGAGCAGATTATAATGGATGTCTCTGTACTGGGATTTTTGGGTGATTTTGTTTCACTACATGTCAGTATTTGTTGCCCAGGCTGGTCTCGAACTCTTGGGCTCAAGTAATCTTCCTGCTTCAGCCTCCCCAGTAGCTGGGACTACAGTTATGCACAACTGTGCCTGGATCCAATTTTCCAAAATTATATGATAAAAATATAGTAGTTTTCTCATTTAAAAATTTTAAATTTAAAATAGCCACAGGAAATTTCATCTTATGTAAGCAAAATGTCTGAAGGTGTCCTGATTTCCTGATTGAACAAATCCTTTTTTTTTTTTGGCTCAGTCACCCAATCTGGAGTGCAGTGGTGCGATCTCTGCTCACTGCAACCTCCGCCTCCTGGGTTCAAGCAATTCTCCTGCCTCAACCTCCTGAGTAGCTGGGACTACAGGTGTCTGCCATCATGGCTGGCTAATTTTTGTATTTTTAGTAGAGACAGGGGCTCACCATGTTGGCCAGGCTGGTCTCAAACTCCTGACCTCAAGTGATCCACCCACCTCGGCCTTCCAAAGTGCTGGGATTATAGGCATGAGCCACTACGGCCAGCCTTTTTTTTTTTTTTTTTTTTTAGGACAGTCTTGCTCTGTCACCCAGGCTGGAGTGTAGTGGCATGATCTGGGCTCGCTACAACCTCCGCCTCCCGGGTTCAAGAGATTCTTGTGCCACAGCCTCTGAATAGCTGGGATTACAGGCAAACACCACCATGCCTAGCTATATATATATATATTTTTTGAGACAGTTTCCCTCTGTCTGTTGCCCAGGCTGGAGCACAGTGGAGTGATCTTGGCTTGCTACAACATCCTCCTTCCGGGTTGAAGCAATTCTCCTGCCTCAGCCTCCTGAGTAGCTGGGATTACAGGCGGGCACCACCACACCTGGCTAATTTTGTATTTTTAGTAGAAAGGGGGTTTCACCTTGTTGTCCAGGCTGGTCTTGAACACCTCACCTCAAGTGATCCACCCGCCTCGGCCTCTCAAAGCGCTGGGATTACAAGCATGAGCCACAGTGCCTGGCCTAATTTTTGTATTTTTAGTAAAGACGTGTTTTACCATGTTGGCCAGGCTGGTCTCAAACTCCTGATCTCAAGTGATCCACCTGCCTTAGGCTCCCATAGTGCTGGGATTATAGGCGTGAGCCACCACGCCCAGCCGGGATCCTTAAGTAAAGAAAAACATTGAATTATTTCACTCTAAAACTTTCCAGGGGAGTTGGCATTTTCCCTGGCTTTAAAGTCTTGCTTATACCATCACGGTAACTAGAGGCTTTCTTCTTTCATTTTTGGCTTGTTGTTTTAATCTGCTATGCTGATATCTGGCAGTTCAGCTCTCTTTCAGCTCAGCTGAGCTCCTGACAAATCTGAGGTCTAATTTACCTTAAGCCAAAAGATAGTTAAAAATTAAATTAATTTAATCATAGTTTTATTCCAATAAGGATGTGTGAAGTGCCTACTATATTCCAGGCAGTATGCTAAGCTTTGTGGATATGGAGATAAATAAATTATAGCTTCTGCCTTTAAGAGAGTCAGGTTTGAAGAGGCCTAGAAGGAAAGTAGCCGGTTGCTTTGAGGGGCACAGAGAATGAGCACTCAGCACAGATGGGACGTGAGATGCCACAGAAGTCCTGCAAGAGGAGGTGATGGTTGAGATGAATCCCAAAGCGTAAGAGAAGAATGTGGAAGAGATTCTGCAGCATAAGCAAAGTCATTGTCGGCATCAGCAACAAAATCATTAACCTGAATTATTGATTACCTCCTACATACAGTGATGGATGGCTTAACAATGAAGATATGTTCCAAGAAATGTGTCCTTAGGTGATTTCACCATTGTGTGAACACCATAGAGATGATTTACACAAAGCTGAATGGTATAGCCTACTATGCACCTAGGCTGCATGGTATAGCCTATCGCTCTTAGGCTACAAACCTATGCAGCATGTCACTGTACTAAATTCCATAGGTAATTGTAACACAATGGTAAAAATTTGTGTATCTAACCATATTTAAACATAGAAAAGGTACAGTAAAAACATGGTATAAAAGATAAAAAATGTTACACCTGTATAGGGCACTTCCCATGAGTAGAGGAAGCAGGACTGGAAGTTGCTCTGGGTGAGTCAGTGAGTGAGTGGCGAGTAAATGCAAAGGCCTAAGACATTACTATATGCTACTGTGGAGTTTATAAAGACTGTACACGTAGGCTACACTAAACATTTTTAAAAACTTTTCTTCTTTGGCTGGGTGCGGTGGCTCACTCCTGTAATCCTAGCACTTTCGGAAGCCCAGGCAGGTGGATCACTTGAGGCCAGTAATTCAAGACCAGCCTGGCCAACATGATGAAACTCCGTCTCTACAAAACATTAGTTGGGCACGGTGGCGGATGCCTGTAATCCCTGCAACTAGGGAGGTTGAGGCAGGAGAATCGCTTGAACCCAGGAGGCAGAGGTTACAGTGAGTTGAGATCATGCCACTGCACTCCAGCCTGGGCAAAAGAGCAAGACTCCGTCTCAAAAATAAAAATAAATAAATAAATAAATAAAAACTTTCCTCCTTCAAGAATATATTAACCTTAGCTTACTATAACTTTTTTCCTTTTATAAACTTATTTTTTTTACTTTTTACTCTTTTGTAATAACACTTAGCTTAAAACACAAATACATTGTACAGCCATACAAAAGTATTTTCTTTTTTATATCCTTATTCTATAAGCTTTTTCCTATTTTTAAAATTTGAGGCCTACACAGTGTCAGGATTATCTGTGTCACTCTCTTCCACATCCATATGTTGTCCTACTGTAAGGTATTTAGGGGCAATAACAGGCATGGAGCTGTCATCTCCTGTGATAACAATGCCTTGTTTGGGAATGCCTACTGAAGCACCTGCCTGAGGTCTTCCTCCATGATGCCACTCTTCAGAAACATGACCAAGATGGATTGCTTTTTGTTTGTTTGTTTTTTCCATCGTCGTAGATTTGCGTGTAAAAAGATAATACAACATGAACCTTTTTCCCTGGTCATGAAAACCTTTTGGTGTTTGGGTCTGTTTTCAAACTTTTTTTTTGTTTTCCTTCTTAGACAAAGTCTCACTCTTGTTCCCTAAGCTGGAGCGTGATGGCGCAATCTCGGCGCATTGCAACTTCCGCCTTCCGGGTTCAAGCGATTCTCCTGCTTCGGCCACCCCGAGTACCTGGGATTACAGGCGCCTGCCACCATGCCTAGCTAATTTTTGTATTTTTAGTAGAGACGGGGTTTCACCATGTTGGCCAGGCTGGTCTAGAACTCCTGACCTCAGGTGATCCCCCTGCCTCAGCCTCCCAAAGTGCTGGGATTACAGGCATGAGCCACCGTGCCTGGCCGGGTCTGTTTTCAAACTTTTTAAGGAGTTTGATGAGGTCTGCAAAAGCTTCCTTTAAAGCTTTCATTGTGAATTTTCTCAGGGAGAGGGTTTTTCTTTTTCTTTTCCTGCAGTTTCTTTTTCTCTTGGCTCTTCTTTAGCTATACATTCCTGTTCTAGTTTCAACAACTCCTCATTAGTCAATTCCTGGGGAACCACCTCTAGGAGCTTCTCAATGTCATCCTCATCCACACCCATATTAAAGAATTGTTTGCCATCTCAACCACAGTCTTAATGTTTCAGTGTTCTCATCCTTGGCAAATCCTTTGAAGTCATGGACAAAGATCTTGAGTGTCTTCTTCCAGATGCCATTCACACAACATTTGGTGACATCGCCCAAAGCTCAAGGAGGGTTCTTGATGCAGTTGCAGATCCTGTACTCTTTCCAGAATTGTATCAATGTCTTTTCCAAGTCTTCCTCCTTTGCAGCAATAGCCAGGGCAAAGGTCCTTCTCAGGCAGTAGGCCTGAAGAGCTGCTATAACTCTGATCCATTGGTTGGATCACATAAGTGGTGTTTGGAGAGAGAAACACCACTTTGATATTGGGATAAGTATCACCAATAAAAGGAGGATGTGTGGGAGTGTTAACAACAATAGGTAAAAATTTGAGAGGTATGCTATTCTCTAAACAGTACTCCATTTCACTTATATAGGGATTCAGGAGGGCATCTTGGAAAAGGAGCTGGGTCATCCATATTATCCATAATTCCTTTTTTTTTTTTTTTTTTTTTTTTTGAGATGGAGTTTTGCTCTTTTGCCCAGGCTGGAGTAAAGTGACATGATCTTGGCTCACTACAACCTCCGCCCCCAAGGTTCAAGCGAGTCTCCTGCCTCAGCCTCCACAAGTAGCTGGGATAATAGGCGCATGCCACCACACCCATCTAATTTTTGTATTTTTAGTAGAGACAGGGTTTCACCATGTTAGCCAGGCTGGTCTCAAACTCCTGACCTCAGGTGATCCCAGCGGCCCAAAGCGCTGGGATTACAGGCATGAGCCACTTCATCCGGCCCATAATTTCTTGTTAGTCCTGCAGCACACTGCCGGGGTGTGCTTATTGATATGCTTGAAAACCCTAGGGTTCTCACTGTGCCAGATCACAAAGAGCTTCTATTGTACCCTGAAACACTGACCCCAAGCAAGACTGTTATCCTGTCCTCAAAAGCCCAGAAATACCATTGACTTGGCCTCCACATAGAGGAAAGTCCTCTCAGGCATCCATTTCCAGAATAGGGAGGTGTTATCCATATTGAAGATTTGCTCAGGCAAGTAATCTTCCTTCATAATCAGCTTATCTAGAGTTTTCAAAAATTATTCAGCTGCCTTCACATCAGCAGTCACAGGCTCACCACTCACTTTCACCACGATGCAATGTGTAATACTTGTTGAATTTATTATTATTATTTTTTTGAGATGGAGTTTTGCTCTTGTCGCCCAGGCTGGAGGGCAATGGTGCAATCTTGGCTCACCACAACCCCTGCCTCCCAGGTTCAAGTAATTCTCCTGCCTCAGCCTCCTGAGCAGCTGGGATTATAGGCATGTGCCATCACGCCTGGCTAATTTTGTACTTTTAGTAGAGACGGGGTTTCTCCAAGTTGGCCAGGCTGGTCTCGAACTCCTCACCTCAGGTGATCTGCCCGTCTCGGCCTCCTAAAGTGCTGGGATTACAGGTGTGAGGCACTGCGCCCGGCCGAATTGTTTAAACCACCCAGAGCTAGCAGTAAACTCAACATCCTAACTGTCTAATATTTTCTTTCAACATTGCAAACCTTTTGCTTTGACCGATTGTCCTGAAGAGATTTGCTTTGACTATAGTTGCTGAGAGGGATATACTTCTGTGTCTGGTCTTCAGTCCAGGTCATTAGAAATTTCTCCATATCTGATATAGGCCCTCCTAGAATTTTTGTTAGTCTCATTGCTTTCAATAAAGCAGATCCTTCAACAGTTTCTGTGACTTTGTTCTT